>NC_000004.12:12447916-13072916 GCF_000001405.40 Homo sapiens | reverse complement strand
TTTTGAAGTCCATTCTTCAAGTTTCTCCAGCAATATAGTTTCTTCTTGGCTCATTAATAAATTTATCATATTCTTTTTTTAAATAACTGAGTACTGGTACAGTGATTTGTAGCTTTTGGTAGGAAAAATCTGGACGATAGGATAATAAACCAGGAAGATTCTGTGGCATGTGGGAAGTCGGGAGACACCAGTAGCACCCGATTTCTTCTGGTAGAATGAGCTCATTACCTCCTTTAAAAATTTGATAGCTTTTTGTTTGTTTGTTTAAAATTATTAAGACTGACAACATGATAGATGCTTGAAAACTATCCCCCATTTCAGCCTTATGATAGCTATGAGATGTCGGTATTTTTATGCATCTTACAGCAGGGATTCAGGTCTTTTTTTTGTCCCCTCATATATCCCAAGTGACTATAACAATGCCTGGCACATAGCAAGTGCTAAAAGAAGTTTTGTTGGAAGAGACACGGCTCCAAGAGGTAAACTTACTTGTTTGCCTCAAACTCCTAGGTGGTAGAGAAGAAAGCCAGCACCAGGTCATGTTAATTTTAAACTCTGGGCTGGGCGCAGTGGCTCACTCCTGTAATCCCAGCACTTTGGGGGGCCAAGGTGGGCGGATCACGAGGTCAGGAAATCGAGACCATCCTGGCTAACACGGTGAAACCCCGTCTCTACTAAAAATACAAAAATTAGCCGGGCGTGATGGCAAGCGCCTGTAGTCCCAGCTACTTGGGAGGCTGAGGCAGGAGAATGGCGTGAACCCTGGAGGCGGAGCTTGCAGTGAGCCGAGATGGCGCCACTGCTCTCTAGCCTGGGAGACAGAGCAAGACTCTGTCTCAAAAAAAAAAAAAAAAAAAAAAAAAAATTTCAAACTCTGTGCGTGTTACACGATTCCACATTACCTCCAGCTTCCTTATCACTCGAATGAGGGGAATATACAAGATCAGAGTTTCTGATGTTCAGTCTGCACAACTTGATTCATCTCTGGGTTCATCAAGGCTTTGCTCCAATAAGTCGAGGAATGCTGAGTGATTCAAAACTGATCAGTTTCTTTACTTTAGGGCTGCTCAAAGTCTTTCATATGTTAAGGTCCATCGTGAATCACTGAGGGGAACAAGAAGTATGTTTACAGGTTTCTCCCATATCCTCTATCCTTGTTCCTTGTGCACGTGTGCGTGTGTGTGTGCATGCGTGCATGTGTACATGTAGTGTCTTTTAAATATCTCCAAGGAATGCAGTTTTAGAGTAGATGGTCTCAATTTCCTGAGTTCGTTTTTGATTGATTTTCTTCTAGTCCTATAGTTTGTTGATTTGCATTGTGGCAAGAGAACAAATTAAGGTGAAATCCTATTACAGCAAATATGGTTGGAAAAATATTACTATAACAATAATATTTTAAAGACCTGGCCATAAGCCTAGAGTAATAGAGGCTTGCTGATTTCTCTAGAGTAGAAATCACTGCTCCAAATGAGTACAATAAATGCTTTTCTTCTGCTTCATTTTTACAATAGAGTGAAAAAAAATTCCCTAGAACCTTAGTATTTGTTGTTTACCCTTCCAACAAATATTCATTGACTGCCTCCCAAGCACTGCAGTTCCCCATGGGGAATACCAAGGCATTCCTGGCCGGGGATTCCAGATCTTCAGGTATTCACAATTTGTTGAGGTAGTGAGAAAAATGTAGAATCACAGAGTCAGTGGCAGAGCAAGTAATAAATTCTCCTCTGTACCAGACACACTGTACAATGTAAGAAATTATTGAAGACAACAAATGAAAAGCTACAACAAGATTGTTTAGACTTCAAGGGGAAATAGACGAGGTTATAAGCTTTCTGAGGGCAGCACTGATGTGCTGTGTCATGTCTGAGCTTGGCCTGGAGTCTGCAAAGAGTGGTTTGGAGGGACACAGCACTGAATAGATGACCACCTGCTAGCTGTGTACTTGCTCTTTTCTCTGTGCAGCGCTCTTCACAGCTGAGTCTGCTGATGGACCTCACTGAAGATCCAGTCCTGCTTCAGCTTCTGATCAAACACCTCCAACTTCTGCTCCTCTCCCAGGCCCTGAGGCTTGAGGAAAGTGAAGTGTATGGGCTCTGCATTCCAATATAACAGGGCATCAATCCTGATGCCACAACTTTTTCTCTCAGCCTCCCTGAACTTCTCTTTCTTTTACTGTGAAGTATATGTAACACATTTTAAAGTTTTATGGCAATGATTAAACAAGATGATGCATGGAAAGCCTGCAGTCCAGTGCCTGTCCATGAGTGACAGTAGATTTTGCTATGGGGTTATGTATTTAGACTCAACCATGGGTGCTGGGCTCCTCTCTGCCCAGTCTCCTTTCCTGTCTACCTGCTATGGCAGAGCAGGAGTCTGAGCACTGGCACCTCAGAATCACAGCCCTTCTTTTTCCCTGCTGGTGGAGTCATTTTTGCAAGCCAGACTTATGCCTGTCTTTCCTTGTTTAGTTTCTTTACAGCTACCCTGCTAGGACCTTAGCCCATCCAAACGAGAGTTCCCTGCAACTGTGTGTGTGGGGTTATTTATATTAGGCAGGACTCTTTGCTGCAAGCAATGGACACCACTCAAATTGGCTTAAAAAGATAGTAGTTATAGGCCAGGTGTGGTGGCTCATGCCTGTAATCCCAGTACTTTGAGAGGCTGAGGCGGGCAGATCACCTGAGGTTAGGAGTTCAAGACCAGCCTGGCCAACATGATGAAACCCTGTCTCTATGAAAAATACAAAAATTAGCCAGGTGTGGTGGCAGGCACCTGTAATCCCAGGTACTTGGTGGGCTGAGGCAGGAGAATTGCTTGAACCCCGGAGGCGGAGGTTGCAGTGAGCCAAGACTGTGCCATTGCACTCCAGCCCGGGCAGCAAGAGCGAGACTCCATCTCACACACACACACGAAGAGGAAAAAAGAAAATAGTAGTCATAGTAACAATGCTGCTGTTGCTGATACTAACAGGAAAGTGTAGACTCATGAAAATGGGAAATCATGGCTACATTGAGGGTTGCAAATAGACTGGAAGACTCCATTGTTGTCCATTTTGTAACTCTGCTTTGTTCTGTGTTGGCTTTCTGCTTTGAGCCGCTCTTTCCCTCATGACAGCAAAGATCATTTTTAATAGCTCCAAGCTTATAACATTTCAACTCGTAATGATCCTAGGGAAAGTAATATAGCTCTCCCTTCCCCGTCACCTATATCATTCCCCTAAAACTAACTCTAATTGGCTCAACTTGGGTCCCTGTTTCATTAGATTATCAAACCTGTCCAGGACCCAACATGTGTAAGAAACACTGCCCTAGAAGTGGGTCTCCGTATGAATTCATCAGTACAATGTGCTAAGTCTGTTCTGAGGCACTGGGGTGCAACGTGGCACAGGGGAACATTTGGGAGTTCTTAGCATGGGGAATCTTTTCCCTTCCAAGTGGGTCCCTGCTGCCAGTGGGAAACTTGAAGGCAAAGTTGGCTTTACAGAGGCAAAAGGGAATTTGTGCCAAGGTTAGAAGGCCCAGTGGGACTTTGTGGCAAAAGGAGACAACAAATGAAACAAATAAGAGGTTGTGTGTGGGGAGCTGAGGACATGATGCTGGAGGGAAGGGCAGGTGGATTTTGTTATTGTGAAGACTTGAATGCCTCACAAAAGAGTCATGGGATCACAGAACATTGGAGCTGTGAAGACCTTTAGACATCATACAGAGGAAGAAACCAAGGTGCAAAAAGGTGCAATGACTTACTTAGGTCCCACTGGGCTAAGAAGGAAGACACCAAATCAGAATTCTCATCTCTTCCAGCCCAGCAGCTCTCTTTTTGCCGTATGATGCTGCGTTGGGTCTCTTGGCAAAGATTTATGCAAACCTTCGTGTGCCTGGTGAAATGCCATTGTTCTTTGCTCCTTTTGCATTAATCCTCTCTCTATGTGGCCAGCTCCAGAAAGAATGGGTGGATTCCTTAGAAATAACTCAGGAGTGAAGGGTGTAGATGTCACCGAGAAGCTGACCAGGACACCCAGGACTCAGTGAGGCTGGACCACCATCTCCTGGCTCCTTCTGCAGGTCTCCCATCTGGCAAACCTCCTTATTGCCCCTTGCATCGAGGGAGACCCTCTCTAGGCACAACAGAGTCAGAAAGAAACAGCATGCACTTTTGATAGTCCTGGTCTTGTTCCAAATGAGAATGCCTGCTGTAGAGAAATGCAGATGCCTTCTCTGTCTATTTGTGCCAAAAAGGTACTCTCTACCTGCAAAATTACAGAATTATTAGTTCTTGAAAATGCACGACTTCTACCCCTTCCACCGAAATTTAATCCAACTCAATTAAAACATCGTGGCAGCCTCTACAAGGGCACAGATGCCCTGGAAAATCATTTTGGGGGTGTTTTCCCTGGCTGTGAATGGTTCCTCAATGTGGAGGCAACCACCCATGTGCTTAAAAATGAAAACAGTCCAGATGGTAATGGAGCAATTCAATAATGTTAACTTGCATTTACAGAGCAAACTTCTTTTTAAGGTTAATTTTGGTTGGGTTGATCATGAACAGAATATAGCCTGGGCTTTGTCTCAGCTATAAGCTCTTATTTTCTCTTTGCTCACTCTTCTTTCCCTGATGACTGTCCTCCTGTGTTTGCTTCTGTTTCTCTCTTGTTCCTTAAGGTCTATGTACAGGTGACTCACAAAGAAGCCACAATGACTGATGCTGTAGAAATTCTCTGTCCAGCCAGTGTTTCAAAGGGGCAATAGACAATATTGGTGACCCTACACTGGTATCTACCCCAAGACCCATTGAATTAAGGCTCTATCTTCTTAATAGGCTGAGCTACTTATCACAGAGCAGAGTGCCAATCGTTAACATTTTGGCTCCTGCACACTGACCCTCACCCATCTAACTTCTGGTGTCCCACCACTTTAGTCAGACCTGGACTTTCCTGCTTTTACCCTGGAATCAGAGCCTAGGTAACTCCACAGTCTCCTCCCCAACTGTCAAAATCCTTCCCACTTACCATGACTATATGTCTTCACCCTTTTCCCTTCCTGGAGCCCTCGGTGAAGTTTCTATAATTTCTCACCATCTATTACCTACTGCCCCATACTACTGTACTTGTTTTACTGTTTGACAGTGTATCTTGCTTTCAGCTGGGTGTAAGATCTTTGAGTTAGGAATAGTTTATTATATGGCCTGATATTCTTCTCCCTTATGTTTTCTGCACAGTAAGTGATGAATAGCCATTTGTTGATTCCTTGATTTTTTGTAAACTGAAACTGTCTTCTCAGTAAACAAAGCTTTTTGGAAGTAGATTTAGACACACATGAGGTTCTGAGATTTAATTATAAACTCCCAAGACCACAACTCAGCTGGAGGGACACGGTAAGGGCATGGGGTCTGGAGTCTGCAGGTTGGGACTTGTAGCTGGGCTCTGATATAAATTAGTCATGAGATGCTGGTGAATGCACTGCTCTTTGAACCTATTTGCTCATTTATAAAATGAGATAAGAACCACAACAAAAAATGCCTACCCCCGATTGATGGTGAGGATATAATAAAAGCATAAAGCAGTGCTCTCAAGAAAGCATGGGGTCTGGAGTTCACTTCCTAAGATCATCTCTACCACTTTCTAGCTGTGTGACCTTGGGTAAATTACTTAACCTCTCTGTGTCACAGTTTTTTTTTTTTATTTACACAATACCTTCCTCTTAGGATTTTTATCAGTATTGAATGACAGTAATTAGTAAAGTGATTAGAATGTTGCTTGGCATATTGCTTGTTAAATAAATACACATCTAATTAAAAATAAAACATATAGCTGAGCACACAGTTTACTGCTCAGTTACTGTTGGACTCTGCTACTTCTGTAAGGAAAGCTGCTGCTGCTGCTACCACTGCACATGAGTGTTTGGCAGACAGACTCATTTGCCTGCTGACATTGATCTTGGTAGTGGAAACTAAAGTTATACTGTAATTCAACTCCAGCCCAATCAGCTGTAGTCCCAACTTAGTATGACTTGCACAAGGATCCAGAGAAAGACTTGTCTATTTGTCCCACCAGAACAGATATGCTGGCTTCTGTCCCATAGTAGATTCTAGAGGGGCTCTGTCTTGTTTCTAGCCTGGGAGTTATCCCATTCATGCAGAGAACTGTTGCAAAACTCCTCATCTGTGCCACCATGACAGCCTAGCCAGCTTCCATCTCACATTAGCTCCTAAAGGGGTTCTGAAGCTTAACTTCAGACCCTCTTTGGTGCAGCCTGTGAGCAATCCCAATGACATGGGGAACTGCTGGGCAATATGATAGGCTTGTAGCTTCCATCCCACAGTAGATCCTGAAGGGTCCCTGTTTCTCTGCCGCAGACCCAGAGTTACCAACACTGTGCAGACAACTCTGGGGAAATGCATTTATACAGGCTTGCTGGCCTCCATACCATAGAAGTTCCTGAAGGGGTTCTGAATCTCACCTCCACTCCTATTTAGCTGTGGTCTATGAACAGTCCTGCAAACACAGGAAACTACTGGGAGTCTTGTCTGCTAGTACCACAGTTGGGCTTGCCAGTATCCATCCCATAGCAGGTTCACAATTAGCCCTCAATCTCAGTTTCAGTCCCTTCTATCTGTGGTCTGGGAACCATTTCTGCCAAGCTTAGGTCCCACTGGAAGATGCACCCATGAGTCTCTATGGCAGGCTTGCAAGACTCTTTACCTCAGTGTATCCTTAAATGGCTCTGGAGCTTGCTCTCACCCCGTCTCAGTGATGGACAGAGAGCTGTTCTGCCTGCCTGCAGGTCTGGAAAGAGGCATATCCTGCAGGCTGATGCCCTGATCTCAGTTCCACTGTGGATCTTAAAAGAGCCCTATAAATTGGCTGTGGCCCTTCTGAAACAGTCTGAGAGCGGTCTTCCTCAATCAGGAACTTACTGGGAGACATGAATGTTTGTGATCCAGGAGTCAAGCTTGAAGATCTTGGTCTCAGCTGTGGACCTGAAACAACCTTGTATCTCAGTTCCAGTCCATCTTAGCCACAGACTAGGCAGTATAGGCAGCCCAGGGATCCATTCTGTGATCCAACAGGGACACCCTCAGAGACCCTGAGGAAGCTACATCTGTCGTTGCACTTGGTAACAGGCCTACTGCCTGTGAACTCTGAAGCAGACACTCATCACAGCCTCACAGACCAAAATCCTGGAGATAGTCAAGTCCTCCTAGGTCCCAGATAGGCCCCATACCCACCAGTTCCCCTGACATAGGCCAAACAAATGTGGCCTTCACTTCAGACAAAGCATCAACCATATGATGTGGATCCAACCCCATTCAACTGCAATTCCAGAGGCAATCCCGTTATTCCAGAGACCTAACAGGAAAATACTTCACCTTGCTGAAACCAGTCTGTAATGACTAAAAGAGGGGTTTGCTTCTTCAAATTCATGAACACCAGTGCAGGACTATGTGGATAGCTAAGAATCAAGCAAACATGACATCACCAGATGGACCTTATAAAGCCCCAGTTGTCAACTCGAAAGAAGAAATGAAGAGATACTAATTGCCTACAAAAAATTCAAAATAATCATCTTAATGAAGTTCAGTAAGATGCAAGAAAATACAGGTAGAGAACTAAATAAACTCAGAAACACAATGCATTAACAAAATGAGAAGTTTAATAAGGAAATAGGAACGATAAAAACAAACCAAACAGAAATCTTAGAGCTGAAGAATACCATGACAGAACTGAAAAATTTAAAAATTTCAACAGCCGACTTGATCATGGAGAAGAAATAATTAGTGAACTTGAAGACAAGTTATTTGAGATTACCCAGTTAGAGGGACGAAAAGAAAACAAGATTGAAAAAGAGTAAAAAAAGCATAAGAGACATCAGAAAACATATGAATATCTGTATTACAGGAGTACCTGAAAGAGAAGGGGGGAAGAAAGCTTATTCAAAAAAATATTGTCTGAAACTTGAATCTTGGGAGGGATGTGAAAATTCAGACTCAGGATTCCAAGCAACAAAATTCAAAAAAGAATACTCCGAGAGACCTTAAAATCAAATTTTCAAAAGTCAAAGACAAAGAGATAATCTCAAAGGAAGCAGAAGGAAAGAAACTCATCACATATAAAGGAACTCTTATAGGGCTGTCAGTGGACTCCTCAACAGAAATCTTGCAAGCCAGGAAGGAGTGGGATGACACATGTAGAATGCTAAAAAAATTGCTAACTAAATAAATTTTATTTTATTATTTATTTATTTATTAAATTTTGTTTATTCAATAAAGCTGCCCTATAGAAATGAAGAGTTAAAGACATTCCAAGACTAAGGGAGTTCATTACCATGGTACCAGTCTTACAAGAAATGCTGAAGGATGAAACAAAAGGATGACAAGTAACAGTATAAAAACATATAAAACTATAAAACTCATTGCTAAAGGTAAATCTATAGTCAAATTCTGAATAATAATCTAAAGATGGTATGTAAATCATTCTTAAGTCAAGCTGATGAGTTAAAAGACAAACATGTTAAAACAAGTATAGCTATAAAAAACTGGTTAATGAATATACAACAAAAACAGATGTAAAGCATACTATCAATAACATAAAATATAGGGGCAGAGAGAAGTAAAAGTTTAGAGTCTTTATATGCAACTGAAGTTAAGGGACTATCAGCTTATGTATAGCCTCGTGGTAACAACAAAGAAAAAAACTTTTAGTAGATACACAAAAAGTAAAGAAGAAATCAAAGCATACCACTGCAAAATAATGCAACAAGTCACAAAGAAAGACAATAAAATTAGAAGACAGGAACAAAATAACTACAAAACAGTCATTAAAAATTAACAAAATGCTGGCAGTATGTCTTATGTATCAATCATTACTTTAAGTATAAATGGATTTAATTTTCCAATCAAAAGAAGCAGAGTGGCTGGATGAATTTTTTTAAAAAAAGTTAAAAACAAGATCCAACTCTACGGTCCCTAGCAGAGCCTTACTTTAGCCTTGGAAACACAGACTGAGATTAAATTGTTGGAAAAAGTTATTTCAGGCAAGTGGTAACCAAAGAGAGCAGGACTGGCTAAACTTCCATCAGACAAAATAGTCTTAGCTCAAAATGTAAAAAATGACAAGGAAGATTATTATATTATGATAAAGGAAACAGTTCATTGAAAGGATACACATTATTAAATATATCTTCTCAGTATTGGAGCATATAAATACATAAAGCAATTATTAATAGTTCTAAATGGTGAGATAGACTGTAATGCAATAACAGTAGGGGAACTTTAATATTCCACATACATTCAACAATGGGCAGATTATCCAGACAGAAAATCAGTAGAGAGACAGTGGACTTGAACAACATTTTTGGCCATGTGACTCTAATAGACATATATAGAACATTCCATCCAACAGCAGCAGAATGTATATTCTTCTTAAGCACACAAGGAACATTTTTCAGGATAGATAATATGTTAGGCCACAAAACAAGTTTTAAACCATTTAAGAAGAATGAAAGCATATTAAGTGTATTCTCTGATCAAAATGGAATGAAACTAGAAGTTAATAAAAGGAGAAATTTCAGAAAATTCACAAATATATGGATATTAAATAATATGCTTCTGAACAATGGATCAAATAATAAAAGAGAAATTTTAAAGATATAATACCTTGAGAAAAATGAAAATGCAAACACAACATTGAGATGAAGCAAAACCAGTTTTCAAAAATTGCCTTTTAAGCAATTCTAAAAGGAAAGTTGATAGCAACATATACCTACATCAAAAAAGGAGATCTCAGATAATCAACTTAATGTTATTATACCTCAAGGAACTATAAAAAGAACAAACTAAACCCAAAATTAGCAGAAAGAAGGAAATAATAAAGGTCAGAGCAGAAATAAATAAAATAGATACTAGGAAGAAAATAGAAATGATTAATGAAACTAAGTTTTTTTTTAATACAAAATTGATGAAATTTTAGCTAGACTAATGAAGAAAGTGAGAGAAGACTCAAATAAATAAAATGTAAAACAAAAGAGGATTGCAACTGATACCATAGAAATACAAAGAATCATGAGAGACTAATATGAACAATTATGTGCTAAAAATTGGATTACATAGCAAAAATAATTTATGGAAACATACAACCAATCAAGACAGAATCAAGAAAAAATAGAAATTTCGAACAGACCAATAATGGGTAAGGAGATTGAATCAGTAATAAAAAATATCTTATCAAAGAAAAGCCCAGGACTAGATGGCTTCACAGTGGAATTGTGTATATATACATATATACAAGTATATACAAGATATACTTGTATATATACACACAAGTATATATATATCTACAAGTATATATATCTACAAGTATATATATATACACACGTATATATATATACGTGTATATATCTACAAGTATATATATATACGTGTGTATATATATACAAGTATGTATATATATACAAGTATGTATACATACAGGTGTATATATATACAAGTATGTATACATACGGGTGTGTATATATACAAGTATGTATACATACGGGTGTGTATATATACAAGTATGTATACATACGGGTGTGTATATATACAAGTATGTATACATACGTGTATATATATACAAGTATGTATACATACGGGTGTGTATATATACAAGTATGTATACATACGGGTGTGTATATATACAAGTATGTATACATACGGGTGTGTATGTATACACAAGTATGTATGTATACATACGGGTGTGTATGTATACACAAGTATGTATGTATACATACGGGTGTGTATGTATACACAAGTATGTATGTATACATACGGGTGTGTATGTATACACAAGTATGTATGTATACATACGGGTGTGTATGTATACACAGGTATGTATGTATACATACGGGTGTGTATGTATACACAAGTATGTATGTATACATACGGGTGTGTATGTATACACAGGTATGTATGTATACACAGGTGTGTATGTATACACAGGTATGTATGTATACACAGGTGTGTATGTATACACAGGTATGTATGTATACAGAGGTGTGTATGTATACACAGGTGTGTATGTATACACAGGTGTGTATGTATATACAGGTGTGTGTATGTATACACAGGTGTGTATGTATATACAGGTGTATATATGTATACACAGGTGTGTATGTATATACAAGTGTATATATGTATACACAGGTATATATGTATATACAAGTATATATATTATTCTTGTTGAACTCTTCCAAAAAATTCTTGTCGAACTCTTCCAAAAAATTGAAGAAGAAAAAATACTTCCAAGTTAATTTTACAAGGCAGCATTACCCTGACAACTGATTACCCTGATAAGCCAGCCACAGACACTAGAATAAGAGAAAATTATCCCGAACAATATCCCTGAAGAATGTAGATGCAGAAGTTCTATACTAACAAATGTAATCCAACAGCACGTCAAAAAGATAATACACCATGATCATGTGAGATATATCCCAGTGATGCAAGGATGGTTCAGCATACAGAAAGCAATGTGATACCATATTAACAGAAGGAACAAAAATCATATGGTCATCTCAATAGATGCAGAAGAAACATTTGACAAAATTTAACATCTTTTCATGATAAAAACTCCCAACAAATTAGCCACAGAAAGTCTGTACCTTAATACAATAAAGGCCACCTATGAAAAGTTCACTGCTAACATTACACTCAACAATGAAATGCTGAAAGCTTTTTCTCTAAGATTAGACACCCGATAAGAACACTCACTCTCGCCTCTTCTATTCAACATCATAGTAGCAGTTCTAGAAACAGCAATTAAATAAAAAAAGAAAGTAAAGGTATCCAAATAAAATAAGAAAAAGTAAAATTTTCTGTTTGTTATGATGTGTTCTTCTACATAGAAAACCCTAAAGATTCCAGCCAATAACTGTTGTCAGTGATATACAAATTCAATTTGTAGGGTACGAAATAAACATGCAAAAATCAACAGCATTTCTTTACACTAATAATTAACTCTCTGAAAAAAGAAATTAAGAAATAAGCCTCATTCACAATAGCATCAAAAATTAAAATAAAATTCTTAGGAGTAAATTTAACCAAGGAAATGAAAAATCCGTTTACTGAAAACTGTAAAACATGGATAAAAGAAATTTTAGATGACACAAATAAATGGAAAAGTATCCCATTATCATAGATTGGAAGAATTAATTATGTTAAAATGTTCATACTACCCAACATGATCTACAGTCCCTGTTAGAATGCCAATGTCATGTTTCATGGAACTAAACAAACAAACAAAAAAACCAAACCAAAAAAAAAAACTTTGGTATTCATATGTTACCACAAAAGACCCCGAATAGCCAAAGGAACCTTGAGCAGAAAGAAGAAAGCTGGAAGCATCACACTCCCTTACTTCAAAACCTACTAAAAGCCATAGTAATCAAAACAGCACGGTGTGGGCATAAAAACAGACACATTGACCAATGCAACGGAATACAGAGCCGAGAAATAAACCCACACATTTATGGTCAATTAATTTTTGACTAAAGTGTCAAGAACATATAATGGAGAAAGGATAGTCTCTTCAATAAAGGGTGGTGGGAAAACTGGATGTTCTGCAGAAAAATGAAATAGGACCCTTATTTCACACCACATACAAGAATCAACTCAAAATGGATTAAAGACTTAAATGGAAGACTCAGAATTGTAAACTATAAGAAGAAAACTTAGAGGAAATGTTCCACAACCTTGGTCTGGTCAAAGACTTTTTGATATGACCCCAAAATCACAGGCAACAAAAGCAAAAATAAACAAGATTACATCAAAGTAAAAAGCTTTTGCTAGGCATAGGAAAAAATAGAGTGAAGAGACAGCCCATGGACTGGGAGAAAATATTTTCAAACCACACATCTGGTAGGGGGCTAATATCCAAAATACATAAAAAACTCAAACAACTCAATAGCAATAAAACAACCCAATTAAAAAGCAGACAAAAGACCTGAAAGATGCTACTCAAGACATACAAATGGCTGATAGATACACTAAAAAGGGCTCATCATTACTAGTCATCAAGGAAATTCACATTAAAGCTACTATGAAATATCTCTTCACACCAGCTGGAAACGCTATTATCAAAAGGAAAAATGATAACAAGTGGCAAGGTTATGGAGAAAAGGGAACACTTGTGTACTATTGGTGAGAATGTAAATTAATGTAGCCAGTATGGAAAAGAGTAGAGAAGTTCTTCAGAAAACTAAAAGTAAAATTATATGATCCAGTGATCCTACTACTGGATACATGTCCAAAGGAATTAAAATCAGTGTTGCAAAGATAAACCTGCACTTCTGTATTCATTGTAGCATTATTCACAATAGCTACGATATGGAAGCAACCTAAATGTCCATCAACCAATAATGGGATAAAGAAAATGCATATATACACAATAGAGTATTATTACTTACACAATGGAAGCCTTAAAAAAGTGGAAAATCCTTTAATTTGTGACAACATGGTTGAATCTGGAGGACATTATACTAAGTGAAATGAGCCAGGCACAGGAAAAGAAACACTTATTGAATGGCTGCATTATGTCAGATGCTACAGGGCTCTAGAGATGCACCAGTGAACACTACAGTTCAACATTCCACATTCTAGCCCAGCCAGTCAATAACCGTGAAAGATATACATCTGATCGTTTGTCAGCAGGAGAGAGAGAAAGAAAGCAAGGCACAGTGACAGGAGAGTCAGGAGGGCGTGGCTTTACATGTGTTAGTCAGGAGAGCCCACAATGAGCCGGTAATATTGAAATGACTTGAAGTGGTGAGGGAGTGAGCCATGGTCTTTCTGGTGGAAGAGCCATAAGTAAGTGCAAGTGCAAAGGCTCTGAGGCCAGAGCTTGCCTAGTGTGTCTGGGGATCAGCAGAGATTCCAGTTTGGCTGAACAGAGGGCTTGATGGTGGGGGTGGAAAGAGGTTAGGTGAGAGAAGGGAGAGAGTTGAAAGGTGCACTTTGTCAACCACTGAAAGAGCTTTGGCTTTTATCAAGACCGTGATAGAAGGCATTGAGAGAGTTGTTAGAGGAAGCATGGATGATCTGACTTGGCTTTAACAGAATCTCTTTGGCTGCAGGGTTGAGCATAGACTATGAGGGAAGCAAGGGTGAAGGAAGGCAGAAAGGTTAAGCTTTGCTTTTGCATTAATCCTATTGCAGATGATGATAGCTTGGATGAGAATGGAGGAGATGCAGGAGGCTGATTCTGGGAATTTTCTTGCAGTGTGCCCTAGAGCTTTGTCCTTTTTCTTGTCCTCACTAACACTGACTTCAGCAGCAGAAAATCTGTAAACACACAGGTTCACAAGACCTCTGGAGGATATAGTATAAGTTGGAAGGCTGGATGACAGAACAGGGATCCGTTATTTTTAAAACAAGCTGGAGCAGTGGACTCAGGATAGATTATTCTGTGGCAAATGCCTGGCTTCCCCAAACCAACCATATAGATAGATGGATTATGTTATCAAATTGGCACTCTGACAAATTTAAATTAGCAGTAAGCTCAGTAGGTATGATGTTCCTCTCAAGAAGTGAATGCTGGCCGGGCGCATTGGCTCACGCCTGTAATCCCAGCACATTGGGAGGCCGAAGTGGGTGGATCACTTGAGGTCAGGAGTTTGAGACCAGCCTGGCCGACATGGTGAAACCCTGTCTCTACTAAAAATACAAAAATTAGCCGTGTGTGGTGGCATGTGCCTGTGGTCCCAGCTACTCAGGAGGCTGAGGCAGGAGAATTGCTTGAAACCAGGAGGCAGAGCTTGTAGTGAGCAGAGATTGTGCCACTGCACTCCAGCCTGGGACACAGAGCAAGACTCTGCCTCAAAAAAATAAAAAAAAAAAGAAGAAGTGAATGCTATATTAATATAGTACTTAAGAAAAGGGAGGAGAAAGCTCATTTTTTTCCCTACTCTAATTAAACCATGTCTCGTATATGGACATTGTAATGATTTTCATATTCTCAAAAGGTTAGGCAAACTGAACAGAATTAAGACAAATATAAACAGAGTGATTATAATTGTCATGTAATTATAATTGTAATCAACTATGTAACATAAAATATGATTCAAAGAATTAGAAAAAGAGATCTGAAAAAGAGAAGAATTTTGCAGGGTTGGGGAGAGTAATGAATAGTTTTAAATAATTAGCTGCTCTGCCTCTGGGGTAGCCATTCTTTTATTCTTTTATTACTTTACTTTCTTAATCAACTTGATTTCACTTAAAAAATTGATGGCTGTCATGGCTAGCAGAGAATACTTGGATTTTCCTGTGAGACTCCAGTGTGGACATATTGGCAGAAGCCACAAACACGTAGTTAAATTTCGTGTAAAAAAAAGTCCACCATCCAGAGTACTTCAAAGATGAAATGGTTTAATGTTAACCGTTGTGAGTTATCTATCACTGGAGGTGCTCAAGTTTAGGCTATAACCCTGGATGATCCTGCAGAAATCTCCCGTCCTAAAGATCCTATTTTTCTATGCTTCTACTTTGCTGGAACTACAGCACTTGTATCTTATTTCCTGAGTTGGATTGTAAATTCCATAAAGGCAGAACACATTATTCATCTTTGTTTTTTTCCACAACACCCAGAACAATGTTTTACTTATTTTTGATGCTAAAAGAATTCTTGGAGAAAGAACAAGCACGTGGTTTGTGAAACTGTTATAGATTTGATTTCAACACTGTTTTAGACACACACTGGATTTGTCAAGAGGTTCTATAGGGATATACTACTTCTATTTTTGACTGACATATCCCAGGAAGAGGAAACAGGGTTCATTTTTAATTTTAATCTCATAGCTGAATTTTTAAGCCTCTATTTGCTTTCCTTTTGACCACAGCCCTGCTTTGGGAGGATCTGCCCAAGCCGGGAGCCAGATAGCCGAGGAGCCAGTGGGAGGGTGTGATGGTCTCACCAAGGCAGCCAGGGGCTGGGAGTAGCCAGGAACAGTGCTTAAGCTACAGTTCTCAGGGCCTGCGAACGGTCAAAACTGTGTGTTATCAAGTCAAGGGCCCAATTTATGAAGCTAGAGTAGGGCCCTGGCTAGAAGATAGGTCTGAGTGTGACATGCCAGGTGGACCTTGCTCAGAAAAAGACCAAGCTAAAGTAAGGGATCTGCAATTGCTGCAAACAGCTGTCAGTGGTGTATGGGGGATCAGATTAACTTATGGCATGAGACATCCTTGATAGGAGCTACTTTGCCTAGTCAGCCTATGACCATGGACCTGGAGTGAACTTGTGGTGCTCAGAATGGGACACAAGCCTTGTTCTGTTTTCTCTCCATCTTGCTGTGTCTTCCAGGAAGCAACAAAAGAGGACCAATTCTGCAATTGTCCTTAGAGGACAGATGCGATGCCATATCCAAGATCCAAAATAATGTCCTTTTGTGTTTCCTTCTTCTTTTGTTTACGAGCATGATGAGAATCAGGGAAAATGGGTAGACAGTCTTCTTGGTTCTATCTTGCCAGGGCTTATATCCAAGCTTGTACACTCACCACACTCACCACAGTCCAGGCATCTGCTGTTCATTATAATTATTTAAATGAGCATCTCCAAAGTTTTGAGGCCATGTCTTCTCAGCCCCCATGGGGTACCTGGAAAAGAACCATTTCTGGGTCAGTGTTATTGATGAGGCTGGGGCTTGAGGGTCTCAGCCAGGTGTCCAGAGCCTCGTTATCACCACAGACCATGTCTGCCATTGGGGAACACTCTGTTTATTTTTCACTGAGTGGGTTTGAATGATTCCCTTCCGCTGTTGTGCCATTTCCCTTAAGTTAAATGATGGACTCTGAGAAGGCCTACTATTCATCCAACATCTGTTTCTCTGATTTTCTAGGCTCCTTGTTGTTTTGGAGTGCTCAAAAATCAGTGTTTTAAGTGCATGTGGGCATAATATTTAGTATATTAATACACACTAGAGACAGTCCTGCCTACTAGAAAGCCAGGTACTACAGGGTTATAAAAGTCATTTGATACCTTGTAAAGCCCAAGAAACCTCGCCAATGCCCAGGCCCCGTTTCTTGATGTAGTCAGGTGATAACACGTGTACACTTGTACAGCCTTCTCCAGCAAGTGCCAAAAGTTCATGCTAAGTACTACATAAATTGTCACCTAATTAAGTACTGTTATGGTTTGGATTGGGGGGAAGTGTAAACTTGATTCTCCTTGGAGAGCAATATGCAGAAATATGATGTGGAATTAATTGTATGGGTCCAGGTCAAAGATCAAAGTACAAGTGGAATTGCCTTTGCAAAGGGAGAATTTGTAAAAGATTTTTGTTGGCATCTCAATTATTTCATTTTTTATTATTTGATTCCTGCCAGCCTACAACCCTTTCCCTGTCTTTAAATCTCTCCTTCTGTATCTTTCCAAACTACTTTGTATAGCATTTTGCATACTAAATAATGTCAATTGTCTGGCAGAGGCTAAGCTATTGTGTATAATTCTCTCTCACCATGAAATTTTCTTAGTTCCTAAAATGTAATTTAATGCCTTGCAATTCAAAGCCTTTGCTTTTGCACATTTTCTTCTCTCAAATGGAAACCTCATTTTCTTCTTCTCTGGCTGGCATTTGGGGACATTCTTAATGTTTAATTCAAAGGTCTTTTTACCTGTAAATCATTTCCTTATTAGCTTGAGTCTGAGGCAACACCTTTGCATTTCCAAAACACAATGTGTTCCTTCTGATCTATAATTTCTATAAGTTCAATGTAGTACATATTATAACTTATCATATTGTATGCTCCCTGATTTACTTGTTAACCCCTCTATGTAATACACTGTTTGGGAGAAAAGATTTTGTGTTCCTGGCACTAAATATGCTAATTGTCACACAGTGATACTAGTAAATATTTGTGAAATGAATAAACTAATGCATGAATAAATGAAGTTATATCCAGGGACCATGATGAGTAGAGATAAGATTCATTTTCCCAGTTGGAATCTTTCTATGAACAGAATTCATCTGGTTGTGTTGCGGTACTTTTCTCATTTTCAAATTCAGCTCCATTAAAAAAAGTTATATGTGGAGGAAGGAATGATGGGAAAAAAGAGAAACAATTTATTTATACATGTCAGTCTGACTCACCTTATTTGCTATAATGCCCTCAGGGACAGTGGTGGAAATATTTCATTTAACTTGGCAGGGCAAGAAGAATGAGTTTGGAGAACACATTCAAACATCAGCAGCTCAGCTGAGGGAGCTGGAGTCTTTATTTCCAATCCAATAACTGAATATGTTCTCATGGTGGGAAGAACAGAGTGTAATAACTTTTTGTGAAACTCAGCTGGCAATGCTCATGAGAAAACGCCTTGCTCAGGTTTGAATGGCCTGAGCTCAGGAAAGGCCCTATGAGGCTGAGTCTGTTTAAAATATCTCTCTACTTGAATCATCTTGGTACCAGATTTTTCAAACTCATGGTGCCTTGGATAGCTTCCTCTCTCTAGAATTAAGTGTGTATGTTGGCCAGGGCAGGCGAGGCAATGGCAATCCTGGCTTAGCTGATTCCTGGAGGAATGTTATAGCTAATTGGATAACAAAGTTGAAAGAAACGACTCAGAAGAACAAGACATTGCCTTCAAATAAGTTACCTTCCATTAAGGTTACCTTCATTTATCTGGAAGCCATCTTTCAAGTTCTTGAAAGTAGCTTAGGCTGAGGCTTACAGTCCAGAAGAAATCCTGCAGCCTATTATAGAGAAACAAAATCTGGAGGGGAGTGTTAGGGTTTAAGAGATGGGAAAGAGCCATAAATACTGCCTTGTTCCTCTGCTCTGGCTTCCTTGTCTGGGCTGAGAAATAAGACAAAAGAGTAAAGCAAATAGAGCCAGAACACTACCTTTTGATTGACAGTGACAAGAGTGGAGGACATGGCTTAGTGAGACAGAAAGACTGCCCAAGTCATAGACAATGCATAGGATTTCAAATCTTGGGGTGAAGAGTGACCAAGGAAAACAAGTATACCCTAAGGGCAACTTTCTCCCAAGAAGGAGGGAGAAGTAAGAACCGGTATAAGCATGCCTCCCTTTATTTCTGTAAAATTGACACATTAGACATATTAGACATATCTTTCCTCTTCTGCTAAGGTAGTGTGTAAGGGGACAGTGAGACCAAGAATATTCTGTTGACAAGTCTCCTTTCAAGTGGAAGGAAAGATCAGAAATGGGACAAAGCATTCTACCCCTACCCCATCACAAAGTCAACACCCACCATGTGTCCCATATGTTGCTAACATGAGCCGATGTGGCCCTCACTACAACCCACTATGTGCAAGGTGCTGTTCATATCCTCGACTCGGGCACACATCTGGATCCAGATTGTCTGGGATTGTTATCTGACTTCCTTATTTGCTAGCCTTGTGACTATTGCAAATGACACAACTTCCTGTGACTGAGATTCTTAAAGGACAAAATGGAGACAATAGAAGTGCTTCTCTCACAGGTGTCATGGAGATTAATTAATTAGGACATGGAATCTAGAACTATAGTCTGTGTCATACTGAATTTAACAAGCAGTGTAAATGTGTGATATTATTATTTTTGTAGATTAAAAAGCAAAACCAAAACCACAGAGAGGTTGAGTAATTTATTCACAGTGCCACAGATAACAAAGGACATTCGAGAGGTTATTTGAATTTGGGTCTGTCTGGCCCTGGTGCCTATGCTTTATGTTGCTTCATTATACATCTCTCAAATGGTTGTAAGCATGTGAGGTAAGAGCGAAGTCCACATGAGATAGATATGCTAACATTTAAACTGATTAAATTGATCCTCCGCCCACTCCCATGGGGATCAGTGCTACCTTCATTAACTACAAGGTGGGTACTGGAGTCCCATAAATACACACATTATATTATTTTAATTACTCTTTCTGTATGCCATCTGAGCAGAAAAAATTCCAGGAGCCAGAGTGCCTAACAGGCCTTTGTGGGACCCTTCAATTAAGAGTTATCAAATGTACTCTTCCCTTTGTTGGGCCCATCTATGTCTTGAAATAATTGCCATTAATCTTTTTGTGTCCTGGACCCATAGGAAATATGTTGGTAGCTATGGCCCTTCTTCTACACACATATCAAAAGTTGCCTACATATTGGGAAGAATTCAAGAACCCCCAGGGTTAATAATCATGTTTCTTTTCTTCTTCTCTGCCCTTTGTTCTCTCCTCAATTAACCCAAATGATACCTAAATTCTCATGTCCCATCAGCTCAGGTTCTCCAAGGAATCCTCTCCCATCCTTCAGGCCACTGTGGTCTCCTTCATCTCTGTTTTCTGGAAGCTCATGAAGTGTTTATTACAGGGTCTGGCCATTGTCTTGTCTTGTTGTTCAAGCTGCAATGTTTTGTGTTACCCATTTCTCTTTAGAGGCAGTTTTAGAATTTCTTTCTCTGCTAAACCAAATAATTAGTGCCACAAACATAATAGGCGCTGAAAATGTGAATGTGGAGTGAACAAGTGAAAGTATTATGAAATTGGCCAGGTGCTGTGGCCCACACTTGTAATCCCAACAGTTTGGGAGGCCAAGGTGGGTGGATCACCTGAGGTCAGGAGTTCGAGACCAGCCTGGCCAACATGGTGAAAACCCGTCTCTACTAAAAATACAAAATTAGCCAGGCATGGTGGTGACACCTGTAATCCTAGCTACTTGGGAGGCTGAGGCAGACGAATCACTTGAACCCAGGAGGCAGAGGTTGCAATGAGCTGAGATCACGCCATTGCCCTCTAGCATGGGTGACAAGAGTGAAACCCCGGCTCAAAAAAAAAAAGAAAGAAAGTATTATCAAATGATTTAATGAGAAAGGTGGGATGTATAACATATTAGTGCATGGTGTTTCATGTTCTTTCCTTTCTTGGGGACTATATTAATATTTGTATCTCTTGCCCCTGTATCTGCTAATCCACCAAACTTTACATCAACCTGCTTCTCTCCCTTGAATAGCTCTAGGATTTACCAGCTCATGTGGAGAAATGAGGTCACATTAACATTGATAAACACATTTCACTGGCTTAAAGTTCCAACTTCATACCTTCATAACCGTAGATCCCTACTACGGAGCCTCTAAATTACTTCCAGCAGTCACAATAGATAATGAAATGTGTGATCAGAAACACACCCCTTCATGATCCTTGTCTCCATGCTGTTTTTTGGGGTCTGATGACGGACACACCACACCACTGTTTTGCTGTGAGTGTGTTGATGAGACTGCACTAGGCTAGGTGCCCTACTTACTCCCACTGCATGGCACTTCTCTGTTGGTGGCCACTCTCCAAGGCAAGAATGAACTTGCACCAACTCAGTGTCATGCTTCAATATCCGAACCCTCGAATAGCACCTTAGGATCTCAGAGAATCTCCCTAAACCACTTCTTCTTCTTCTCTCTCTTTCTCTCTCTCTCTCTTTCTCTCTTTTAATATAGAACACGTCACAAATTTACACATCATCATGGAAATAGTGCATAGTGGGCCATGCTATTCCTCTCTGGATCAAATTTGCACAGAGGCCATGCTATTCTTCTCTGGATCACTCCAGTTTTAGCATATGTACTACTGAAGTGAGCATCCCCGAAACCACTTCTTAGCCTTCTGGCTCTAGCTGAATTTTATATAGATGTTATGATTTCGTTCCCAGGTTTGATTGAGAAACAGATGACTTCCCATTCTCATCCCACTTCCCACCTCTCCTTCAGGTGCCCATGGTCAATATTCTTTCCTTCTCCCTCAGAAAAACATAAGCAATGATAGCAGCTAATGTTTAGTGAATGTTAAGTATAGCCAGATTTTTTTTTCTGTATTTTCATGTATTAAAGTGTATGATCCTCACAACTTTCTGAAGTAAGTAATATTATTTTTCCTTGTTTTACAAAGAAGATAAGTGAGGCATAGAAATGTTAGGAAACTTTCCCGAAGACTCATAGCTAGTAAGCTGTGGAGCTGAAATATCAACCTAGACAATTTGGCAGGTTGCAAAATGTTAACTACTGGCTATATTATCTCTCATAGATAACTAACTTGAGGCTTGCTAGCACATTCCTGGGTCCCAAATGCACATCCCCAATTCGTGTTTCGTTCTCCATTCCATGTACAATCTCCTACTGCTATTTCCAGATCCAGATTTCATTCTTGTCTCTAGACTTTCCGGCCTCTCTCTACCAGGTTTGACTGCTTCCTTCTTGGTGCCACTGTCACTCCTGTCAATCATTTCAGTTATAACACTTTTATTACCGGGTGTATTTTTTTTTATTAATAAGATGCCATATTTCACTGACGTATACTTTACATTCAATGAAATATAAAGATCTTAGGTATACAGTTTAATCACTTTTGATAAATGCAATCATCCATATAATC
This sequence comes from Homo sapiens, assembly GCF_000001405.40. Classification (NCBI taxonomy): domain Eukaryota; kingdom Metazoa; phylum Chordata; class Mammalia; order Primates; family Hominidae; genus Homo; species Homo sapiens. The sequence continues at coordinate 13,050,553 of NC_000004.12, read as the reverse complement.
CACCTCCCTATAAGATACAGAATTCCATCACCTCAGGAAGTTTCCTCATGCCACTTCCAGCTGACTTCCACACATCCTTCTCTCTTAAACCAGCCAATGTTCTGATTTCTTTCACCACATGTTTAGTTTTGTCTAGAACTTCATATAAATGAAATCATATAGTATATGCCCTTTCATGATTATTTTTATTTCACTCAGAACACTATATGTGAGATTCATTCATATCGTTGCATGTATCAGTAATGTATTTCTTTTTTACTACTATGATGTAGTTTTCCATAATATGCATATATCAGAATTTATTTATTCAATGAATATCATGAAATTTCTATTTCTGTTGGGACATTTAAGTTTTTTTAAGTTTTTGGCTTTTATGAATAAAGAGTTCAGAATAGTTGTGGGAAAATATTTTTGTGGACATAGAACCTAAGTTTTTATTTCCCTTAGGAAAATGCAGAGAAGTGGAATTCATGGATTGTAGGGTAGAGTATATGTTTAATTTTCTAAGAACCTGTCAAATCAGTTTCCAAAGTGGTTTTACTATTTTACATGCCCACCAACCATGTGTGAGAGTTCCAGTTGCTTTTCATCTTCATCAACTCTTGTTATTGTCAGCTTAAAATATTTTAGCCATTTTAGTAGGTGTGTAGTGGATATCACCATGTGGTTTTAATTTGAATTTTCCTGATGACTAATGATGTTGAGCACTTTGTTACAGGCTTTTAACCATTCACATATTTTCCTCTGTGAGATGTCTGCTCCAGTATTTCGCTTTCCCCCTTTCTCCGCACTGCCATTTTTATGTAGTTTGTTTGACTTTTTATTTTTGAGTTGTAGGTGTTCTTTATATATTCTGGATACAGTCCTTTGTCATATTTATTCTGCAAATATTTTTCTCCCACTGTGTGCCTTGCCTAGTCATTTCTATTTTTTTTTTTTGGTGGATAAAAGTTTAAATTTTGATCAAGTCCGATTTATCAGTTCTTTTCCTTTTTTGACTAATACTTTCAGGGTTCTGCCCAGAAAATCTTGCCTATATCAAAGTCATGAAGATATCCTCTTATACTTTATAATCTCTCTCCTACTTTTAGGTCTATAATCTATTTTGTGTGTGTAGTGTGAAGTAAGAGTTTATTTTTTATATATACATATATATGATATATATTTTATAATATATATAAATCTTTTCCTTATGAATATTCAGTTGTTTCAACACAATTTTTTGAAAAAACTTTCTTTCGTCATTAAATTACTTTGAATATTTCATCAAAAATCAATTGACTGTAAGAGTGGAAGTATATCACTTACCTTATTCCCACTCTTAGGGGAAAAGCTTTACATTGATTGGATTTTGAATGTTAAATCAACCTTACATTTCTTAAATGAACCTTGATTGCACTCTTGATCATGCTGTGTTGTCCTTCTAATATATGATTTTTGAATTGCTTATTTTATTTAAAAATAATTTTTCTATGTTTATGTGGGGTGAGAATTAGGAGAAGTCTAAGCATGAATAAGGATTGAACTGTTGAGTAGTGTCTTGACCAGATACTTTCAGTAACTGAATGAAGGTTGTTTTATGGCTTAATATAACTGGAGGACTACAATAATAAAATAAAGTTATGTTTCCTGACAACTTTTCATCTTCTTCTCCTGAATACATTTGAGAAAGGCAATAAAAGGTGAAAATGTAATGTTTTTAAAAAATCTTATCCAATGAGTTGTGCTTATCTAATTGACTGGCTACATTTTGAAAATGCTCTTTAATTACTAACAGCTATTTCATAGATTTCCTATCCAATTCTCAGATCAGATAAATTCTGTTTCAAATCATCTATAGATCAGCACAAATTTGAAGCCTGTTGCACTTAGGAAGTTAAACATTTTACAATCTATTTGCCAAGGTTGTCCCATGACTCAAGCCTGGATATTGAGGAACCTGGGTGTCAAGGAATCACTTTCTCTGCTTCAAGATCTTTGGTCAGAGATCTTGAGAAGGCTTATTATATTGGTTTGGTGGGAGGTTCACCTAAATGTCTTGGAAGTTTCCTTTTGATGTTGAAATATTTTATTCCGCAAAGGCAGGGATGGGAAATGGGAGCAGGAACTAAAGAGCCCACTAATGATGATGGACAGGTAGGCACGAAGGCTAAACTAGAAGCTATTTTTGGTGACTTCTGTTGCACAAACTGCCTCTCTTAGCTATTTCTTGGGTAAATCTCTCCAGTTCCACTTGGAAAGGCAAACAGCATTAAAACTAAAGAAAGTTCCATAGCTGACTCTATGGGCATTAGAATTATCACCCAACAAAATTGCTATCTGCAGCCAAAGGACACCTTGTCATAATGTCGGAGCAAGTGTGGCCAAAGCCATCTTGGGGAAAAAGAGAAGTCTGTCTAGACAGATCGGAACAGCTGGTGTGCCTAATTAAACAGTCCCTCTTCACACAGCCAGTGCTGTGTGAACAGTTTGCTTGTTTATTAATTACTTGTGGAACACACCTTTAAAGAAGTGCTATGCACTTTATCCGCTTCCATGGATTCATGGAAACCGGGGGCCCAAAAGGGCTGTAGAAATCAAATAATCCAGTCCTGTAAGTTTCCAGAAGAAAAACTGAAGATAAAAGAGATAAAATAACAAGGCTGAGCCATGAATTCGTGGCAACAACAGCACTGGAATCCAGGTTTCTGACATTTGGTCCAGAGCTCTTTCCACCATGCCAGTCTACTTGCTATGTAGACGGACGTTGTCACGTGACCACTCCTGGAGATGCTTCTGTGCAGGCTCTTTATTGCAATTTATTCCCCCTACTGGACTATCTTATTTATTAACATTCTCTCATTCTCCAATTGTCAGACTAGATTAATTCTGTCAGTATTAACTATAGATCAACACAAATTTAAAGACTGTTGCACTTAACAAGTCAAAGATTTTATAATCTATTTGCCAAGGTTGTCACATGACTCAACCCTGGATGCTGATGAATCTGGTTTATGCCTTTGGGCTGTTGCTCTGCCTGTCTGCTTTTAACAGTTAAACGCACCTGAATGGCATAACACAACCTAGGCTTAGATTCCACTAGAAGCAAACCCCGAGATGAGGATTTGGATGCAAATAGTTTATTTTAGAGGTGATTGTGGGAAAAAATGTGTCTTAATTCATTTGTGCTACTATAACAAAATACCTGAGGCTAGGTATTTTATGAACAATACAAATTTATTTCTTAAATTTCTGGAGGCCAAGTTTGAGATCAAGGTGCTGGCATATTTGGCATCTGGTGAGGGCCCTCTTTCTCTGTCCTCACATGGAGAAATGCAGAAGAGCAAAGAGGGCCTATGCTAGTTCTCCCCAGCCCTTTTGTAGGGCATTAATTCATTCATGAAGGTCCTCATGATTTAATCACTTCCTAAAGACATCTTAATAGCACCTCTTAATATCCCCAAAATGGGGATTAAATTTCAACATGAATTTTGGAGGGAACTTATTTAAATCATAGCAACTGGCTTGGGAGTGGGAAAGAGACAGGAAAGACAAGGAAACGAAGAAAAGGTATGCAGTTGAAAAGGTGACTGCTATGGGCAACCAAGGTTCAATCCCTTTGGGAAACTCTAGAAAGACATGTTGACTACACTATAGAATTGCCCATTAGAAGAGTGAGAAAATCAGGGTACTTTTTCTCAACTCCCACCTGCCATTGGTGAGAGCTACTTTCAGGGGACATTAACACTGTCTTCCTGTCTGCCGTGCTAGGGCCAAACTCTCAGGCAGTCTTCAGAGTTTGTAGTAGGTCTCTATGGATGTGTCCTGGAACAGGATAGGGTTGAGGTACAGAGAGCATCTGCTATAGCGTTTCTATCAATCAGTCCTTCCCATCTTGCCATAAACTAGACTGTCTGAATGCTTTCACCAATGATATCTAATTGACGATAGAGTAGTAAGGAAAATAATAGGTTTTTTTTAAGGTGGCAGGAGTTGTGATGAAGGATTTGGGTAAACAGAATGCTGCCTGGAGAATAGCAGGAGCACATGGTTTGAGATGAGTTTGCAAGGCTGTGCTCTGGAGATTTCACCTGTTGATAGTTCTTCCCACATCTTAATGAATTATAGCCAGCAGTGGGCAGTCAGCAGCCTCCCTTCTAGCCTCCTCTCTACTTCTCCCACTCCCAATTTTACACAAAAATGGGTGACTCAGGAAGTAACAGACACCAGAAAACTTAGTTTAATTTAAATTATTTCAATCTAATTTAATTCCAGCCAACCATTTCCATTCTATTTCATGTGATTTAATTCGATAAAATTAAAAATTTATTGATTATCTTTTATGTGCTCAATAAATGTGCCTTCTATGACTTTTCTTGGAGTAAATCACCTTGAGATAGATTTGTGTTTTAAGACTGGGTCATCTTGGGTCTCTCAACTGATTTCAATCTTCAAATATGTTCCCAGTCTGTTCGTCAATCAGGATTGCTTAGGGGAAAGCAAATTGGACTTGAAATCAACTTTAGTCCTGAGGCACTGCTCAGTACCTATTTAGTAAGTTCGTCATTGGGTAAGTCAGTCTGCATTGCTGAGCCCTTTTTTTTTTTTCTTCTGAAAAATGGATAGTCCCTTCTACTACATATGCCTCTCTGTATCCTGTGAAGGATAAATAAAATAATACATAAGAAAACATTTTTTGTAGCCTATAAAGCCCTCATACTTATTCTAAAAACATTTACTTAGTGTCTACCATACACCAGTCACTTGTATATGGTATATTGCATATGGTGTATGTGACAGTTGCTGAATATATGGTGATACACTGATCTTCACCATCATGGGGATTACAGTCTAGAGATATTAATTGTTATTGCTATGTTTACAACGCAATAGGGAAGGCACAAAATTCTGTAACTTATTATGTCTGTTTTTATGGAGTTTAAAATCTAGGAAAGTAGAGGGAAAATTAATGAAGAATAACAAGGCTGTATACAGGGTTCTAGTATAGTGCTGAGGCACATAGAGAAAGAATTATGTGAATGTTGGTAGGACTTCAATAAAATAAACTAGTAAAAATCCTATGTAGAATAGCAGACACTGTTGGAACTCCACTCAGGTCTCCTTGGTTCCCTATTACTGGCTCTCCATTCCTTTCTCTCGGCTTCCGTGCTGTTTTCCTTCTAAAGCCAGCACCTGTGTCTCTTCTTTGGAGGCCTAGCCTTGGCTCTACCCACACTTGTGGAGAGCTGCAAGTACCTTGGAGTTTACATCCCTGGGGCAGCCCTTAGTCAATGACTGATTAGTATGGGTGTAATTTGGAGGGATAATTTACACTTAACAGCTCCCCAGTGGGATTAAGCTGAAGTTACCCTCTCTTATACTTTGCCTGAAATCACACCCTTGCTTGATTTCTCCTGTCGGTCATGCTCCTCACTCTTCCCTGGTTTCTCTTGGGCATAGTTTCTTAATAAATTGATTTCCCACAAGTTCTTGTCTTAGATTCTGCATCTGAGAAATGCCATCTAAGACATACAGGATTTTAGGTGGAATTAACAGCTTGGGGCAAACTGTGAGTTTGGGAAAATGGAAGCAGTGATTGGGGAACAGCAATTTTTATGGTTTATGGCTTGTGGGTAGAAGTTATAAATTTAACATTGAAACCTGTCAAATTAATTCATTCGAGAAACATTTATTGGGCAACTCTCATGCGCCAAGCACTGGTTTTAGTCTTTGAGACATGTGAGTGGGGAAAAAAATAAAATAAAATTCCTGCCCTGATGGAGCTTCTATTCTAATTGGAAGAAAACAAGACAACGAACAAATAGAGTGTGTTTTATATGCAATGTGTTAAAAGATAAGGGCAGCATGGGTAATATGGAGAATCACTGGTTTTATAGAACTTTGGGGAAAATTTTGCCAATGAGTCGTGGTAAGTTGTGATCTTGGCTTTTCAATTGTTCTTTATCAATGATTTTATTTCAATAGCTAGACTTTTGAGGTATGACTTATGATGTGGTTTGGCTGTGTCCCCACCCAAATCTCATCTTGAATTGTAGCTCCCATAATCCCCACATGTCATGGGAGGAACCTGGTGGGAGTTAATTGAATCATGGGGGTGGGTTTCTCCTGTACTGTTCTTGTGATAGTGAATAAGTCTCACAAGCTCTGATGGTTTTATAAAGGCAGTTCCCCTGAACACACTCTCTTGCCTGCCACCATGTAAGATGTGCCTTTGCTCCTCTTTCACTTTCTGCCATGATTGTGAAGCCTTGGCCTCCCCAGCGATGTGGAACTATGAGTCCATTAAACCTCTTTTTCTTTACAAATTACCCAGTCTCGGGTATTTCTTCATAGCAGTATGAAAATGGACTAATACACCTTAGCAATGACTTATGGAGAAACTATCTTAAAATTGGGAGCAAGATTATTGTCTTATTTATGTGTTGTTGTACAACAAATAATCCCCACATTTAGCAGCTTCAAAGAACAGTTATCATTTCATGGTTTCTGTGGATGAGTAAATTTGGATGAGGATTAGCTGCATTCTCTGGCTCAAGGTCTCTCATGGGCTGCAGTCCCATGGCTGGGGCTGGGGTTGGGGCTGGGCCTGCACCTGCAGTCTTCTGATTGAATTGTTTGAGTTGGGGAGAACCTGCCTCCAAGTTCACTCACTTACTGCCTGTTGGTAGTCCTCACTGGCTGTTGGCCGGAGAAATCAGTTTCTTGTCCTGCGGCTCTAGCCATAGAAGCAACTCACAAAATGGCAGCTTATATCTTCCAAAGTGAGTGTTCCAGAAAGAAAGAAGGGAAAGCAAGGGAAGGGGAGGGGAGGTGAGGGAAGGGCAGGGGAGGGAAGGGAAACAGGAAGGAAGTTACAGTTTTTTGTACGTAATTTATGAATGACATCCTATAACATTTGCTTTATGCTATTCAGTACAGGCAAATAACTAGGTACGGCCACTCACAAAGGATTACCCAAAAAGGTGAATGCCAGGAGGCAGACATCCCTGGGGTCCATATTATAGGCCACGTACCACAACGATACTTTGTTTATATTTGGAGCATTAGAACATTCACTGGCTCCTTGCTTTCTGAGAAATGGTTACATCATGTCAGGGGATCTCCAACATATCACTTGGTGGAAACTTGACACAGAAGATGCAAGGCAAATTATCACAATTCAAATTATCTATCTTATAATATGATAACATGAAATTCCAGAAAATCTATTTTATTCTCCAAATATTTATTATACAGATACACCTTTGCATGTGTTAAGATTGAAAAGTTGAATGGTTAATATAGAAGTTTAAAAATTATAGTACGTTACCTTGGGGAATTCTTCAGTGTGGACTGAAGTTGGTGCTACTTCTGAAAAATCAGAGAATAACAAAGTTTAGACTAAAAGTGGGTGCATTATTTCTTAATGAATATTGCTGTTCTTTGGGATCTTATGCCCCAATGTTTTGACGAGGTCAGTGTTTCAATGAGGCCACCTTCCGTGCCACCTCTGGATTGTTCGTTTTGATAACAAACTTGGTGTGAGCTTTAGCCTCATGATTGGCATTTGTTCCAGCTATTAGGTTTCTTAAAAAGGTGGATTTGGGTCATTTCTATGAAATTCTTATTTATAATGAAAATTATTGTAAAAGCTAAGGATTTGAAAATAAAGCATTGAGAATCAATGGTTTCTGAACCCCCACAATCTTGCTTTGAGACATATAAAAGCTTAATAATAAACATCACATTTTCCTGAGCTTCATACACTGGGTTGAGTTCCAAATTTTGGCTTGTCATTGGTAGGGGCCCTCACAATGATCGTGTGTCACAGCTTGTTCCTCTAGAACACTTGGCTTATTGCTATTATCACAGTACACTGCAAGTACTAATTTAAACATGTCCTTCCCAGGGAAGCCCTCATAGGTTTCCCACAGATGAAGTCAGTCCTCGTTAATTTCTATGTCCCCTTAGTTCCTAGTAGAGTGTCTGTATTGCAATAGCTCAACAAATACATTTAATGAAATATGAAACAAACAGACATGTCAAAAAGAGACCCAGGAGATCACTAGGTAGGTGTGCTTGGTTACCACACAGAATTCATCTGGTAGGGAAAAAGGGAACAGGGAGAAGTCCCAGGAAGAAAAAACAAAATGGGATTTATGTCTCAGTATCCCCCTGCCTTCTCTTTCCCGTTGATCATAGTTCATCCCAAAGGGTAGCTAACTCTTTCTCTCTCTTCCATGTTGAATCATCTGGACTGTTGGTGGCTGATCAGATCTCATGTCCCCATTGTAGAATTTTATCAGTCTCCAGAAGTGGAGGCATAATTGGCCCATCAGGAGCTCTGCCTAAGAGAGAGGAAGAAGGGGGTGATGGAAGAAATCTGAGAAAGTGTAAGCAGTGTATATTTCATGAAACATTTCTTTTCCCTAAAATCTTATTTAGCCACAGCGTAAGTGGGATTTTCTCTCAACCTTTCCCCAGGACCTTTTCCCATGTGCCCACTGGTCTCTTTGGATCCCTCTCTGTTCCTGCCATTCAGGAGCCTAGTACCATTCCATTACCTGTCTCATGAATAGCAATTACCCGCTTCTCTGAGGTTTGCGGATTTGGAAACTTCTTTGCTGTACAGGGTCTCCCCGTCCCAGATGGGTGATTAGGGTCTTTTTCCTAAATAAACCTTTTGTCTTTAAGAAAATTAAAAAAAAGTTGACCATTAAGAAAATATAGTTATCCCTACCTCATCACCCAAATGACCTGTCCTGGGCTGGTTACTTTTACTTTGTAAATTTCACTCTCTTCCCCACATATCCACAGATAGAAATAACTTTAAACTGTGGGGCCGCTTTCAGGCACAGATTTTGGAAGTAGGAATTGAGGCTGGGAGTTACTTTTCAATCTAACCTTCTTCTTAATGAACACACATTTGGAACTGGTGGCCAGTTGAGAGGTTGTGTAAACGAATGTGGAACATCAGGGTAGGCAAGGAAAACATGGCAACATGAAGCAGAAAGGCAGGGAACATTTCTAAAGGCAGAATGTAAATCAAGGGCTTCTTTTTTTCCTGTGAGAAGAGGCCACCCTGATGGACAGAGTGCCTACACCAGTCGTGATGTTGTGAGAAATAACAATGGAGGCTGCAGGATGTCATAAGACAAACACCATCTCAAACTGGGGGAAGGCTGCCTCCAAGCCTGTCCTTACACCCTGCCCTCTCCTGCTGCCTGGCCCCTTACTGTCCTCTTCCTTTCTCCCTAAACTTGCCCCTTGCTGGTTTCTTCACATGATCTGCATTGAGCCTGGATGGCCCCCAAACACCTGTTTGAACAATAAACACGAATGACTGTGGTGGTCCTGTCAGCCCTCGCTCTTTGTAAAATAACTGCTGATCTACAGCCCTGACTGGAATTGATTTCCCAGACTATTCTATGTCTTTTCATTGACAGGCATTGAAATCTGCCTAACACTCTCCTCCTCCTCATGATTGTAAGATCTTAAGTAGCCAAGAGTTGTGAGGAACACATCTCAACATTGCCCCTGGAGTCAGTTACAAATCAAACACTGTGCTTACAAACCCTTACATTTTGAAAAGAACACTTTGCAGTGATTAAATATTTATGCGTGGCACACACTTGTAACCTTGATGATTTATTTAGACTTTATAACTTGTAGTAAAATATAAATTCTTTCCCAGCATGACACATACACACACGCATATATGCATATACATATACATATATAATATATTTATATATAATCTCTTTCCCCTGCATATGGGACATCCAGCATACTGGATGAAAAAAATGCATCTGTTTTCTTGTGTGTGTGTGTTTTTTTTCTTTTAGTGGTCTCCATAAATCTAGGGGAGCTCCTTCTTGGACTACTAGCCTCTTTCAATAGAAGCATGTTTTCACTGGGATTTCCACATTCATAATTATTCCTCTCATTTCTCTGCCGTGAGAAGACAAGCTGGTATTTCATTGCTTTGGGGAAGTTAATAATATGGTAGGCAAAACATCAGGAAAAATTATAATGAATGAAGCTATACAAATCGGAGGGAAACACATGTCGCTGTTCTGAAACGTTCCTGTCGTAAATCCTGGAAATTTCACTATAGTCACAAGCAAATAACTCCTTAATGCATAAACACTCAATTAATTAAATGTAATATGCCATATAAGCTTGAATGAGTTCTAAATAGAAAAATGGTCAAATAATAGTACTGGAGACCACTGACTAATAGGTGTTCATCTCAGCCATCCAAAATTTCTCAACTGGTCTCAGACTAAAATGAGCCCCATCCATGGCCCCCTTTAAAAGAACTATATGTTCTATATATAAAAGTAATATTAACTCCTTATTTAGTAATAGTGATTGAGCCTCACACTCAGACTTTTAAAAAAATCTTGTCTTAAATTTCTATCTCTTGGGATGTCTCTAGAGCAGTTGTTTGAAGAGCTCTGTTTTCTCCATTATTTCCAATTTATGGAAGCCTGGGTTTTATTATCCTCCTGCCCCTCTTAAGTTTCTTGAACCATTTTTATATGGTGTTTAAGGGGACACATCTCACCTGACTGATATTTTGTAATCCCTAAATAGCTACTCCTCAAATATGACTCTGAAAATACTTCTAATAGATGTGCAAATATTTTGAGAAGTGAAAAGCCTTTTCCAACACGAGGTTGGGTCAAAGGGCCAATTTGAGTTCTTATATGTGTAGGTTTTTATATCACCCCATGCCTTTCTCTGTTGCTGTACTCACTGTATTTTATTGAAAGTAACTGAAATTGTATCTTTTCCACTTGGGGGATCTTAGTGGCTAACACTAAGATTTTTAGCCTGAAGCACAATGGTGTTCAATATTTGTTTCCTGCATATGCTCACTCAGTCACTCAGTCACTCAGCAAACCTCTATTGAACACCTATTCCATGCCTGGTACTGGGCCAGACATTGGAAAGCTACAATAAACCAGACATGAAAGGATCCTTTGGAGCTTAGGGTTCACTATGTTTTTATATGTTTAGGCAAACTGAAATGAAATAATTTTATAAAAGGAAAGGACCTTGGAGATTTGCTCTTCAACTCTTTAATTGTAAAACAGAGATACTTAAACCTGAGTAAGAATAGGTCTTATTTTTCATTTCAGAGCTGACTAAACCTAGAATTCAGTTATTTTTCAATGTTTTTTTTCCCCAAGCTATGTGGCCTCTACTTGCTATCTTTTGATAGTAACAAAACAATGTAACTGTCTTGGAACAGATGGAAGAAAAAGGAAATGAAATCAGTCCTCATTAATTTCTGTGTCCCCTTAGTTCCTAGTAGACTGTCTGCTCTTTTAGGAAGAGTTGTTGAGCCACTTTTCTTTTTGTAGAAACTGGAAAAATCAGACTCATTTTTACAGAGGCATTGACTAAACCTTAAATTTTTTAATTTTTAAAATTAACTATAGAAGTGATAGCTCTTCATATTATGCTTAATGCATAATGTGGTATAGAATTTGGGAAAGTATAAAGTATTTTTTGTGAGACAGAGAGAAAGGAGGATTTGTATGATGTAGTTTTGTTGCATTTACAAGCCCCCTGCCACATCTCAAATGTCATAGGACAATCATTTATTTCCTATGGCATCTTTGTTGGCATCTGTGGGTTAGCTGCCATTCAGAAACCAGGATGAAGAAACAATTCTTATCAGGGACCTGCTTTTTTTTGTGGGGAAAAAAAGTGTAAAAGAGAGTCTGTAGAAATATATGCAGTGGTTTTTAAATATTCTTAAACATAATAAGTATCAAGTCAATTTGCAAGTGACATGGCCGAAGCCAACATCAATGGGGTTGGGGAAATCTACTCTTCCACAGGAGACACTGTATCATGGTTTCAGGTGGCGATGCCTAATTCACCCACAAGAATGGACAGAAACTTCGATTGTTAGGACAACAAGAAGAATATTATATTGTTAGGAAGAACAATAAAATCTACCCCACAAAGGCAGTATTTGTGAGCTGGAGTGATGTGACTTTTCACTTGCCCTTTCCCTGCCCTGAATAGCCTCAGCCCCTCTTCTAGCTGGTAAACTCCTACTCACCTTTAGGACAAATATGGACATCTGAGGAAAAAGCATTAGTCTCTCATTCCTTGGTGTGCTTGGGTCCTGACATCTCTTGTGAAATTTATCATAATATATTGTCCGGAGGAGCTCTGTTTTGTTCTCTTTCCCAAGAGCTTGGCACTGTCTCAAATATCGTATGTGGTCTCCTGTATTAGGCCATTTCTGCATTGCTGTAAGAAAATACCTGGCACTGGGTAATATATAAAATAAAAGGCTTGGTTGGCTCACAGTTCTGCAGGCTGTACAGGAAACATAACGCCAGCATCTGCTTTTGAGGAGACCTCAGGAAACTTACAGTCACGGTGGAAGGCAAAGCGGGGACAGGAGCAAGAGAGAGAAGGCTGGTGGGTGAGGGGACACACACACAGTTTTAAATGACCAGATCTCATGGGAACTCACTATCAGGAAGAGAGCACCAAGCCATGAGGGTCTGCCCCCATGATCCAAACAACCTCCTACCAGGACCTACGTCCAGCACTGGGAATTATAATTCAACATGAGATTTAGGTGGGGACAAATATCCAAACTGTATCAGCTCCCTAGAAATTCTCTTTCTCTCTCTCTTGTTTCTTTGTTTAACTTTTAAGTTTAGATGTACAAGTGCAGGTTTGTCACATAGGTAAACGTGTGTGGTGGGCATTTGTTGTACAGATTATTTCATCACCCAGGTAATTAGCTTAGTATCTATTCATCATTTTTCCTGATCTTCTCCTTCCTCTCACACTCCATCTTCTGAAAGGCCCCAGTGCATGTTGTTCCCCTTTATGTGTCCATGTGTTCTCATCATTTAGCTTCTCCTTATAAGTGAGAACATGCGATATTTGGTTTTCTGTTCTTGCATGAGTTTGTTGAGGATAATGGCCTCCAGCTCCATCCATGTCCCTCCAAAGAAATGTCCTCGTTCTTTTCTATGGCTGCATAGTACTCCATGGTGTATATGTTCCACATTTTCTTTATCCAGTCTATCATTGATGAGCATTTAGGATGATTCCATGTCTTTGCTATTGTGATTAGTGCTGCAATAAACATTTGTTTGCATGTGTCTTCATAAGAGAATGATTTATATTCCTTTGGGTATATACCTAGTGATGGGATTACTGAGATAAATGTTATTTCTGTCTTTAGGTGTTTGAGGAATTGCCACACTGTCTTCCACAATGGCTGAACTAATTTACATTCCTTCTAACAGTGGATAAGCCTTCCTTTTTCTCCACAACCTAACCAGCATCTGTTATTTTTTTATTTTTTTTAATAATAGTAATGCTGACTGGTATTAGATGGTATCTTGTGGTTTCGATTTGCATTTCTCTTATGATCAGTGAGGTTGAGCTTTTTTTCATGTAATTGTTGGCTGCATGTATGTCTTCTTTTGAAAAGTGTCTCTTTATGTCCTTTGACCACCTTTTTATGGGGTCGTTTGCTTTTTTCTTGTAAATTTGTTTAAGTAGAGTATAGCTGGAACATTTGTAATTAGGAAATGGCTTTAAAGTAACCATATTGTGGTTTAGGGGATAGAAACAATGAGTACAGGTGATTTTAGAAACAAAGACTCGTATTTTATAGTTCTCTGTGCTAGAAAAGTTTCCTTTGTGACTGTCTTTTTCTAATTCCTCTAAGAACATAAGCACTAGAGAAGGAGAATTTTTTTTTCTTCAGATGTATTTCCACGGTGTCAAGCTAATAACCAAATAACCTGAAGTACTCAAAGAAAAATCACCCCCAAAGTACTTATCATGCAACCTTGTACATAATAGGTCCTTCATAGATTTTTAAAACTAATTTGCATCTGATAAAGAAAAAGAGAGAAGCCAGGATTTTAGTAGTAAATTTAGTGGTAGGAACTGAAACACTTTTTGGCAGGAGGAGGTAAGAAATTATAGGCATTTCTGAGGCCACTTTTTCCTAAAAAATGAGAAAGAAGGAAAAGAAGGAGAAGGAGAAAGAAAGAACGTATTGCATGGAAAAGGTCTGAAAGTTTACTAATGAACAGATCACTGATATGTATTGTAGATATCAAGCATGTTAGGAGCACCTGAGTGACTGAATTTGAAAACATGGATTTTCAGGGATCCATCTTCCTGATTTTCTAACATCTAGGGAGTTACTCCAGGGTTCTTCAGCAAGCACAATGCTACAAGTTCGGTCTATTATTGGCCCCATGCTCTGTTTACTGAATTCTTCATCTCAACTCCTGCTGAAATTCCTTCTAGACCAACTTCTATGGGCAAATATTTTTCCTCATGTCATAAGTGCTTTGAAGTTTAAAGGGATGCTGTCTTAGGAGGAAGAAAGCAAGCAAACAAGAAAAAGTAAAGAGGTGAAGAGATGGGAAGGAGAGAGCTTACTAGGTGAGAGAAGAAGGAAAGAGGGATACATAATGATGAAGATGCCGATTTTGAATTCAGTGAATGAAGTTCTAAATCGTGATATATGTGTGTATCTACTGTGTATGGAGGGGAGAGGAGAGGGAGAGAGAGAGACAAAGGTATGGGGAGAGACTGTGAAGTGACAGAACACAACCAGCTCTCCTGGAAATTTACCCTTTCCCAGGTGTTAGGACAATGAAAGAAACAAAATTTCCATTTATCAAAAGACTTTCTGCATTCCAAGTAATTTCCTAGATGTTTTGTATCAATTATCTTATTGAATTTCTATTTTCGGATGTAAGTATTACAATTCCCTCCTAGAGGTGAAGAAACTGTGGCTCAGGAAGTTTGAATGACCAGATTGGGAGGGTAGTGAATGAGCCCATAATATTTTTCCCATTGCCTTGGGGCTTAAACTCAATTAAATAATGGCCTAATTAAATAGACATGATATACATTATTTAAATAAGTGTATAGACCAGAAAAGCAGGGAAGAGACCCAAAGAGTATGATATTTTCTGCTGTCTGGATTCAGATCTACTCGACACTCTTCCCCTAATTGACTTCGCACCACAGAGAGTGACCTTTGCAACCTGCAAGGCCAGGCAACCTTTATCAATTGGCCAATGGGAGGCCCTTTCAGGAAGCTGAACAACAGGGAAAGGGACAATGCCAAGGTCTTTCTGCCTGCCTCTTTTTGCTTCAAGAAGCATCTCTGGCCATAGTCACAGCTTCCCCTGTTGTTCCAACTCCTGCTGGGCAGCCCCTCACTTCAGAGTAGCTGTAGGTCCTGAGCTCTGGTCATGCCACCACCATTTGATGCTCTTTCCACAGAAGGGATAGTGGCTTTCTGCTGTTGCTAACCTCTGGGTGGTCTCACCATCTCCTGTTTGCTCTTTTAGCCCTCCCAGTGCTGTAACTAGTTCCCATATTAAATTACCTCTAGTGTACTCTCTGGCACGGCTTCCATTTTCTGACTGAACCCAGAATGATACACCATCGGAATGAGATGTCCTAATAGAAGACACCAGACAAGATGGGGGCAGATCAGAAAGGCCTTTGTAGTAAAGGTGACTAGAAACTATCCTTTGAGAGACCAGCATTGACCACACAAAGCAAAAAAGGGCATTCTAAAGAAAACTAATAGTAAGTGTATTTTGCCTTTCCTTTAGTGCTCATTGGGTAGAATTGCTTAGATAGGAATGCTGGATCCAGGCAGTGAATGTACATGCATATGATATATGTCCAATTATAGTTTGTATGTATTCTAGGTACAGTGAGAAAGCCAAAATATCAGGGAAGCAGGGAAAGGTGAACTCAAGAGACAAGAAAAGAATGTGTCTAATTGGAGCAAAGAGAACAGCCAGAAACAGGCACATGAATTTAAAAAAGGCTTTTGAAGACCAGAGCCAATACTATTCTGTTTGTATTGCTCTATTATTTCTTTTAGAGGGTTCACGCATCTACTGTCATACATAACATGTTTGTTCCTTTATTTAGCCAACATTTGCTGAGCCCCGGTGCTATGTCAGGATCTGTGCTAGGCATGGGGCACCCAGAGACAAAGGAGACTCAGCCCTGCCTTTTAGTGCTTGGAGCCTAGTGGGAGAGATAGAAAAATGAAGTGGAAAATGAGAAGCAGCACATCACGATGCCGTATCATGAACATGCTGGCAAAAGGGGTAGACCTGGAGCTTCCTGGGCAGTTTTAAGAAGCATGCAGATGGAATTGGCAAGACTTGGTGATCAGTCTGGAGTTAATGAATAAGAAAGAATTAGAATTGACATTTCAGAGTTTCAGGGTTTGCCATGTGTCGGAAGATAGTGGCATGTGGCAATCCTGTGATAGCTATTGGATCATTGAGCAACTGAGGCAAGGCTAGAATTCAAAACAAGAGACAAAGCATTGACCACTAGTCTTTTTAGAAAACTTCATTTTTTGTCTTGTTTTCATCTTATAGATTATTTGGAGTGGGAAAGGGATGGAGACTCAAGACTATTGGCTCTTGAAAAAAAATACATATTCTATTTGTAAAGGGCAAGAGCTTTAGTGCCTTATCTAGTTTGTGTTAAAGTCCAGTTCACCCACTTAATTATTATGTGGCCTCAAGTAAATTGCTTCTCAGCTCCAACTACCTGGCCTCTGAAGGGCAGTATCACTGGGGCAGATGACAGCTCTCCAAATGCTGATGTTTGGATCGCAGAGATGTTGGAATGGAAAAGGCCTAGTCACCTATCTGGCACATAGAAGAAGCTCCCAAAATATTGATTTCCATTTCACACACTCTTTGTTCTTAAAATCTCTGATATAAGGTTCAGTATCTTAAAATGTCAAATGCATAATTATCTTTGCTTTCTTGAAGATGCATAACTATTCTTCTCATAAATAGGCTGATTAGGGAGAATTTCAATGAAATTTTTTTTTATTATAAATGAAAAAAAAACAAAGGCCTTAGGGTATGTTCCAGATAACTAGGCATAACAAGAAATTTTAAAGACTAAAATTAATGTTAAAAAATGCTCAATAGGTCCCTTAAATATTTGGAGTTATTTTCAGGTATTTGAGGTTCTTCCATGTATGGAATACACACTGTTTTTGTAATGCTGGTAATTTAGTGACAGATGCTGTTTGAGGTTCAATGTAATGGAGTATGTAAAAATGAGGAAGCAATTAAGGAATTTTTAGTTCCCTCTGAGGCTTGCAAAAATTGCTTAAATATAGCTATCCAAAGCAACATACATTTTTTATCAAAGCCAAATTTGAATGTTATTTAATGCTCAACCTTTGGCCAGGAATAGATGTCAAGTTTTTCTTTTTATTGTTATTTTTAATTTAAACAAATGTTGCCTTGGATTGCTTTCCCTTTAGCAGAATGTTTGTGAGTCTCAAAGGAAACTCCTAGAATGCTTTTTTTCTTGGTTTAACATTTACAAAGCATACTGGATCTCTGGCTGAAGGGAATGGTGCAAATACCAAATGCACGGCATAGCAAATGACTTGGTCATTTCCCACTTTCTTTCCCTTCATGTTTCTGCCATTAGGAATCCCACCCACCTTTTAAAGCCCAGCTCAGAAGCTTTGTAGTGGAAAGAGCCTAGACTTTGCTGCCAGAGAAAAAAAAAATTGTAACAGTGATATTCTTGGGCTCCAAACTCAGGCAAGTACTCCATTCAAATCCCTTGGACTGGTTGCTTAAACTTGCAAGACTCGCTCTTCCCTCCCATTGAATGGAAGTCCTAGTACTACACAGCGTTGCTGAGAGGAGACCACAGGTTACAGTCAGCTGTTGTTACACTGCCCAACATCCATGGCACTTTCTTCTGGTAACAGCAGTCCAAATGCACTTTGGATATTCTGATAGTGAGACGTTGATCAGTGGTCATGTGATCAAGGAAAGGTCAATCAGAGGCTCTTTCCCTGGAATTTGAGCCTTGCGGGAGGAGCACCAAGATGCAGAGCACGTGGAGCTCATCACTATTGGTGCATGTAGCCTCCAGTCACTAGTACTCACTGCCTGGGTTTTCAGAAACTGCCTTGGGTCTTGCTCTTTGAAAACTGGTTCTTCAGTTTTCTCTTCAACGTGGTGAGCTGCTCCTTGTATTCCTGGTAATTTTTTTTCCTAAATTATGCATAATTGATTTCTGTTGCTTATAATGAAAGAACTGCCAATAGACATTAGAAATATTAGACCCTTCATCATTTTCTTACCAACACAAACTCTATGTGTTCTTCTCCAAAGTCAGAGGTCTGTTTCCTTCCCCAAGGTCAGATAGCATTGTTTATACCACTGTGTGATGGTTAATATTAGGTGTCAACTTGATTGGATTGAAGGATGCCTAGATAGCTGGTAAAATATCATTTCTGGGTGTGTCTGTGATGGTGTTGACAGAGGAGATTGAAATTTGAGTCAGTGGACTGGGAGAGGAAGACTTACCCTCAGTGTGGGTGAGCACCATTCAATTGGCTGCCAGCACGGCTGAAACAAAGCAGGTGGAAGATGGCAGAAGAAGCTTGATTGCTGAGTCTTCTGGCTTTCATCTTCCTTCCGTGCTGCATGCTTCCTGCCCTTGGACATCGGACTCCAGGTTCTTTGGCCTTTGGACTCTTGAACTTACACTGGTGGTTTGCCGGGGGCCGTCGGGCCTCTGGAAATAGACTGACACTGTCAGCTTCCCTACTTTTGAGGCTTTTGGACTTAAACTGAGCCATTACTGGCTTCCTACCTTCTCACTTCGCGGATGGCCTATCATGGGACTTCACCTTGTGATTGTGTGAGTCAATTCTCCTTAATAAACTACCTTTCATATATACATATATCCTATTGGTTCTGTCCCTCTGGAGAACACTGACTAATACAAACTGTTAATGATTTATAGCCCTTTATGCCTTGTAGGGTCATTCACCTGTGACCCTGGTTCATCCAAAGACCCTATTCCTTGTGGGGAGGGAGTCATGCACCCCCTCAAGACTCTGTGCCTGGTGGAACCTTTGTCTTACTGACTTGCTCATCCATACAGGTGTGGGCCTTTCAGGAGACCATGCTTCTTTAAGGACTGTTTCTCAAACAGAATGGCATCCAAGCCCAATGTCTTTGGGAAATTTTGCATTCTGCTGACACTCAGGCTGATAAATCTTATGATAAAGGCAAATCAAATCAAAACAAATTGAAACACTTTGAAATCAGGATTTTCTAAATCATTTTGACAGTAGACACTAACCTCTACATTTAGTATTTGTTGGCACAGGGGTATGATTGAGGAGTAGGGAGAGTAGGTTGACTGAGAACACATAGCTACAGCAATGGCATTTTGTGGCCTTTTGGAAACTAGGATTTTCTAAACCAGTGTTTTGGATCACCCCAGTTTTCTCAGTAGCAGCCAGTTTGATTCATTACCATTTCATTCAAGTACTACTCAACAAATATTTATTGAGGATAACTTTATTCAACAACTATTTTGTACTAGGCCTGCACTTCGGTCCTGGGATGCAAGGAATTATAAAATGCAGTTTCTACTCTCTAGGGGCTTACACAGGGGTAAGCCTGAGACACAGGTGTGATCGCCACCAAGTCAGGCAAGGCTGCGACGCAGCAGACATGGGGTGATGTGGGGGCACAGGAGAAGGGCTGTTCCACTTGGGTAGCCATGGTTAGGAGAAGGTGTTCTGAATGACACTGCACCTGAGCTCATTCTTGAGGGATGAATAGGAGTTATTTGTCTTTAGTAATAATATCGTCAGAGTTTGGCTAACATTACAAAGTGTTTACACTGAGAGAGGCCCTTTATGTGTGTTTTTAAATTTAATCCTAGGCCAGGCATGGTGGCTCATGCCTGTAATCCCAGCACTTTGGGAGGCCGAGGTGGGTGAATCACCTGAGGTTAGGAGTTCAAGACCAGCCTGGCCAACATGGAAAAACCCCATCTCTACTAAAAATACAAAAATTAGTCGGGCATGGTGGCACATGCCTGTGGTCCCAGCTACTTGGGAGACTGAGGCAGGAGAATCGCTTGAGCCTGGAAGGCGGAGGATGTAGTGAGCCGAGATCGCCCCACTGCACACCAGCCTGGGAGACAAGGTGAGACTCCATCTCAAAAAAAATAAATAAACAAAATTAAAAAAATAAAAATAAATTAATCCTCACAGTGACCTCACAATAGGTACTGTTAGTATTCTCATGTCACTCATGTGGAAACTGAGGTACAAGGTGAAATTCATGTCTGAGTTGCATTCCCCCAGGCCCAAGAAAAAGTTAAATATTTTTCCTTTCATAGCACTTCATACTCACCATTTCTATGGATCGCCTAAGGTCAGGAGTTTGAGACCAGCCTGGCCAACATGGCAAAACCCCGTCTCTACTAAAAATACAAAAATTAGCCAGGCATGGTGATGGATGCCTCTAATCCCAGCTACTCAGGAGGCTGAAACGGGAGAATCGCTTGAACCAGGAGGCAGAGGTTGCAGTGAGCCGAGATCATGCCACTGCACTCCAGCCTGGGCGATAAGAGTGAAACTCCGTCTCAAAATAAATAAATAAGTAAATAAAATATCTTACTTTTAATAAATCTGAAGGCTTATATTGTAGTAACTGTGGGTTTTTTTTTTCTAATTAGATTGCTTAATCAGGGACACTGAGATTTAGAAAAGCTAATTGACTTCCTTGATAAAATGTTGGTATATTGTGATTTGGAAGAACCTCTCTTACTTGCTGATATTTATGTTATACAGTCTCTTACCTGACACATACTCTAGCAAACTGTAAAGAAAGAACAAGCAGCTGAGGGTGTGCTGTAGCAGCTGAGCTTTAGCCTAGAAAAAGTTGGAAACAGAGTACAAATTTCCCATGTTGGCTCCCTTTGATGTTATAGTGCATTTGACCTCAAGAAGCTCAACTCTTAAGTTATGTAACTTAAAAAAAAAACATATTCACATATTCTCTGTTCCTCTCCAATGTCTTAGGTTTCTAACATTTATAATGTATTACAGTCTTGGATTGTAATTACCAAGATAAATGATGAACATATTTTTTAAAAAATATATTCCCTGGCTGAGCAACCTGACAGGCTGCTTTGGTCTATTTCCATGTGTCCTCAATGAGGTGCGCTGGCAGGAACCTCTGATGAAACTTTCATCTCTCTTGATCCTGATCATGATTTTCTGCAAAATGTCTCTACAAATTCCATATGGGGTTTTCACATTTTCCATATCTTCCTGGGGCCAAAGCAGTACAAGTCTAAAACCTGGATCAGCATTTTCTCCCTGAGATGTTGGTACTGCCATCATTATGGGATACATTACCTTCTCTTTATCCTCAATTTCTACCTTACCAGTGATCACTTCTGCACATACAGATACATACACATATACGCATCCCCAGAATGGCAGTGTACCTGGAAAGTCACAAAGGAAGGCAAGTTTAATGTCTAGATTCCTGGACTAGTAGTAATACGTACTTGAACGTCAGGTAATGTTTACCCATTCTACCCCTGAGCGACCCGAAAAAACACTTTACCTATAAATATTTCACGTGACAAAGACTGGTGTTAAAATAGAATACTCGTGCCCTTTTCTCAAGTTCCTCCATGGACCCTTTCCTAGGCCTTAGGGAGCACAATCTATAGGAAAGGACCCAAGAATCCCCAACTCAGTCCTTACATGGCTGCCTAAAGTGCCCTGTGACCTGAGACACATCACTTAATCCTTCTGTTTTATCAGTTTCTTCAACTTTAAAGGAGCCCTTGTTCTACCTTTTCATAAGTTGTAGCATTAAAATGCAAATTCCCGGCCTGGCGTGGTGGCTCACCCCTGTAATCCCAGCACTTTGGGAGGCTGAGGCAGGTGGATCACCTGAGGTCAGGAGTTCGAGACCAGCCTGACCAACATGGAAAAACCCCCTCTCTACTAAAAATACAAAAATTAGCCATGCATGGTGGCATGCACCTATAGTGCCAGCTACTTGGGAGGCTGAGGCAGGAGAATTGCTTGAACCAGGGAGGCGGAGGTTGCAGTGAGCCAGGATGGCACCATCGCACTCCAGCCTGGGCAACAAGAGTGAAACTCTGTCTAAAAAAAAAAAAAAAAAAAAAAGTGCAAATTCTCTTGGGAAATGTTACATACTATACTTTAAAAATCACACTTTACTATGAGCAAGTAATCATTTAAGTTTAAGAGGTCTTGCTTGTCAAAAAGTGAAATTCTCATCTTCTTTTAATTGTCTTCTATCAACAGATTGGGAAAAAAGAATTCATTTTAAATGGTGCAGCAAAAACAGCTGTTTTATATGTGTATCAACCTTCATTTATGAAAAAGCAGATAAGCCTAAAAATGCCAAGTAAATAATAAAATAGAGAAACATGTTGGTTTAACCTCCTCCTTAAGGTAACTGTATTACCCTTGCCTCCATCCTTTTTGATTTGTTTAGTGTTTACATAGTCAGTGTGCATAGATTCTAAATGTGTTCTTGACTTTACATAGTATATGGGAAAGTGGCCTGGGTGGGTTATGTGTTTTCTTATTGAGTGCCTGGATTAATTGGCTAGCCTGAATGCCTAGGAAAATGCCTGCTTCATTAAGATGGTGACATGCCTCATTGCAAAGCATTGTAGACCAGTCGAATGGCATATAAATGCAACATTTTGTCCCATGGGCTAGACTTCTAATGCAATTGTCTGCTTTTTGCCCAGAGTCATCGAACTAGAGTCTACATTGATGTTCCTCCAAGAACAATTTCCTTTTGGAACAACTTCTTTTTAACAGCAGTTTAAATAATAATGTTTGCTATTGGTTACATTTCATCTTCCCAAAACTCACCAGTCGAAGTGCATCTCCCCATTCCTCAGAATGTGACATCATTTAGAATAGGATCTTTGCAGAAGTAATCAAATTAAAAAGAGGTCATTAGGGTGGGCCATAATCCAACATGACTATTGTCCTTATAAAAAGAGAAAATTTGGACACAGAGAAACACATGAAGGGAAGACAACACAAAGACAAATCGGGAGAAGATGGCCATCTACAAGCCAAGAAGGGAGTCCAGAAACAGATGTTTCTGTCCCAGCCTTCAGAAGGAATCAACCCTGTGGACACGTTGACTTTGGACCTCTAGCCTCTAGAACTGTGAGATGATAAATTTCTGTTGTATAAGTCATCCAGTTTGTGGTACTTCGTTACAGCAGCCATAGCAAACTAATACAGTATAAATAGCAATATAACTAATATTGATGGTCAGTTCTAGCTAATGTGTATTGAGTGACCACTACATTTCAGGTCCACTACATACATCATTGTCGCTGTGTTACCTAGTCAATGAAAGTTTCCATCAGAGTGTGGCTATAGAGGTAAATTCCGGGTAATAAAAAGATGCTACCTTTTTGGATGATGGGGAGGAAAAAAAACATTCATAGCAGAGGGAATGGTAAATTCAGAGGCTTTGAAGGGGTATTAACAGAAAGGTCAGTGTGGTTTGATTAAACTAATTGAGGAGGAGAAGAATACCTGTTGTCTAGGTTAGAGATAAACTTTTTCAAAATCAGGTAGGGCCCACTCAGGTATTCTAAAATATACATGGCTCAGCTTACTGATATCAGCTTACATATGGAAGACCTCTTTCTAGAGTCTTTTCATATCAACACATTTCTACAAAGCATTGGGTTTAAATTTGGAGAAAGACATTCACTTAAAGAGAAGCCCTTTACATCCAATACCTTAAGCACTTTTTTTCTCAAGCCCTGTGACAAATTAGGGGGAAGTCAAGAAAAGGATCCAGAGGAATGGGATGATTATTCTTTCAAATGAGAAAATCAAGGCCCAGATAATTTAGACACACTGTAAAGAGAGACTGAGCCAGCCCTGGAGCCCATAAGTCCTCAAATCCATGTGACCGTCTTTCTTGCTTTTATAGATAAGAACAACACTAAGGATTTAGCAGAAAGTGACCTGCATCAAAAATGTCCAGCTATTGAACTCCTATTTATTCTTCAAGGCCCCAGCACTACACTACTTCATCCAGGAAAGCTTCCTGTTTTTCTACTAAATCCAGTATCTCCCTCCTCCAAAATCTACCTCTCTAGGACACCACTTTATACCTTTCTATGTGCATGTTTTATTTCTCTCATAAGACAGTAAACTTCACTCGTGTAATATTCTTCCATAGGGCACAACTGCCTTATATAGCCAATGAATTAATTAGTATGGAAGGATTGAATAAAAACATTAAACAGACCAGCAATTTCTCTTCTCCTTTTTGGGTCCATTTCCGTACCCAAGAGGAAAGAAAACATATATCTGCACACAGATTTGAGTGTTCATAGCAATTTTATTTATAATAGCCCTTAAACTAGGAGCAGTGCAATGCCCATTGACTGGTAAGTAGACAGACAAATGTGTTATTGCCATGTAATGGAATAAAAAGGAATGAACTACTGATGCACATTATATTATGGATGAAACTCAAAAACATTATGTTAAATGAAAGAAGCCAGACATGAGAAACTACATATTATGTGATTCCATTTATATAAAATGTCTCCAAAAGGAAAATTTATAGAGACATAAAGTAGACTAGTTTTTGCCTGGGGCTAGGGCTGGGTTGGGGATTATTGTAGTTGGGTGTGAAAGATCTTATTGGGGATGAAAATGTCCTAAAGCTGATTTATGATAATGGCTGCACCACTTAATAAATTAACTAAAAAATTATTAAATTGTACATATGAATTGGGTGGATTTTATTGTATGTAAAATACGCCTCAATATACCTGTTAAAAAAAGAATAAAAATAGTATTCAAGTAGATTGAGAGATAGGATGAAGGTGAAGATGGAAGAGAACATAACTGTCCTCCCTCCCCAAATCATATAAAGATCCCAACACAATACCCCAATATACTACAGTTTAAAAATTACAGAACAGTCTTGTATTTCATATACTATCAGTATCTGAAATCAGTTTTATAAATGTGAGTCTATTTTGTCTGTTGTGGGATAATACTCATATTTCCTCCTCTTAATATAAAAAATAACGACTTGACATGCCACCTCCATGTGATCTATGGTCTTCTCCCAGGGTAATTTTTTTTAACTTGAAAGTAAAATCAATGAGTCCTGATAGCACTTAAAAGAAGAGATTAATTCTACCAATAAGAAGGCCCACTGGAGAAGATGGCATTGGAGCTGGCATCCTTGCTCTGAATTTATTCATTAAATGCTTTTATGATGATGACTGTATGTGGTATGCCTTTTCTAGAAATAACTCATTAAGGCTTTAGCATAATGGATGGTGAGGTAGTTTAGGTAGTTTTGCAAAAGAAAACATAATTAGTCAAGCAATCTCATCTTTCAACCTGAATGACAGGACCATTTCCTAAAAAACAAGGCCATTCAAATAGCATTCAGTGCACTCTTTTTTAGTAGAAAGAAAACTTGATCTTTCCACTCTAGTGCACTTCGACAATCAAAGTCAGAATTCTCTTAGATTCCAAGAATTGCCCCCTGATCTACAAACTTTCTATCATGGTAGCTTTTGAGCTATTTCAAAAAGGAAATGCTTTCAGCCAACTGCAAAAAATAAACAAACAAACCCAAACTGTTCACTACTATCAGTTAGAAGAACTTATTATTCTTGAGAGTATCAGCAGTACTCTGTGCTGTGGTTTACCAGCTGACTTCCCCGTAATATTGAAGTAATGCTTCAAGCAAGTTTCTGAGTCTCTGGCACACTTTGCCCCAGCCACGTTTGCTTTCAATGTTGAGAAAGAGTCCAGTGATCAACAGCATTTTCTGATTTTGTCTTTTTTCTGCAGTGTTTATGACATCATAACACCAACTATTTCAAAAATAGTTTAAAAATCTTTTTTATAATCTGAAATTTAATTGTTGCATATATATTTCTACTTATTGAATGGGCTGGGAATTGTGGCATATGGATTATGAGACAACCAGAATGGAACCGCTTGTTAAAGCAAAGTAAATATGGCCTGAGCAGGACTCTGTACTTCTATATTTGAGTACTTGTGAATGAATTGTAACCCAACTTAATAGGAAGACAGGGTTGAAAACCTAACTTAGGAGTGTGTGCCTGTAACAATAGCTGAGTCTTGGCCAATCCCAGAAGCCATACTTCAGCCACTCATACACTGCTAAGTGTTCAAGCTGTGTTCAATAAGGCAAATGCCAACCTGTAACCAATCCAGCTGTTTCTGTACCTCACTTCTGATTTCTGTACGCCACTTCCCTTTTTTGTCTATAAATTTGTTCTGACTATGGGGCATCCCTGGAGTCTCTCTGAGTCTGCTGTGATTCAGGGGGCTGCCCGGTTCATGAATCGCTCATTGCTCAATTAAACTTGTTTAAATTTAATTCAGCTGACGTTTTTCTTTTAACACTATAGTAATAACATTATACATTGTGGAAGGCAAGAGCTGTTTTTAAAGCTGAGTTTTGGATATCTAAACCTAACTCTTTCATTTCAGAAGAAAACTTGAGGCCTGGAGAAGCTGACTGCTCCCTAAGGTCATACACATCATATTAGCAGCAAAGCCAGCACTGGTGTGAAATTCTCTAGACTTTCAGTTCAGTGCTTTTTCTGCCACACCAGGCATCCTGCACCTCTACTCCTTCTTCTTAGCAGTCTTCCCTCAGTAGACACGTCAATACCTTCTAATAAAATTTGTATCCATTCGCCCATTGATTTCTCCATATATTTATTCAATAAAGATGTCTTCAATGATGGCTATGAGACAGATGTGGTATTAGGGTCTACTGATAGACACTTTAAAGTAATAGTAAAGGCAAGCATTTGTCCCTTGCCAAATAGCTTTCCATAGGAGTCATTTTAACTGTTTATTTTGTGTATGAAGTGCAAGGATGGTTCCTTGGATTCATACATTGCTCAATCATGATCAAAGAATGTCTAATGCTCTTTAAGGAAAACTTAGAGAAATTATCTAGGTCATACATTAAATTTTTTTGCCAAACACTGTTCCGGTGTTGGGTAAGTTCCTATGTGAAACACTCTTGTCAAAAGCACCTTTTAATTATAGCTTTTATGAGACAGTAACATGCCTGGAATGGAGGCAACTGGCTGAAGGAGGAGCCTGCAAGAGTGGTCACTTGGAGCACTACTGATTCTGAACATATTGATGACTAGGTTCAGGACTTACTCATCTTTCAGTCCCCTATACTTATCAAAGTGCCAAGGATGTACAAAAGTTTGTTGAGTTGAATAGAATCCAGAATCTGGAGAAGTAAAGATGATTTCTACAAGAGATTCCTTGACATTGGTGCTCACTAGAATAACCTGTGATTTCAGAGTTAGCAAGGCCAGAATTGGCACAAAGAAAATATTTGTAGGAGGGGAATTGCATAGATGTTTTTTCAACTTAAGCTTTAATTTTAGATACAGAGGGTACACATGTAGGATTGTTACATAGTTATATTGGACCCAGGTAATGAGCATAATATCCAATAGGTAATTTTTCAGCTCATGCCCCCACTTCTGGTAGTCCCCAGTGTCTGTTGTTCCCATGTTTATGTCTGTGTGTGCTCAATGCTTAGCTCCCTCTTATAAGTGAGAACATGCAATATTTGATTTTTTGTTCCTGTGTTAATTCACATGGTATTATGTCCTCCAACTCCCTCCATGTTGCTGCAAAGGACATGATTTTATTCTTTTTAATGGCTGCATAGTATTCCATGGTATATCTGCACCACATTTTCTTTATTCAATCCACCATTGATGGGCATCTAGGTTGATTCCACGTCTTTGCTATTGTGAATAGTGCAGTGATTAATATACAAATGAATGTTTCTTTTCGGTATAATCTGTTTTCCTTTCGGATATACCTAGTAACGGGATTGCTGGAAAAATAAAAATAGGACAAAAAAAGACACTTCTAAAAAGAAGACATCCAAGCAGCCAACAAACATATGAAAAAATGCTTAATATCACTGATTATCAGATAAATGCAAATCAAACTGCAGTGAGATACCACCTCACACCAGGCAGAATGGCTATGATTAAAAAGTCAAAAAACAACAGATGCTGGCAAGACTGTGGAGGAAAGGGAAGGCTTATACGCTGTTGGTGGGAATGTGAACTAGTTCAGCAACTATGGAAAGCAATATGGAGATTTCTCAAAAATTTGCATTGATTTCTTTACATTATTATTATACTTTAAGTTCTAGGATACATGTGCAGAATGTGTAGGTTTGTTACATATGTATACACGTGCCATGGTGGTTTGCTGCACCCATCAACCCATCATCTACATTAGGTATTTCTCCTAATGCTATCCCTCCCCTAGCCCCCCACCCTACCCCTGACAGGCCTCAGTGTATGATGTTCCCCTCCCTGTGTCCATGTGTTCTCACTGGACAACTCCCACTTATGAGTGAGAACATGAGGTGTTTGGTTTTCTGTTCCTCTGTTAGTTTGCTGAGAATGATCGTTTCCAGCTTCATCCATGTCCCTCCAAAGGACATGATCTCATCCATCTTTTATGGCTGCATAATATTCCATGGCATATATGTGCCACATTTTCTTTATCCAGTCTATCATTGATGGGCATTTCGGTTGGTTCCAAGTCTTCGCATAGATTTTTTAAAAGCATGGTAGAGTTGTCTCTTTACAGAATGACTCATTTTAAGAAATTTAGTTTACATTTTCAATCTATTTAAAGTACCTGTAATTTTCTATAGTCACCAGAACAAGTTATATAGAACTAATTGAGGCTCATAACATAAAATATTTGTATTCATTTACATAATAGATATTTTAAAATGCATTTTATGGGCCACCATGCTACAGTCTAGAGACAGAATGGAGTGAGAAAGCAAATGTGTTTCCTATGCATCTTATTCCTACCTTATGGAATTTGGTGGAAGAGATTAACTTTGAGATAACCACACAAGTAAATGGAACACTACTACTGTGGTACGTTTCCTAAGGAGAGTTTTGGTTGCTCTGGATCTCTGAAAGGTACAAGGTGCTGTAAGAGCTGACGATGAGGGATTTGACCTGGTCGGGGATGTCAGAGGTGTTGTCCCTGAAGCAGAGATAACTGAAGTGAGAAGCAGGAGTTCATGTCAATTGCAAAGGTTCCATTCTGAATAGGCAGGTGATCTTAAGCATGAAGAAGTGAGTGACATGAAAGGAAGCCTAAAATGTTGCAGGACTTTTTATTAAAAGAATTATGGGAATACATTAGAGGATTTTGGTCATGAGCATGGAATAATTAAAATTAGCTGCTTCCAGGTCGAGCACAATGGCTTA
The DNA here is from genome assembly GCF_000001405.40 of Homo sapiens. NCBI lineage: Eukaryota > Metazoa > Chordata > Mammalia > Primates > Hominidae > Homo > Homo sapiens. Next base: position 13,021,339 of record NC_000004.12, on the reverse strand, counting down.
TGCCTGTAATTCCAGCACTTTGGGAGGCAAAGGCAAGAGGATCTTTTGAGCACAGGAGTTTGAGACTAGCCTAGGCAACATAGGGAGACCTCATCTGTATTAAAAATTAACAACAACAACAAACATAACTGGGAGTGGTGGCATGCAGCTATTGTCCCAGCTACTCTGGAGGCTGAGGTGGGAGAACCGCTTGAGCCCAGGAGGTCCAGGCTGCAGTGAGCCATGATCATGCCACTGCACTCCAGCCTGGGCAACTGAATGAAACCCTGCCTCAAAAATAAATAAATACATAAAAATTACAAAAATAAAATTGGCTGCCTCTTGAATAGATTGTAGAAGAACAACGGTGTGAATAGATCACTTAAGAACTTTTTGTAGTATTTTATGCAAGAGATCATGGTAGCTTGGTCTTAAAGGTGGTAGATATAGGGGAGAGTGAAGAGTGAAGAACTATTTAAGAGTGACTACAATAGGGACAATAATAGTGGGATTTGACAGGGATGGAGAGGGAGGGGCCTAAGAGCAATGCTAAGTATCCAGCTTATATTCCTCAGTGAGTTATAGTATTATTTACTGCAACCATGAGTACTGGGAAATGATGACTTTGAGCCAAAGAGTTGGCTCAAAGGCATTGGGACATAGGAGACTATAGATATAGATTGTCCCTCTTTCCAAGGCTGGCAGTGTGCTGCTGATGGACTCTGAGATTTATATCTTACACTACTTGCCCAGCAGAGAGAGTATCCTTGATGTTTCTGGTCGCAAGACCAAAAACCCTGGTGAAGATTCTTGTTGAACTCATTTGCATCATGCGCCCATACTTGATCAAAACAGCTATAGTAGGAAGTAGATGTAGATAGGGTGGTGGAATAACTCACAACTTCCACGAGAACGACATAGGTTTTGGAAAGCGGCAATTATCAGAAGCAGAGGAAAGAAGAATACAGATAATATTATAAAATTCCACTGCAGTGGTGCTATGCTGATTAAATGTATGAAATTAACTTTGTGGTAGTCTACATTTCCAGTGTTTAGATACTTCCGAGAGCTCTGGGATATGGAAAATGGGAGGACAAGATATTGAAAAGTGGTAAAGGCAGCCTAGGAAAATATACAAAGGGATGCTCTACCATAAGTATTATATTACATGATATTATCATTATATATTTATGTACCCGTCTACTTTAACAGGCTACAAAATTCCTAAAGTCTCGGATCATTCCTTATGTATTCCTGTGCTTCAACTGAGTATAAAATAGCAGCCATTTTGAGCACTGTCCATGCTCAAACATTCTCCAATGACTTAGTTGTTGAATAAATGCATTCATAAATGCACATATTTAAAAAATTGACAACAGTATGACTTTGAACTAGCTTCTTAGACTTCCTAGACCTAAGTTTTACATCTGTATAATGAACTTCTTGGTATTTATTCTATGATATAGTTCTAAAATCCTATTTGTTCTATTAAAACAAGTTTTCGTGGAGTTTTAAACTTTTAATAATCTGCATAGATAATTGTCCAAGTAGTTGATAATTTCAAATTCTGTTAGTTTTCTAGTCTCGTATATATTGTAAACTGAGGTATTGGAGAAAACACATGGGCTTTGCATCAGATGCCTGTAAGTTCAACTCACAACTTCTCTGCTCACCAGCTCTGTGCCTCTGGGTAATTTATTTAATATTTATAAACCTTAGTGTGTATTTTTCATTTCCAAAATAAGAATAATAATGTCTAAATTTCAAGTCTTTTGTGGATATTGGAGGGAATGGATTTACAGGCACAGAAGGAGAGAAGTCTCCTAATACACATGGGTTATTGTTTTTCTTACCTTTACGCCTTGGTGCAAGTGCACATCGGGTTTGGGTTGTAGTAATAAGAATATATTTGCTTATCAACTTTTCTTAAGTTAATTAGGCTTCATGTTTTTACCTGCTGCGTGTAGTTTTGGATATTTCCAACAAATTCTTAATCAGTGTTTCCACAGAATAGCGGTATTCTACAAATTTATTTGATAATGTCAAATAAAACTGATCTTTTCCCAATGATCGGGAAAATATTACGATTTCCCCCCACCCATTTTATTGACTTGTGACTGACAAATAAAAATTGTATGTATTTAAGATATTTTATGCCATGACATTTTTATATATGTATACATTGTTAAATAATTACCATAATCAATCTAATGAACATATCCATCACCTCATGTAGTTACATTTCTTGTGTGTGTGGTGAGAACACTTGATATTTACTCTCTGTGCAAATTTCAAGTATATAAAATATTTTTATTAACTGTAGTCACCATGTACATTAGGTCTCCAGAACTTATTCTTCTTATAACCAAAAGTTTGCACCCTTTGACTAACATCTCCCTTCCTTTGTCGCCCTTCTTCTCCCAGTAACTACCACTATACTCTTTGTTAAGATAAGTTCAACTATTTTTTAGGTTTTGTGTAAATGTGATCATGCAATATTTGGCTTTCGGTGTGTGGCTTATTTCATTTAGCATAATGGCCTCCAAGTTCATCCACATTTTTGCAAATGGCAAGATTTTCTTTCTTTTTTTTTAAGGCTGAATAGTATTTAATTTTGAATTTTTACCACATTTTCTTTATTCATTCATCCACTGATGGACACTGAGGTGATTTCCACATCTTGCCTATTGTGAATAGTACTGCAGTAAACATTTGACACACTGATTTTATTTCCTTTGCATATAGACTAGTTGTAGTTGAAGTACTGGATTACATGGTATTTTTAGTTTTATGTTTTTTTAGAACTCTCCATACTGTTTTCCATAAAGGCTGTACCTATTTACATTTCCACCAGCAGTGTACAAGGGTTTCCTTTTCTCCACATTCTCACTGACACTTGTTTTCCCTTGTCTTTTTGATAATGTCCATTCTAACAGATTTGAGGTGGTATCTCACTTTGATTTAATTTACATTTCCCTAATAATTAGTGATGTTGAACATTTTTTCCTATGCCTATTATCCATTTGTATGTTGTCTTTGGAAAAATATCTATTCAGGTCTCTTGCCCATTTTCTAATTGGGTTAATTTGTTGTTGATGTTGCTTTTGCTGTTGAGTTGTAGGAATTTCTTATTTATTTTGGATATTAAACCTTTATCAGACATATGGTTTGCAAATATTTTTTCCCATTCTGTAAACTGTGTTTTAATTTTGTTTATTGTTTCCTTTGCTATGCAGGAACCTTTTAGTTTGATGTACTCTTACTTGTTTATTTTGCTTTTGTTGCCTGTGCTTTACTTATTTTCTTCTAGGTGTTTTATGGTTCCAGCCTTTAATCTCTCTTTTATATATATATATATATACTTTAAGTTCTAGGGTACACGTGCACAATGTACAGGTTTGTTACATATGTTTTGAGTAGATTTTTGTGTATAGGGTAAGATTAGGTCTAATTTAATTTTCCTGTGTGGATCTCCAGTTTCCCCACACCATTTATTAATGGGACTATCTCTTCCTTATTGTGTATTTTTGGTACATTTGTTGAAAATTACTTGACCATATATGTACAGTTTTATTTCTGGGCTCTCTATTCATGTCCATTGCTCTACATGTCTGACTTTATGCCAGGACCATAGTGTTTTGATTACTATGACTTTGTCATATAATTTGGTATCAGGGTGTGTGATACTTACAATTTTTTTTTTCTTCTGTTCAAGGTTGCTTTGGCTGTTTGGAGTCTTTTGTAGTTCTGTACAAAGTTTAGGAGTATTTTTTCTATTTCTTTGACACATATCATTGGGATTTTGATAGAGATTTCTGGAATGAAAATTTTAACAACATTAATTCTTCCAATCAATGAATATAAAATGTTTTTTGTGTCTTCTTTAATTTATTTCATTACTATCTTATAGTTTTTAGTATACAGATTTTTCATATCTTTTCTTAAATTTATTCATATTTTATTCTTTTTGATGCTATTGTAAATGAGATAGTTTTCTTTACTTCCTTTTTGGACAGTTCATTGTTAGCCTATACAAATACAACAGATTTTTGTATGTTGATTTTGTATACCAAAACTTTACTGAGTTTGCTTATTACTTTAAACAGTATTTAAATACTTGGTTTAAATAAAGGATTTTGGTTTAGATTAAGAATTTTCTATACATAAAATTATGTCATCTGCAAAGAGAGACAATTTTCCTTCTTCCTTTCTGATTTGGATGACATTTATTTCTTTTTCTTGCCTAACTTATCTGGCTAAGACTTCCAGTACTATATTGAATAAAAGTGGTGAGAGTGGCCATCCTTGTCTTGTTCCTGGTCTTAAAGAAGGAAGCTGTCAGCTTTTCATCATTGAGATTAATGTTAGCCATGGGCTTGTCATATATGGCTTTTATTGTGTTGAGGTTCATTTCTTCTGTATTTTTTTTTTTAGAATTTTTGTCATGAAAGGATGTTAAATTTTGTCAACTTTTTTTGGCTCTATTGAGATGATCATATGATTTTTATTCTTTATTTTGTTAATATGTTGTATTATATTTATTGATTTCCATATGTTGAGCCATCTTTGCATCCTAGCAAAAATTCCACTTATCATGGTGTATAATCCTTTTAATGTGCTACTGAATTTGATTTGCTAGTATTTTGTTGAGAGTTTTTACGTCTGTCTTCATCAGGGATATTGGCCTGTAATTTTATTTTCATGTATCATCCTTGTCTGGTGGTTTTGGATCAGTGTAATACTGGCCTTGTCAAATGAGTCTGGAAGTGTTTCTTCCTCTTCATTTTTTTTTTGGAAGAGTTAAAGAAGGATTGATACAAATTATTCTTTACCTGTTTGGTAGAATTTTTCAGTGAAGCCATCTGGTACTGGAATTTTCTTTATTGGGATATTTTGGATTCCTAATGGAATCTCCTTACTCATTATTGATCTGTTCCAATTGTTTATTTTTTCATAATTTAGTCTTCAGAGGTTTTATATTTCTAGGAATATATCTATTTCTTCTAGGTTATCCAAATCATTGGTGTATAACTGTTCATAGTAGTCTCTTATAATCCTTTGTACTTCTGTGACATCAGTTGTAATGCCTCCTCTTTCATTTCTGATTTTATTTGGATCTCCTTTCTTTTTTTCAGAGTAGCTAAAGACTTGTCAATTTTGTTTCTTTTCAAAAAACCACCTCCTAGTTTTATTGATCTTTTTTATTTTTTTAGACTCTATTTTATTTCTGCTCTGATATTTATAACTTTATTATTTCCTTCCTTCTATTAAAATTCAGCTTACTTTGGTCTTCTTTTCCTAGTTCTTTGAGGTGTAAAGTTAACTTGCTTGTTTGGGATATTTGTTTTTAAAACCAGTAGATGTTTATCATTAAAACTTCTTGTAACTGTTTTTGCTGCATCTCATGAGTTTTGGTATGTTGCATTTTCATTTTTATTTGTCTAAAGCTTTTTTATTTCCCTTTTGATTTTATTGTTTGGCCCATTGATTGTTTAGAAAGGTGTTGTTTAATTTTCATGCATTTGTGAATTTTTGAGTTTTCCCCTTGTTATTGATTTCTAGTTTCATACCATTGTGGTAAGAAAAGATGCTTGATACAATAATAATCTTTTAAAAGTTATTAATACTTGTTTTGTGCCCAAACATATGCTCTATTCTGGAGAATGTTTTGTGTATATTTGAGAAAAATGTGTGGTTTGCTGTTCTCAGATTGAATGTTCTATGTCTATTGCTTAGGTCCCTTTGGTCTATAGGTTTTTCAATTCCACTGATTCTCTTTGATACTCTGTCTGAATGATCTATTCATTGCTGACAATGTAGTATTGAAGTCCCTACTATCATTGTATTGCTGTATATTACTCTCTTCAGATCTGTTGATACTTTGTTTACATTTATATTAAGTGCTCTGATATTGGGTGAATAGAAATACAATTGTTATAGCCTCTTGATTAATTGGCCTGTTTATCATTATATAGTAAACTTCTTTTTTAGTTGTTACAGCTTTTGACTTAAAGTCTATTCTATGTAATATGAGTATAGTTACTGCTGTTATCTTTTGGTTTTTATTTTAGTGATGTATCTTTTTCCATTCCTCCACTTTCAGTTAATGTGTGTCCTCATGCAGGCAGCATGAAGTTGGGTCTTGTTTATTTCCTGTATTTATTCAGCCACTCTATGTCTTTCATTTAATAATTTAGTCTGCTTACATTTAAAGGAACTATTGATTGGTAAGGACTTATTATTGCCATTCTGTTAATGTATTCTGTCACTGTTTTGTAGATCCGTTGTTTCTTTCTTCCTCCCTTACTGTTGTCCTTTATGATTTGATAATTTTCTGTAGTGACATGCTTTGATTTCCTTATCTTTTGTTTATCTATTATAAACTTTTGCTTTGTGGTTATCATGAGGTTTACATAAAATATTTTATAGATATAACAGTCTATTTAAAGCTGATAACAACTTTAGCTCCTATTACATACAAAAACTGCACTTCAGCTACTTGCTCCTCTTTGCCAGCATTTTAAGTTTTGGATGTCACTGATGTGAGGCAGTGGGAGCTGGCAGCAGAGCTTGCAGTTAACTGCATGCATGCCTATGGCTGTGGGGTCAACTACAGGTGTACATGCAGCAGTGGATGTTGGAGCCAATGACAGGGGTTTGAGCCATCTGCAAGCATGTCCACAATGACTGAGCTCAGTCCTGGGGCTGGGCCATCATTTTTGGTGACAACTAGGATGACTCTAGTACGAGAAGTGAGAGTGGGTGGTGGCTCAGGCAACTAGTGTCTGTGAAGATGAAAAACTGTGGGACTCTTAGCAGTGAGACTGTGGGGAGTCCATGGTAACTGTGCTGGCTGCTGGTTTCCTCAGTGATGAATGCTGCTAGGGTCCTGTATGGAGCAGGCTACTGGGGTCCATGGCTGCAAACACTGTGGGATCATCAACAGTGAAAGCTCTAGGGGGTCTGCTGTGGTTGCACAGACTGTTGAGGACCTCGACAGAAAAGGTTTCAGGAGTCCTCTGTAGAGCAGGTCATTGGAGACCACTGTGGTTTCCACCACTGGTTAATAGTGACAGCTCCCTCCCTTCTTTGTTCCAACCTGTCTCCAGACACCTCAGCTATGCCATTAGTCTTGATGTTCTTGGTGACATGAAACAGAAGGGGAACCTTGGTCAGTTCCTGAAAGGCTGGAAAAGCTGATTGTTCACCCTGCTCTCCTTTTCCCTACCAGGAGAAATCAAGGGCAGGGGAGTTCTCTCTTACTGCTGAGCAGCTCTGACCTGGGGGACAGAAAGATGCAGGCAAAACTAAACTTTACTATCTATCATTTTATTGTGTAGTTACCCTGGGGTGTTTGGCTCTATTGTGTTACTACAGCTTCTTAACTGGGTTCCTGATATCTTCCTTATGGGGGTCAAAGGCTGGGGTCTTCTGCTCCGCCACTGATATGGTTTGGCTGTGTCCCAAACCAAAATCTCATCTTGAATTATAATCCCCATAATCCCCATATGTCAAGGGAGAGACCAGGTGGAGGTAATTGAATCATGGAGGCAGTTTCCCCCATGCTGTTCTCCTGATAGTTCTCAAGAGATGTGAAAAGTGGTATTTCCTCCTGCATTCATTGTCCTTCCTGCCACCTTGTGAAGAAGGTGCCTTGCTTCCCCTTCACCTTCCGCCATGATTGTAAGTTTCCTGAGGCCTCCCAGCTATGCTGAACTGTGAGTCGATTAAACCTCTTTCCTTTATAAATTATGCAGTCTCAGGCAGTTCTTTTTAGTGGTGTGAAAATGGACTGATACACCTATCTTGCCCAAATAAAGATTTTTTAAAAAAATTTCAAGTTCTTATGTGACGTATTTTTCTTTAAAAAAATTTGGGACCTCAGGCTGGGTGCGGTGGCTCACGACTCTAATCCCAGCACTTTGAGAGGCCGAGGCTGGTGGATCAGGAGGTCAGGAGTTCAAGACCAGCCTGGCCAAGATGGTGAAACCCCATCTCTACTAAAAATACAAAAAGTAGCTGGGCATGGTGGCGGGCGTCTGTAATCCCAGCTACTCAGGAGGCTGAGGCAGAGAATTGCTTGAACCGGGGAGGTGGAGGTTGCAGTGAGCCAAGATCGCGCCACTGCACTCCAGCCTGGGTGACAGAGTGAGACTCCATCTCAAATAAATAAATAAAGAAACAAAATAATAAAATAATAATAATAATAATAGGGACTTCTTAAGACAACCAATCAAGGCTAACTGAAAGTCTCATTTTTGTGGGTCTGTGCTTTATTCTATAACACATTTCTGAGTGCCTGCAACATAGCAACACTGTGATATTTGACTGCAGATACAAACATCCATGAGACTTGGCTTCTTTCTTTAGGGATACCATAACTGAGTGTGTGGTGGAGGCATGAGTAGAGAAGAATTTTTTGAAGTGACAGGGAACCCGTGTTGAGTTTTGAAGATATATCTAAGTTAGATGGATGAAGATGTGGGTGCACAACATGCCAGGAAAGGGGCAAGCAAGAGAGAGGTGGGGAGGTGTGAGTCACCCTCTCCAGTCATGGTAGTAGCTTTAGGTTATAAACATACAGTACTTTGCTGCCAATACAATTAGGGTATTATTAGCGTTCAGGGCAGATCAAATAGACAATGCTATTCCTAAAGGGGGCCAAGTAAGAACCACAGGTTAAATCATATCACTCCTGGGTGAGTTTATGAAAATCTCATTTGTGATGTGCCTGATACTTTGGCATCTTCTTTCAAAGCTGAAGTTTTCTGAAGTATCAGAGCACTGCTTTGATGAAACATGATGTAATCTGATGTATTCTTGGCTTTCTGTGTGCTTTTGGTTACTGTGAGCATTCATAAGCTAATACAAAGATTTCTATAATCTTCACTCTCTTTAATAATTTGAAAAGAGATAAAACATATGGAAACTCATGATAATGGCAAAGCACCAGAATCAGATTGAAAACACAAACAAAGGGAAGCTGTACTAGAACATATTCCAGAAAAGTTATAGGCATTAAAGTTTTAAAGAAAATATATATTGATAGTCTCTTTGTGTCAGACTCTGTATCATTTGATTGTCATCTTAACTCTATGTGGTGACTACCTGTATTCTTTCCCCTTTAGAGAAGAAAAACTGAGACACAGACAGGTTAGGTAATTTGTCCTATGTGGCATAGATCATGAGTGTTGGAGCTAGGATTTGAACCCAGGAAGTCATGTTCCAGAGTCTCTGCTCTTAATCCCTATTTTTATACATTCTCACTTTATTTGAGGTTAATAACACTTTCTGCTTTCATTAATTAATTGATTAACATGATCATTGGCTCAGCATTCCCTGAACACCATTCATGTGTCAGTTACTGAGCTATAGGTTGGACCAGGGGCGAGTCATGCTGTCTGCTCTCAAGGAGCTCATTCTAGCTAGGCATGTAAGAAAATGTTTACAAGATATTTTTTACCCATATTATGTTACATGAGCTGCACAGGTGGTCAGAGGGTGGCATCAATTTCCTTTTTGGTATTATTTCTAAGAGAAGAAGCTAAGGCTGAAAGAAGCCATATGACTTAGAAGATTTTCCAGCAATTAGTGTCAGGGTTAAAATCTAGCTTTTCTAACCAGGAGTCAATGTTGTTGAACATTTCCAACAAATAAAATGGTATTTGTGAGTCATAATTGAATTACTGGGTGATCTTGAATAAGTAACATCATTTGGAGGATCTCAGCTTTCTCTTCTATAAAATAAGAGGCTTAATGACATGATTTGAATTCTTTTTTCTATTTTAATTTATTATAATTATATAGTCCTACTCATAATTCAGGATATTCTTATTGATGATGATTTAATGTGTGGTTTTGTTTTGATATGTTACATTACTAGCTTGCCAATTCAGTGTAAGAAAAGAATGATCAGTAAGTCTCTGGTTACAAGGATCTGAGTGTTATGGGACTGAGAGATGCAAAATATCTAACTGTAGCTTGAATCCAGGTTTGAGCCTATATTTGAATATTTTTAGAAATCAAAGTCGTGGTGATATGCTAGGGAACTTCTAGGTGAGATGGCCAGAAATTTTCATAAATGAGGGACTGAGGTATCTTCAAGGGAAGGAAATGTTCTTCCCATAGAAAATTTTGGCTTGACGACAAACGCATAGCAATCAGTCTAATGAAGTTCTGCAGATCAGTCTGTTCATGGCCTATGTCTGAGTCTTAGAGAAATGGAAGCTGCTAGTAAGAAACTAAAAGAACCTTTTCATCCCATCTGTAACTAAAACCCTGAGACATTGGAGAACAAGGCAACTCTGCTTTAGAACCTGCTGTTGGAGGGTAACATAAATGCGAGCAGAATTCTGGTTGTTACATTAGCAGAGGACATTGTACCACGCCTAAAAATAGTCTCCAAAAAGATATGTCTAAGTTCTAATTCCTGGAACCTGTGAATGTTGCCTTATTTGGAAAAAGGGTTCTTGCAAATGTAACTACATTAGGGATCTTGAAATCAAGACATCATCCTGAATTATCAGAATTGTCCCCAAATCCACAGATGAAGTTTTTTTTTTTTTACAAAAACACATATAGAAGAGAAGGCAATGTGAGGATGAGGACAGAAATAGAAGGCAAGGAAGTGGGGGAATTCTAGCAGCTACCAGAGCTGAAAAGGCAAGGAAGGATTCTTCTCTGGAACCCCAGAGGGAGCACAGCCCCAAGGACACCTTGATTTTGGACTTCTGCCCTCCAAAATTGTGAGAACATAAATTCTGATTGTTTTAAGTCACCCAATTTATGGTCATATTTTTACAGCAGCCATAGGAAGTTAATATAGACATCAAGGCCTTGGGCAAACATGATGCCCAGTAGATATGGAAAGACCCACTAGAAGTGAAAGTGGTGCTCATTTGAGGAAGCTATGGTCACCAAAATGATGACTTTTCTGGTGAATATTTCATGGCAATTATACATGGGAACTACCCATTGGAAGCCCAAGCACAACCTAATGGGGAGGTGGGAGGGACCTCTGTTCAAGTGAGGACCATGAATGTTTCCCCAATTATACCAAGGGATGGGCAAAGGCTAGAAATCTGGGGAAAACCTTTTTAGAACACAAAGCAAAGCGAACTCTGAAGTGTGGTCTCATAGAAAGGTATAGGTCATGAACACAAAAGACTCTTTGTAGCAGACAACCCCCACATCCTTAATATTAATATCATATTGCAATATTTAATCTCTTACTGGCACATAATTCTATGAAGGTGAACTTGCTCTACTCCATCTGGTATTACATCACCCGGTACATGTTTTCCGGGTTCTCCGTAGCGGGAGAAGAGAGAGATGAAGGAAGCATGTAGACTCTCAACTTCCTTTAACTGAAAGTAATACACATCATTTCTGATTAGGGTCCATTGACCAGAGCCAGTCAAATGGCGCCAAGCTAACTGCAAGGGAGGCTGGGAGATGCTGGAGAAACCATGTATATTTGGTAGGATTAATGGTCTTTGCCACATACAGGCAAGAATTTTTGGTCTTGATTGATTTAATTTTCCACAATAAGAACTGGGCTGCTGTTGGGCACACAATGATTACCTCTTGACCTAATTGGTTCAAGTGTAAAATTGTGCAGCTTTATATTAAATTTGAGGCCTGGCACAGTGGCTCACCCCTCTAACCCCAACATTCTGGGAGGCTGAGGTAGGACGATTTCTTGAAGCCAGGAGGTCAAGAGCAGCCTGGGCAACCTAGTGAGAACTTGTCCCTACAAAGAAAAAGAGAAGTTGAACTCATGGTGTATCTAAGTCTGACATGAAGCTTCTAATTTTCTTAAATTCAACTTAAGAAAGTAATCATTGGGGCCGGGTGCAGTGGCTCGCGCCTGTAATCCCAGCACTTTGGGAGGCCGAGACAGGCAGATCACGAGGTCAGGAGATCGAGACCACCCTGGCTAACATGGTGAAACCCCATCTCTACTAAAAATACAAAAAATTAGCTGGGCGTGGTGGCGGGCGCCTGTAGTCCCAGCTACTCGGGAGGCTGAGGCAGGAGAATGGCGTGAACCCGGGAGGCGGAGCTTGCAGTGAGCCAAGATCACGCCACTGCACTCCAGCCTGGGCGACAGAGTGAGACTCCATCTCAAATAAATAAATAAATAATCATTGAATACTTTCGATAAAAATAAATAAGATGAGAAAAATTCCAATGATCTTAATGAAATTAGAGAGTTACTGGAGTCTGTAAAGATATCATTTTAGAAGTTTCAATCACCTTTCATAGATGAGGCCATTTAAAAAGATAGCATTATTAAGGGTTGTAAGAACAGTGACGCAAGAAAAATATGGCTTGCTCTTTAGTGAAGCGCATTCCACACAGTAGGCTCAGCACTGGTCCAGTGGAAACCAAAAAATGCAGATTTGCTGTCTATCACAAAGATAAAGGAGGGAGAAATGACTATTTTCTGTGTTGTCTACTGTTGGAAAGCACTGTTGCAGGGTACTTTATATTTAATTATCCTGTTTTGTGATCACACCAATGCTGTTTGGTAGGCATCATTCTCCCTAAGATACAACTGAAGATACTGAGGCACAGCGGTTATAAATAGCTGGTAAATAGAAGACCAAGTCCTCAAACCTGATCTCTCTACATTTGATTTTCTAATTTTTTCCTCCAATAGCTCCTTGCCTCTCTAGTTAGAAAACCAGTCTCTCGCACTTCATTGGCAGTGGGTGCTGTTGGGAGAGTGGGGTTGCTATTGTTTCAGCACTTCGTGATAGCAAAAATGAATCTCAGATCATAAACTGCAGAAAAACCTGACCCCCCCTTGGAGGGTCTTTTACAAATAAGCTATTTGTTTTTGTCAAGGACAGGTTTTGGTTTCATGGGATACGACTTTGTTTTCAACGACTCATTAAAGAAAGATGACTTACTGCCCTGTTTTCTAAATCTAGTCACAGACCACAATCACTTGCAGGAAATGGAATGTTTACTTGAGTTTATTATACAAGGCTCTGGATATGAGCTGTGGGATTTTTACACCTCATAGCAACGGTATTACAATTTATTTACAACTTCATGTTGGCAGCTGCACAAACTCTTATGAAAAAGGACAATCACACCTTGGGGACCAGTAATTATAGGCAAAGGTATAAATTGGGCAAAGCAGCGTAAGCATTTGGCACTTAAGTTGAAGAGAATAGAAATGGCTCTGGAAATTGGACAGAAAACCAGTCTCTTGTTCGTTATGAGGCCATGAACTAATTAAACTGAACTTGTCAGAATAGACAGATGAATAGATTGAATTGGATTTTGGCACTGACTGGTCCCACACTCATGAAAAGCAAGTTGTTTTAGTGATGTCATCATTTGGAACTTCTAACTATGATATCACTTTTGACAGAATTAATGTGGAATTAATACCATATGTACAAGCATTAATAGGAATTGACTTTGAACACTGAGTGGTTATTTGAGGTTGATTTCTAAAGGGAAACTTTGAGATAGGTTTTCCTTGCATTCACAGTTATCAGACATCAAACCAAGATTTGACGTAGATTTCAATATGTTTATTAGAATTCCTCTGAGACAAATCCATATATGTGTTACTAAAAAATATTTTATAGGAACATGGGTTAAAACATGTTTTATTTGTAATAATATTAAGCCTGGGGATGAAGGGATTTAAAATGAAATTCACAGTTAACTTAAAAGGAATTGCCCAGAGGGTTTTTTTTTTTTTTCAGTGAAACATTTGGATTTTAGGTAAACTTAAACCTCAGGCATGAGATGCTCTTCTTGATCAAGGTGTAGTGGTTGTGATTTCCAGTTTTCAAGAGCAAGTGGACTTACTCCCTCCCTTTTCTCACACTTGCAAACACTGTCTGGGTAACATCTTTTTGTATCCATTATGACTGGTTCTTTTGAATTTGGGGAGTGGTGTGGGGTATAGCCCATTCTTATTCAGCAAGCAAATAGTTACTTAATGCCTTCTATGTTACGGTAACTATTTATATATCTTCATGTTCCTTAAAATGAATTCCTTGCATTTGTAGAACTGGAAATCTTGAAAGTGTTATTGCATTCATTGCTGTACGACCACCTTAATTAACAAGCAAGCAAAGGAAGGTTTAGTAAGCTCAAAATGGCACCCCTAATAAATGGTGGAGGTAGAATCAGGCCAGGTATTTTAAAAAATAATACAACTAGTTCAGCAGAATTTTCTGTGGGTCACTCTTTATAGCTTACATCAGTAATACTCACAACAATCTGCTTTACAGTGAAATAGACTTAGGGTCTGATAAATTCTGAGAATTGAACGCATATCAGCTCAACTCCTAAAGCCATGCTTTTTCGAATAGGATCCTGTGACTATCAAGGGCTTTTTCTGTGTTCCAGGTAAGGAACAGATGTATCAGATGCAGAAGAAGCAAGTAAGGCTTGTGTTTATGACAGGAGAACAACACAGTGGACTGGGAACTCTTGGTTCCAGTTCTGGCGTGGCCACATGCTCACTGTTTGAACTTGGCAAATCCCGCAGCCTTTTCAGTTGTGTTCCTCATCTGAGATTAGCAATGCCTGTGTCTGTTCACACGGGCTCCTGTGAAAACCTGAACCAACATCAGGAAGTACTGTGAAATACAATTTAAATATTTGTCATTATTATTGAAGTGTTACATTGTTTCTCATTGGGCAAGCCAATAGTCTTTGTTGGCATAAATGAGCATCCCATAAAGCAGACATGGTTTCTGAGAAAGTTCAGCTACTCAGTACAAAATCATTATGAGGGGCTTCCTTTCTCTTCATAAAAATTAGAAAGAAAGTGAAAAATGGAACCTACATAGCCCAACACCGTGAACTTTGGAATAAGTCTGTTCCACTAAATTCGCCAATCACTAGCTGTGGTTCCTTAGGCAAGAAAATCAGATTTTCTAATGATGAGTTTTTAAAAGTGTGGAATATCTCACTCTTTGGGTTGTTATATTAGTTTGCTAGAAATGTCATAAGAAAGTATCATAAACTCGGTGGCTTAAATAAAGAAAATGTATTGTCTCACAGTTTTGGAAGCTGGAAGTCTAAGGTCAGATTGTCATCAGGGTTGCTTCCTTCATGGGCTATGAGGGAGAATCTGCTCTATGCTTTTCTCCTACATTTGGTGGTTGCTGGCAATTTCTGGCATTCTTTGGCTTGTAGAAGCATCACCTGGATCTCTGTCTTCACTGTCATATGACGTTCTCCCTGTATGCATGTCTGTCCAAATTTCCCTTTTTTAAAAGGACACTAGTCATATTGGATTAACGTCCACCCTAATGCCCTAATCTTAACCTAATTACATCTACAAGGATTCTGTATCCAAATAAGGTCACATTCTGAGGTACTGAGCTTCAATATATGAATTTTTAGAAGAAACAATTCAACCCATAATAGTTGTTTGTGGATAAAAGATGAGGTAATGCACACAAAATGTCTTCTACTCTTGACTTATAGCTGGAGCGCTGTGCTATTGGGGCTTTGCTCCTGTTGGTTTCGAATTAGGTGAAGAATTTAAAATGTGGAATTGATCTCTTTATGGCTCTCCACAGAAGACGAGGACTGGGAGCACAGAGTTTGTAGTCATTAATTACTGTTTTCTCACAGTTCCCTTGGACGTTTCCCTGAGTTTGTGAGTTTTTGAGGGAAGTCCAGCCCTTCAAACAGACTAATATGTCCTGCCTAGCCACCTGCTTTGGATTCAAGACTTTTTTTTCCAGCAAATTCCCAGGGGTTTTGTAACATATGTGTAAAATATTCCAGGCTACCTTTTCATCATTTATATTAAAATAAAATAAAATCTATACAAAAAGTTTTCCCTGAAGCTTTCTATACAAAGGGCATATTAGTGCTTTATTAGAAATAACACTTTAAGATTTACAAAGGAATTAACAAATAAATACAAATAGTAACCACAGAAATAACTATTTATTGGACATCTAATCTCATCTAGTCATGCAAATATATTGAGTTATTCACACAACAACCACAGAAGGAGTTGTAATTGTTTTTATCTTAACAGATGAGGAAACTGAGACTTAGAGTGAATATACCATTGAAGGTCAATGGCTGGCAGATGCCTAAAGCAAACCTAGCCATACCTTATGCTTGCTTAGTCTATGCTCATTCCACAATTCAACAGCAGAAAGGGTGGTGTGAATGTTCACTGGGTGACAGGATATCCTGTTTCCTGGGACCACATCTACTACCGTTGTCATCTAGAGTCTCTGAATCTCAATTTTCTCATCAGAAAATGGAAACAATAGTGCCATTTGCGTGGAAGGTTTTTATAGGGATCAGATGTTCAGTTGTAGGAATTTATGGGACAGAATTTGTCTCATGCCTGAGGCTCAACACGTTTTATTGAAGACATAAGACAATGAACGAATGAATGAGTGAATAAGAAAATGCATGGAAAGGCTGTGGAGGACCAAACATGAGTTTATGAGCCAATATCAGGGAAGGCGATTGGGCATAACAGCTAGAATTAATTTTCTGTTATTCTTGAAGACATTTAAAAGGCAGAGCCTATTACCAAGGAAACCAATTCCAACTTTGAAGCTCTGCTTGAGCATTTGCTGGAGGCAAAGCAATGTGCTAAAATGTTGCATAGGGTCTTATTGATCCCCACAATGACTCCATGAGGCAAACATTAGCACTCAGTTCCCGCTTTCTGCATCACCAGTGTAGAGATGAGGCACAGGGAAGTAAAGTGATTTGCCTAAGCTACCTATGTTGTACATGTTATGGAGCCAGACTGAACCAAAGCAGCCTGGCTTCAGGGACTGCTCTCAACCACCATGTTCACAGCCTGCCTAGTGGAAACATCAGTGTGTACTTGAGATCAGGAGATAAGGCTTAGACTCTCTGACTTGCTTCTTAATAGTTTGTGCAGCATTGGACAAGGTGCTTCAGCTTTCTGGGTCTTATTTCCTTTTGTATAAAATGAAGATTGTATACTATCTACTTCTTAGGGCTTAGGTGACAATCAAATGATTTAATTCCTATGAAATGTTAAGAATATTTTCTAGCACATACCATGTGCTCAGTAAATGTCAACCATCAGAGTGATTATTATGTTGAGTTATGAGAGGGATTTAAAGTGACAATATGGCATTAGATAAAGTTCTCTAGTCCCACTCTCTGTTGTAAAACTAAGAATCTTTAGGAATACCCAAACATTTTAGAACCAGGACAGGCTGCTTAACTCAAAATCTTAGAGCTCAGTAACCTGAAAACAATAGTCTACAAAGAAACAAAGCTGCAGATTTTCTGGGTAAGCTTTCCTATAGAAACATCTTTTCAAATCTTTATATGGCATTAGGCTAACTTACTCTCTTTTAACAATTTCCTTTGCTAATTTTGCAAAGATAAATATTCACTAACATTTACTACATTCCAGACACTTTTCTAAGCACCATGCATGTATTACTTTATTTAAATCTTAAAGCAAGCCCATGAAGTAATATTATCATATTCTCCATTGTATGGATGAAGAAACTAAGGTACAGCTGGTCTGAATAACTTGCCAAAGTCACTCAGCTGATAAGTGGGAGGGCTAGGATTTGATTCCCCAAAGTCTGACCCCAAAACCCATTCATACACCTACTCTAACTGTTTCTGTAATACTATGATTCATATTTATCCAAATGAAGATAACAGACATGCTTTTCTTTTATATAAAATCAAAATTAAGTCAATTTTCTATGGTTGGATAAATGAAGTTTTTAGTGGACTGGACACATTTACCCCAAAGTGTCTGGTCTAAAGAATCCCTTAATTTATGATATTCTCCATATAGTAGCCTGTATGATACCCCCCTCCCCCCACACACACACACAAAGATGTTCACATCTTACTGTCATAATCCCCAGAATCTGTGGATGTTACTTTGCATGTCAAAAGGGACTTGGCAGATACTAAGTTAAGGACACTGAGATGAGATGATAGTTCTGAATTATTCAGGCATTCACAATGTAATCACAAGGATTATAATAGGAAGGAGGCAGGAAAGCAAGAAAAGGAGCTGTGAGGACAGAAACTGGGCAGCAGGGTTGGAGAGAGAGAGAGAGAGAGAACGAGAGCGAACTGAAGATGCTATGCTGCTAACTTTGGAGATGGAGGAATGAAGGAAGGAGATGCAAGTGAAGGGATGCAGGCGGCCTCAAGAAGCTGGGAAAGTCGAGGAAGGGGGTTCCCCTTGAGTCCTCAGTAGGAAATCAGCTCTGTTGACCTATTTTGGAGTTTAGACCTCCATAACAGTAGATTTTTTTTAAAAAATGCACTGTTTTAAACTGGTAAATTTGTAGTAATTTTAGCAGCAGCAATGGGAAATGAATGTACTCCCATATGACACTGTCAGTGGTTTCAGCACAAACTCTATGGATTATCGTCTTCCTCAGCACCCCCTAGGTTTTCCCTTTGCTCAAAAATAAAGGAGAATGACCCCACAATTCCACTCCTAGGTTTCTCGGAAAAAGAAATAAAAACATATTCACACAAAAACTTGCACACAAGTGTTTATACCACTGTTATTAACAATTACTCAAATGGGGAACAACCCACATGTACCACAACTGATGAATGGATAAGCAAAATATGCTTTATACATATGATGAGACATTATTTAGGACTAAAAAGGAATGGAGTACTGATAAATGTGAAAAGATGGAAGAATCTTGAAAAACATTATACCGAGTGAAGGAAGCCAGTCACACAAGACCACAACTGTAGAATCCCATTGATAAGACACATCCAGGATGGGCAAATCTATAGAGACACAAAGTATATTAGTGTTTCCTAGGAGCTGGGGGCAGGGAGGGAGAAAAGGGAGTAACTGCTAGTTGGTATGAAGTTTCTTTTGGGGGCTATAAAAATGTTCTAAACTTAGCTTTGATGATGGGTGTACAACTCTGAATATACTAAAAGTCACTGAATTTTGTACTTTAAAAGGATGATTTTTACAGAATATGAATTAAATCTCAATAACGATGCTAAGAAAAAAAGATGAGAAGGGAGGCAGGTATTTATACTGTAAGCAGTAGGTACTCCCATGTTTTATTTGACTGGTGTATGTTACTCAGAATGCTCCAGAGAAACAGAACCAGTAGGAAATATGTGTGTGTGTATGCATATTTATAGATGTGTGTGTGTATGTGTGTGTGTGTGTGTGTGTAGTGTGTGTGTATTGTATAGATGTACAAAATGAGATTCTTATAGGGTATTTGATCATAGCATTATGGAAGCTGGGAAGTTCCATGATCTGCCAAATACATGCTGGAGACTTAGGAAAGCCAGTGGCATAGTTTGAAGGCCTGAAAGCCAGATAGTTGGTATAGTTGCCAATCTGTGTTTGATGTCCTGAGGACCAGGAGCACCAAAGGCAGGATCAGTGTCTCAGCTCAAGCAGTCAGGTAGAAAGTAAATTCAACCTAGCTCTGCCTTTTTGTTATAGTCAGGCCCCCAGCAAATTGGATGATATCCACTCATATTGGTTAGAGTGGATCTTCTTTAGTACTTAGTTTTCAAGTGTGAATCTCTTCCTGCAACTCCCATACAGATACACCCAGAAATAATGTTTACCTAGATATCTGGGCATCTTATGATCCAGTTAAGTTGAAACATAAAATTACCCATCACAATTAGCCTCATATGATCTTCTTTGCACTTGTTTTTACTTACTTTTTTCTTGTAATAGAGAAACCACCCAGTTAGGGAATAATGAGTGGGATCCAAGAAAAGAAAATCATTAGCTGAATTAGACATGTGTGAGGTGGTTTATCTGTGCATCTCATTTCATCTTTAGAAGAACTCTTGAAAGACGTTAGTGTCATACCCATTGTACAGAAGAGAGACTGAAGACCTAAGTGATACCCAAAGGAATGTAAGGAAAGTGATGAAGCCAAGATATGAACCCACGTTTTGCAACTTCCAAAGCCCTTGCTAATAGAATTAGTGTTCATTTTCCTTTTCCTTCACTGGATTGCTCTTAAGAAACAATATTAGAAACAGCGTGTATTAAAAGAATTATTTAGGAGAAGAAAAATGACCTAGGAAGAACCATAATATGTTGGGGTAGGCAGTGGGTAGAATCTATCTAAGGGTCTCTGGCTGGGTTCTATGTCTATCTGAATGTACTACACATGCCTCAGTCTTATGTATCTCAGCAACAGAAGAAGACAATAATATTACCTAGCACTTAGGGTTATTGTGAGAGTTAAATTATGATTCATAGAAAGCATTTATGCTAGTGCTTGACACATAATATACATTGCGGAGGCAACAACTCATATTACTATTATTATCCCAATCTTACTCTATATGTCACCCAGGAGAGTTGATTTTTGCTTTAAAAAAGTATTGTATATTTTAAAATAGCTAGAAGAGATGCTTTTGAATGTTCTCATCACAAAGAAATGATAAATGCATGAAGTGATAGACATGGAAAATACACTTATTTGATCATTATACACACATGTAAGTATCAAGATATCAAATTGTGCCCCATAAATATATACAATTACAATGTTTAACTTAAACATTAACTAATTAATTTTTAAAAGGATGAGATATAATAATAATACCAATCATGTCTCGCTTATAGACGACATAAAGAAGCCAGCTCCAAAGGGAGATGGTCTAGCTTCGCTCTCCCAGTGTCAGTGATGGGGAAACCCAGCCTTGCAGGCAGCACAAATAACTCCCTCTCTCAGTCTCCAACTCCAACTCAGCTCCCAGGGGTTTTTTGTTTGTTTGTTTGTTTTGTTTTGTTTTTGAGATGGAGTCTCGCTCTGTCTCCCAGGCTGGAGTGCAGTGGCGCGATCTCTGCTCACTGCAAGCTCTGCTTCCCGGGTTCACGCCATTCTCCTTTCTCAGCCTCCCCAGTAGCTGGGATTACAGGTGCCCGCCACCAAACCTGGCTAATTTTTTTTTTTTTTGTATTTTTAGTAGAGACGGGGTTTCACCGTGTTAGCCAGGATGGTCTCTATCTCCTGACCTCGTGATCCAACCACCTTGGCTTCCCAAAGTGCTAGGATTACAGGCGTGAGCCACTGCGCTCGTCCTCAGCCCCCAGGTTTTATCATTGCCATCTTGTGTCATTGCATCTATGTCAATGTAACTTTTTTTTGGTAACGTTTGTCTTTCTTATGTGTTATAATCTTAATGAAATGATATCTCATATTCCTTTTCATATCCTGAATTGAAAACTATGTTGCCTTGAATTCATTCATTCATTAATTCATTTAATGTTTGCGGGATAAACATTACACATCAGAAACTGCTCAACACTAGGCAGGAAGAAAGAGACCCAATGTGTACATCTGTTGTCATAAATTTTACAGTATTGACATTCATTGAAAAATTGAAAGAAAGAATGAATAGGAGTAATGAAAGTTGTCTAGAGAACAGAAAGAAGTAATATACCTAATTTTTATTATCTGATGATTGTGATAAACTATGGATTGAGTTTGGACAATAGAAAGTATTAATAAATATTTGTACTTTCCCTAGGAAAGAGTAGAGCTGTTTAGGCAAGTGATTTCCTGAAGCACATGACCCTGGAGAGCTCAGTGATGTGGTTAAAAAAAGACCATTTGTGTCGTGATCTGACTACAAGGATGCAACCTTACCCCTTAGTTAACAACGTGTAAAATGGGGTCTTAATTCTCTCTGTCATTACATAGCTGTATAAAGTCCTAATTAGAGTAGAGTATTAAATGAACTAAATTTAGCTTCTAACACCAGCTGTTTCACTAACCATCTTTCCTGTCTTCAGTTTCCTCATCTGTAACATAAACAGATAGGAATTAAGGATTTCTAAGGATTCACTTCAAAGTAACATTTTTTGTTTTGCTATATGACTAGTGTCTAGAGGATTCTTCTGAGAATTTTCAGATATCAAGAATTCACATCATAGTAGTTGATATTAATTTTTAAAGTGTTGAAATTACTAAGACTTTCTGGAGATGAGAGAAAGGCTAGGTGAAAGTAAACAATCTTTTAGTAGAGTGGCATAACAGTCCAATTCTTTTCACCCCCAGATCCATGTCATGTAACTTTAGAGTGTGTCCCACTTTCTAACTCCGGTCTTGCTTTGGGACAATGTGATGATGTTGAGTGTGATACAAGCAGAGACGTAAAAACTCTTGCACGATTGGAATTGATTATCTTGCCCTCTACCAAGATCATCCAATACTGTTCTTGGTAGTTCTGAGAAGAACTATACAAATAAATGCCAGTTTCAGAGTGAAAAGATGACGTGTTGTTCACATTCGGATTGCCTCCAAGCCGGTCTAGGATATATGTAAACCATGAAATCCAAGATTTTACACACCTGAGAGGAAAAATATTTTTGCTGGCCCCAGTTAACCTTCTTTCACACGTTCCACAATATGTGATATTTTAATCAATGTCAACCTGCTGCCTTTTCAGAACAGAGGCTTTGAAAATGCCTAATATCTTTTTCTTTTAGTTGTCCCATTAGCATTTCACTCTACAATAAAGATAAATGCTCCTTTCTTCACTGTATGCCACATAATAAATTAAACACTAATTAAAGAAGGTCTTGAAAATTTAGACCTGCACTTATTTCATGAGTCTCCAAAAGACAAGGAAGAAAATTTTGCCACTGAAAACAAGGAATGTCAATACCGTGCATGAATATAAACTTGGCTATGAAAAGAATAGGGAGGATGACAATAAGAATAGAAAAAATACGTTATGTGGTTGGCAGGGCTTGGGGAAAAGAAAGGGAGAGTAGAAAAGAGGGCATCTGATTTGTAAAGGAAGACCCTGACCTTCCCTCCATGCAAAGCCCTGCTAAGGAGATTCCACCTTTGCCCCCCACTCTACCCTTTACCCTTTCCCACAAGATGTGGCTGTTATTACTCAGCCCTCCCACTGAGCCACTTCCCAGTGGGAGGAAACCTATCCTTCCTTATCCCACTGGTGAGTGCTAGAGGATGGGCACTTTTATTTTAAATCATCAAAACAAAGTGGTACTTTTATAGCCCTCTGTTCTAGACAATAAGGTATTTTGCTCTTAAATCTACCTTTCTGAGAGAAACCACCCTTAAAGATGTCAGGGTGCATTAACCTTTCTGAAGGAGGGAATAATGGATGGTGTCACATCACACAGAAGGTTGGAAGGGCAAGAAATGGAGTAGAGAAGATAGGGTTAGTGTTGGTACAAAGGGGGGACATGTCTTTATCTAAGACAGAGGGGAAGATGGAGGACAAATGGAGACATAGAACGATGAGGCAGAGAGACAAGTTAGGTATTACCTTTCGTGTAATTATTTTGGGTGGACTAAACAAATGATAAAATACTGGACTTAGGTTCAGATTTGTATCAGCTGCTAAAATAATGCTGTGTAACAAATCACCCCAAAACTCAGTGGTATAAAATAATAAATATTTATTTCTAGCACATCAGCAGGGATCAGATCACCTAGGCTGGGCTTGGCAGGTCTTGGCTGGGCTCACTCATGTGTCTGCAGTGTGGCTGGGTTTGCTCATGTGTCTGTGGGTTGACTCTGCTCCACACATCCCACATCCTCTTCTGAGGCTAGTGGGATAACTTGGACATGTCTTTTGTGTGGTTTTGGTAGAAGGCAAGAAAAGCAACGCTAATCATGTAAGATTTTTTGAGTCTCTGCTTGTATCATGTTCTCCAACATCACATTGTCCCAAAGCAAGTCTTGAGTCAGAGTGGGACACACTATAAAGTTACATGGCATAGGTCTGGGAGTGGGAGGAATTGGAACCATTATGCTACTCTTCTGAAAAATTGTTTACTTTTATGTAGCCTCTGCCTTTATCTCCAAAAAGTCTTCGACACACAAAAAATTAGCAATGCAACTACTGTGATATTAATTTTTAGGACATAAAAATCCTCAGAATAATCCTCTAGCTACTAATCATATTGAAAAGTAAAAAATATTATATTTAAAGGGGTCCTTTGAGATCATGTATTCCTATTTGTTTATGTTACAGAAAGGGAAACTGAGGACAAGAGAGATGTTTAGTGATAAAAACTGGTATTAGAAGTTGAATTCCAATACATAGAATTTATGCAGCTATGTAATGGCAGAGCAAATTAAGACCCCATTTTACAGATTGTTAACTAAGAGATGAAGCTACATCCTTGGGTCAGACAGCAATTCAGGGCCTCTCTGTTTTAGTTGGCCAATTGTACATTCCATTCTCCCTGTCTCACCATAGGGTACCCAACTAATTTTGAAAAAGGAAGAAGTGAATGTTCACTTGGAAGCCACAGTGCTGTGAAACTGAGGTGTGATATAGAACTTACAAATTAGATATTAACTTGTAATGTGATCTGGCCATGAGGAAAGCCGACTCGGCTGGGGTTGGCCTGTGCGAGGAGTCAAGCTGCAGGAAGGGGAATAATCCCCTTTATACGACACTGGTGAGACCGCACCTGGAAAACAGGCCCCTGTTCCAAGCCTCGGTACCCAGGCCATGTGGACAGGGAGGAGGAAACTGTATGATTCATTCGTAGCTGGAGGAAATGACCTAGAGGGGAGAGATTAAAGAGCTTAATGAGCTTGCTTTCCTCCCCTCTAAAGGGACCCCTGACAACTGAGAGGTGCCTTGGCTGGCCCACCGTATTGAGTTCTCTGGGTCTTTGAAGTAGAAGGCCCTAAAGTATCTGGTTCTGTTGTTCCAGGTCCATATCAAGTCCACTGCCCCCTCCACATTAGGTTCCCTTCACTTCTATGGGCTCTTGTCTTCTCAGATTTTTAAATAAGTCTTTCCCACCTTTCAGCTTCTGTACCTGTACCTCTTTTTGTTTGGCAGCTGCTTCCTGCTTTCACTTTTAGATGACAGCCTCAATATCACTTCCATGGTGAGTATTCCCCTAATTCCCTGGTGGTGCTGGGGGCTCCTGTTACCTGTTCTCTTAACACCTCCCTATCTCTTGTCTACCCTTCAGTGGCTTGCTCAGTGTCTTGCTCTATGGCATCAGAAGTTGTCTCTATTTTTTCACTGCTGTATTATATCCTGGCACATTACAGAAGTCAACAAATTCTGCCAAGGGAAAGAAAAGCAACCGACAGTTGTGCCTGGTGGCACAATTTCTCTAAATGTTTTGCTTTTCTTTTGGGATATGAAATAATCATTTCTGTCCCATATCTGCAGGGATATAGGGGAGATGGAAGATGGTGGTGAAAGTATAGTTAGCAAGGGCAGAGGTAGTCACACCCTCCCCATACGCTCTATGCCTAACTCTCTTATATACTCTAGAAGGCTCTTACAAAGACCTGTGCACCAAGACAAGCTCGGGTTGCTTCAAATCCTCAAGGAGGTCTGGGCTGGAATCACAGACACTGCCCCTGTGATCATTAGCCCAGTGCACCCCTTTTAGTATCCTCAGAAAGAGCTAGGCCTTTTTCCTCTTATTGGACTGATATGACTGCTGAGGTACAGAGATCCCCAGGTGCTTGTACGTGTATTTAATTAAACTTTATTCTCTTCAACTGAGTACACAGGGTGTAGGAGGGTCTTGGAGTCAGCAGCTTTTATCATTTGTGCAGCTGCTGATTACTCACACGCCAGGTAACTGTCTCCATCCCCCCACCACCATGGCAGTGCCTTGCACATAGTAACTGTCATCTGTATTTGGCAAGAAGAAAGAAATAATTGCCATTTAAAAAAACTGATTCTAGAGTCTTTCTGTCCCTCAGGGAGTGTTTGAATTAATTTATGCTCATGCATATGATTATTTTATTTAGGAAAGCACATTGATGGGTGGGCCTGGCTCAGGAAAAGACCTGCAGACTGTCCTACATCCAGGGAGGTGGCTGAGAGCAAAGACTTTGAATTACAACACTGGGGATTAAATGCTGGTGCCACCCTGAGCAGCAAGGCACTTCGTTCATCTGCAGTTACCTTATCTATAATATAGAAGTGGGAATTGTCCCGACTTCTGTGGGTTCTTGTGAGAACCATATAGAGTTAATATCTAAAGAGTGTAGAACAGGGCTTGGCATGCAGTGATTGAATAGTAGATGTTAACTATTATTATTATTTTGTCATTATAGCCAATCCTCCTTATTCATGGATTCCATATTTATGAATTCACCTGTGCTATACTTTTGTTTGTTTTACCTCCCCATATCTTGTGTTGAAATTTGATACCCAGTGTTGGAGGTGGGACCTAATTGGAGGTATTTGGGTCATAGGGTGGATCCCTCATGAATGGCTTGAGAGCTGTCCTTGCAGAAATGATTGAGTTCTTAGACTATTTGTTCCTGTGAGGGCTGAATGATTTAAAGAGCCTAGCACCTCCCTCCTCTCTCTCTCTCTCTCTCTTTCTGTCTCTCTTGCTTCCTCTCTCACCATGTAATCTCTGCACATGCTGGCTCTCTTTTGCCTTCTGCCATGAGTGGAAGCAGGAAGTCAAGCAGATGCTTGTGACATGCTTCTTGTACAGCCTGAAAAATCATAAGCCAAATTAACCTATTTTCTTTATAAATTTCTCAGTCTCAGGTGTTCCTTTATAGCAATACAAATGGACTAAGATAGGAAATTGGTACTGAGGAGTGAAGTGTTGCTATAAGGATACCTGAAAATACAGAAGTAGCTTTGGAACTGGGTAATGAGCAGAGGTTGAAAGCATGTGGAGGGCAAAGAGAGGATAGGAAGATGAGGTAAGGTCTGGAACTTATTAGAGACTGCTTAAGTAGTTGTGACCAAAATGTTGATAGAAATATTGACAATAAAGACCATGCTGACAAGGTCTCAGATGAAAATGACAAACTGATTGTAAACTGGAGCAAAGGTCATCCTTTTTTACTCCCTAGTAAAGAACTTGTCTACATTCTGTCCATGCCTTAGGGCTTTATGGAAGGCTGAAGGGTGATGACCTAGGGTATCTGGTGGAAGAAATTTATAAGCAGCAAAGCACTCCAGAAGTGGCATGGCTGCTTCTGATAGCCTACAGTTGGATGTGGCAGCAAAGGAATGACCTAAAGATGAAATTAATAATTAAAAAAGGAGCAGAGTATAGAAATTTGAAAAATTTGCAGCCGGTCCGTATGATAGAGAAGGAAAATGTTTTGAGGAGAGGAAAAAAAATGGTTGCTGCTGAGAAACCACTTGCTAAAGAGATTAGCATGACTAAAAGGGAGCCAGGTGCTAACAATCAGGACAATGGGGAAAAGGCCCTGAAGGCATTTCCAAAACCTTCAAGACTACCCCTCCCATCACAGGCCCAGAGGCCTAGGAGCACACAGTGGCCAGGGCACATCTGCCCTGTGCCATCTGGGAATGATGCTCCCCACATCCTGGCCACTCCAGCTCCAGCTGTGGCTGATAGGGCCCCAGGTACTGCTGTGCCTCCAAATCGTGAAAGTGGTAAGCCTTGGCAGCTTCTATATGGTGTTAAGTCTGCAGGTGCACAGAATGCAAAAGTCATGGAGGCTTTTCAGTTTCCACTTGAATTTCAGAGGATATACTGGAAAGCATGAGAACCCAGGCAAAAGTCTGCAACAGATGTGGAGCTACCACAAACAGGGCAGTGTCTAGTGGAGCCATAGGAGCAAGACTGCTACCCTTAAGACCCCAGTATTATAGAGCCACCAGTAGCATGAATCTACAGCCTGCCAAAGCCTCTGGCATTTCACTCCAACCTGTGAGAGCAGCCATGTGGTCTGTGCCTAGGAGAACCAGGGGGCTGGGGCTGCTTAAGGCCTTGGGAACCCACCTTTCACATCAGTGTGCCCAGAATGTGGAGCCCGGAGTTAAGAAAGATGATTTTGGGGCTTTAAGATGTAATGTCTGTCTTGCTGGATTTCAGACTTGTATGGGGCCTGCTACCCCTTTCTTTTGGCCAGGAGTGAAGTATAACATTCCCACTTCAAATGTAATTATACCCTGTGAAATAGGAATGTTTTCCCAATTTCAGAGGCTGGAAGCATTTGGAGGGCTCAGAATAAGATAGTAAGTCTCCATCTGAAATGGGAATGTTTACCCAATTCCTGTACAATCCTTATATCTTGGAATTATATAACTTCTTTTTAAAATTTTATAGTCTCATAGC
Source organism: Homo sapiens (assembly GCF_000001405.40). NCBI lineage: Eukaryota > Metazoa > Chordata > Mammalia > Primates > Hominidae > Homo > Homo sapiens. The sequence continues at coordinate 12,993,282 of NC_000004.12, read as the reverse complement.
TGGAAGAAACTTGCGTTGAGTCTCAGATGAGACTTTGGACTTTTAAGTTGGTATTGGAACAAGTTACAACTTGGAGGACTGTTGGGAAGGGATGGTTATATTTTGCATGTGAGAAGGACATGAGATTTGGGGGGCTAGGGGAAGAATGCCATAGTGGTTTTCATGAGAGCTGGTTGTTAAAAAGAGCCTCTCCCCTTACACACTCCTCTCTCACCATGTGATCTCTGTTCATGCTTGGTCCCCTTTGCCTCTGCCATGAGTGGAAGCAGCCTGAGGGCCTCAACAGAAGCTGAAAGTCTCACCTACTTGTGAAAATTTATTGTAATCTTCAAATCAATACTCACGGCACTTTCATAGTCATTTGTGGACATGTGCAGAGGGGTGAAAAATAGGAATTGCCTGATGCACACATTTCCAGCTGAAATCAAACAGAGTAATACCCTGCCTCATATTGTAAACAAGTGTCCTTTCATGGTCTATCGAATGCTGTGTTTTTGCATTTTTGTGCCTTTTTGTTATTTTAGCTATTTAAATGGCCCTCAAGTGTTGTGCTGAAGTGCACCTAGCATTTCCAAAGACAAGAGGACTGTAATGTGCCTCACAAAGAAAACATAGTCATATGTCATTTAACAATAGGGATATATTCTGAGACACACATCATGAGACAATTTTGTTGTTGTGTGAACATTACAGAGTATGCTTACATAAAACTAGATGATATAGCCTGCTAAACAACTAGGCTACATGGTCTAGCCTGTTTTCCCTAGGCTACAAAACAGGACAGTACTTTACTGTATTAAATACTGTAGGCTACTGCAAAATAATGGTAAGTATCTGTGTATCCAAACATAGAAATGATACAGTAAAAATATGATATTATAATTTTACCAGACCACTGCTGTATATGCAGTCCATCATTGACTGAAATGTTGTTACACAACGCATAACTGTACATTTTGTAAGCTTTTTTGTAGCATGAGTTACAGTGCTGTCAGCCATGAGTTCAATGTCAATGAATCAACAATACAAAACAAATAACTTGTCCTTAAAACGACATAAAACAAAGTTGAGTATTGCTCGATTAATGAAAATGTTGTAACCAGAGGCTTGAAGGAAACAAATCCCATAGTTTCTCTAAAAGCAATGGTTCAGTATTTGCTAATTCAGCCTTTGTGATGACTTTATAGAACACAACAACCACAAACAATGGGAATCAACAGTACTTTGATGTCTGTTCTCTCACGAAAATGATTTTGTGGTTGACGTTTAGCAGAATGAGAAAGATGTAAGAGTGGTATCTCTCTCTCTCTCTTTTTTTTTGTTTTTTGTTTTTTTTTTGAGATGGAGTCATGTTCTGTCACTGAGGCTGGAGTGCAATGGCACAATACAGGCTCACTGCAGCCTCCACCTCCCAGGTTCAAGCAATTCTTGTGCCTCAGCCTCTCAGGTAGCTGGGACTACAGGCGCCCGCCACCATGCCCAGCTAATTATTATAGTTTTAGCAGAGATGGGGTTTCACCATGTTAGTCAGGCTGGTCATGAACTGCTGCCCTTAAGTGATCTGCCTGCCTCAGCCTCCCAAAGTGCTGGTATTACAGGGGTGAGCCACCACACCCAGTCAAGAGTGATATCTCTTAATCTCTCTCTCTCTCTCTCTCTGTCTCTTTCTCTGGTGTGTGCGTGTGTGTGTGTGTGTGTGTGTATCTCCATTCTGAGAACCAATGGGAGGCAGAAATCCACAGAAGGCTTCAGAATATAAAAATTCTTCCTGCCTGTAAATGACACATATCTGAAGAGAAGAAGTATCATTATCTTGGTAAGGTAGAGATCAGTGAGTTCTGACCAGCAGCTGTTCCTCTGGCCCCTATCTGTTGTCGAAAATCAGCCCATTTCTCCTGAAAACTAAGTGCATCACATAGGTTTGCAGTTCACCCAGTACTGATGTTATGCTGCTTTCATAATGTTTATATAGTCTGATCCACACTCATGACTTTTTTTGGAAAACTAGGGAAAATGAAAGCAAATTTTGCCTGCACACTCTTAAATTGGCTTTTGCACCTAAGAGGTAAAATTACTGCATTCATGCCAATTCTTCATCACTTTCCAATTGGATGACATAAGTCCCTTTACTTAAACTAAAGAACAGCTCTATGTCTTGTTTTTATTCAACATCCCAATGTGGGGTTGTTCTGAAGGCAGCAGTGAGCCTTTAGAAATTTCTGTCTAGGGACTGTGATGTGGGATACAGATTCTAACATGACTGGCGGTACTTTAAAAGAAAGTGTGACACAAGAGACTGATATGGCTTGGGGTCATTCCTATTGGACCTGTTTTATTGGAGCCATCTTGGTTACTACTTATGCCATTTCATATAATATGTATGATTATGATTTTTGGATTTTAGTCCAGCCACAAAAATACAAATGCTGGGCTCCTAAATTAATCTTAGTTCCCAGTTCCCCTCTACCATCTTTTCTTTGTCTTGCATTGTGTGCCCATCCCAGCTTATACTTCATTCATTCCCTCTCATCTCTGTTGAGCATTTACCACCTAAACTGCTAGGTTCTGACGGGACAAAGTCTTGTCTTTTGGCGACAGTTTCATTCAGTACGATTATTTTCTCTTGGCTCTATTAGAAATTTCTTTTATTTTTTCTCCATTATGTATTCTTCCCCTTCTATCTCATTTAAAAACCATTTTCCAAGTGTTGGAGAGAGGAAGGTCAGAGAATTAAATATAATGGGATTGGGGAGAGAAGGATTAGATTAAAAGTCAATGACAGTCTTGGTCTTCAAGTAATTCATAATCTAGTGAGTTTGCATCTTATTCCCCCAGACTATACTTTAGTGCTTTATTCTTCTTACATTTGCATCTTTGTGTCTGAGCATCGCCTGAATTTTTGTCATTCTCTCTCATCTCCTTTCCCTCTACTCCCTGCTTAGGCAATTTAATTCCACTTCCATGGTTTGCATTATCAGCCTTTTAATCGCTATCCAAAATACTCCTTTAATCCTGACCTCTCTATCTTTGCCAAGGTCTGGACCTGTGTTTCCATCTCTCTGTTGTGCATTTTCCCTTGGATAAGACCACTGAATTCTTACATGCTGTACTGCTTATGAAGACAGGGCTTGGGAAGGAGCCTATTAATTGAATGACAAACCAAGTTCTTGATACATTACTTCAAGGACTCAGGGAAACTTACCAATCCAAACACTCTGCATTGTTTTATTTTTTAAATAAATATTTCGGTAATGTAAGCACTTGAGAAGACACTGGAAAACCTGAAGTAAAATGAGGTTTTTATGATGAACAATGGAAAAATTGCTCATGCTTTGGTTTTTATTAAACATAATTGCTCTAAGTCAAAGAAGTGGATACATTTGAGAACAAACAATAAAAAATTGGAACACAAAGTTCCTTTCAAAATAGAAATGCAAATTTTAACATGAGTACACTGAAGTCTTCCATTGTATATGAAGTATATTTCTATAATCCTACTATCAGCGAGCTTATAGTAAATGCTCTTGTTTGATCTAAAGATTTCAAGTAGGCCGGGTGTGGTGGCTCACACCTGTAATCCCAGCATTTTGGGAGGCAGAGGTGGGCGTATCATCTGACGTCAGGAGTTTGAGACCAGCCTGGCCAACATGGTGAAACCCCATCTTTACTAAAAAATACAAAAATTAGCTGGGCATGGTGGCAGGTGTCTGTAATCCCAGCTACTCAGGAGGTTGGGGTAGGAGAATCACTTGAACTTGGGAGGCAGAGGTTGCAGTGAGCTGAGGTCACACCATTGCACTCCAGCCTAGGTGACAAGAGCGAAACCCTGTCTCAAAAAAAAAAAAAAACAAAAAAACACCAAAAAACAAAAAAGAAAAACAGATTTCAAGTAAATGATTCGACATTCCAAAATCTTTACCCACCACCACCCCCTGCCCCCCATCCCCGCCGCCGGCCACTTACATCTGTTTTGCTTCCTCCTTGTAGAGTATTAGTTGATAGCACTATAAAAATAATATATGCACATTCTTTGAATAATTGAAAGTCAGTAGTAAGTAAAAAATTAACATTTCTTCAGTCCCTATTTATACCCTCCTTTGTGAGTCCCATTTCTTAGTAGGATTACATATGCTTTTATTTCTTCTAATGGTTGCTAAGGTAATATTAAACAGTACATTATTGTATATTTCTTGACGTATGTGTTGACTCTTTGCTTTGACAAATAGGACTGGGCTCACATACACTACTTCCCAGTTTTGTTAAATAGTATATTTAAAATTGTGTTTCTTGCTCTATCAAATTTAGAGAGTATATCTTGATTCCTCATTACTTCCAATAGGGAAGTTAGGGCCACAGCACAACTACTGACCTCTCTTCTCCTTTGTATTTCCGAAGTTGTTTCAGCTATACAATTATTTATCCTGTATCAGAATGTTAATATTTAAATTCTGTTTTGTGATTATATTTGTTTTATTTTTTGCTTTTTAGAAAAATGATGCTAAAAGTTTGAAAACAAACAGTCTTTATAATATTATGATAATGTCAATGTAAGAATTGTAAAGATGCTTTAGGAGCAAGTGGTAGGTTTGTAATCACAGTGAAAGAATGTAATCCTATGTTCTTTAGGATTGACAGAGAATGTTTCCAATGTTAATAAATTTAAATGGATTCTCCTTTCTTCTAATTGCTCAATATCATATCACATTTTAGTTCGCTTTCTACTTGAACAATGATGTTCTTATACATCCTTTAATTTTTCTTGTTGATTCTGATTGCTGTTTTTCACTTGCTGACAAAAGAAACACATACTTTTTCTACCAAGCCCATAGGATTTCCTGACTTTTCAATTCTATTATTAAATATTTAATAGTCTTCTTCCTTCTTAGAGATTAAACCATTAGGGTGCCCTGAATTACATTCAAATTTGGATTTAGTGCTTTATGAGCCTGCTGCAGAGCTCTTTTTCCAGAATTTCTTCCCATTTAATTATTTATTAATCAGGCTAGTTTAAATGTTGTAGCATCTCCAAATTTCAGATGCTTAATTTTATAAGAAGTCTACTTTTTTTTCCACTCCTATCCCAGTCCACCTAGAACCAGAAGGAAGTTCCTCTCCATTCAGACACTCTGAAACGGAGATTTCCATCAGGTGAGTGAGCTATCTTCTAAGTCTGCCTTCACCTCTGCAATCATCCAGTGGAAAAGGGAGGCAATGCAGAAAGCACATATGCTTTTAATCTTCTTTGGCTAGAAGTGGCACTTGTGACTTCTGATCATATTCCATTGTCAAGAGCAGTCACATGGCCTACCTTGATGGAGAGATGACAGAAAATGGATCCACTGTTTGCCTCAGAACAGATAAAGACTACAGGCTCTACTCACACTCCTGAGTTATTCCCATGGGTTGCTCTTTTCACGTTTTCTTTCGTTGTGTTGAAGTACATTATTAAGAATTTTTTGGCCTGAGTCCTTTCCTGTCTGGAAATTTCTTTATTTTACTCTCACACTAAGTATTGTGTCTAGGTGTGAAAATCTGGGTTAAAGATAATATTTTCCTTAAAATGTTATAGTTATTGCCCTGCTGTCTTGCAGAATCTCCTTCATATACTGTTCTCTTCTCTAAAACTGCTTTGGATAGATGATGATTCTGAAACTGGCCCAATCATCCATAGAACTAATATTTACACTTTTTTGAATAAACATACAAATTGAAACTCCTGGTTTTGAAACTTGAAACTCATTTTTGTCTCATCTGAGTTCCTTCCTCAGGAAACTAACCCTCAAGCAAGCAACTGAAACTCTTCAGATCACCACATCCAGACAATGAGATGCTAGACGCTTCATCCCTCATGATTGCTTCCTTATCCCTCTTTAATTCTTGTTTTCCTGCCTTCTCTGCTATGCCCCCTCAGTTTTTATCAGTTGGGGAGATGGATTTGAGACTTTATCTCTCATTCTCTTCAGCTGCAACACCCGATTTAAGCCTTCTTCCCTGGCAATACTCATTGTCTCAGTGATTGGCTTTCTGTGTAGTGAGCAGCAGGACCTACACAAAATCCCTGACATTTTGGTAACAATCCTTCTGGACTGATCCTTTAAAACTTTACTTTTATATTTTCTTTTCTTTTTCTCTGCCTTATGTTCTGTGGTATTTTTCTCAGGCCATGCTACCGATTTTTAAAGAAATTTCAGCTATCATATTTTTAATTTCCATTAATATGTTCTTATCTCCTACTCCTTTTATATCAACCCATTAATATTATTTTATTGATTTAATCTGTTCCCAAAGACTCTGAGAAGTCTCATTAAAGTAGTTTTGAGAGAACCAGGCACAGTGGCTCACACTTGTAATCACAGCACTTTGGGAGGTTGAGGTGGGCAGATCACTTGAGGTCAGGAGTTGGAGACCAGCCTGGCCAACAAGGTGAAACTATCTCTACCAAAAACACAGAAATTTGCTGGGCATGGTGGCATGTACCTATAATCCCAGCTACTCAGGAGGCTGAGAACAAGAATCACTTGAACTCAGGAGGCAGAGATTGCACCACTGCACTCCAGCCTGGGTGATGGAGTGAGACTCAAAAAAAAAAAAAAATACATAGTTTTGAGAGATCTCATATTCTGTAGATCATCTATGTATTCCAGTATCAGGCATTTTGTGTGTGTGTGTGTGTCCATCTTGATTTTTCTATCCTGTCTTCTTTTTCTCTCAAATGTTTGGAGACAGATGATTAAAAGAAGTAACTTAAATGAGCTTTCTTTATGGTTTAAGTCTGCTTTTCTGATTTCTTAAATGTTCCTTATATAATTCTGCATATAAGGGAGACATTTTTCAGTACTAAGGCTTTTTGTGCAGTATAGACCTAGTGATTTAAGAAAAAATATGTTTGGTGTTTGCCCCAGGTTCCTGCTGAAGAGCTATTAAAACTGGGATAATAAAGTCAATGGTAGCTTGATGGGACTAGCATTGAATCTATAAATTACTTTGGGCAGTATGGCCATTTTCACGATATTGATTCTTCCTATCCATGAACATGGAATGTTTTTCCATTTCTTTGTGTCTTCTCTTGTTTCCTTGAGCAGTGGTTTATTGTTCTCCTTGAAGAGGTCCTTCACGTTCCTTGTAAGTTGTATTCCTAGGTATTTTATTCTCTTTGTAGCAGTGGTGAATGGGAGTTCACCCATAGTTTGGCTCTCTGTTTGTCTATTATTGGGGTATAGGAATGCTTGTGATTTTGTATCCTGAGAATTCGCTTAAGTTGCTTACCAGCTTAAGGAGTGTTGGGGCTGATGATGGGGTTTTCTAAATATACAATCCTGTCATCTGCAAACAGAGACAATTTGACTTCCTTTCTTCCTATTTGAATATGCTTTATTTCTTTCTTTTGCTTGATTGCCCTGCCCAGAACTTCCAATACTATGTTGAATAGGAGTGGTGAGAGAGGGCATCCTTGTCTTATGCTGGTTTTCAAAGGGAATGTTTCCAGCTTTTGCCCATTCAGTATGATATTGGCTATGGGTTTGTCATAAAAGGCTCTTATTATTTTGAGATATGTTCCATCAATACCTAGTTTATTGAGTTTTTTTTTTTAGCATGAAAGGGAGTTGAAATTTATCCAAGGCCTTCTCTACATCTATTGAGATAATCATATGGTTTTTGTCATTGGTTCTGTTTATGTGATGAATTACGTTTATTGATTTGTGTGGGTTGAACCAGACTTGCATCATATTTTTAATTTCCATTAAGACGTTCTTGTCTCCTAATCATTTTATAGTGGTGCTGGATTCAGTTTGCCAGCATTTTATTCAGGATTTTTGTATCAATGTTCATCAGGGATATTAGCCTGAAATTTTCTTTTTTTGTTGTGTTTCTGGCAGTTTTTGGCAGCTACCATTGAGTTTCTTCACAGAATTAGAGAAAACTACTTTAAATTTCATATGGAATCAAAAAATGGTCCATATAGCCAAGCCAATCCTAAGAAATAAGAACAAAGCTGGAGGCATCATGCTACCTGACTTCAAACTATACTACAAGGCTAGAGTAACCAAAAGAGCATGGTACTGGTACCAAAACATACATATATATATATATATATATATATATATATATATATATATATACCAATGGAACAGAACAGAGGCCTCAGAAATAACACCACACATCTATAACTATATGATCTTTGACAAACCTGACAAAAATAAGCAATGGGGAAATGATTCCCTATTTAATAAACTGTGTTGGGAAAACTGGCTAGCCATATGCAGAAAACTGAACCTGGACCCCTTCCTTACACCTTATACAAAATGAACTCAAGATGAATTAAAGACTTAAATGTAAGACCTAAAACCATAAAAACCCTAGAAGAAAACCTAGGCAATACCATTCATGACATAGGCATGGGCAAAGACTTCATGACTAAAACACCAAAAGCAATAGTAACAGAAGCAAAAATTGACAAATGGGATCTAATTAAACTAAAGAGCTTCTGCACAGCAGAAGAAACTATCATCAGCATGAACAGGCAACCTACAGAATGGGAGAAAATTTTTGTAATCTGTCCGTCTGACAAAGGGCTAATATCCAGAATCTACAAAAAACATAAACAAATTTACAAAAAAAAAAACAACCCCATCAAAAAGTGGGCAAAGGATATGAACAGACACTTCTCGAAGACATTTATGCAGCCAACAAGCATATGAAATCTTTATACACCATGGAATACTATGCAGCCATAAAAAAGGATTAGTTCATGTCCTTTGCAGGGACATGGATGAAACTGAAAACCATCATTCTCAGCAAACTAACACAGGAATAGGAAACCAAACACCTCATGTTCTCACTCATAAGTGGGAGTTGAATAATGAGAACACATTGACACAGGGAGGAGAACATCACACACCGGGTCCTGTCAGGGGGTTGGGGCAAGGGGAGGGTAGCATTAGGAAAAATACCTAATGCATGCAGGGCTTAAAACCTAGCTAATGGGTTGATGGATGCAGCAAACCACTGTGGCACATGTATATCTATGTAACAAACATGCACATTCTGCACATATATCCCAGAACTTAAAGTATTAAAAAAAAAACTGAGATAAGAATGTCTTTTGTATGCTAACAAGATAACTCATGGTGGGAGGCCCTAGACAGCTTTGGATGGGGATTGATTGCCAGGAAAATCAACCATGTGATTAGACGGTTAGGACTTTCAGCCCTACTCCCCAAATGAGGGACTGGAGATTGAGTTTAATCAACAATAGTAATGATTTAATCAATCCTACCCACTTTAATGAAACCTTTATGAAAACAACAGAGTTCAAGGGCTTTCTGGTTGTTGATATACTGGGAGGGTAACTCTCCCTGATTCTGCAGGGACAGATGTTCTTGCACTCAGAACCCTTCTGAACCATGACTCCTGTGCCTCTTTATCTTAGCTGTTCATGTGTGTCCTTCAAAATAAATGGTAATAGTAAGTAAAGCACTTTTCTGAGTTGTGTAAGTTGTTCTAGAGAATGGTAAAACTTGAGGGTGCATTGCAGACACTCACAAATTTGTAGTTGATTGAGCAGAAGTGTGGGTAACCTGGGGACATCACTTGCACCTGGCTCTGAAGTAGGGACAGTCTTGTGAGACCGAGTCCTTAACTTGTGGGGTCTGTGCTAACTTTGGGTAGTTAGTGTCAGAATTAAATTTGATGATACAATACCCAACTGGTGTGGGAGAATTGAATTGGTTGGATCTGCGAAAAGAAAACACAGTTATATAGAGCCGAAAGTTAGCCTGAGCTCTTCTCTTAATATTCTGTGGAACTAACACACTAGGAGCCTTAACTTTTCCCTAAAACATCTATCCATTTTCCCCAAAAGCAAAGCTCATCTTATTTGGTGTCAGTGGTAGGCAGAATAATGGTCTCCCAAAGATGGCTGCTTTCTAATCTCTTGTGAATATGTCATGTTGCATGGGGCAAGGTGGAAATTAAGGGTGCAGACAGAATTGAGATTGCTAATCTGCTGACCTTGAGATAGGGAGATTTTCCTGGGGTATCCTGGTGGGCCCAGTATAATCACAAGTATCCCTACATGTGAAAAAGAGAGGTAGGAAAGTCAGTGTTGATGCCTGTATTAGTCTGTAGATATACCTGAGACTAGGCAAGTTACAAAAGAAAGAGGTTTAATGGACTTACAGTTTCATGTGGCTGGGGAAGCCTCACAATCATGGTGAAAGGAAAGGAGGAGCAAGTCATGTCTTACATGGATGGCAGTAGGCGAAGAGAGAGCCTGTGCAGTGAAACTCCCATTTTTAAAACCATCAGATCTCATGAGACTTATTCACTATCGCGAGAACATCATGGGAAAGTTCCACACCCATGATTCAGTTATCTCCCACTGGTTCCCTCCCATAACACATGGAAATTATGGGAGCTACAAGATGAGATTTGGATGGGGACACAGAGCCAAACCATGTCAATGCCCAAGAGAGATTTCAAATTGTTACACTGTTGGCTTTGAAGATTTAAGAAGGGACCATGAGGCAAGAAATGAGGGTGGTTTCTGGAAGCTGAGAAAAATTAGAAAACTGACATTCCCTTAAAGTTTCCAGAAGAAACACATACTTGTTGATACTTTAGTTTATTGAGGCTTATTTCAGACTTATGATCTCCAAAACTGTAAAATACATTCTTGTAGTTTTAAGGCCCTAAGTTCATGGTAATTTGTTATAGCAGTAGAAAACTAATAGAGTCTTCAATCAGTGTTTCACCCAGTTGAGTATTTGCTATGTATTTTTTAAAAATCTCCTTTCTTGGATGCTATGCTCCCATGTCTTTCTGTTTTCTTGCCTCATTTCTGATTCATCCTTCTTTGTCTTCAAAATTTCTTTCTCATAACCTGTAAAAGTTGAAGAATTTCATGATTGGGATAGAGACACTTTTGTATATTTCTGTGTCCTCTTCCTAGTTGATTTCACTGGTACTCTTGGTTTTAAGTATAATCTTTATGCGCTGGTAACTCCAGAAGTTTATTTTTAGTTGAGCCCTCAATACATGTACATTTATGGAATTGTGTATCCAATTGCTTACTTGATATCCTCACTTGGGTGTTTCACAGTTCTCCTAAATTTGACATTTGGATATTGGACTTATGATTTTCTTTTGAATCTTTTGATTCCTGCTTCAGTTAGTGTCTCACTTCATTTAGTGTTGCTCTAAAGGAATGCCTGAGGCTGAGTAATTTATAAGAAAAAGGAGGTTTATTTGGCTTATGGTTCTGCAGACTGTACAAGAAGCATGGCACCTGCATCTGTTTCTGGTGAGGCCTCTGTTTGCACTGATGGCAGAAGTTGAAGGGGAGCCTTTGCGTGCAGATATAACACTGTGGGGGAGGAAGCAAGAGAGCAAACAGGGAGATTCCAGGCTCTTTTTAACAACCAGCTATTGTAGGAACTAATAGAGCAATAATTCATTCATTAATGTAAGGATGGCATCAAGCCATTCATTTGAAATTTGCCCCGGTGGCCCACACATCTCCCACTGGGCCCACCTCCCAACACTGCTACACTGGGGATTACATTTCAACATCATATTTGGAATGATCAGTTATCCAAACCACAGAAGTCAGCTATGGCCATGGTAAGGCTTCATGATAAACTGCCCCCAAATTTAGTAACAGTACACATTTATTCTGACATACACAGGTCTGTAGAGGCTGAGTCATTGTGATTCTAGATATAGACCAATAGTCGAACCCACCTGTCCCCCAGGAAGTTTTCTTTTCCCAGGAAATGCCTTTGCCAATTACCTTGTTGCTCAAGCCAGAAATGAGGGTATTGATCTTCATTTGTCCTTCTCTCTCCGTCTTTGCATCCATTTGCTCTGTAAGTCCTTTATATTTGCCTCCAAAATAGATCTCAAATCTGCCTACTTATCCTGCACTCTCCACTTTACCAGTATATCCAAGCTACTGTAATATTTTCTTCTGGAGTACAGTTATCTTTACTCATTCTTTTTTCATCAGTAAATATTTATTGATAGAATGTCTTTTCAGTGCCACATAGAGTACTTTTCTTATTGATCCTAAGTAAGGCTTTGCCTTTATTCACCATCAGAACTTGCTAATTTCTTGGGACATCTTTGTTTTAAGAACCACAGAGATATTTTGAATAAAACTGATGCAACTCTTTGCCTTCATGGAGCTTATAATCTAGGGAGGGGAGCAAAATATTTTACCTGTGTTTCTTGTTTCCTCTTTTGCCTTCCACCATTCTATCTACCTCACTGAAGCCAGAGTAATTTTAATAGTGAGAGAAGAGTGTTGCTTAGATTCTTTAATGGCTTCATATTGGGGGTGAATCAATATCCAGATTCCTTTTCGGGGCCTACCAAGCCCCATGTGATCTCTGCTCAAGCAGCTCTCACCTGATCTCAGTCTCTTTCCATCTCATGTACTGTGTCCCAGCTACAATGAGCTCCTTTTCAATTTCTAGACTCCATCAAGCTCCCATCTAGCCTAGAGGGTAGCACATGCTAGTTTCCAGCTTAGAATACTATGTTCCTGGATCTTTCCAGATCTCTGCTTAAAGATTATCTTTTTGGTGGCTTTTCTAATGACCTTAATTAAGACTCAGACTTCTCATTTCTTAGAGTGCTTTGTTCACTAACCTTACAGTGCATGTCTGTGTGTGTGTATATATATATGTGTATATATATCTATATATATGTGTGTGTGTGTGTATATATATATATATATATATATATATATACACACATGTATTTACCTATTTAGTGGGTTTCTGCCAGCTATATTCTGCATGGGGTCTATGCTTGTTTTACTCACCCCTGTATACTTAATTCCTAGTACAGTGTCTGGCATAAAGCAGGCACACAAAGCATGCTTGTAGATTAAATATACACAGGAATGGTGGTGTTTCAGGTACTGGTGCAAAGTAGAGTGGGGAGATGTAAATATCATGGAGCTGGGCCTAAAGTCCCAGTGGTGCCGTCTTAGCAACCCTCAGACCACGGAATACAGGCTTACTAGTAAGCTTGGCCTCATTAAAAGAAATTATTTTGTAATTAGGCAAAAATAGGGTTGGGCAGGGTGAATGACTTGTTTAGGGTAATACAGGAAAATCGCTGCGGAGCTGGGTGAGAGCCAGCAGCCCAGGCCCATCCGCTGGAGGCCAGGTCCTCACATGTAGTTTCCATTATAGGCCCCACGGGATAACTCAGCATCCCAACCCCGCTGTGACCCACTCACCCACGAGGGGGGCCGAAAGCGGAAGGCTCACACCAGGCTTGAGGGTTTCCAGGCCACTTTGCTTATGACTTGGCTTATGGTTCCTGCTTCTCTTCTTTAATGCTCCTTGAGTTCCTGACCTTAAATCAAGCTCTCGGGCTTTTCTTCTGCTCAGAATGAGCTGGTGACTTTTAATTGTATTTTTCCACTCGAGGTCTTTGAAATCTGCATTGCTTTGCATTTGTGGGTTTAGCGTGACCTTTAATGTTCTCTTGGCAGATTTCTGTTATTGGAAGGGATGGGATTTTTGATTTGTTAGAAAGAATGGAGTCTAAGCTTTGGACTTCAGACCCTTAAGCTTTCTGTTTAAAACGAAGAGATGACTAATAACTATTTAGTATGTAATGATGGCTTAGCAGTATTTGCCACTGATTTAGGTTCTCTGGCTCCGTTGCCTAGAATATTTTTCTGACTTAAACGTTTCTCAGTTCTTTAGCCAGCAGCTGTCCACATTTTTTTAAATCCCCAAACCTCCAGAAATTATGATTTCACATTTCTAATAGGCTCCTTTCACTTTTCAATCAAAAAGCCCTCTTGTACCTTGTGGTATGTGTCCCAAAGTGAATTTAATACAAATCACAAGTGGAGAACACAAACAAAGGATAAAGCCTAAATCTTCCCTAATGGGGCCCACATCCAGCACCACTATCCTTTACTCTTGGCTATGCCTGAAGTAGGTGTGTGGAAGAAATAAGCGGTAAGCACAGAGAAAAAAAAAAAAAAACACAAGAAGCAGCAGCTCTCAATGGAGTAGGAATGTGTGATTAAATCTTCCTCACCTTCGTCAGTTGCTAGAGTCTCTTTCCCAGTGAGAGAGGAGAGAAGCCCACATCAGAATTCAAAGGTAATTATTCCCTTAGGATATTATTTCAAATTAATGCCTTAGAATAGCAATTATTTGTTATTGAGACATCCAGAAAATATGAATTGATTTGTGGGTGTAAAGACAAGAGAGATAGTCCCTGGTCTCAGTGGCACATGGATGTGTGTGTGTATGATTTTAAGTTTATAGTATGAAAAGGCAGGCAGTAGTGAAGAAAACACTGGAGGTTCAGAATCCTGAGGTTATAATAATAGTAATCACAACAATAAATAATTCCATAATATGGACCATGCACAGTGAGGTTTCCGTGTGATAGAAACTATGCTAATTGCTTTATAACACTTAATTCTCTTGACAAGCAGAAGAGGTAGGCACTTCCAGGACCTCTATAACACAGCTATGAAAATGAAAATCAGCAATATTTTTCATTTGCTTGTGGCCACAAAGCCCAAAATTGATAGATTTTAATCCACATCTTTCTGAATTTCCATTCTATGCTTTTAACCACAATATTGTTAGAAATTCTGGAGGGGTAGAGGTTGGGATTTCCAATGACTGTTCTAACTTCATAACTCTATGACTTGGTAATATACAGAACTCTATCAGTGGAGACCCTGAGAGATGACACAGGTTTTGGGCATCAGGTCTGTGAGGTGGGGAAAGTAGAGCTCTGAGCTTGGGGTTAGAGGGCTGTGGTTTTGGTTCTGACTCTACTTTGTGGCTGTAAGACCTTGATTTCTTCTTCTTTAAAGTGATAGTTGTCACACCAACTTTGACTACTCTTGAGCAATGGGGAAATGGGAAAATGAGCTAATGGGTATGAAAATATTTTGAAAGTGTATTGAGTTTGCAGTTGTAAGGAAAGACCATTATTACACTCACATAAGACACTGTTAGATGTGGCTTCTGGTTCCATGGACAAATAAAATTATAAAATAATCACAGCTGCCATCCGTTGACTGCATATTGTGTGTCAGGAAATTGACCTGGTATTCAATGTTTTAATTTAATCTTGGAAGGCAATTCTTCAAGCTACATATCATTACACCCGTTATAGAGAAACACACAAGCTCACTGAGGCCAAGTAACTAGGCTATTAGAATGAGGCAGTAGATAAGTTGGGATTCAAACTCAGGTCAGCCTGATTAACAGTCACTGATCTACTATGTGGCTTTTCTTGGCCAGATTAGTTTTATCTTCTTTTTTAAGTTTCCTTTTTTGGTTGGTCAAGTTAGTTTTAAAGGTACACTGAATGATAAAACTGGAAGCTATCTTAGAGATTGTTAATCTATCAAAGCACCTACTAAAATTTCTTAAAAAGCAAATTCAAGGGCCAATGCTTGCCTTTAGTGTATAACCCACGGATCTTCTGGTTTCAAGTAGTAGAATCCCAATAGAAACTGGCTTTACTAGAAATGAAGAAGTCATTTCAGGCCTGGCTGAATCAAAGGACTCAGTCCGTATCATCAGAGTTCATGACTTCCTTTGTGTTGGCTTGTTTTCATGTTCCATGTGATGGCTCCTAGCAGTTCTAGGTTTACATCTTGCTTGTTATGGGTAGTACCAGGAGAAGTCTCTCTCCAACCTAGAGCTAATTCTTACAAGCCTCAGATGGATCATGCCCCCATCACTGAGCCAGTCACTATATTCAGAGGAAAGACCATGTGGTTGGTTGAGGCTTGACTCCCCTATCCACTCCAAAACTATGTGTACCATGTGTAGGGGAAAAATTCTTCCCAAAAGAAAAGTTGGACTGCTGTTTCTGGAGGAAGTGGGTGTGAATGGTGGATGAACAAAAACAACAGATGTTCCCCCATGCCTATGAAGGTACAAATTTATGTGAGGATGTCATTCAAGTTACTTCCTTGCTTGGCCTCCATCTTGAAATTTCCTCTTGACATCTCAGAGGTCGATTCCATGGCATAGTGCTTGCTACCTGATGCCTCCTTACTCACACACAGTATAGTACCTGTGAATGTTGATATGCCAAGCATAGGAAAGATTCCTGTGGATGAACTAGTGGGAAGACAAGGCAGACATGGTAGAGTAGGAGAAACATTAAGCATCATATATTCCTTGCTGGTATTGTTGAACAATGACAATTACTCATACAGGTGACATAGAAATTGAGGAAGAGTGAAGATGCTCTTTCTGTTCAGACTATTGAATATCTCCAGGTAAAAAGCACTGATACTATTTTCTCTGTTAGAAATCCTTATCCAAGTGAAGCTTTAGAGATACTAAGTTGGAAGAGCTCTATAGAGAGACCTAGCTTAACTCACTGTTTGGATTTTTGACCAAACTGAGTGATATGGTTTGGCTGTGTCCCCACCCTAATCTCATCTTGAATTGTAACTCCCACAATTTCCACATGTCATGGGAGGAACCCGGTGGGAGGTAATTGAATCATGGGGTCAGGTCTTTCCTGGGCTGTTCTCCTGATAGTGAATAAGTCTTATGAGATCTGATGGTTTTTAAAACTGAAGTTTCCCTGCACAAGCTCTCTCTATTTGCCTGCCGCCATCCACATAAGATGTGACTTGCTCCTGGCTTTCTTCCATGATTGTGAGGCCTCCCCAGCCACGTGGAACTGTAAATCCATTAAACCTTTTTCCTGTATAAATTACCCAGTCTTGGGTATGTCTTTATTAGCCGCATGAAAACAGACTAATACACTGATACTGAGTGAACTCAAGTGGCTTCCCTAACATCACACAACTAGTGAAAAACACAGCTCAGCCAAGAACCAAAAGCTCTTGACTTGATACTCACTGAAGGATGACTGGCTAATGCTGGTCCTCTGTAGCACATCATATATGAATAAGTGAGAAACTGTACCCAGCAAGGATAGCAGTGTCCGCTGAGGACTCACATGTTCTTTCTTTCTTAGCCTTGAACGTTCCCATAAACATTTCAGTGTTGAAGAAATGGTTACAGACCCAGACCTCAATGTTTGTGCTGCTGTTCTGCCTTAGATTAAGTGAAATATTGTTTGTAGATGATACAGATAAATTGGCTCAACTGTGAGCCTGTGTAGATGGTTAAAAGGATGCTGTTTATTTGTCTAAGGAGGTTGCCCAGCTGGGTAAGAGGGCTGTTGGATTATTGCCTTATTTTACCCACAGCCTTCCTATTTATTTCAGGAATTCGCTTCAGAGAATGCACTTAACTACTCTGCCTGGTTGTCATCTGTCATGCTTCTATTGGATTCAAGTGCCCCAATTCCAATGACTTTGTCATCTTCCTCCCTCCTGACCACTGCCCACCAGTGCCAAGGATGGTGCCAGCAATCTGTGGCTGTTCCATCAATGGAAACTAAATTTAGTATATATGAAAGTATGATTGATTAATTAGAAAATTAGAAGCGATTCTCAGGCTTCAAGTGTCTGAAAGTGTAATAGATGAGTGACAGGGAACAGTTGGTCCCTGTGTTCATTCAGGCAAAGAAAACAATAAAAAGAGATTTATATAAAGCCAGCTGGAATGCGGATCAGCCATTAGGAAGGATGTACTGGCAATGATTATGAAACTCGTTGAAAAACTTTTGGTTGCTTTAAGGATACTAGATTTAAGAACCTGCTCTGCCTGTATTAGCAGTATAGCATTTGGAAAAATCACTGACTACTTCATCTTCTCCTCTGCAGAGTGGTTTGAGATGGAAACTAAACTCATGAGGTTGTTACAGCAATCAAAATCAGATGATGTATGAAGACTCCCATCCAGGGTTCATACCCAGTAGTTGCTTTATGTGTTAGCTCCTGTCTTTTTCTTTCCTTTTTAAATGTTAATATTTAACACTTTTTATTCAAATAAAATAGACATTTAAATAAGAAAGTAATAGATTATGAATGCTTGGAAGAAGGCAGTATAAATGAAGAGGGAGACGATGATAAGGATTGAAAAACACTAAGAAAGTTGGGTTGACCAGATTTGGGGTGTGAAAGAATGTGGAAGTTAAGGGAGAAGAAATGTCAGTGTCATTCCTAAAGATAGTGCACTGGCTGGAGGGATGGTGTGTGACACTATCCAGAGGGACTGACAAAGTAATAATCATACAGTCAAAGGAAGAATCTACCTTCTCATGCATGATATCAAATCATCTTAGAGTCACTTTTGCATACTGAGGAGCCTAAACCAGAAGTGAAAAGGTTTTATTCCCCACCCCCCAACCCCTCAACCCAAATGCAGTGATGCTCTACTGCAGTGATTTCCACTCCTGGCTGTGATTCTTCAATGTACAGCTTCTGGGCTCTGCCCCCAGAGATTCTGATTCAGTGGTCTTGTGTGTGTTCGTGGCTTCTGCATTTATACACAAGGTGATAGGAGTGCACAGCTAGGACGGAAGAATAGAAACAGGAGATACAGAGTTCACTGTCAATGTTCTATCAACCCAAGCCATGTTTTCAAAGCCTATTCCCTATAAAATGCCCTAGGGTATTCTAAGAAAGTAAGTTCTGCTAATTTACACCTGTCTTTTTGATTACTGTGTGGCTGAGTTAAACCACTTTTCATTTTCTTTTTCCCCAGTCTCTGGGCCTGGATTCCCTTGGTCCTTCTGGGTTAGAGCATCACTGGTGGGGAGGATAGCAGATTGACCATTCATCAATTTCTTTAGGACTGGCACAGAAGCTAGGGGCATCTCTTTTGGCCATCTCCATACCCGAGAGCAAGTGAACACCCATAATTATACTTTTATTAAAGCTCTTAAAAATTTCTGTTCTGTTCACAAAATAGGTATTATTGTGCCTATTTTATGGATGAGAAAACTGAGCCTGAGAGAGTTCAGTAGCTGTCCCAAGGTAATCCAACAATGAAATGGGAGGCCATATTTACATCTGAGCTTCCTTCCTTCCTCCCGTCTCCTTCATTTCCCTTCACTTCCCTTCCCTTGCTTCTCTTCCTTTCCTCTTCTTGCCACACCATCCGTCTGCTTCTTGCACCATATTAGAAGATTTCTGAAGAGAGGGCTCATATATTCAGTTATATTTTTCTTTCATACCTACACCATACTTTGCACATAGTAGATATTTATCAAATGTATAGTAAATAAGGAAATAACTCCTTTTCTTTTCTTAATGATCACATTGAATATTTACTAACTAAAGTGAAAATCCCAAGAGCACAAGGATGTTCTCGTATCCTTCTTGGTTTTACCAGTGTGTGTACTTGAAAAATTGTACAATTAATATCAAATGTTCAGAAATACTTGTGAGATGAGAATAAAAAGAATATCTGGCACAAAAAACCAGACATCAGGTCCTATTCCCCCATTAAAGCCTTACTCCAATGAGCTATTGGCTTAATGCAAACACGAAGTGGGGTCTGGGATCCATGCCTGCCTGAGTGCTGGCAATTGCCAAGACTCTCATGGTTTCCTTTTGTGCGCTGAAGCTATCAGAAATTGTAGTTATAGAAGTCATCCCCTGTTCAAAGGTTGTCTGCATCACAGCCAAGTATTGCTCTCTCCTGAATCTATTCTGGCTACACAAAGTCTTGCTCTGGCCTCAGAGTGCATGCTTGGTGCCTACAAGGAAAAGGGTGGACCATGACAGGAGACTGAATCTTGCTCTCTGCCCAGGGCACAGCATGGAGCTTTTGACCTGGACTTAGCTAAAGCCCATGCCAGCCTGAGTGGCATCATTCTGGGTACAGACCTTGAGTTACCACTTTCATAGCCATACCAATCCCAGCTCATTGTGCAAAGGTTGCTTGTGAAAAATAATTCAATATTAAGCACATGGGTCTATCTCAATTGTAGTTCTACCAATCTTCGTAAGGCACTTCCATCAATAAAATGTGACCCAACTATGCTCTTAAAAACACTTTAGGCATTAACACCCTTTTAGAATGGATCTAGCCCTTGAGATTTTCTTAGGTGGGCTCCATCTTTCTCATTAGCTTTCGTTATGTATAATATATATGCAAATGCCTTTGCCATAGTCTACCAAGAATTATTCAGGTCCCTTATCTTAGACCCTAAAAACTATGAGTTATAAATGGACAAAGGAGTACAACAATATATTGCAAAATGATGGATTTCTATTATCATTAGTATTTTGATAAAATAGATAATATTTTGTTTATGTGTTTATGTGTGTATGTATGTATTTATTTCTTTTTAGAGATGATGTCTTGCTACATTGTCCAGGCTGGACTTCAACTTCTGGGCTCAAGCAGTTCTCCTGCCTTAGCTTCCTGAGCAGCTAGTACTACAGGCACGAGCAACCATGCCCAGGTAAGGTATGTAATACTAAATATGTATTTCAAGAGCAAATATTGAATGTGCACTCTGAGATTATATTATTTGGGATTGAATCCTCAGTCTGCCATGTATTAGCTTAGTATTTCTCAACCTCAGCAGGACTGACATTTTGGGCCACTTAGTTCTATGTTGAAGGGGAGAGGGGCCTGCCTTACACACAGTAGGATATATGGTAGGATCTTGGGTTTCTACCTTCTAAATGAGAATAGCACCTGCCCAGTTACAACAATTCACAATGCCTTCAGACATTACTAAATAACTCCTGGCTTGGAGTGGGGTGGGGGTAGCGGGTGAAAAGGGTACGATTGCCCAGATTAGAGAGCCACTGCATGAGGTGATGACCTTGGGAAGGTTTAGATCCTTCTGGGATGCTATTCTTTTTACCTGTAAATTGTGTATAATAAAACCCAACTTACACTATTGGATGTAAGCACAGAAATTCATTAGCATACACTTGGTATAGGAAAAAGCACAAAAAATATTACTTATTTATCAGACATTTACTATTGTTTTATGAAAGATACATACTGTAGCTAGGTAATACAGGTCTATGTGTGTATGTATCTGAAACTGAAATAAAGACCTTAAGTGGTTTTTCCTAAATTTATGTAGGAAGTTTGAATCACAGTCAGATTTAGAACAATCAGATCTAGATTTTCAGCAGGAAACAAAGCCATAAAGTGGATGTGACTTTCACGGCAAAAAGTTTCTTTTGCCTCTGAAAGCACCTCCCAGAAAGGACCCAGTGGGAGTGAAAGGATGATGTTGACCATAACCCTGTTGCTTTGATTTGGGGAAAACTCATAAAACATGAATTTCCTGGTTTTGGTAGTCCCTCAGTACCCAATAATTTAGAAACTGTTCCTTTTTCCCCAAAGAGTAAGTGGTGCACTCATATTAAAAAAAAAAAAAAAAAAAGAAGAAGAAGAAAAAAGAAAAGAAGAAAAAAATAATTCAAATCTCAGAGGCAAATTAAGTTCAGTGGTGAAACCTTAGAAGACATAGTATTGTTTTTCTTAAGACCATGCAGTGAGAAAATAATTAGTTCCTGTTTAAGAATCAATTACTATTAATACATTAGCCTTACCCTTGATTGATTATAATAGTATTACATTTATTTTTATTGTTATTAATGCCATCATAAAGCTCATGCTGGGGAAACAGAAAAATAATTTCCAGAGGGTTATTCTTTAGTCTTATAGGGAGAATAATTTACTTAGGTGATCTGGATTATTGCTAGTGTGTCATCAGGCTCTGTCTGTGAGACATAAAGTAGGGTAAACCTGAAAATGAAGTTTTACCTCCGGCTTGTAGCTAGACAAAACCAGAGAATCCAGAAATCTGCAAGAAACAGATGCTGGTTGAATAACAGACACTGGGAGGGCAGAACAGGTAACCTTGATTGAAGTTACAGCCAGGCATGCTTCATTTCAATTAAAAGGTTTCAATAATTTCCATTGTTCAACAATGGTAGTAGGGTAGCCAACACCCTGCTTGTTTACTCAGGACTCAGGGCATCCCTAGGATGTGGGATTTTCAGCCTTAAAACCAGAAAAGTTCTGGGGAAGTCAGGCCACACTGGCTACCATAACAACAGATTGAGAAAGCTTTTAAAGTAGTGAGTGCTCCCTCACTAGAGGTGTTCAAGCAGAGGCTGACTGATCAGTTCTCAGGGATGTGTCAGAGCAGTCTTTGTTTCAATGAAAGAGAGTGAGCTCAACAACTTCTGCAGGAGCCATCCAAGTCTGAGACACTGAGAGCGTCTACAAAGAAAAGTGATCTGTGCTAGATCCAGCCTTATTGCTAAATCCTCTGGATTTATAAATCCTTTCATATTTAGAACTCAAGCGAATTGAGTTTTCCAAGAAGCGCCTTAATCCCTCAGAGAAATTTCCGCAAAAAATCATCAATCACGAAAATATTTTATACAGAGGCAGACATTCAGAATATTACAATGATAAAAGCAAAGGATTTGGAATCAAAAGACTCATGCTTTAATTCTAAGTCTAGCACTCACTAGATTTGGACAATTTGTTTAATCTCCCTGATCATTGAACTTCTCACCTCTGAAATGAAGATAATAATGTTTACCCTGCCTGTCTCTTGGGGCTGTTGGAAGGACCATACAAGCTAGTGTATGTCAAAGCATTGTGAACTGCAAAGCACACTCATGTTAATTGCAGATTTTTTTTGACATGATTCTGCCTATCATTCTAAGGTGTTGACAAAGCTTGTATTGTGCTCATAAGCCAAATAGGTGTGTACAAGTTGTATTACGTAAAATAGGCTAAACTATGGCACCAAAATAATGACAAAATATAAAACAGATCAATCCCAGTGCAGGTATTTCTGGTTGGCATTGATTGTTTATTGCAGTAATTCATAGGCTCAAAGATTGTCTATGAATTACTGTGTCTTTGAAACTTTCTAGTTTTTGGCTCTGACATTCCCTACAGTTTCACTGCTCTCATCACTGCTGGTAGGACAGTGAAAAGAAAATATGGAAATGGAATATTTCTCAAAAGCTGTATGCAGAAATGATACCTATAAGTTCACTGACATCCGTTGGCTAGAATTCAGCCACCTTGCTAAACCATACAAGGGAAGAATCTGTCCTAATATGTGTTCGGAACTGTTGGAAGGACCACGGGAAGTAGGACACATCAAAATATTTTGAGCTGTAATGTTCATGCACATAAGCTTTAGGTTCATTCATTGTGACTCTTCCTACTATCCTGGGAAGCTGAATATAGCTTTTAATTTTAATGAACAGTCATCAGTTTCTGCTTTAAAATTTCCATGGCTGTACCACATTTGCAGCTATTGCTTAACAAGTTCTCATGTTTAGATTTAGTTCCTGGTACCAATGTAGGCCCATACACAAACATGCTATAAGCAACTGGGAAATGCCTAGATGAGACTGAGAATAAATATTAATTTCTAGATCTCTGGTGTCTTTCAATTAATTAGTTCTGCATTTACAGAGTACCTACCATGTGTCAGGCATGTTGCTGGTATTGGATACTCCAAAATGGGCAAACCATGGTACCTGTTCTCAAGAAGCTCACGGGCATTGTTTCATTTACTTTGCTTTCCCCAGGGAAAAATTTTTCTTTCTCCCATATTGCCCACTATGCATAAATATTTAAACTTTTCACTCAAACTTGGGGAAGAAGGGTTTAACTTCATCTTACAAAACCAGCCCATGTTTCTCTTCCATCATATTTCTTAGTCCTTCTCTACCCAATGAATATCTGTTGCTTTAAGAAAAAAAGTTTCAGCCAGGCGCAGTGGCTCACGCCTGTAATCCCAGCACTTTGGGAGGCCGAGGCGGGTGGATCACGACGTCAGGAGATTGAGAACATCCTGGCTAACATGGTGAAACCCCGTCTCTACTAAAAACACAAAAAATTAGCCGGGCGTGGTGGCGGGCGCCTATAGTACCAGCTACTCAGGAGGCTGAGACAGGAGAATGGCGTGAACTTGGTAGGCGGAGCTTGCAGTGAACGGAGATGGCACCACTGCACTGCAGCCTGGGCGACAGAGCGAGACTCCGTCTTAAAAAAAAAAAAAGTTTCAGTTCAGTGACAGGTACAAAGCAATATCTACAAGAAATGCTCAGGAGATAGCAATTGTGAGTTAGGGTGTAAGGCTTCTTTCCACCTTCCAGTATCAACTGGGATGCTTAGCTCACCGCTAAAGAAACCTATTTTCTCAACTTACCCAGGAAGTAAGCAAAAACTGATATTTTCTCTAAAGAGGAGCCCAAAGTAGGGCTTGGACAATTCACTGGTGCAACGTTGACATCAAGGAAGAAAGATGTTTGTGTCAACATTGTCACCCCGTATGTTCCTTTTGAGTCACAGATGACTTCTTTAATTCTAGGTGGCTAGACAGAATACCTAAGAGAAGAAGAAAGGCCATCTCATCACAGCTGTGCCATTATCGGAGCAGGAAAATTCTCTACAGAAGCCCCCTTTCACATTTCTTCTTTGGCCATGATGGCGTCATATTCCTAATCAATATTGCAAGGGGGATGGAATTCCTATGACTGATCTAGTTAAATACAAGGCTGGGTGTAGGAGAGTATATTTTCCAAACAAAATATTTCTCCTAACAAGAAAAAATGATGGTATTTACCTTTGGTTTAGAAAATAGCACTGTTGGTTATACCATCAATACCCAGTTTCGTCCTTGAGGGTCTCTTTACCTACTCTGGCTTTATTTTCTACTGCTTTCCTGTATTATGGTTTGGCGATTCTCTCATTTCTCTTTTTCACACTATTTACCTTCTATCTCCTTGCTATACTTCCTGCCTTGACCTCTTTAGACTTGGCTGTCTCACTTTACTGGTACATAAAAGCAAGCCACAGAAAGTGTTCAGAGACTGCACATCACATACTCTGCTGAGACAGATAGGATTGTGGCATTTGCGAAGAATACTGAGTCACATGGATGTGAAAGGTGATAGAACATTGCCTTCAATAAAACAAGCTCTGAGTTCTGCGGGTAAAATTCCTCATTCAGGAGCTTTAACATTTCCCTTTTGACATACTCCACCACAGAATACTCATAAATGAAATCTTAATTCTACAGTTGAGAATTGGTGTTTTTCCTGGGAGTTCCACAGCATTGCAGCAAGGGCCTCCAAAGGAATAGGTGGATTTGAGCAGGAGGCCTGGAGCATTCCCCACATATTCAATCCTGTCTCATGTTTTACCCAGAATATCTCTGCTTTATCTGTCTCATATATATATATATGTCTAATTATATGTATATAATTAGACTACCACATAGTACTTCTTTTGAACAAAAAACGACTCTTAAAGACAACCATTTAGGAGTTCCTCATTCTTTTTGGCCTAAACCTGTTTGTACTATATCTTATTTTCTCACTCGCAAACTCTTGTCTCCATAGGCTATCTTTGATCTTACCTTCAGACAGACTCTTAAAAATTTAATACATGTTCTGATTCTGCCTCTTGGCTCTTCACATAGGATTTCTCTTAGTAGGCAATCGTCCTCCTCTCCCTACCATCTCCCAAAGGCCAAATGTCTTCCGTTATCTATAATAAGAACCTACAGAGGCCGGGCATCGTGGCTTATACTTGTAATCCCAGCAGTTCGGGAGGCCAGGGTGGGTGGATCACTTGAGGTCAGGAGTTCGAGACCAGCCTGGCCAACATGGCAAAACCCTGTCTCTACTAAAAATACAAAAAAATTAGCCAGGTGTGGTGGTGCACACCTGTGATCCCACCTACTTGGGAGGCTGAGGCATGAGAATTGCTTAAACCTGGGAGGCAGAGGTTGTAGTGAGCTGAGATCGTGCCACTGCACTCCAGCCTGGGCGACAGAGTGAGACTCTGCCTCAAAAAAAAAAAAAAAAAAAAAAAGAACCTAAAGCTTTGATTTTCAGCTCAGCTCTTTTTTTCCACACCTTAGCTAGTTCCTGGTGACAACTGTTCCACTGTCCTCTGTAGCATGGAGGAAGGATTTGAACACTGACAGAATTTTTCTAGACTGATTCTTGAAGCTCCCTTGAAAACAATTCTGAGGGTCCCTTAAATCTTTGTTAACAGCTCACAGCAATTCTTCCTTCCATCTCAGTTGTGATTCTCCCTCTGCCTCAAGCTGTCTTTTACTGGGAGAATTTTTACTTTAAAAAACCTATACTTATATTTCAAAGGCCAAATACAGTTTTTTTACTGACTGAAATCTCTACTATGTCTACTTTTGGCTCTTTAAATATGGTAAATATCTTGCTTCCAGAATCTGTGGAATTTTTGTCTCTTGAGACATGTGAAATTGAACTGGACTTGGTCTTCAAAAAGATGATTGTTGTGTTGGTAAGAGGATGGAAGGGATGACCTGGAAGGTCTACTCCAGCTCTGATTCTGATGATGTGATTCTAACCAGATGGGGCCAATGGCATATTAGACGTCTATTGATGCTACCTCTGTGCTTTTCATCCTGGGTTTATTCTTCTGGTAACTGTATATTTTTCTTGGCCAGCCTCTCCATTTGTGATGCACAGCATGTGCGTCACAAAAGCTCTTTATGTCCCACATGGAGGAGGCTGCAAGGATCTTGTGAAGGAACTGAGCAAATCAGATGTCTGCATCTACATTTTCGTTTTCTTATGGAAACCCTGCGATCCTTCACAGATTGCGGCTTTTAGTGTATATTATTTATTTGAATATGGCCAAAGACATGACTTCTTAATGTTATGGTGTCATGTCTGTGTCTGAATAAAAATAATAAACCATAACACAATATCACACCATGTATGATTTTTCCTTAATAAGAGCACAAGGTAGTTATTAAACAGTAATTTAAAGACAGTTGGACAGTCATTAGATAAATATAACTTGTTTGGAGACCAGATCTTTTATGACTTAAGCAATTATATTTTAGGCATTACATATTCTTGGAAAAATGTGTACTTCTATATAGTTTTTTTTTTAATTCATCTGCTCATGCTACATGGGGAAAAAAGTGAAAAAGAAGATGAAATCTATTGGTGATATTAGCTGAGGGATTTTTTGTAGCATATTGTGTAGGTCATAACTACATATCATTGTGTTTCATCATGGACCCAGCCATAAACAGAAAATGAAGGCTGGCTCTAGAGGTGAAAGCATTTGTGCTTAGAGAGAACTGTGCCAGTTATTATGGGACATTGCTTACGGTAAGAAAAATCTTATCTCTCCTATTTATTTTCCACGTTGAAAAGCAACCCATGGCACTCACTTGTCTGGCCATCTTCTTGTGCTAGAACTTCCTGCCTCACCATTTAATATAGGATAAAATTAAAATTTCTTACACGAACACATCATGTTTTCCTTCATTTTACCTCAATTTTTTTTTCTAGTCTCATTATATCTTGATATTTCTCCCTAAATAGTAAGCTAAGAAACCTAAAACTGTTTGCCATTCCAAAACACTTTCTAGCACTGGTCTACCTTTTTTTTTTTTTCTTTGGTTTCTTACCCCAGTCATCTGCTTTTAGGCAACTCCTATTCATTCTTTGAAACATAACCTAAATGCCCTTCTGTTTCATTCAAAGCATTCATCAGACATCTTGTATGTGCTGGATGCTAGGGGTGTCCTTGCCCTCATAGAGCTAGTTTAATCAGGTAGAAAATACAGGAGACGTAATAAGCAACTGCAGCACAGCATGCACTTTATGATGAGTTATCTATGCTGCTCTGAGATGGCATGAATGTAACATGGTTTTATAAAATTCTTTCTTGATTTAGTTTTGAAGTCCCCGCTGGAGGCTGGTCAGTTTCTTTTCTTGAACAGCTAATTAACTCCATACCCCCAACCACTTCCTTATCAGGCTTTCACATGCCTGAACACTATCCACCAGCCTAATCGCCCCAGGGCCAGGTACCAGACAATCAGGGATGACCCCATGCCTCAGAGCCTACTGAAGGTATTCAGACTCGCTAATTCTGAGCCCGTGTACTCTGTATTCCCTGTTTCTTCCCATGGAAACCACCATAAAGATACTTGCCCATGATTTTCCTTTCTCCCTCTGCTTTGACCCTGAGTGGCATGTAGTACTCTTACCCAAATCCTGTAATGTACACAGGAAGAGTAGTCAAGAGATCACAACCTTCTTTTTAAACTTATCATCACTGGCCTGAATCCTTGATTCATTTTTCTTGTGTTGTCTGCCATATTACAAACTCCTTTGGGCAGAGACTTTATTATTTATCTTTATGCTCTGGGACCTCACAGAGCCTGGCATACAGTACATGTTCAATAAATATCAAATAGTAATAAGGTAATAGAATAAGCGAATAAATGAATACCACGAAATGGCACTATTTTTTTGGTCTTGTCTTTTTGAGAGTTGCCTTTTATCCAATTCTGCACCATGTTGATTGTCTCAAATACATGAAATTTAATATAATACACTCTTTTTTTCAAGTTTAAATCATTTCCACAAGACCAGTAATTACTTTGTAAGAATAATGCCCAAATATTCTGACCTTTCCTCTCTATTCTGAAAGTGAAAATTATCAGTGAATGAATTAAGAATTCATTGCATGCTTTTCTCTTAAATGAATGAGATTTCTAGCAGATGTTTGAACTGTTAACAGTTTTTGCCACGACCCTATCAAACCTGACTGCAAGAAGCCTCTGAGAAATTTCTCACCCATTTCTTTTCTCTGGCTGGGGGTTGCAGTATGCTCTCACAGTTTTTCACTTCACTGTGGCTTGTATCTTTCCAACATAATTTTATGTCCAACAATGACATGAACTTCCTTGGAAGTACTGATGTCTATTGCTGGATGTCTGAAGCAGCAGTGGTTCACTTCTATCAGGATAACTTTCATCAGCAGGCAGATTAAAATAACACTTTTAAAATGTTTTTTTTTTTCTATATATAAAACTTAAGCAATTCTCCACACTTTGAGGGAGGATGAACTGTTCTCAAAATGCTGTTAGTCAGAAGCTGAATAAGACCCCATACTGGCATCAGGAAAATATTTAAATGATTCCCTTCTAGTTATTTTAGCAATAATGGAATTCAGCTCAGGAAGTTTATGTTAAATGTAATCTCACTGGAGTTTTCAGTGAGCTTTTCACCTTGCCTGATGGATGATAAAGAGTCAAGGCCTCTTTCAGCGGAACTGTACTCTTTTTTTATTACCCTCTCTCCTATTCTGACTAAAGAGCACATTTGATATAAATGGAGAGTTTCATTTAAACAGATCACAATCCAATTTGAATTCTTCTTATCAGATTGGACTACTCAAAAATGGTGCAGCAAGAGATTCAAACCTTGCTTGCTCACAAGGTTAATATTTACAAATATTGACTTCTGTTGAGCCCTTTGGAACTTAAAAAATAGTCTCTTGATTTCTCAGTGATAACACAGGAGGGATTTTTGTTTTGTTTTTTTAGTTGGGCAGTGCACAATTTTATATTTTTACTCTGAAAGCTGGTTTGCAAGGAGGTGCATAAATATTATTTATCAAATTACTAGCATTTTTTGCAATGCAACTTATGTTTTTATAATGACACCAGATTAAGAAGAGTGAAAGAATTGAGCTGCAAATCTAAGCTTTGCACTCCCAATCTTATGTTGGAATAATAAATTCAGTTCAGCCATAACTTACTGAATATGTCTAATATTTCTGAAAATGTCTGAGATATTACTGGATAGGTCATAGAAGAAATATGGAGAAATGGAAACTAGAATGATCTGTGTGATTCTAGGTAAGTCTTATAATCTTGCTGTTCCTTCTTTTTTCTCTGTCAGATTCAGAGAACAATTTCTGCCTTGTTAGTTCTATAAAGTTAAAGTAAAGCTCACATATGACAGTGAATGTGGAAGTGACATGCAATTTGGAAAATAAATCAGGCTTATTCACTCTGAAGTTGAGAGAGACTTGGAAGCAGGATCTGACTCAAAGTAATATTTGTACTCAAACTGACTAGTCAACAATAAGGTATCTTTCATTTGATAATCAGCCTCAGGGAATGTGCAAATCCATACCATTGCTTGGACCTTTTCTCTTCCATTTCCTATTTAATAAATTTCCATCTTGGGTCACATTATTTTGGGAAAGTTAACTAATCAAGTAAACTTATTTAAGGTGAAGTGTTAATGCATGGTAGTGATTGAATGCTATGTATTTTCATCTGTACACAGGGATGGCAAAGCTTCAGAAAAGCTACACACACACACACACACACACACACACACACACATCCATAGATGTCCATACATATACACATATTTAATTTAATTCATAGATATTGAAAAATAAAATTCTTATATTAAAATCAATATGGACAAATTTTAAATTATGTCAATAATTTAAAAAACAAATTCACATGAAATTTTAAGATTTAAAAAAAAACTTTAAATGAATTGCATGCTTTTTGTAGGATGCTATGGTTGTGTTTCCACAACTTCCAAGGGCACAAGTAACTTTTTTCTGTCATTAGACTTCAAGGAAAATGTTTTACAAATACTGGCTTAAGAATTGACTCCTTAAAAATAATCTATTTATAGAGAGGGAATCCTAGAAGCCTCATCTTCATAAGTGATGACTCATACAAAGTTTAGTGGCAAGACGCAGGTATTTTAGAATATGCATACAACTTATAGAGAAACAGAGATGCAGAAACAGACAGTGAGAACTCAAAAGAGAAATGGAGAGGGGAGCTAGGAGAGAGAACTTTCAGATCCATTCAAACCATATTAATCTGGAAAATCATTTGACTATTTTTTTTTGTTTTTTTTTTGTGTGTGTTTTTGCCCAGACTTTCTAGAATGAAATTAACCAAGACTGAGCTCTTTCCAGAGTAGATTTCATCATTTTTGTATAGGAGAGGCTTGGTGGGATAAATCTGTTGAAACGGGTGCTTTAAGCTGAGGGTACATGCTGTGAATATATGTCTACTGTTCACAAAATGAAATGGAGAGATGGCAGGATGAAGGGGAAGGGAGATGATGATGGGGATATTTAAAGTCTTTTAGCGCTTTGTCTCTCTTTGGGCTATTTTGAAGCTCTTGTATATTTTGACACTTTGGATATCTCTGGAAGGTAGAATGGTGAGTCGGGGGATGCAGACCTCGCTTGCTCACAAAAACCACCTGGTGTGATTGTTTAAATTTCACAAACTTAACCCAGACTTATCCAGATGAGATCTCTTAGACAGAGGCCTGAAAATGTATATTTTTATTAAGTGCTTCAGGTTATTTTTTGAATCAGAAACACATAGGAAATACTGGTTTAGTAGAAAAAGATAGAGGTTTGGAGCCAGACAGACCAAATAAAAATCTCAGCCACTTAGTAGCTATGTGACTTTAACTAAAGCAGTTTATATTTCTCTAGAATGAAAATTATAAATCCCTTTCTTATAGGATTGAATCAAGTCACAGAAAAGCATCCTGCGGGCAACCCCTGACATAAAGTAGACATTCAATACACACTTGTTTTCCTTTCACTCTTCCGGGAACCTGATGTTTGTTTTTCTGTTTTCCTTTCTGTGCTGGCTGCTTAGCACTGCTCCATCACTCATGGGAAGACCCTGACCTTTCTCTTCAGTGAACATGGATGAAGTTCAGGCAGCATCAGCATGCACAATGAGTGAAGCAGAGATTCCCTGAATTCAGTAGAATTTTATCTTAGACAAATGTCTACACTTATTTTGTGTTTTGTATACTATCTTTGCTGGGGTTGTTTCAAAAATTAGAAAATATTTTAGTATTAAAATCTCAAATAGATCTCCCCAAATAAAACAAATTAAAAAACCTCAACCCAAAAGATAAACCTCTACCCATGCCAAGCACATCTTATTTCCTCATTATTTTACAAAAGATTCAAACTGCAAGATGATAAATAATGGCCACTAGAAAGAAATGCAGCAAGAGGGATGAATATTTACATAGTAATAAAGTGGATATCATTGTTCCATTGACAAGGTGATTTTTTTAAATGGAGAGATCAGTTGTGCATTCAACACACACTTCAGAAACACCTATTCAATATCACTGTGTAGCAGGCACTGCTGAATACTAGGAATAAACACAGTTTCTCACTTCAAGGATTTTACAAATGTAAAGGTAAATATATGATAGGAATATATTATATTGGTGATGTGAGTAGTTTTAACAAGTCTTTATTTCCATAGGTTCGTACTAACTCAAGAGTTTAGATTCCAGATAAGTTTGGAATCTAAAGCCTTTTGCATAGATATGCTGCCATTATAATCAATATCATTTCATTCCTCTCAATCAAACCAAGTTATATACACATTATTAGTGTTCTACAAAAAATGCATAAAAGTTCTCAACTCACTTTGCCAATACGTTTTACATAGCAGCCGCTGTTATTAACTCACTACTCTCTGCCAACCCTTATTAAATACTTGTTCATAAATAGATTGCAAAGGTCTTCTATACCCCAAGGTAAAAGAGGGAATTAACATTTATTGAACATCAACTA
Source organism: Homo sapiens (assembly GCF_000001405.40). Lineage (NCBI taxonomy): Eukaryota > Metazoa > Chordata > Mammalia > Primates > Hominidae > Homo > Homo sapiens. Next base: position 12,960,934 of record NC_000004.12, on the reverse strand, counting down.
GGTGCCAAGTTTATTACACTTATTTTCCATCCTCAAGGCTATAGCAAGTTGTCTTCTAAGGACTTGGGAACAAGGAACACAAGATTACCTTCTGAAGGCTCAACTACAAAGTCAGCACATGATGGAGGAAATTAGCCCTAAAAGAACCAATCTAAAATAACAGGGTGGAAATGCCTCAAGAGGTTAGTCAATCTTGAGGTAGCTCTGGACCTAACAAAGACTAGGCTACACCTGCCCAATAAGGTTGAATCACAGGCAATGATACTAATAAACTCTAGGAGAGAAAACATACCATCTGAGGTTGGTCTGAATATGTGTAGTTAGTACATCCAAGAGAATGTAAATAAGGACCTGGCCAATTTGTTCTAGCACTGCCTGGAAGACAGGGAATCTTGGTCAACCAGAAGTTGTGTAGGTCATTCTTAAATTGCCAAAGTCCCAAAGTCATTCCCATTTTATAAACATATAGAAGATATCTCAGAGGATACCTTTTCCCAAGATTATTACATTTCTATGATTCTGACTTTCTACTTACCTAAGTAAAATTCTGATTAGGACTTAGCTTCCTAAGGAGAGTGATGGCAGAAAATAGGCATTCATCATGAAGATTTCAAATAATTGAATTCCTGGAATACATTTTTTTCCTGATTAAAGTTTTACACTTACATCTACCCCTTAGAATCTAGATAAGATTGTTTCAGCCTCCCACTTCATGCTTCGTTTAAAGTTTAATGCTGTTTCTAATATTTCTGTGAGTTCATGCTGAGGCAGAGAGGGCAGGTTTACATTCATAGGATTACCTTTGGTTCTAATTTGCTAAATTTCCCCACTTTGGATCTTCTAGTTTTTCCTTTACATCTTCTCAGCCATTGATCCAGGAAAATCAACCTCTTTTCTTCATAAACACACAAAAAATGTCCAATATATATAAGGCAAGAGTAGGCATGAGATCTTCCCTGAAGTTTTGAGATAGTGGAACTTTAGGGCAGAGCAAATAACATTAAACTGAGCCTTAGGTATCCTTGTTTCCTTTCATTATCCTAGTGGTTTCTTCTTTGAAATCCCCTTCCCCCATTCTCTACTCCTTCAGTCTTAGACCGGACCACATACCTACCTGGAGAAACACACACACACATGCACACACACACGCACACACACTTTCCCATTTTCTTGAGAAGATATTTTAGCTTTCTCCAGCACCTACCTAGAACCCAACTGAAGTTTTGAAGTATCTACCAATGAGGATATTTTCAAAATAGGTCCTCTTTTACAGCACAGTTTTAAGATATGGTTCAAGATCAGATTTCCAGTTACAGTAGCATTCTGTTGTCTGCCTCCATCTTCTGTATGTTTTAGTGTGTTTCTTATAAAGTGATCACCTCTAGGGCTGTCATAGACTAGATCACTTGGCTTTCAGAGCAGGGGCCTAGATCCAGGATTTGAGGTCCAACTCAGCCTTGGCTAGACTATCTGCCATTCACAGTACAGGCTCTCTTCTCTCTGCCATAGTTCCTTATACTTATGTGTTCAGTTGTCTCTAAGGCTCTGGTTTCCAAGGCAAGTAGCTTAGATAATGTCTTTGAATAATTACAGCTTCTCTAACACCTACAAATGCCAGAAATTATTACTATTCTCAGGTTACAGCTGATTGAACTGAGGCTTAATGGAGTTCAGGTACTTGCCCAAAGCTGCATAGCATGTCGCAAAGCTGGAATTTATCTTCAGGTCTAGCTCCATCCTTGTGATCTTTCTGTAGCACCAATGAAGCTTGCATTTTACTAAGACCCTGTTTCTGTGTCTAGTGCTGCAAATATTCCTTAAATTAAAGTACAAATGATTTTTTACAAAGTCCCTTCTATAACTCTGCTGAGATATTACTCTAATGTGGGATCTTTAAAATTGTTCTTCAAAAGTTCAAAGAGACATCCTTTGTCAAAAGGACTAGCAAAACTACCGTCACTTGTCTATTTCACTTCCAAGACACATAATGCAAATGCACAAAGCCCAGTTGTCCCATTTTCCCAGAGCAGGCATGAGGTCAGCTACATGTGGTTATTTGGAGTTAACGTGTGACAAAGTAGAACATCATATTTGTGGCAGAAATATGTAGCTCAGCCCAAAGAGATCCACTGCAGTTGCACTTAATGCTTTCAAGAACAATTTGAGAAAACTGAGCTGAAACTAGGAAGTAGGATGCTTAGAAGATCTTTGGCAGCATTGATTTATAATGATTTGAATTGCTGTATTCAATCATATCTATGGCTATGGTTCCAAATGCAAATTTCTTGATAAATGTCCAAACTACATTTGGGGAGAGGAATAATTGCACATTTTTAGGGATGTGATCAGTATTCACTGCCCCTCTAGAGAGTCAGCTCTTTCTAGTTTAAGTTTAGAACAGAGTCCAGGGTCAATAAATATTTGAAGAATGAGACTTCAGTTGGAAATTTTGGGGGAAGGCTTACACATTGTAAGAAAGGCAGGAATGGAAATCCTACCCTCATTCTATAGAGTATAGAGAGGCTATCAATAAACCATCTTTATTTCATTCCTTAATACTTAGCTGGAATGGGTTTCTACGAAGTCATTGCTTATTGCAGCTTGCATCTGTAATTCATGATGTTTCCTTTCTGACATGGGTCTTAAAGGAGCCTGAGTTATCATATAGGATGAACAGAAGAAAAGGTGAGCATTAAAGGCAAAATAGATGGCAAGGTCAGAAAAAAATCTGGTTATAGGAGGGGAGGAGTCTTTTGAAGAGCAGTGAAGAGCTCAGTGAGGCAAAGGGAGTATATAGATGACAGAGTGGTGGGAGAGAGTGAGGAAAAGAGAAAAGATTGGAGAGATAGGCAAGAATCAGACCATGGAGGCACTCAATGTTATGTTCAAGAGCCTGGCCTTATCTTATAGATAACACCTACTGGTCAACTAATCATAATTCCTATTAATAGAACTTTCCTCCTAATCAGCGAGGCAGGAAAAACAAATAATCAGCAAAGATCAGGTAGGGAAATACAAATAAAATAGGTTGAGGTAGAAAGAACAAAATTATTACAGTCAGAAAGACCTGGTTCAGATCCCAGGTGGGAGCTTAGACAAAGCATCAGTTTCTTCTGGTAACAACAACAATTCCAATGTTACTTGTAAGAAATAAATGACGGATACCCAAGTCCTTGTCTATTGCCTGGCAAGTAATAGTTGCCCCCAAATTACATCCACTGAAAGATCTATATGATGGTGGAGTCAAGGGTAAGAATGACATGCATGCAGGCTAGATAATTGCTTTTATTGTGACAACAACAATTACCTTAATAATAATACTAGATAATATGTATTGAACACCTGGTACATGCCAGGTACTGTTCTAAGCACTTTACATGCATTGACCCATTTCACTTTCATGACAGTTCTATGCAGTATGCATTATTATCATTCTTTTGCCGATGGGAAAACTGCAGCAAGGTGAGGTTAGGGAACTTGGCCAATATCAGACACCTAGCAAATGGCAGAGCTAGGATTTAGGGCACCCTGCCTTCATATCTACACTCCTAATCACTACCTCATACCATATTATGTTTGCATAGTGGCTTCTAGCAAAATACATGACACGTAGAAATTACTCTGTTAATATTTATTTAACATGTGGATCCAGGATCTATGTTGAAGGTTATCTTTTGAGATAAGCACACATTGCTTCATTTTATAGCTGGGTACACTGAGGCTCAGTTTGCCTAAATAACTTAGAAAGGCCACAGATATAGTAAGTTGTGGCGCTGTGTCAGGAAATTGGGTTTCCTGTATTCCAGTCCAGAGCTGACTCTCTTGGTTGGTATGGGAGAGCACCTGAAAAAATATTTCTCATCATCAGAAACAGTCATTTGGGACACTCGAGATTTTGTGAGGTACTGCCTTCACTTATAATTGCAAAAAAGGTAAGATAGCATTAGTTATTAATAATACTACTTTTATTACATGTGAGTGCCACTTTACAGTTCACAAGATGTTTTTGCAGACATTTTCATTTAATCTTCGTCATTGCCTGCACTGACCCTGGACTTTAACACTAGGTTGATTCTTTGAGAAACATACCTCTGTAAACAAACATCCATTACAAACAAATATTCAATGCTACTAAACGTCTGCAGTTCGAGGCAATAACTTTGGTCCTTTCTTCTCTTTCCGAACTCCTCACATTACCTGTAGTTTGATTTTACCTTCTTAGTGCTTACTTTTATTCCATCTCCATCCCATCCAAAAATACCTCTTTTCCTGACTCAGTGCTTAGCATTTGGACCTCCACTCTCCTGCCCGGGTTCTAGTTGAATCTGTACTTTGTGTCTCAGAAGCTCACATATTAAAAGAATAAAGTCCCTGATTCAGGCACCATCTGTCCCAAAGCTGATGATCAGTCAGGCCAGCCTCAGCCCCAGTCGAGGCTGTGGGGTTAAAATTCATGTATTCACAGATGAAGAAACAGGCTCAGCAAGGTCATGCAACTTGCTTGAGATTGTAGCAGAGCTTGTTGGTTGTCTCTCAAAACCCGTTTTTTTTTTTTTTTCATTATTCTTTATTATATGACTTGTGATTTTTAGCTGGGCACATGCCTGAAATAAGACCCAGCCTCCCTTGAAGTTAGTTGTGGTCACATGGCCAAGTTTTAGGGAAAATTTTGTAAGTGGCAGGTGGTTGTGGTGACACAGAGAACAGCTGCCCTACACACTCTTCTTCCTTTCTGATGGTTGGAATGTGGACAGGGTGGCCTGGAGTCCAAGCAACTATCTTAAGACGTGAGGTGGAGGCTGCATGTTGAGGATCAGTATAATAGTGGTGCAAATATTCTATGAATTAAAATACAAATGCTCTTTCACAAAATCCCTTCCACATCTCTGCTAAGATATTATCTAAGAAAATGTGAGGAGCTGGATCCCTTATGATCATTCTTATCTTATCTTGGATAGCTTACTTCTGGACTCTGTTATATTAGAAATAAATAGACTTCTATTTCGTCTGAGCCACTATTATTTTAGATTTATTTTTTGTCTCTCAGAGTTGACCTAAATCCTAACTGATATAAGACCACACAGCTAGTTAACAGTAGAGCTGCACTTAAGGTCAGTTCTTTTGACTCCAAATTCAGTTGTTTTTATTTTACCCTATGGAAACTGGAACCTTCATCCACCTCACTTTCAGGGGCTCCTGTGAAGATGAAATAAGGAAACACGTAAGAGAGCTCTTTGTAAACGGTAAGGCCTCATTTGTATGCGAGCAGAAGCAACATTTTGCATTTGTGGAGAACCGTGGAAAAATACTTAATGTCTCAGCTTGCTTGTTGGTTGAACAGGTAGGGAAAAAAAATTTAAAAAGCAAAAAGCCATGTTGTGCTGAAGACCTGGATTCCGAATGAACCGGAAACTCCTTTGGCTGATTCTTGGGCAAAAGATGCCTTTCAAGTGGGGAAGGATGACTTACTCCTGAGCATCCAGGACCTCTCTGACTAGCTGTGGTTTAATGCTGCCCAAAGTTTTGTGTAAATACACCTACAGCTTAAGTAAAATAGGAAGGATTGGGAATCTGAATTGCCCTGGTTGGGATATTCTCTGTGTCCAACATCTGCTCATGAAGGAAATTGTATTAGTAATAAGTCAAATTCCTAGTGTTGGAATTTGAGTTGCTTCAGTAGTGAGTGGCCAGGTTTTCAGAGGCTTGTTTGCTTTATGAAGAGTATTGAGGCAGTCTTTGCTGGCCAGAAGTCTCTCACCAAAGACCGATTTTCACACAGGGCTTTTCATAGTTTTTGCCTTGAGCCAGGTTCAAATACCAAGTAGTCTCTTGGGGATATTTTTGCAAGTTTGCTCTTTTTCCTTTTGCAATTGGCAAAGGGCAACAAAAGCCAATGCTTAGAAGGTATGCATATGCCCCGAACACTTTGTTGGGCTCCTTTGAAAGGTGTTGGGTTGCATCTCAAAGCAAACCACTGTTTTGGAATATGCTGAAGTTGTTTTCAGTCTTCATTGCATAATTCAGGACTGGTAGTGCCCCAGTGTGAAAAGATAGGGTAAAATACAGTCATGACACAGAGATAGGTCAAGGAAGACAGAGACATAAAAATGAGATGAAGAAATCATGGTGATAATAATATGTAACATTCACTGAGTATATTTATGCACCAGGCACTGTGCTAGCACTTTACGTATGCTGTGGTAATTAATCCTCCTAATGATGCCACATGTCAGAATAACATTTAAAATATTTAAGAGCAAGTAGAACATAGATAGCATCAATGGGTGAAAATAAATGTTGCCTTAGTGCTGGGTCTGGGTCCTGGAAGCTCTGTGCCATGGCAGATACTAGCCCTATTGTGTCTGGATTGTGGAGGAGAGAATCAGGGTAAGAAGGAGAGTATGCTTACTGTGCCAATCTTCTCCGTTTGCTCCCCTCTCTGCTCCTCTTATCCCATCAGTTCTTTTTCTCTACTTCCCATTGCCTTCTAATCAAGCATTCTGGAGAGTGAGAGAATGGTTCTCCCACACATGGACTATACTAGCAGGGACTTCCAGCTATGATCTTGAAATAAAGAATCTGAACCTAACTTAAAGCAAGCTGGATTCAAAGAGCAGGGGAAAGGAGCATAAAAGGATTATCAATGATTTTCAGATCAACAGCTCTCAAACTGATCTCAAGATTCCTTTTAGTTTTAAAAAATATTGAGTACCTCAAAAAGATGTTTTTAAATCTTTATTTGTTATATATTAGCAGTGAGAGTTTTTGAAAGTTTATTAACACATTTAAAAGCAACAAGTATGATCACAGTTCTATTAAAAATCATCATTTTATATTTTTGCAAGCCTTTTACTTTGTTTTTTTCATTGCAAACATTTGTAATACTTGATTTAAAAGAAGACAGCTCCTCTCCTATCTGCTTCTGCATTCAGTCAGTGTGATAAATTGTTTTGGTTGAAATATATGTAGAAAATTCAATCTCTCTCACACAAACACACACACATAGTTGAACTTATAATCAGCTTTTCAAATAATTATTGATGTTCTTCTTTTGTACTATATCAACTTTCCAAGGATAATTTGTAAAAGATTAGTGTGTAATCTGAAATGATATTGATAAACTTTTGATTTTCTATTATACTAAAAGCCATTGTTTATCTTGATTTTTGAATGGATCTTTTATCTATGTTTGATTTTGTAATATTGTTCAATACTTGAAAATTTGGTTATTTGAATTATTCAGGTTTTCTAAATTAACACTAAGATTTATATTTGTTAATATCACCACCAACCTCATCAGAAAAGTCTGTAAGTATTTAGAAGCTGTCAATCTCATGGTAGAGGATACAGGGTTTCCAAAATTCTAATTTTGACTCAAAAGCTTGAATTTTATTATCGACAACAAATACCGTCATTTGTTTGCCTTGACTTGACAGCTTCACTTCATTCACTTTCAGGAAAATGTTTGCCAAATACCCAAGTTTGATTAAATATAGTTCGTCAGTTTTTATTTTGAATAAAAATGATGTTCTGTGAAAAACAAAAACAAAATAAAAAAAGCAGTAGTTCAGCTTGCAACTCAAATAACTGCAGCAGTGTTTGTCCTGGAGACAACCATCAGACTTCGTTCTGTAGCCAAAGTGTTTTGTGCATACTTCACATTTTACTACACAAAATATTAAAATGTGGCTTATAATCAAAAATTGAGATTAATAAAATCAATGTTTTAGTGCTTTTTCTAGGTTATTCTTAAGTGACACTGGCTTCTTTTCCTCTTTTAAAATTTCTTGCAAATATATAATGGTGAAAAATTGCTACTCAAATATGTAATAAAGATATTCACTCGGTTTTATTTTATTTTATTTTATTTTATTTTATTTTATTTTATTTTATTTTGAGACAGAGTCTCACTCTGTCACCCAGGCTAGAGTGCAGTGGCTTGATCTCAGCTCACTGCAACCTCTGCCACCCGAGGTCAAGGGATTCTCCTGCCTCAGCCTCCCGAGTAACTGGAATTACAGGCAAACGCCACCATGCCTGACTAATTTTTGTATTTTTAGTAGAGGCAGGGTTTCACCATGTTGGCCAGGCTGGTCTCAAACCCCTGACCTCAGGTGATCTGCCCGCCTTGGCATTCCAAAGGGCTGGGATTACAGGTGTGAGCCACCACTCCTGGACTAACTCAGTTTTCATATTTGCAGCTACATGTTTAATTTCACAAGTTACTGTAACTTGTGAAAGTGGTGGTGCTGTGATTTATTTTACTGACTTTTCATTCAGCAGGCATTTTGAAAATGTCAACTCTACATGGTTTTATTAAGCTCTTAGTTATTGAGTGTCCTCCTTTAGCCAATGCAATATATAATTTTTCCTATAAGATGCTTCAGTAGCTTTGTTTGTTTGTTTGTCTGTTTCTGAGATGAGGTCTTGCTGTGTTGCCAGACTGGTCTCGATCTCCTGGGCTTAAGTGGATCCTTCCAGGTAGAGAGGTGGGACTACAGGCACACATCACTGCACCTGGCTCGGCTTTTTCATGTTAGTTTGAAAAACTGTAACAGACAATTGTTGGCATAAGGAGCTCATTGTGCATTCATTTAGAATATTTGGTTTTCTTAAATTCTGAATGATTGATCTCTAAATGGCACCTCAATTTAACTGTCACCATGATACTATTAAAAAAGTATGTGTTGCTTAAGACACAATAAAGTAAAACACTTTTTGTTATAGTATCACTTTTTATTTTAGTTTTTTAAACATAATCTTTATATTATAGTTTTCTCAGTTTCTTTGGTGTAGATTCCTCTCTTGCATTGGTCAGAGAACACTGAAAAATCATTTTAATTTTTTTCAGAATGTTTAGATGTGGATTGAAATAGTATTTTAATCTCCCTTTTTAAGCAAAGGATTTATCTTCAAATACAAATGTAAGTAAGTACACAAATGTGTACTATTTCTTGTTGTGTTTTATGTAATTATAAGAAAAATTTTGGAATTTTCAACAAATGATTTTTTTGACAATAGTTAGACTACAATGATTTTAGCAGTTACAACCAAGTATAGCTAACAGGAGCACAGTAGAGGTTCTAGGAATAAATCTAGTTATCTCTGAAAATGTACAAATTTATTCTGTAGCACTACATCAGAAAATTCTAGATAATATAATATACAAATGCACATTCCATTAGCCATCAGAGTGACGACATTATTACATATTATAAAGAATTTGAAAAGGATTACTAAGGATTTCTGTATAGTTGCCCAAAACTGAGAATAAAAAGGTCAAATAATAGTACTACAAAAATAGTTTTGGCCTTATAGATCTCCTGAAAGGGTATTACAGAACATGGGACTACATTTTGTTTGAAAGTATTACTAGCATTTTAGGTTGAAGTATTTTCATAGACTGAAAGAAACATAACATATGAATTGATCAATGTTATTAATTGCATTTTATCCCTCCCCAAAAGATATGCTGAAGTCCTACCCCTAGTACCTCAGAATGTAGCCTTATTTGGAAATAGGGTCATTGCCAATGTAATTAGTTAAGAGGAAGTCATACTAGAATGGGGTGAGCCTACTCTGATATGTTTGGTGTCCTTAGAAGAAGAGGAGAGAATCATACTGTAAAAAGATTGCCATGTGACAACGGAGACAGAGATTGCAGGGTTTCAGCTGCAAGCCATAGAATGCCAAAGATGGCCAACCATCACCAGAAACTAGGAGAGTGGCATGGAACAGACTCCGCAAAGCCCTCAGTAGGAACCAACCAACTCTGCTAACCTGGGATTCAGCCTTCTGGCCTCCAGAACTTCAAGACAATATAAACATCTTTTGTTTTAAGAGTTGCTGGTACTTTGTTGTAACAACACTAGGAAACTAATACAATTAGAACACAATTAGCTTATCCTAAAGAGCCATAGGTGAGATAGACATTCAGGGTCTGGAGGTCCATCCTCATTACCCAGCAGCTCTTGGGTTTCCACCAACAGATGTTACCATTGCCAGGGCCCTGGGAAACTGTTTCACTCTTTGGAGTCCTGGGGCCGTTTAAAAGGAAAAACAGCCCTCCCTTGCTCACAGAAACCTAAACTAGTATACTAATGTTCTCTTGATGGCTGCCTGGATAGTATGGGACCAACACATAGGGTCTGAGGCATGTTTTTTCTCTAGCGTAGCTTCAAAGTGGATACTCTGAATAATGCTTAAGGCAGGAAGAAAAAAATAGCGTTCACTTTCATCACTCATCCAGCTGAGACCTTCATCCTGAACCCATATGTTTGCCTCAGGAGATCTCTTTTTATATTCTCCCTAGAAATCTTCCATATTTTGTGACATTCAGTTTGACATTTTGGGGTTTGGTTTTCTCCCCTGTGTCTAACATTCATTGATTATATCAAAATCAACCTATCAATTTACCAATCAGTAAAGGGACCAGTGAAGGCCAATTTCCCTTAGGAAAAGTGAACTGCAGATTATCACCAGCTGGCTGTGTTTAATAGACAGGGAAACTCAAATGACAGAGAAAGACACTTACATTGATTAATACTGGAACACAAAGAGAAAATAAATACTATCCAGAAAAGCACCTATTGCTTTAACCGGCAGCCCCTCCTCCCTCCCATAAAACAACCTCGTTTCTATTGAAGCTGTCTTCAACATGAGACCTCCCAATGACTTTAGCTTCAGAGGTTAGGAGCTTTCCCCTGCAACAAAACACAGCCTCATGCCTTTTTTTCCTCCTTTTTTTTTTTTTTTTTTTTTTTTTTTTTTAACTAATTCATGGTCACTACATGTGGGTTACCCTGGTATTACTCTTTCAGTACAGACACAAACTATTTTGCCACAATTAATGTTTTGGTCAACAATGTGCAGACTTAAAGCCCTGAGTTATATGACTAGGCAAATAAAACCAGACCACAAAATTTGGTCTACCCTGGTTGGCTATGATTCACCCATATGGGCAAGCCAGCAGCAGGCTTGCTGCTATCCCAACAACCCTAGGAAAATCAGACTGTCATATTATACTTCTTTGTCCCTTTATACAGATGCAGAGTCAGTCTGTTGAAATTGTGGAGCTCAAATATTTAACTTGTGTAATGCAGTGGAACAATTTCAACAGGTAGAGATTAGTCAAGTGTCCAAACTGAAAAACATTCACACATCACTTAGAGAAGTGTGAGGTTCTGGCCATTATCGCAGGAAGGGAGCAGCTTGGGAATCCATGATATTTACGGATTCCAAAAAATTAGTTATAATAGGTCTCTCATTTTTTAGGAGGCTCAAACTGAAAACTGAAAATTATTGATTTTATGAATAAATATATTTTCTTAAATGATTTAGAAAGCTCTGTTTATTCATTTACCGACAGTGTTTAGAATATATAGTAGCCAGTATGTCTGCAGATATATTTATGTTGGACTGTTTGGCTTGGCTTCACCTCTGTAATAATTTATAACAGTTTCAATGTAAACCCACCACTGAACAGGTCAAGAAGGTCCCGGATTTTAACCATCGTCGTTGTAGATAAACCCCCAGCACTGTTCCCACCACAGAGTTCCAGCTCATCCCTCACTATCAGGCCTGTGAAAAGTTTTCACTTAGGAAAGTTTAAATGTTAAGGAATTTTAATTCATTTTCTTGTTTCACATCTTTGTGTTCCCTTTTAAAAGCAGGTTATATTTAGTTTTAAGAAATAGATCTTTAGAGACCCTATTGAATTAAAAATTTTATTTTCTCATGATTTTTAAATTGATGAAAAAGGCTAATCTTTATGCATTTACTTATGCTGCATCTGAGTAATTGACAGATACTGGCCTTAAAAACTGAGAAAATAACTGACTTTCAGACATTCTCTTAATATGTGTCATATTCAGTCAGCTGATGAGACTCATCAGTGTTTGGACTATAGTTTTGCTGTCATTAATTTTTCTGGATTTTCTAGATATTTTATATTAGATTTATGTATACTTCTAGATATAATGTTGACAGACTCTTACTGTCAAAACATCTTTATTGTTAATATCTTATATTTCAGTTATGAAATCAGTAAAACTCCTTTAATAAAATTTAAAAATGTTTGTTTTAACTACCCATATAATATATGTATTATTTTGGCAAGTAGAAGAAATAGTGTCTTTCCCAAGGAAGAAAATCCAACTTTTTAAATAGCTTACAATATGCATTTGAGACAGAATGAGCATTTTAGAGGGAGATTAAACTGGTAAGAAAGGACTACTTAGCAGTGAGCAAAATGTATAGAGTCCTGGATCTTATGGTGAATAATCCCTGTAAAAGATGTTTCATAATTAGGAAACTTTTATATCACTAGTGTGTTGACAAACTGGTTGTCACACTCTGTTTAGGTAACATTTATTGTTCCTACATTTGTTCATCTACTTATTCAAAAAATATTTATTAGGCATCTATTCTAAATTCTGGCAGTATTTTCTTCTTGCATGGTTTTGGAAAGTAGGCGTTGTTACCTCAGGTTTGTCTCGCTCTGTCGCCCAGGCTGGAGTGCAATGGTGCAATCTTGGCGCACTGCAACCTCTGCCTCCCCGGGTTCAAGTGATTCTCCTGCCTCAGCCTCCTGAGTAGCTGGATTTACAGGCATGTACCACCACGCCTGGCTAATTTTTGTATTTTTAGTAGAGACGCGGTTTCACTATATGTTGGCCAGGCTGGTCGCGAACTCCTGACCTCAAATGGTCCACCTGCCTCGTCCTCCCAGAGTGTTGGGATTACAGGCGTGAGCCACCGTGCCCGGCCTCCTAGTTTTACAGATGATGAAAGTGAAGATCTGAGAGATTACTTAAGTTGCTCAATATTCACACAGCTAGGACACAGCAGAGTAGAGACTTGAACAAATACAGGCAATTACAGTCTGTCTGTTTCCAGAACAACGTCGGGTGGTTGTAAAGCTGGGTTCGAAATTAAACAGATCAGTACATGAATCCTGGTGAGTCTACTCGCCAACAGTGTGACCTTGGTCCAAGTTGTTCAACCACTTAAGACTAGTTTTCTCCTGTTTACATTTGCATTCATTTGTTCCCCAATCAGCTGAAGACTCAAAAAGCTAGGTTGAGCGTGGTTGCTCTCGCCTGTAATTCGAGCACTTTGGGAGGCCAAGGCAGGCAGATCACTTGAGGTCAGGCGTTCGAGACCAGCCTGGCCAACATGGTGAAACTCCATCTCTACTAAAAATATAAAAATTAGCTAGGTGTGGTGGTGGGCACCTGTAATCCCAGCTACTTGGGACGCTGAGGCAGGAGAATCGCTTGAACTGGGGAAGCAGAAGTTGCAGTGAGCCGAGACTGCACCACTGCACTCTAACCTGGGCAACAAAGTGAGACTCCATCTCAAAAAAAAGAAAAAAAAAATCCAAAAAGCTATACTCTGAGTGTGGGGCTGGATCTAGGAGTCTTTAACTCTGGGCATTAAACTTGAGAGGTAAAAGGAAGTTCATGATTACTGACTGGTTCACCAGGATAAGATATTCCTTAAGAATCTAAAAATTAAAGAACAAAAACTATAGCATTAAAATTAGATTTGTAATATTTCATAAAATTAACTAAAAAGAAAAACATAATAATAATCGAATTTTCTACTTTTTTCCACTATCGACCCCTAGTATTTTTCCACTAACTACCCTCTCTATATATGTAGATGCCTGTGTGTGTGTGCATGTATTTATATAAGTAGAATCACAGTATAATTTTCATAAAAACTGTGATGTAGATATAATATTTCCAAATGCATAATTTTAATGGCTATACAATATTGGATATATGGATGGACTATTCCTCATTTAATGACTATCAAATTGATAAAACTTTAACTGCAAGAAACATTCTTATGTATTTTCTTACTTGTATATTAAGCATCGCAGGAATAAATCTTGGAAATGAGATGTCTGAATCAATGTGTATGCCTCATTGAACTATTAATGCAAAATGCTCTCTAGAAAAATTGTGTGAATTTATACTAAGTATCCATTTTCTATTAACACTAAGTTTCTGTACCTTTAAAAACCTTTTGCCAGTATAATATGGGAAAAATTATAACTTTAAAAAAACTATTTACTTAGCACAATGAGAATGAATATCTTTTAAAAATGTGCTTTTTATTTTAGAACAATTTTAGATTTACAGAAAAAATTTGAAAATAGAGAATTCCCAGACCTATGTCTCCTATTATTAACATCTGACATTAGTATGGTACAGTTGTTAAAGCTAATGAACCAGCATTGATACATTATTATTAACTAAAGCCCATGCTTTTTTCAGATGTTCTTAGTTTTTACCTAGGTCCCATTTTCTGTCCAGGATACTATATTACTCTCCGTAGTCATGTCTCCTTAGTGTCCTTCTCATCTTAAGAGTTTCTCAGACTTTTGTTGTTTTTGATGACCCTGACACTTTTGAGGCATATTTGTCAGATATTTGCAGAATATCTCTTCATTGGGATTTGCCTGGTGTTTTTCTTATTATATTGAGATTATGTGCACAACAAGAGAGGTGAAGTGCTTTCATCAGAGTGTATCCAGGGCACATGCTGTCAACATGACTTATAAATGCTGGTGTTAACCATGTTCGCCTGGAAGAGGTAATGTTGGTCAGTTTCTGCACTATGAAGTTATTCTGTTTTTCTCCATTTCCATACTGTACTCATTGGGATGAATTCACTATGAATAGCCCCACACTTAGGGAGAGAGAAGTTACCCTTCATCTAACCTGAGAACTAGGTATCTACATAAATTATTTGGAGTTCTTCTGAAAGAGAGATTTGTCTATTATACATTTATTTATTTATTCATTCATTTATATATTTATATCGGTATGGCCTCATGGATATTTATTCTATACTTTGTGTTATTTGATCCTATTTTATTTAATATTTTGCTCAAATTGTGTCAACTTTGGCTATTGGGAGCTCTTTCAGTTGGCTCTTATGTCATGTTAATATGACCTCAGCTAACTTCCTCCCTCCCTCCCTCCCTCTCTCCCTCCCTCCCTTCCTCCCTCCCTCCCTCCTTCCCTCCTTCCTTCCCTAACTCCCTTCCTTCTTCCTTCCTTCCTTCCTTTTTTCTTCCCTCCCTCCATCCCTCCCTCCTTCCCTCCGTAACTCCCTTCCTTCTTTCCTTCCTTCTTTCCTTCCTTCCTTCCTTCCTTCCTTCCTTCCTTCCTTCCTTCTGAGCATTTGTTTTTATTTGCTGGCACTACAAGGTGTTCCAGGCTCATCTTTTATATTTCCTGCCCAGAATGAAAATATTTTAATATGTAATTCTAGTATTACTGTTTTTCTGAGAGTTTTTTCATTTAGTTTATTTGCTTATTTTTTCATTAAGATATTTGTCTGTTTATTGATTGATTTTAAAGATTTTTAAAAACACCTTTAAGGCAATTAAATGGCCTTAAATGAAAAGCTGCAATATAGTTGTTAAACTCACACACTGGGTTAGTTATAATAGTGGTAGTTGTGGGTGGATGGGTAAGGGAGAAGGGAGAGAGAAAGAGAGAAAGAGAAATTTTCTTTCTTAAACTATTAATCTTTAGGTAATGTTCTGCTTTTATCATGCCCTTATCATCTAATACAATTAATTGTTTGTTTCCTACATTTATGGAATATTGCTCTTTCTGTCACAACGTTAAAAATATATTTTTATTTATTTTCTCCTGGTATAATGGAAAGTGCACTGCATTCACAGCCATCACTTATTGGAACATCTATTTTTTACTAAATAGAATGCTGGCCCTTTTATATGTATTATTAGTAAATGTCACAAGAACTCTGAAAGGTACATGTACAATTAGCTTTGCCATACAGATAAGAAAATCAGGTCTTCAAGAGGATGCATTGCACAAGGTCAAACTTTTACAACATTGCAGATTTGGGATATAAACCAACAATTCCCTGACTGCGCTAACTATGCTCTTTGTTCTTTTCCATGCTCACTAATTATCAGAAGATATAGATATAGATATAGATATAGATAGATATAGATTTTTTTTTGACAGAGTCCTGCTCTGTTGCCCAGGCTAGAGTGCAGTGGCACAATCTCGGCTCACTGCAACCTCCAACTCCTGAGTTCAAGTGATTCTCCTGCCTCAGCCTCCTGAGTAGCTGGGATTACAGGTGCATGCCACCATATCCAGCTAATTTTTATATTTTTTAATAAAGATGGGGTTTCACCATGTTGGTCAGGCTGGTCTTGAACTCCTGACCTTGTGATCTGCCTGCCTTGGCCTCCCAAAGTGCTGGCATTACAGGCGTAAGCCACCACACCCAGCCTATATGTTTTTAATTTTAGTAAGAAACATTCAATCTGCTTCAACATCAGGAATTCATTTGTCATTGTTAATTTCTTCATTATAAAATGAACTACTAGAAATAACACAGAATATAGTGTTTGTCATTGAAATGTGATGTTAGGTAATTGGGTAAACTGGCCATACAGTTTACGCATACTGTTGCTTCTGTGTCTGGTGCTGGGACTGAATTCAGCAGGGCAGAAAGGAAGGAGGATCTGTGGGCCCAGCTATTGCTCCATGGTAACAAGGGAAGCAAGCAAACCAGTGACAACTGACACTACCCCAACCAGCAATCCCATTGCTGGGTATATCCCCAAAGGATTATAAATCATTCTACTACAATGACACATGCACATGTATGTTTATTGCAGCACTATGTACAATAGCAAAGACTTGGAACCAACCAAAATGCTTATCACTGATAGACTGGATAAAGAAAATGTGGCACATACACACCATGGAATACTAGGCAGCCATAAAAAAGAATGAGTTCATGTCCTTTGCAGGTACATGAATGAAGCTGGAAACCATCATCCTCAGCAAAGTAACACAGGAACAAAAAACCGAACACCACTTGTTCTCACTCGTAAGTAGGAGTTGAACAATGAGAACACATGGACACAGGGAGGGGAATAGTGATGACACACTGGGGCCTATTGGTGGGTAGAGGGCAAGGGGAGGGGGAGCATTAGGACAAATATCTAATGCATATGGGGCTTAAAAGCTAGATGACAGATCGATAGGTGCAGCAAACCACCATGGACATGTATACCTATGTAACAAAACTGCACGTTCAGCACATGTATCCCAGAACTTAAAATAAAATAAAATAAAATAAAAATATGGCTGAAGCTTTACTTTTGCCTTCAAACGTGGCTCAAAATTCTGTCATGGCCACCCTAATCCAGACCCTCAAAAGTAAGGAGATTCTATGAAACAGAGCTCCTGCTTAGCTGAGATGACACAATACAAATAGTCACTATTTTGTTTTGCATTCTTTGAAGTAGAAACTGTGGGACAATTGCTCACTATCCATCTTCTCTTTTGTTGACACCAATGGACCCCTGATTTTCATTCAGAGTAATAATGTTTACATCTAAAATAAAATAAAAACAAAACAAAACAAATAAAACACCATCCTCCTTTGTGGGTGGCCCTGATTGGCAATGGTAATTTGTGGTAATGACAATGAGTTCTAGTCAATGAAATGTAACCGGAAATCACTTTGTAAAACTTATACAGAGCTTAGGCTCATATGTTCCATACCTTTTGTCCTTTGCCTCTCATCTCTTTTTGAAAGACTGATACAATGTTGGAGGCAAAGCAGTCATTTTCAGCCCTTTCGCAACCTCGGTGAGATAAGCATGAAAACAAAAGCCACACACAGAATGATGAAGCAGAATGGCCATGGACCATGTGTCCTTCATGAAATAATAAAGCCACTGAATCAGCCATCAAGCACGGTATACCTATCTTCTTGTTTTGTGCAAAGATTAAAACTTCTGTTTGGCTAAGTGAATGTATGTTCTTTTCTGAAAAATGCCACTGATCATATACTTCATTGACACACCATTGTAGATAAGAAATAAACAGAACTATTAATAATATGGCATGAGTTAATAAAGAATATTTGGACTTTGGTGGGCTATACAGTATTTGTTTTATTGAGAAATGCTGGAAGGGGGCATTCTACATGCAAAGCAATTTATCTAGTTCAAACTAAAGAAGAAAGTAGTGGTGATGGAGTTGGAATGCTGTAGTAGGAGAAACGATTAGATAGATTTTTTTTATTTATTGGAATGGGGAAGTCAGGCATTTTAAGTCTGCACAGACTACTTTTGGTAATGAGGTATTAATCACAAACATTCATAAGAATATGAGAGAAATAAGGGATATCATCTCTTTAGCTCTTCCGATACTCTGGGCTCTGTGTTTGTAGACTGGAATATATGAAAGATATGAAGAACTGAAATAGCACATCCATATTATTTGATTCATGCCCCGCATCCAAGTCACCTTACTTCTCTTTGTTTACTTAATGTTTATTCTTTGCAAAAGGCTTGATTTCATCAGGTAGGTTTGTCACTGCCATATACAAATGCCTTTATTGGAATGAGATTAGCACCAAGTCATTTCAGATATGGCTGACCTCTGTCTTGTCCACCCCTACCTAGTTAAATTTAGTTCACTTATGGCTTCAATCACTTGTGGACAGGGAAGCAAAATTGTTTTCTTTCATAAGTGTCATAAGCCTTAAAATTTGTTAAAGAGTTAATTAAGTTATTTTTTTGAAAAATAAAAGGCAGTCTTAGTTATGGTAATCTCCTGAGCCCCATAAGATCTGCCTATAGTGGGTCAAGTACAAGGATATTGTAAAGTGAAAGTGGAGAGTCAGTAGAGACAGAGAGAGTGAGCACATGTTCAGAAGCAGGTGGATGACTGCTTCTGAGAACAATAACTAAGAGGAGGCAAGAAGTGACGGGATCAACCTCCCAAATGAGCAGGGTGGCTGGAGCTCACTTCTTGTTGAGAGTGCAGATGGTGTGGAAGCTAGTCTCTAAGATGGCCCAAATGATTTCCACATCTCAGTACTAACTCCCTAGTGTAGCCCCCATTGAAATTACACGAATGTCAATCTATGTGGCCAGTAGTATGTGGTAGAAGTTTTAGTATATTATTTCCATGATTAATTTATAAAATGCTGTAGCATCCCTCTTAGGTGTACTCTCTCTCTCATCACTTTGTTAGGACAGGCATGCTGGTGCTTCTTCCTCCTCTTATAAGGATACTAGTCATATCGGATTAGAGCTTTACTTGTATAGCCCAGTTCAGTCTCGGTTACATTTTTAAAGGCTGTATCTCAAAATATATTCATGTTGGAAGTTAGGGCTTCAGTATAAGGTTTTGAGGGGACACAGTTCAGTCCATAACACTTTGGGGAAATCCAGCTACCATTTCATGAGAATACTCAGACAACCTAGGGAGAGGCCTACATTGTGAAAACCAGAGGTCAATAGCCCAACCAATAACCACATGAGAGAGCTTGGAAGAGGCTCCCTCTGCCCTGTCAAGGCTTCACCTAACTGCAGTTCCAGTTGATAGCTTGACTGCAACACCATGGTAGACCCTGTCTACCCATGTCCAATATCATCCAGCTAAGTCAGTCCTGGATTTCTGTCCTTGAAACTCTATGAGATAAATGCTTGTTGTTTTAATCTTCTAAGTTTTGGGGTAATTTGTTGCATTGAAACAGATAACTGATACCAATGGGTATGGGAAGAAGTAGATATACAGATGAGAATACTATTGGTTAACTAATGCTAGTTGGTCTCAGATTTTCCATAAATAAGAGGATAGCGATTTTAGTAGAAGGATTAGACCTGAGTGATGAGTTGGGAGTTAGCACAGTGAAGAAGAGCCGCAAAACAGAAGAGTAGAAAAAGATCCCTCTGGGTCCAGCTGATGTTGCCGACCATCCTTCTGAGGTGTCCAGCCACCTACATGTAGAGTTGGGGTTTTGCACCTTAGAAGTGGTAGAAGGCAGAGAATACAAAGGGCTTGAGGATATTGATGAACAAGAACTATAATCCATCATGGATACTCTGCTTAACTTTTGCTGAAGATTCCTCCACAGTTAGCCACGTGTACATCTTGTGCATGCCTGCTTCACTTTGACACAGGGGTATGGGCTCATCTGGATACTTGCCTCCTCTTGACAGTAGCATCTTACTTTTTTGTTCTGGTCTCTGTCATCCTGGGCTTATCACTGCTTTCTGAACTCGCATTCTAACAGCACTCTCAACAATCCTGTGAGGTCTGCAAGTCATGGACTGTTTTCCTGAGTTGAGGCCCAGGAAGATTAAGTGATTAATCTAGACTTCCACAGCTAGCCAGTGGCAGAACCAGGCCCAAGACTTGGAACTTCTGGCTCCTTGTCTTATACCATGGCTTTTAAATTTCTTGTTTAGGTTTTACTTATTCTCACTGTAGAGGACCAGACACAACAGGTACATTGGGAGCAGGCCACTGAAAGATGAGCAAATTGAGCTGCTTTTAGGATTTGTGCATCCTAATATCATAAAATATTTTTCTAACATTTTCGGTTTGGCATAGCACATTGTGCCAACATTCCTTTCCTTTCATTTTTAAACCCACATGTATTTTCAGGGAAATTAATCTCATATGTTTCTGATTCATGTACTGTGTAACTCATCAAAATATTGTTTTATAACAGTTCTTGGCAGTCCATGAAACCATTTAAAATATAGACTTTTCCCCTCTTCCTACCATAGAAGCCATGTTTTACCAAGAGCACAGGACAAATTAACTCCAAAGGGTTTTCTGGATAACCTTTACGTGAACACTTAAAGACTCCATTGGATTTTCTGTGACCATCTAGAATGCAAGTCAACAAATATCCACCAAACATGCACTATGTATAGGTGAAATGTGTTGGAATCTAGAGGTATAAAGATAAATGAAAGGTGGCCCTGGGTTTTCAACGACTGCAGTGATGGAGTTAGAGAATGGTGACAGTCAAAATATTTGTTAAGCACTTTAAATGTGCTTGCTACTGGGGTAAGCCCTTTATAAACATCTCATGTAATGCTCTCAACCACTATATGTGTTGCTGACCCTATTTTACCTATAAGGAAACTGACGCTTGGGGAGTTTATCAAGCCAAATCCTACAGTGGTTGGCAGTGGATCCAGGGTACAATCTCTGGCAGTTTGGTTGTAGAGTTCAGTCTTAAGCTGTTATATAGATTAAGAAAGGAAGACCAGAGAGGCTGAGCTTCATGCCTAATTTGTTGGAGGTAGAGATGGAACTTCAGTGAGTTTCATTATCATTAATGACATATAATTTACTTCTCTTTAAACTTTAATTTTGACCACAAGCTTATTTCCTTCTGGGTTCTGTGTTTGTATTGGAGGAATTCTTAGGTAAAGATCATGATCATGCAACCAGAAGTCCTGCTCATGCCTTGTGCGTGGCTTACCTGACATGTCGGCTCCATAATTATGTGAGCAAGTGAGCCTTCTCATGTAATGAGGCCCTCTAAGAAAAACTCTATTATGTGCACGCTTTACAGAACAATCCACAATGTGTTCTCTCTAAATTAATTTAGAGAGAGTAAAAACATCATTATTTATATTAATATTATACGAAGAAGATTTTGAATATTTTCATGTATTTTGAATGTTTCTATATGCCAGACATTGCTAGATGCTTTCTTTAAATTACTCAGTTTTATCCTCACAAGAGCCCCCATGAGGTACATAGAGTTAGTCCCTCATTTTTCAGAGGAACTGAGGGACAGTGCAGTGAAGTAACCATTAAGAAGCAGTAATCTCTCATATTCGGTGGCATGGGATTTGCAAGTGAACTAATGATAAAGCATGATTAGGAATAATCTGGCTAGTTATGGTATGGAATTATGCATCTTTAGAATATTGGAGTTTTATGAAATTATAAGATATTTGAGATGAAAAAGACCTACCTTAGGGAGCTGATGCTTCCCAATGGGCAATCTGAGAACTAGTAGTATAAAAATAAGAAAAATTTTGTATATACATATGTGTGTGTGTATGTATATATATGTATGTATAATTTACATAAAATTTATAAGATTTGTATATGTGAATATATGTGTGTATACATGCATATATATAGTCTGATGATGCATAATAACTAAATAAGCACTAATCCAAGGTCTAGTACATTAACAAAGCCTTTCCATGCACCTGTGGGTCCCTGTCCTAACTCAACTCCATGGTAACCAAGACCAGGTAATCACTGTGTTTATCTTTGTTCTTCCTTTTTCATAAAATAATTTAATGCCATATATATACATATATATATATAAAATAAATAACATGTTGTCTAATGTCACTTATTTTTGAGCTTTTTATAAATGGTGGATATTCTGTATGTTCTTCAGTGACTTCTTTACTCTAGATTATATTTCCCAGAATAAACTATGTTTTGTGCAAGGAATTATATTTCAGTCATTTTCACTGTCTTGTAATATTTTAGAGAATATATATATTATATATATATATATATATAGTTTGCCATGTTTATTATTAGTAATTGTCATTATGGTCATTAGGATTATCTCCTTTCTTTGTATTTTGTTATCAACTTTTAAAAAATATGCTAATTATTGTAAAAGACTTTGTTGCTTGAGGGCAAGAGTTTCTCGTAGTAATATGATTTATACCTGCTGCTTATGCAAATGTCCACAAATGTAAAATAATGCTAAATCATTCTAAACTTGTTATTTTAATTTATACTCCCAGTAGAAGAGTATAAGAGTTTCTTAATTCTGTAGCTATGTGAACTATTATTTACTTTTTGTCAATTTGGTTGCTGTATGATCTTAATTTTTATTTCCTTCTGATACTATTGAAGTTGGACATCTTTACAATCTTATTGGGCATTTCTGTTTTAGTCAAGGTCTAATGAAAAATACAAAACTGTCTTCAAGTATTTAAGCAGAGGATATTATTGCAGAGCATTAGTTACGTAGGCAATGGAGTTGCCAAGAGTTGAACAAGAGATTCACAACATCACAAAGCACTGTAACCCCTAGGCTGCCTGGCAGACAAAGGCAGGAAATCTTGTAACCAGCACCAATGACCTGGGGCCTCTTCAGCTCCCTTGTGAATCTCTGGCTTAATGTTGAGTCTTGGGTTCAGCTCTCTCATCTGTCCTAAGGACAGAAGAAACCTGAGGGACAGTGAGAAAGTAGTGAGTTCAATAGTTTGGAGGTCTAGTGAGGGTAAAGAACTGACAGGAGGGTCACTAGAGCAAGGACACCCAAGAATGGAAATGGGGATCAGAAAATTCAATCTTTAAATGAAAGATTTTGAATGAAGTGCAGCTCCTGGTGACAACACTGTGCTTATGACCCAAGGGAGTGAATATGTAAAGTCAAGTGGAAAGAAAAGTCACTGGAGATTAGGAAAGTGAGGAATGGAGAGGTGAACAGGGCCACTGTGTTGTACAACTCCAGGGGGAGCCCTTCACATAGTCAGCCTGACCCTGTTTAGGCTAAGACACAAAGGTCCTCTCCCACATACACACAAGTATGTGAAAGTAGAAATGTTTCCTTTTTTTGTTTTGTTCAACACTGTATCCCTAGCAACTAGAACATGGTCTGTCAACAGGTACTCAATGAATTTTTGTGGGATGAATGAATTAAGGCTGATGTCAGTGGCAATGAGAACAAGATAATTAAATTCACAGCTAAAGGCTTTAATAAATGAGGGAGGTTGACTTGGAGGTCAGTAGATGACAGCAACAAGTTGGCAATGATGGAGATAAAACAGAATGGCCTGACCTTTATAAGCAATGGGAGTTCCTTTGCTTTTGGTGTGTGTGAGGTGGATAGTGACCTAGAAGCTGTAACGACAAGCCAACCCTCTCCTAAGCCACATGAGATGTGAGATAAAAGATGGTTCACTTGAAAACACTGTAGGAGAAATGAACTCGTAAGTTGGAGTCAGGTAGATTTTTAGATAAGACAGTAGAGTAAATGTTCTGGGAGGAGACCAAGGATCAAGTAGAATTTACTGATTATAGATGGGTAGTTCCAAGGCACCACAGACAGCAATAGGAGGGAGGATATGTTGGTCAGAGTCCGGACAGAAAAACAAATTTGACTCAGGTGGTTCAACTTAGAGATTTTTAATGACGGAAGACCATTTAGCCGTGTGTAGGCAGGGTTAAGGAAACCAGCTAGAAAAGTGAAGGTATCCTGAGACTAGCAATGATTGACAGCCATTACTATTCCTGAGTCTGAAGTGGCAAGGACAGGAAACTGTGAAAGAGCCCGGTGAGAGCCAGAATCATAGAGGCAGAAATGCCTAAGGGAACAGAGGTATAGAGCCACTGCCTGGAGCACAGCAGAGAACCAGGGAGGAAGCAGGGGAGAATAAGGCCCCCCTCCATTCTGTCTACCTAACCCATGATTACCTGCTTCGATCTTTCAATGGCTGTACTCACCTGCAAATTAGAGGGCAGGGAGCCTGGAAGCTGCCATTCATAGGAGTTTGCTTCTAGGGCAAAAGTGGGGCAGGTAAAAGCAAAGCATGCATTTGGGGTGGTGGTGGTGGGAGAACATAGACTAGCCAGCAAAGAGGGAAAAGAAGGAGGACTGAGTAAGAGGAAGGATAAATAAAGAACACTAGAGATGGGAGTCTGGCTGATAATAAGGGGCTGAGTTAAGGTTGAGTGGGGAACGAGATGGTTTGGAGTATGCACTAAATGTGCTAGAGAGGGTGCAAGCACTCCCCTCCTTGCTTTAATAAAATCTAGCTCACTCTGAGGAGTCTACCTTTTACTTCATGTCTTTGTGATGTGTTCGCTGGGAGCTCTTGCTTTCTTAAGTACTCATTAGAAACATGTGCTATAGTGGAGGCTTTGGAGCTGGGACATGCTCATGTTCTACCATTCCTGGACAAGAACAGAAATGGATAAGGGCAGGGCCATGCTGATTAGAGACAGATGTTCCAAACTGCTCCAATTGCTTCCCAATTGTACCTCCAGAGTGCTACAGAAGCCCTGCAATATACTTCCACCTGGAAATAACACAAGCCATTTGGCCCAGCTAAGCATGATCACTTCGTAAGTCTTTTCCATGTCAAAGACTTTCTTTTGCTCACCATCACAATGCTGCTTCAGTCTATCATCCCCTCCTAAGTAAAATGTGTCCTTTAATATGCCCTAGATTACCACATATTTCATGCAGTTTTCCTGTTAAAATTCCCAAATAGAAATGAACCTGTTTTTCTAATTAAATGGACCTAATTAAAATGGGTTGCTTTTAATTATGATCTTGTCCTTAATTAATTAAACTGAAAATCAAGTAATTGATTATTGGAGATCCTATAATGAGAAGAACACACTGCAGTATGTAGAAGACCCAAGTTCTGCTCTAGAAAGCTAGGGATCTGTGTATGTGTCTACACAATGACCTTTGTGTAAAAGAGATTATTATCTTGGCAAGGAAAGAAATGTCAAGGCACTTAGGATGATGGTGTCATTGGGGAAAGGGCCTAACATTTAATATTATTCACCGTTATATTCCATTCCAAAGGTTTGCACTTGAAACTTTGGAGTTTCTTCATCTGTAAGAGGAAAGCAATACTACCTATAATGCTTAGGATTATAAAATTCCACTTCCTCTAAGCAGCCCTACCTCATTAAGGGATATTTGGTAATACGTTAGGTGTTTTTTGTTTTTATCAATGATGAGGGATGATGCTGGCATTAAGTGTTTGGGGAAAGCATTAAGCAACATTCCTCAGTGTGAGTACAGTCCTGTCCAGTGAAGGATTGTTTCATCCAAAATGCTAATAGTACTCCCATTGGGAGGCACTGCATCAATTACATACAAGCAAGGGGTTTTTCTGTCTCCTGGTTCTGTGTTTTTCAGCCAGCAGTTGCTTCTCCCCATTCATGATCTGTGCTTCCACCCTCACTTCCCCTATGGGTCCCTGGTCACTTTTCTGCTGGCTGCAGTTCCTACTGATGGTGTGAGCGATATAGTCTGACCTTTGGAGTTGGATCTATTTAAGTAAAATTTCCAACTCTGCTACTCCTTGGCTGTATGCTTTTGACAAAATCTATCTAACTGTTCTTAGTTTTAAAATACTTCTTCAAAGAAGATATTTAAGTGCATCTTATTAGTCTCGTATCCTTTTGGGGCTCTAGCAGAGTATGCACAAATTTAAAATAATTTCTGACTCACAGAGGTCTTATGAAAATTAAAGAGATGATACCTGCAAAGAGCTTTATATAGAATACAA
Source organism: Homo sapiens (assembly GCF_000001405.40). Taxonomy (NCBI): domain Eukaryota; kingdom Metazoa; phylum Chordata; class Mammalia; order Primates; family Hominidae; genus Homo; species Homo sapiens. The sequence continues at coordinate 12,934,809 of NC_000004.12, read as the reverse complement.
CACATGGAAGGCATCGAATAAATGGTAACTATTGTTTCCTGTCTGCAGAGTGAATGTATCTGGTATTTCATGCCATGGTGAGAAACTCAACAGTTAGGCCCCAGAATATCTAGTAGATCCTAGCAACAGTTTGAAAATTTGTGGCAGCTAAAGGAGGCAAATATAAGTTAAATTTTATAAATCTGAATAATGAAATCATTTTAGAGGTGGCTGAAGGTTAAGAGGCTGAATTGAGGAGGAAATGTTATTCTATCTGAATGCATTCACCTAAATGTTATTCTATCCGAATGCATTCACCTAATCATACACATTTTAGGATAATGCCAGGTTGTATTCTCCTGAATAGAGGATTTTATGTCTAATTTCCACCACTTGCTTGCAGAGAATGGCATCCTATGTAATAGTTCCTCTATGCTACCTTACCCTTGCTGAAAGCTCTAAAGATGGAGCATTCAGGCTTTATTTTGAACTTCCTAGATCGAGAAAACGTTCCCAAGCCCAAAATGTTGTTGTAGTATATTTGAGTGTGGATTTTAACAAAGTACAACTCTTCTGAAATAATTGACCAGCACTAAAATGTTCACTCTTCAAGTTAGACTTTTGTCATTCTTGAAACAGGAAATGGTTCTCTGCAAATATTTAGAAATGCTGTGGAAACTCTGAAGTTCACAGCCATGGCAACCCTCAGGATTTCAGGCTGTAAAAGGCATCATGCCTTCCTTAAGATAATTATTTAATTTCCAAATATTTGTCATAAGTGAAAATATGGGGGCTGTCTTAGAAGAGGCAAGCTCTTCCAGTCCATTTTCAGAAGGCCCTGGTTGGCCTCTGACCCCCACAGTCCTATAAACTGCAGCAGAAATTCCCTTTCCACTTAAACTGCATCTGCTAGGCAAGGTTTCAATAAAGCAGCAATTCATGAAAAGGTTTCCCCCTTACCACAAGTGTCAAAGTTCTCCTTGTTTAAGCTAACTGTTGGCAAAGTGTGGCTGTCCTCAGCTGTGAACTTTGCCTCATTGCTTCATTGGCAAAAATAGACTTCACATCCAATTGTAGTATGTACCAAAGCTCTACATTTATATGAAGATGATGTGAACTGGAATAGAATGAAAAATAGTATACATTTTATAGGTTCCTGAAATGAATCTGGTCACATATAATCAATTTTATCTGAAAGTCCTTGAAAAGTTGTATTTGCCTCTGTTTACTTGAGTAAATATACAAAGATGAATATACCAAAAAATACCAAAAGAAAATGTACGAAGAAAAGCCATTTGGCTTGGAATCAGGAATTTTGGTTTTAACGTCCACCTTTGCTTCTTTATTGGCTAGCATTTTATTGATAAACTACATAGGTTAAGGATACCTTCCCTTTTTTTCTTTTTCACTGTGTCATTGAAGAGATAGACAGTAGAGCCATTTAAGTTGCAGAAGACAGAGGAGGTGGAAAATAATACAGGTAAGAAAGAACTCATTTTATGAGAAAGATAATTATTTTAATTTGTAATTATATTAAGCTTGAGGCCCCTGTGGAGTGTTTTTGATGAAGTTGGATATGGTCATGTGACTTTCAAACAGGAAATAAAGTTTGGGTATTATTAACATTTAGATGAGAGTTGAGGTCTGGGTATGGATGTAGTCACTGAGGTGGGTTCTTTTTTGGTGAGAAGAAAAGAGGGCTAAGGCTAGCACCTTAGCTTAAGAAGTGAGGAAAGCAGAAAAGCCAGTGAGGAAGGCTTACCGAGAACAGGTTCCCTGATAGGTGGAGAACTGGGAAAGCCTTGTCCAGGGAGACATCAAAGGAGGAATGAATTATGCCTGCTGGATGCATCTGAGGAGTTTAGTGAGGTAAGGGTGGCAGTTTGAGCACTTTTAGTGAGAGCGGAAACCAGGCTGCAGGAGGGTGAGGAATGTAGTCATTTAGCCCAGAGAGAAGAGGGATTATGGCTGCCTTCAAATAGTTGATAACTTCTTATGGAAACTAGCTCTCATCTCTTTACCTTTACAGGACAAAACAATGAGCAATGCAAGGTCAGTTTGGGTTATATTTAAGTAGATATGCCTAGCAGTTAAAATTACTAAAGAAGTAAAGTAGCAGCCTTAGAAATTGGTAAGGTTCCATCACAGGGGTCATTTTGGCAGAAAACCAACAAAGAAACGAAACATAGAGATGGTTCATTGCATTCCACCTCTTCGATTCTGTGATTCTGTGAGTCTGTCCTGAAACCATCAAAGAGCAGGGGTGATACCAGCCTGTTCATTGTCCTTGCAACCTTAGGTAGCCAGCAGCTTATACCCTTGTCCATCCTTCCCAGGCCACAGAGGTCTGTAAGACTGATTATTATCTTTTCCTGTAATGTCCAATATCAATGGGACAGAGTTCACTGGGACGGCCTTGTGGTGAGCTGTTGAGTGTTGAGCTCAGACATGAGAAAGCCCAGGACTGTCTCAAACTTTGCCAGGACTCACCAGGGGATCCTCCCAGCATCTCTAACCTCATTTTGCTGCTGTTTTGGGAGAAGACCCTTGGCATTTATGTATGTCTGTGCTGCTTCACTAGTTGATTAAAGGAAAAATAAACACCACTGGGTTGGAGGTCCGCCTTTTACTTGGGACAAGACTACATATAGCTTCTGGGTTTCTGAGTGGGTATTTCAGAGGTGGCTAACCATTGTGCTAGTGCAGAGATTTTTCAGGTTGTGAGAGCTTCTCTTAGTAGGCATTGCAAACGTACAAATTAGGTGTTTTGACAGCAAAAAAAAGTCTAAAAACTCCAATTCAAAGGACGAAAGAAGCAGGAGCTCGTGCAGAAAAAAATGTGGGGAGACAGCCAAAATAAGAACTTCAGGGACTATGAGCACCAAAGAATTATGAAGCCCCATTCCCCTTCTTTTCTATGAAATTCATAAACAATTCAAAGACATGCAATAATTTTAAGAACATCAAATAAAGTTTTTATTTTTATAATGATAATGATTCTTATATTTTAAAAAATTCAAAATCTTTAAATAATGGTATTCATGCAAGGTTTGCTTGTACCTATTGTTGAAACTATTCATGTGTCTATGTGCACACAGCACATGCTTGTAAGTTTGGAGACTAAAAATGTAACAGCAGCTTTAAGAACAAGGAATTATATATCTTTCACAATTAATTAATTGATAAATTTAAGTGCTTAAAATACTAGATGGAGGGCTATAGATGTGAAAAAGACAGTTAACATCACTGCCTCAAAAGACTCCCCATCATTTTCTCTTTAAGTGACTTTATTTTTTTGATGTATACAACATATAAGCCTATAAGAAAAGATTTCCACTTATTCCTTCCTTGAGTTGCTGTGAGTCATATTCTTTTGAAATAATTTAAAAATATTAAATTTAGGAGACTGCAATTATAATTCTGATGGCTATTTCAAGTAAAGTCAACTCATTAATGTACAAAAAATTCTCGTAAGTAAAGAGTTTCAGAAAATAGCTTATTTAATATAGAAAAATTTTGATGTTTATGTGGGAAAAATACTCAATTTTCCATAAGTCTCTAAGTTTGCCAATACTATCAAAGCTCATAATGTCAACCAAGACATTTAGCAAAAATTGGCTGGGTGCAGTGGCTCATGCCTGTAATCCCAGCACTTTAGGAGGCTGAGGCGGGTAGATCACTTGAGGTCAGGAGTTTGAGACCAGCCTTGCCAGCATGGCAAAACCCCATCTCTACTAAAAACATAAAAATTAGCTGGCCCTGGTAGCACACGCTTGTAATCCCAGCTACTATGGAGGTTGAGGCACAAGAATTGCTTGAACCCAGGGGGCGGAGGTTGCAGTGAGCCAGGATCATGCCACTACACTCCAGCCTGGGTGACAGAGCAAGATTCTACCTCAAAAAAAAAAAAAAAAAAAAAAAAAAAAAAAAAAAAAAAAAAAGACATTTAGCAAAAATAAATAAATGGAAAAATATATATGTACATATTTATACTTATGTATATTTATGTACTTGTATTTGTACAGGAATAAACTTTTTGGAAAACAATGAACCTTAAGTAAACTGTGGACATCAGCCAATCCTTCTTATACCTTTTGCTATGAACAGAATGTTGTTATCACCCCAAAATTTATATGTTGAAGTCCTAATCTCCAAAGTATTTGAAGGTGAGGACACTGAAAATAATTAGATCATGAGAGTGAACCCTTTATGAATGGGATCAGTACACTTATAAGAAAAGACATGACAGAGATCATCTCTCTCAGCCACGTGAAGATACAGCATGAAGACAACTGTTTTAAAACCAGAAAAGTAACCTTCACCAGGCATTTAATCTGCTGGCACCTTGAACTTGCACTTCTCAGCCTCCAGAACTGTGAGAAATAAATGTTGCTTAAGCCATCTAGTTTATGCTATTTGTAATAGCAGCATGAGCAGACTGAGACCTCTACTGAGAGTAGAGGTGCTACTATAACAAATATTTTAAAATGTAGAAGTAGCTTGGGAACTAGGTAAAGGGTAGAGTCTTGAATTGCATGCTATAAAAGCTGATATTGCCATGAAGAGACTTTTAAAAGCAACTTGAGTGAGGGCTCAGAAAAGAAAGAGGAAAGCTGTAGAGAAAGTTACTCATAAATAACCATGTCTAGAATGTTGGCAGAAATATGGATAGGAAGGGCCATTTTGATGAGGTGTTAGGTAGAAATGCAGAATGAATTACTGGACAATAGAGAAAAGGTGATCCTTGTTGTAAAGTGGTAAAGAAATCGACTGAATTATGTTTATGTTCTAGTGTTTTGTGGAAGGTAGAAGTTGTAAGTGATGAAACTGGACATTTAGCTGAGGAGCTTTTCAAATGTAGTGTTGAAGGAGCTGCTTGGGCCCTTGTGACTGCTCATAGTAAAATGAGAGAAGAGAAAAATAAATTGTAGACAAAATGGTTACACAAAAATATTCCAAAACTGAAAGATTTAGAAACTTCTTAGCTTGTCTATATTATACAAAAATGAGCAAGTATGTTTGGAAGAGAACACCAAGGACATGGTGGGTCAACCATTTGATAAGGAGATTGTGTGGGTGTGAATCAAAGCACTAGTCAGTCACCCGAGCAGAACACTGCCAGTTTAAATGAAAGAGAACTGAGATGAGAGAGGATACAGGAAGAGAATCAAACTTCTTAGATTTTTACAGGAAGGGACTATAGAGTTATTTGACTGTGAATGTGCACTGTTCTTCAAGACAAAAGACAAACAGCCATAAAAGGTGATTAATAAATCATCAGTGTTACCTCCTTGATTTCAAAAGAGAAAACCATCGTCTTGATTTCGGCAGGCCAGGCAGCCTCCACAAGAAGCCTTGGGGTGAGGCCACCCAGAGTCATGAGTGTGGGACACCCCATCGCTCACTGGGCAAAGCCCTGGGGACCAGACCCCTATCTCCAGAGATGTAGAGCAGAATCTCTGCCACAGTGGGTCTGAAAGACAGAAAATAGAGCCAAGAAAAATTGTTCTTCAGCCTTAAAATACAATGCTTACCTTGCTAGGTTTTGAACTAGCTTGAGACCTCTTTCCTATTTATCTTTCTTTCCTATTTATCATTTTTGAAATGGGGATGTATATCCTACGCTTGTCCTGCCATTGTATTCTGGAAACACATAACTGGTTTGGTTTTATACATTCACAAATGGAGAGGAATTTTGTCTCAGGGTGAATCAAACCTCAAGTGTCACCTTTATCTGATTTAGATGATATTTACATGAGACTGTTGACTTCAGACCAGAATTGAGGCTAAAATGAGTTGAGACTGTTGGGGCTGTTGAGATTAAATGAATGTATTTTGCAAGTAAGAAGAAGATAAATGTTGGGTGGACCTGGGACAGAATGCTATGGATTAATTGTTTGTGTCCCTCTCAAATTCATATGTTAAAAGTCCTAATCTCCATTGTGATGGTATTTGGAGGTGAGTCCTTTGGAGCAAGCTAATCAGATCATGAGGGTAGAACTCTCATAAATGGGATTAATGCCTTTGTAAGAAGAGGCATAAGAGAGATGCTATCTCTCTCAGCCATGTGAGGATACAGCAAGAAGGCAACCATCTTCACAAAATGAGGAGGGCCCTCCCAACACATTGAATTTGCAGGCACATTGATTTTGTATTTCCCAGCCTTCAGAACTGGGATAAATCAATTAAACCAATATTAAAACAGAAGATATTCAAGAGAAACTTACTCAGTAAGATGTAGAAGACCATTGTGCTATAAACTGTGTGACACCAGGGATTAATTCTGCTTTGTTGCTCTTTGCATCCCTGCCTTTGAGCAGAGCTGGCATGTAGTTCTCACTCAATAAATATTTGTTGAATAACTATGTTGATTAATTGGTTAGTTATGCCAGTTTTACAAGAAATGGGTGGAGTTGTGTAGTAAATCCTCATTAATTACTGAGTATCTGAAAGTAAGATGCTAAGAAGTAGGGCACAGGATTAGAATTACAGTGATTCTGGAAGCCAATACCCAGAGGCTCAGAAACTAGTAAGGCTGAAGAGGCATTGTCACATGGAAACAAAAGGAAATATGTATTTTTGTGTGTCTAGTATTTGAATAGTTTGGAAAGATATGGTATAGACGGCACAGCCTGGCAATCTGATCACCAACCACCCTTTTAATGTCATATCCAAGTATCTTATAAACTAGTATTGTGAGCTGCTAGAAATGTTTGTAGGAATGAAGGCTTCAGATTGATCATTGTGGTGCTAGAAATAGTGGGGAAGTGAAGAAAGCATTGATAGAACATAAAGGAACTTGGGTCCTGAACACCTATGTGTGCTACGATACTTCCTAGGCTGGCAGGGGGGCTTGGATTTATCGTGGCTATGCAGTTGAGACATCTGTTTCTATCATGAGGGATGCAAATATTAAAGCTAGAAGCATCATCTCTACCAAAAGCTCATGGGATCTTAAATAAACACAGGAAAGTGTCAAGTTTGTGAAGAGTGATATTGGTACTGAAAAGCCAGACAGCATTAAGGGAGAGCTAACTATCCCTTCACCTTTCTAATCCCTCTGTTGGGAACACTATTCCTTCACTACTCTGCTTGGTGAGTTACTCTTGAAGATGCTGCTCACGTGTCCTAGGTGGAGTTTACCCCAGTTCCTCAGTTAGAACTAATTTCTTTTTCCTCTCCATTTTGGAGAGAGGTTTATATTTTGTTTTATCAAAACAATTTTAGGGAAGTTTCTGATATGGCATCTATCATACAAATTTTTTATGTGCTCTCAGACAAAGTCACTTGTTACATAGACAAGCCATCCAGTCCACCTTAGTGAATTTATAAGTAAGTGAATCACAATACCATTGTTTTGGTCATCCAGACATTTGTAATCATCTTTGATGTTTTCTTTCTCAACTGCATGATTCATATTTGATGAATTGAATCAAATTGGAACCAAAGTTGTGTGTATACCGAATAACAATGATACATACAGTCTTTTATGATCTGCTGCTAGGAGGTGTGTTGGGTTGCATCTCAAGAATTTATCATTCAACATTTATTTAAACAGGTACTTATTGAGCACTTACTATGTGCTGGAGATAAATCATCAAGAGAACACAGTATACTTCCTGGCCTTGAGTGTTTAAAAAATTTAGGAATAAATTATTCTTATTGGAATATATCAAAGAGAAATGCTAGTGGGGGTGTTTAACTTTGAAGAACAGTGGTATTTTTAATGGATATAATCTGAACATGTAAATGTTGGACTGGTTGTAAAAAGAAATTCTATTACTTAATAACTCTATGAGAAAAGTCTTGAATGCCATAAGAATCAGGAAATAAGCAGAGGATAGAAATAAATTCTATTTGGCTGTAACATAAAAACAAAGCATGGGTGCCCTTGACTCTTCCACATCTCTCTGCCTAACACCCTACTGAGTTTTAACTTATATTTCTTGAATTCCCTAGGGCGTTGACAGGAAATAATATAAATTTCAGAAATGTTTCTCAAGTGCAGCTGAATACATTTTTTTAAAGTTTAATCATGCTTGCCATCATTTTGAAACTCATGCTTGGCTTTCAGAAGACAAGCAAAGAATAACACAAGACAACTCAAGATGACAGAGTAAAAAGTGATCCGACCTGATTGCTTGACCAGTGGTTAAATTCAGTCTAATAGCCACATATTAGGAAATACTTAAGTGCTTTCTTTTCACTTCCCTTTTCTCTATTTCATGTAGACTCAACAGCCCCAGTTGATAGCGTCATGGAGGTGCTGACAGGCGCCCAGCGGTGGTGTGGTGTGATTAATTCAGTGTGCTGCTGCAATTAGCCCATCAAAGTCATCAGGAGATCAGTGTTTCTCCCACTGCCACAAGGCAAAAATGAGCTGGCTTGTCAGTCCTTGTCTGGCTGGGGCCCACTGTAGGTGTGGGGATGTCACAAAGCAAATGGTCACTGTGTCTGTAAGCAATGAGAGTAAACAGGTCCCTCAAACAGGTCTCTGCTTGTGAAATTGAGTGCATGTTAAGCTAAGCTGTCCTGTACTTGACTTGGAGCAAAGCTCCTTTTCCTGTGTACATTCATTTTATTTTATGGCCATGTAAAAACAACACTGTGGTGCTGGCTCCAGTGGGAAAATCAACAACAACGCTATAGAGCAACCCACAACCAAAAACAGCTGAAGAAAAGAGAAAACACCAGGAGAAAAATATGGAAGCAGATCTTCCAATCACCTCCACAAGCAATGGCCATGTCAACATTGAGAATAATTGATTCTGACAGAGAGGAAAGTAGTAATTGGAATGAAACTTGTTTGAATAACAGCTTAAATGTTTCTTTCCTTGCTCTCCAGATTACATGCACTGTAAAGCCAGATTTCTTTCTCCTGGTTAGCTCACAGTGGACATTCTGTATCCAGGGGGCCTGTGAAAAGAAAGAAAGAAAAAAAAAACTTGTGAATTTGCCTCTTTCTGGATGACTGTTGAGTTTGGATTTTAGGCTCAAATAGATAATTTCTTGACGGTAAATCCCAAATTTTGTCTGTTGCAAACATCCCTTATAGGCTATTTTTAAGATATTGAGAGGCTGGATACTATCTGGGTCATAGCGTTTCATCCACTCAACTGGCTAACAAAAGTAAAGTTAGAACTTTTTCACAATCTGGCTCCTTTATATCAGTATCCAGTTACAGTGAGGGGAATAACATTGCAGTTTTCCAGGTGGTATTAGTCAGGATTTTTTAGAGAAATGTAAGCAATAGGAGATAGCTGTCTGTCTGTCTGTCTGTCTGTCTATCTATCATCTATCTATCTATCTAGATTTATTATAAGGTATTAGCTCACACAAATATGGAAGTTGAGAAGTCTTCTATTCTGCTATGTACAAACTGAAGATCCAGGGATATTAGTGGTGCAATTCAAAGGCCTGAAAGCTGGAAAGCCAATGGTGAAGATTCTAGTCTGAGTTAGGCCCATGAACCAGGGAATGTCAAAAGCAGGAAAAGATCAATGTCTTAGCTCAAGCTATCAGGCAGAGGCGGGACAAATATAACCTTTCTCTGCCTTTTCATTCTATTTGTGTCCTTAGTAAATCAGATTCTGCCCACTCTAGTTGGGAAGGGCCATCTGCTTTACTCTGTCCACCAAATAAAATGCTAATCTCTTCTGGAAAACATCCTCACTAACACCCAGAAATAATGTTTAACTAGATATATGGGCACCCTGTGGCCCAGTTCACACATAAACATCACTATCACACAGGTGAAAGTCCAAATTTCACAGTGAAGCATGTTGGCCCTTTATAATCTGCCTTGCTGGCTACTACTGTAGTTGCTCCACTCTGTGCCTCTACTGTGTCAAACATTTGTAGGATTTACATGATGTGGCCACTTCTCCTCTCTTTGATCATCTGTCTTTCCACCTAATCCCCCACTCACAATCTCTACCCATGTGGGCCTTCAACCTATGTCTTGAGTCTTCCAGGTCATTTCCACTCTCTGAATGTTTTCTCTTACTGCTCCCTTTGGTCAGTGTTCAACCCCCTTGTCTTCACATGTTAAGAATCCTTCTTAACTTTTGGGTTTGGCTGTCATAGCCAAAAGACACGTTCCATGATGACGCTCCCATGTCCCAAATAAAATAGTTCTGCTGGAACTATACCATTTAGCTCATTTGATTTTTTACATTGCATATTTGGTTTCTAAAAATACCTCTATCGTTGTTTGTTTATTATCTATGCTGCCCCTCCTCCACAGCCACCTGAAATCTTCATGACAGCAGAGACTTTACTCTATTATTCACTCTTGTATTGCACGCATGCTGGGAGCTCAATAGACATATAAATAACAGGTTCTCCAGACACAATGGGTTTTGCCATGCTTGCTTTCCTTTGTCAAGTCAGTGTTTCTCCCTCCACTTAGTCAACTAGCTCAGTCAGCCCTTTCTCCTGCTTCAAAGAGCCGGCTCACATGTTCTCTTTTACTGGAGTCTTTCTTCACATGGTGGAGCAAGGTGCTTCTTCTACATTCGCCTGGTCCCATTCATTACAGCAATTAGCATGTTGCATTCCATGTGTTTATGGATATAGCTCGGCATGGAAATGGATGTTTTTTGAAGTCAGGAATTATGTCTGTTTCTGTAAATTAACAAGGCTAGTGCAGTGAATGTACATAGAAGATGTTTAAAAATGTTTGCTGAGTAAATTAATAGTCATTGCCTCAGCTGACAAGACTTCAAAACTGTGGCATTATTTTGAGGCTCTCTTTTTGTTCAGAGAGTCCATGATTTTGAGTTTTTTCTCATTTTCTCTCTATCAGATGTATTCCCATCATTTAAAGCAAAAGCATAGTTTGGAAGCCCTCAAACTGGCCAAGTATAATAGTTTCCTAACTCATTATTTTGGGTCTAATTTCCCTTTCCTCTAGTATCCTAAGTAAGAAAAATTCACAATTTCTTATCCCTGGTGCTATTCTTTAATTCTCAGATAAGGGAGAAGAAATTCTTAATCTGATTGGTTACATTAGCAAAAACTCTTTTAGGCTTCCTCTAATACATCTCAACGTTCTCTGCCACTCTGTCTTACTCTGTCTCTGCTTCTCTGAAATGGAGAAGTGGCAGAGTGAATGGACTCTGGAACTTCCAATAATTCTTCTCCCCTTGCTGTAGGCCAAAGTAAGATCCCAGGGGTTAGCTGTGATGGGGTCTAGGTGAGCAGAGGTTTGGCTTCAGCCTTGAGCTTCAGCTTCAGGTGCCTAAAGAATTTTCAGCAGAGCTCTGTAATGGGTTATCAGTTGCTGATTTCACTGTTAATAAAGTAGTGTTTGACATCTATATTTCTATTACCCTTATATGTATAATAAGTGACTTTTGTATGCTCTTCATATATTTTTGAAGGAAAGAACTCCTGCTATATTCATCTTTATTTCTAGCAGATTACACACTAGGCCATTAATATGTTTATTGAATTTTACCAAAAGAGAAGAGCTAAGTGACTTTCTCCCTCTCTTAGGAGCACAGTGATGGGCATCTGATAGATGCATAGTATCTGTTGAGTGAATGGATGGATTGATCAATACCTTCTGATTCTTCCTGAATTGCTAACTTAACTCCATTTCCATCTCTGCTCCCCTGATCAATCTGTTCTGGAGGACCATGGTCTCTGCAGATACACTCTTTAAAACCACCAGACAGGCCCAAGTGCTTGCCTGTGAGGATTGAGTATCCACTTGAATTTTATCACTTTACTGAAAATCTGTAACACCTTCTATCTGGTTCATCTGAAATTGAAGACACCTGACTTCACATCTAGCAGCTGATAATTTGAGGATGGTTTTTAAATTTATATAAGAACCAGACAAAGCAACATTCAAAACTTCTTCTTAAGGGTGGATGGTTAATGGTCAAAAATTAGGAAAAACTTGTTACTAACAAGTTGGACTAAGGAAAATCACTTCTGACATATCCAAGACATCCTAGCCAGCAGGAATGATATTCGAGGAGATGAGTGATTTCAACACCAAATGACATCATTTTTGGCATGTTGTGGTAATGTCCATAAGACATCATTCTTGCCTTTTAAAATATCTTTGTAAGAAATAAAAATGCAAGATGACTGAGGTGATTTTTCTACATGTACATATCTGAGCAAGTGGGAAGAACAAAAACACTCTTTGGGCAACCTTGCCTGCCTGTTAGAAATTAGTTCAAATTAAGTTTTGATATACTCTCTGCTCCAAAGTGCTTTTAGACATGGTACTTTGGAGCTAAAATGAAAATACAACCAACTTTGCTTTGGATTCTTCAATGTGCGAGGTGTTTTTACATTTATTATCTCACCACGTTCTCATAGGCACACTGTGATTTCAGTATTATAAGCCACATTTTTATAAAAGAGGAAACAAAAGCTCAGAGGAGCAAAGGGACCTCCCTAATATCACATAGCTAAACAGTGAGTGACAAAGTAAGGACTTCAATGCAGATTTTTTTTGTCTTTGCCCCAAATCCAGTGCTCTTGGAACCATAAGTCATTGCCTTAGAGATCATTCTTGCCAATTCTCCTTTTTATAGATAAAAAATTAAGGTTCAAAGAGGACGAATACCTTCCTGATGCTCTCAATGGTAAGCACATTGATTCCATAGAGATTCAGTTTGCAAACCTCAAAGAAGGGTTCAGTTCCTGTTTACCAAATACTTGTATATGGGCTGCTCTAAGTATAAAGTTTCAGCACTCCTATAAAAATGCAGAATTTTCAAAGAAACAAAAAAAACACCAGAAATTGTGATTCATTTGTCTTGGAATGCCAACAGAATACTTCCTGAATACAACAGTAATATGAAATGTTTTTGTTACCTGGTACATAAAAAGTGACTTATTTGATTCTGCATACTGTTATCATAAACATTATACACTTATCTTAGTTTGCAGGGCTTTCATAACAAAGTGTCACAGACTGGTTGTCGTAAACAATAGGAATTTATTTTCTCACACTTTTGGAAGCTAGAAGTTCAAGATCAAGATGGTTGTTTTTTTCTGAAGGCTGTGAAGGGAAGATCTGTTCTAAGCCTCTATCCTTGGCTTGTTGAGAGCCATCTTCTCTGTCTTCACATAATTTTTCCTCTGTGTATGTCTGTGTTTACATTTCCTTTCCTTATAAAGACAGCTCTCATATTGGATTAAGATCCACCCTTATGACCTCATTTTAGTTTAATTATCATTTTAAAGACCCTCTCTCCAAATATGGTCATATTATTAAATGCTAGGGGGTAGGACTACAATATATAAAGTCAGGGCAATAGCACAATTTTCTCCATAACACACACAGCTAAGCCTCGGTAAAGAGATGCTTTCAGAGCTAGTTATTTAGAAAGTATAACTTTGAGGGGTGGAGTTGGGGATGGTTAATGGGTAAAAAAGAATAGTTAGAAAGGATGAATAAGACCTAGTACTTAATAGCACAACAGGGTGACTATAGTCAGTAACAACTTAATTGTTTATCTTAAAATAACTAAAATAATATAATTGGTTTGTTTTTAACACAAAAGATAAATGCTTGAGATGATAGATATTCCATTTTCCATGATGTGATTATTACGCATTGCATACCTGTATCAAAATATCTCATGTGTCCCTTAAATATATACACCTACTATTTACCCACAAAAATTAAAAATAAAAAAATAGAAAGTATAACTTGGATTTTCCCAAGCACAATATGTACTATTGGAAATCTTTGAGTTCTTGGTCCTGATTCTTTTCATGAGTCAAGATTTTGCGAGGAAAAGAAGTAGAAGTAGAACAAAAAGGAAAACATATAAGAAATTGTAGATTTCATCTTATACATGCCAGGTGGCCAAGAAGAGACCTGGGTGTGGAATCATGAAGCCTGGGCTGGTGTTGAGCTCTGTTGCTTGGCAGCTAGATCCCGAGCACCCTGCAAGCTTGCCATTTTTTCTTTCTTCCGGAAAATAACATCTTGACATAACATGGCCATTGTAAGAATTAAGTGAGTGAGTACACTTTGTACACTCTATAGAAAAGTTAGAATTTTAAAGATGGGCCCCTTTTCTTAATGGCAAACTTAAAGCACAAACATAATATTTTAAAGAAATGAAAGCAAACCTGCTCAGTTCAAAGAGGCAGTGAGGAGTGCAGCTGGAAGATGGTGCTGAAATCGCACACCAAGCCCCCACCTCTACTAACTGAAGTTTTGTAGTAACTTTGGGGCTACTATTGAGCATATTTTTTAAATAATTACTTTAGGGTCCTAGACAAATGCTAGTTATATTTTATTATATTTTTGTTTTTGTTGTATTTATATTTTTTCACCACTCTTCTCCTTTATTATTACTTTTTATTGTTTCTTGAGCCATGTGAGGTAGAATCACTTATTGTTTTCAGTTTTTAAATGTGTAGAGGCTAAAATCCAGGGTGGTTAAATAACTTCCTGATATCCTGTGGCCTAGCATTTCTTAAAATGATCTATAGGGGGATAATTTTTTTTAATTTTCAATTTTCATGAACTGATGCATTTGTGAAACACAGTAAACATGAATTACTAGACAAAGAAGGCCTATAAAAAATAAGCCTAATTTTTTATTAGCTTCAACAGACAGAAAATAATTCTACTGAATTTCTATAAAGGTTTCTATAAGTCTATTCTCATTGCATATGGTTAAACTGTATGCGACCCATGCTTTGGGTAGCACTGCAAAAAAAAACAAAAACAAAAACAAAAACAAAACGTGATATGCCAGTGCTCAAATACATGTTTTGTGTTTGGGTCAGTATTCTTCTACTTTACATCATCGTCTTTTCAATCTAAATGTTCTGAGCCCCAATTTATATATATATGAAATGCACATATTAACTCGACTCTTGTGGAATTCACAGGATTTTAAATACATTTAGAAGATATACAGTGGAACTTTGAAAGCTATAAAGAGCAAAAATATATTAATAGTTTTGGCCTGAAAATTTTATCTTGAAACAGATATAAGCTGATATAAGCAATGTTACTAAAGAACACTTAGACTTCACACACTACACTGTCCTGGTAAATTATCTCAAGTAAATTGTTTGCAAAATACACCCCTTGTGAGAGATATTTGATTATCTATATGTTGAGTTTTTAGCTACATATAGGATGATCTGTGTCCAGTTTGCCTGGGGAATTCCTGGTCTATGTCTGTTGTCTCAACTAATTATTGTGCATCTTTTTCCTCTTAAAACTCTTAGTTTGGGCAAAGAAATTATATGGTCATCCAGTCAGATGATAGATGCTGCAAAAATTTATGTTATTAGTAACAGAATGGGTGCTTTGATGGCTTTTAGCCATTGATTTTAGAAGTAATCAGATGCCTACAATAATTTCCCTACTGAAATAGTATCAGGTTGAAAACAGACAAAAAAATGATCTGTGCTTTACGAAATTAAAGCCAGATTTTAAAAATAAATATTTAGACAATGGAGATTAATAAAGAGGATAGAGAAAGAGACTAAGACTTCAAAAGAGTAAAGAGGTGAAATCTCAAAGAACTTGTGGTGAGTGAATTGCCTTTGATCAGTTCAAAAATCTACGTTTGGTTGTTTTTGTCTATTTTCTTCCATTTCATTTCCACTTAATATTCAGGTGAACCCAACTTGTCTCAGCTTTGAAAAAAAGGAAGAAAAATATATTTTGGGGCCCTTCCATGCTTGAAAAGAAGGTGAAAAGGGAGAGCTGGTACCCACCAGGGGAACCAGGTGATGTCCCGTCATGCAGAGGAAATTCAGGGAGAGGACTCCTAGGAGAAAGCCAGCCTGAGTAGGGTGAGTCAAAGCTTCCACTAACCCGGGGGCTCTGGCATTTACCACCTCTTGCCAGATGATGTGATGACCTCTGAATTGTCTCCTGGCTTCTTCCATTCTTCTCCCTTTGAATCCATCTGCTACAAAATCATCACATGGATCTATCAGGTTATGACAATCTTCTACTTAAAGCCTCTCAGTGACTCCCATATTTTCCTAAGATTTATCCAGATATCTTAACATGCTAAATTAGTCCATCCCAAATTTGGTCAATTCCTTTGTTTCCAGCCTTAAGAGCTCTTCCTTTTCTGATTTCCTCTTCACATTTTATCAGTAACTATACAAAATCTCCATGTAAACAGATCAAAAGCAGTCAAATATTAGCATCTCATATGGTTCAACCTATTAGAAAGACAGATGGCTTTGAAGTTTTTCAAAAGGGCCATTGATGTGTCACCTGTCCCTGTCACTTGCATCTATTCATGAGGTCCTTTCAGCATTCATTCACCCCATAAATATTTATTAAGTGCCTCATGTGTGGCAGGGTCTCTTCTAAGAGTTGGGAAGGCAGTGACAAATATGATACATAGAGTCCCTGAGATTTTACCTTCCTGTGGATGAGTAGTCGATAAACACATGAGTATATATGTACCATAATATCAGGTAGGTGATAAGAGCTACTAAAAGAAATGGAGGAGAGTGAGGCGATGGAGACTGATGGAAAAGGAAGAACAAGTTATACTTCTGTGCCTGGAATACCCTTTCTTCCACCTTAATTTCTCAGCTTTGTTAGATCTTCAACATTCTGCTGAGGCCTCACCTTTTTCATGGGTAGCACCCCTGCCCCACCCTGACACACACAGACATAGTAGATCCTTCTTTTGGAGGCTAATGTCATGATGCCCTCTAGTTCTTATGTATGGATTTGGATTTAGACATATGCTGTGTCTAATTGTTTCATTTTATCTAAGTCTCAGTTTACTCCTCTGTACCATTAAGATAATAAAACCCCTTTTGCTTCACGAGGTTTCTGTGAGCTTCAAATGAATGAAAGCACTTTGAAAATTACAAATTACATTGCTAATTTTAAAGTATTATACAAATTTAATCAGCTATTAGTATCATCTTGCTACAATGATGAACTGATGATGGTTTCAAGAGCAGCAAGGTCATCTGAGCTCTCAAGACACTTTTAACCAAATGATCCAGTCATTCATTCCAAAAGTATTGTGTATGTGCTATGTGGCAGTTTGTGTTCTAGGTATGGGACACAAAAGCACTTTTCCTTCATGAAGTTCACTTGCAGTTTATTTGGATAAAAAACAATTTTAAAATATACAGACTATTATAGTAGATATTGCTAAATGCCACGCATGATATTTTCTAAATTCAATTTGGCTTTCTCTAAGCCTTCCTCTCACATTAGTAATAATATATAAGTTTTTTCCTCCAATTAAATCTATATGGAACCATCCAGTATTAAATTATATGGCCTCAGGAGATAAAAAATAACAAAGAATTATTCCCAGTGGTAGTGTCAACTTTTCTACAAAATTAATTAATCACTGCAGATGAATGTGGCTGGAACAGGTGACAGATTGATGCTGACTGAAAAGTAACAACTTTGAAAATCCCAAGCAGATAACATAATTTATTGGTGAAAATCACAACACACTCATAATTAGTAAATCTTTCAGAGTACATAGGAATTGAAAGAAAGGAAAACAAAATAAACATCTAATTTATATACTGAAAATCCTTGTTATCTGAACATATTATTCCATGTTTAATAAGGTTTGCTGAATTTGATAATATATTACAAAATATTTTCAACATGGAGATTTTTATTTTCCATTTCAAAAAAGTTTTGGAAGAAATGTCTATCAAATTTTGTTGCTCAAACTCCAGCTTCGTTTTCAAATTGTGCACAAAATTTAATCCAAGGGACTGGCCCTTTTATTACAAAATATTAAGAGGATAATAATGATAATTAAAATGGAAATACGTATGGTCTATCATCAGTAATATTCTTCAGCAGTAACTTATTTTTCTTCAATACTCCAATCTAGTTAAGTGTTAATAAAACTTACCTAATAACATCTGTAAGTGGCTGGTTTGGATGAGAGACCAGCATTCCATTGCTGTATTTGACACTTCTAAAAAATCTACTAAATAAATGAGATATTTCTTTCCAGAATCCATGGAAACATGTCAATTTAGTCAATTCTATAGTTTTTATATATCTGATTTTTCATGATGTACTGTCAAGAATAAATGATTTAAAATTAGAAGATGGGCTGTGAGTCTGTAATATTTGACATTCAATACTTATAAAACATAGAGGATGAAGATGATAATCATAGTCATTTATGCTTTGCCTACTTGAAAAAGGTGCTCATTTCTTATTAAATAAGACATTTTTTGCCACTGATAAATATGTGTGGCACTCTTATCATATGTCAGAACTTGTGATGATAATTCAAAGATAAAATGCAATAGCTGAACTCAACAAATTTACAGACAGGCAAGAAAGATTTCTAAAGAGAATAATCAAAGAGTTTAATAAGAACTGCAAGAGAGGTCCTAAAGTAGCCCAGTGAGGAGAAAACTTAAAAATCAGATTCAAGGATTGAGGGATCATGGACATTTTAATAAAGAAAGTAACAGTGATTTACCATAAGCTTTAGATTTTCCCCTGATCACCAGGTTGTTTACTTGATTTATTAGTTTGTTTTTAAGCTGCTGATAAAGACATACTTGAGACTAAGTAATTTATAAAGAAAAAGTTGTTTAATGGACTCACAGTTCCATGTGGCTGGGGAGGCCTCACAATCATGGTGAAAGGTGAAAGGCACATCTTACATGGCAGCAGACAAGAGAGAGTGAGAATCAAGTGAAAGGAGTTTCCTCTTATAAAACCATCAGATCTCGTAGGCTTATTCACTATCATGAGAACCACCCCCATGATTCAATTAACTCCCACTGGCTCCCTCCCACAACATGTGGGAATTATGAGAGCTACAATTCAAGATGAGATTTGGGTGCGGACATGGCCAAACCATATCACTTGACATCTCTACTTCATAAACTAATGAACAACTCAAACTTAACATAAGGAAAAGAGCCACCTAATTACCAGCCAGACTTCCCTATCCTATTAAACAAAACCTACATTTTTTCAATTACTCAGCCAAAAATGTACATGCTGTTTTAGACTTTATTATATTTTATATTAAATTCAACATCATACAATAACTCTACTACATATTCTCATTTTGATAACTCCTTAGTGTCCCAAAGCTACAACCCCAGAGCAAGCCATTTTCTCTCTCAATCACCTGAAAGATTGTGGGAAGAAGTCTCCTTATTACCACTCTCCAATAGTCCTTCCTCTACATAAAACTGCCTTTGGTAAAGGGTAAGTTAGATCACCTTGCTCCCCAGCTTATAACTCTATAATCATCCCTTTTTATGTTAAGAAAAATAAACAACAACAAAAAATCACCAAGTCAACCTGTTAAGCCCCTGCTCATCTCCTCTGGGAATACTTGTCTGAACATCATCAAGAGAACTCAATTAAGTCCCACCCCGATTCCCCAGTCTGTGCTCCCACGATGTGCCATGCACATCACACCCTTTGCACTTTCCACAATGTACTGCAATGATCTGTGCATGTTCCTAAAAGGCTGAGAGCTCCTTGTGTGTCTAACATGCTGGGAGATTTATGAGGGCAGATGTCAGGTTATTCCTTTATATTCCTAGTACCAGCATAATTTATGAAACCTATGATGGTTATTATTTCTGCACCTATATGTTTGTGAAAGTTTTAACTTGTCTCTAGCTAGTCATGACTTCCTTGAATAAAACTCAACAGCTCCCTGAATCTCTGTAAAAACATGGGAGTAAAATTTTTCATCTGACAAGAAGTTATTATGATGGCTGATTTTATGTGTCAACTTCACTGGGCCATAGGATGCCCAGACAGCTGATTAGACATTATTTCTGGGTGAGGACATTTCCAGAAGATATTAGCATTTGAATTAGGAAACTGAGTAAAGCAGGTGGCTTTCCCCAGTGTGAGTGGACATCACTGAATCCATTGAGAGACTGACTAGAACAACAAGGTGCAGGAAGGCTGAATTAAGTCTACCTGACTGATTCAGCTGATCAGTTCAGGGCATTGATCTTTTGCCCTCAGTTCTTCTGATTCTCAGGCCTTCAGACATGGACTGGAATCTACCCCATTGGCTATGCAGCTTTCAGGGTTTTGAACTACACCACCAGCTTTCCTGAGTGTACAGCTTGCAAATGGCAGATATTCAGCCACCATAATGCAATTTTCAGCCTCCATAATTATGATGTGACCCAATGCCTAATAACTGATTCATATTGTTATAAAAAGATCTTTTCCACTGTCTAAGTGCTCATTCTTTACCCTTTTTGCTTGTCTGTCTCCACTTTAGAAGAAGAAAAAACCTAAATGTCCTGCCTCTCTTGCAGCTAAGAGCAGCCATAACACACAAGTCTTGTCAAAATGAAAGTGGTAGTCTGCTGGGGGTGTGTATGATGTCAGTTTCTATTCCCTAGGAAGATTATATATATATATATGCATGAAGTAAACAGTAATTTGATGAGTACTGATTCTGAGTTCAAAGTGCTCTGTAAATTATTTGAAGGAAGATGCTGTGGCAGATTAAACTAGAAAAATACTGATCAAAGTGCCAGGATATAAGCTGGGCTATGAGGGATATGTCAGAAGATAGGAGGATGGCAGGCATTTTTGAGTCTTAAAGTTTTGTTTTTACCTCTGTGATGAGATTGGAGGCATTTCAAATGAGAGTAACACTTAATCGAAAACAAAACAAAACAAGAAAAACAAATAGATGGCAATATAAGTTCAAAATTAATGATTGAGAACACATACAAAATATTCATTATGACGTGTGCTACTACACAAAGCTTCTCTGTTGTAAGCTGTGTCTGGTTTCTGACTTTTTTTTTTTTTTTGAGATGGAGTCTCGCTCTGTTGCCCAGGCTGGAGTGCAGTGGTGCGATCTCGGCTCACTGCAGCCTCCGCCTCCCGGGTTGATGCCATTCTCCTGCCTCAGCCTCCCCAGTAGCTGGGACTACAGGCACCTGCCACCACGCCTGGCTATTTTTTTTTTTTTTTTGCATTTTTAGTAGAGACAGGGTTTCACTGTGTTAGCCAGGATGGTCTCGATCTCCTGACCTCGTGATCTGCCTGCTTCGGCCTCCCAAAGTGCTGGGATTGCAGGCATGAGCCACCGTGACCAGCCTGTTTCTGACCTTTTGAATTTTTTTTTTCAGACACTGCCTCAGTTTTTGTTTCCACAGAAGCAGAGTTTGATCCAAGGACTTAGGTATGGGTGGTTGATTTGGGAAATCATTACATGAAGCATGAGTGAGAGCCTGAGGAGACTGAGACCAGAAGAAGGAAAAGCCAACAGGAGTGGCATTGCCACTGTAGGCAGTAGGGGCTTGGTTCTACTGGGGCCTCTGAAGAACCAATGCATCCCAGAATTTCTGCCCGAATAATGGGAAATGGGGGGCATTTATCCACTGGCTTCTATACTGTGTTGGTTGAGGGTGTTCTTTGGGGTATCAATAAACCTCTGGGCTGCCCTTGTGCATGGGGCCCATTGACTTCTTCAGCCTCAGAAAGAGCCCTTTTCTAAGGCAGATAGTGGCAAGACTGGCTTGAGAGGTGAGGGTTTGTTGTAATCTGAGTGTGAGCTCACGTAGAGCTGTCCATCACAGTGGTGAACACAGAGGCTGGCCAAGAGGGGTGTGCTGTGGGGCACTGAGAGCATCTGCTACTGGCAGCAATCCCTACCCTTTGAAAGTCACCGAGCTCCTTTTCCTCAGTTCTGGCCTCTGCCACTCCCAGACACATGGGTGGTTCAGAAAAACACACTGCCTTTCCCACCCATGGCCTCATGAATTTCCAAAATTACTTCCTCCTGACCTTGAACCTCTCTGCAGGACAGATTCATTCAGTAGTTGAATGTCACCAGTTCTGAACACTGACCCCCTGCCACCCTCAAAAGTAGAAGATGAGCTACTAAAGCAAGCTGGGGCCTGGAGCCTTCCCTCTGCCTCACTTCTTGTCCTGGAGAGCTCTGGCTTTTATCATAAATATCATTTACCTAGAACTGCCTGTGTCACTGATGCCAGGTGAAATGATTCATAGATGTGGCCTTATTTTATCCTCATATCATTCATTGTGAAATGATCATCATGCTCCCCATTTTATAGCCAAAGAAACTGAATCCAAGAAGGAAACCATGCTGAGTTAGCAGGTAGCAGAATGAAAGTTTGAACCCAGTTCATGAAAACTGCACAAATCACCATCTCAACAATACCACCATGACTGTTTGTTTGCACTCTTCAACTCCCAATCTCGCCCCACGCTGCCTTCACACCTTCAGACTGTGCTCTGCTGTTAAAGTTGAGGGCTTGTTATGCTTCGTTCATTGAGGTCCATTAGCGTCCTGCTCCTTATTTTCCCCCAGGAGGCCCTTCCCCTGTGACGGATGTATATCTGCTCTCTGCCTCAAATGCCCCCAATTAGAGTGACTTCATGGCTTCTCCTAGCAGTCTGTTCCATTGCCTAACTGCTCCCAGTGGTCTAACATTTTCCCTGATATTTAGCTTTGATACTCCTCACTGCAGCTTACAGCTTGTTAATTCTCATTCTGCCCTTGCTGATTAATAAGAAGACTGATCCCTGCCCTTCTCACAATATCTTTTTATGAATGTGTCGGCAGAATGATGGCTCCCTTCAGCAGCCCTTCCTCAAGCTTGAGCTGCTCCAGCTCTATTAACCTCCCCACAGAGGTATCACTCTCCAAGCCTGGGACTATTTGTGTCCCTCTCCTCTCAACTGTGTCAATTAGCCTATGTCCTTGGATAATTTATAGTGTCCAGAAGGGAGCCCAGGGTTGGAGAGACAGCCAACTCCAGGCAGAGACAGTCACAATGCTGTTGAAATTCACTTACTCCTTTTGCAAAGTGATATCTTAGTTATTTTTTCCCTGAGGCAGACAGCCAAGATTTCTCTTCTCAATGTCCTTTTTATGAACTTGGACTAATAGAGGGTGGAAGCTGATTGGGACTCACTGGATCATCTCCTTTATTTGGAAGTGAGTAAATGGAGGCATAGAGGGAGTGAGGACAGTGCCCAAGGCTACTCAGTGGCTCAGTGATCCAGAGAGAGTGAGGACCAGCTCTGCAGTTTTCTAGGTCAGTATTCCTTTCATTGTATCCATGAGACTGGATTTCTGAATATATGATACAACTGGTTCTACCAAAAGAAATAGAGCCCAGGACTGTGTTGCCATTGCAGGCAATGGAGCAAAGAGGTGTATGGAGAAGAGCGGTGTGCAAGATCTGATGTCAAGTAAGGTGTAGACTCATAAGGGACCAGTGGATTTGGCAGTGGAGAATCACACGATGATTTGGGGAACATATTTTGTGAAAAAATGCAGGGATAAATGAATGGTTTTGATTTGACATGCTAAGGAGTGGAATACTGAGGAAGAGGCAAGTGGGCTTTTGACCGGCTTCTTTGAGAAAACATTTTAAGATAATGGTGTAGTATAATCTAATAGTTAAGAAAACAGACTTTGGATTAGACAGATTTGATTCCATAATCAAATCCTAATCCTTTGGATTAGGTAGATTTGACTCCACAATCTACCATCTACTAGCTGTGTATCCTTGGTCAATTTACCTAACCTATCGGAGTCTATTTTCTCTTCTATAAAACAATAATAGCATAATAAAAGTAAACATCTATATGTTTACTTTTAAAAATATATTATTTATATATAATATATAACATACCATATGTCTATATATGACACATTTGTTATGTTACATAAAATATCTGATACTACACATAATTTATTATGTTTTGTTACACATGTTATAGTACATATATTTATAATATAAACTAATGACAATTGAAAATAATAATGAGATCTACTTCTCAGGGCTGATGTGATAGTTTTATGTGATAATAACTCTAAAAAATGATTAATATTATATATATGGTTCATAGTTAATGCATAACAAATATACTAGCTACAGCCATTAGTATTCATTGCCCTTACTGTCATCATCATCGTCGTCATCATCATCATCATCATCATCATTTTCATCACCATTATTGCAGTACAGGTGAACTAACAACTTGACCTCTTTTCTAGAGTCATCTTCCAGACCACCTGCCTTCTCACTCCTAGCAAGTGATTCTTCCTCCCTCCCTTATTTCACAGAGACAACAGATCATTAGATATGAAATACTTCACTTTGCTCTTCTTACCACTGACAAATTTACCAAGTCTCATGCATCCTTCTACCTTCATTTCTCTTCTTATTGGAATAGCTGTTTTCGTTTTAGTTTTTGTCTAAGACGTAATGTTTGACACTACCTCTGGCTCAATGCTTTTTCTATGAGACTTCATTGTCCTATTATAATATCCATCTTCAAGATATTATATTGCTGCAAGCTGGCCTTCCCTCCAGACTATACATTCCTAACAATGGGCTGCTTTTTTTTTTTTATCATCTTTTACAATACGGATAGGCTGAATATTTCTGAAGTCAACGAATCCTGTTTCGTTTTTGCTAAACAGTTTTTTCTTCAATTTATCTCTTTTCTCTTGCATTTTCTCTTGCATTTCACTATAAGCAACAAGAAGAAACCAGTCTGTGTCTTCAATACTTTGGCTGGAAACCTCCTCAGCTAAATATCCAAGTTAATCAGTTTATCACTTACAAGTTCTGCTTTCCACTCAATTGTAGGACACAATTTGGCTAAGTTTTTGGCCCCTATAAACAAAGATTGGTTATTTTCCAGTTTCCAATAACATGTTGCTTATTTCCT
The DNA here is from genome assembly GCF_000001405.40 of Homo sapiens. Classification (NCBI taxonomy): domain Eukaryota; kingdom Metazoa; phylum Chordata; class Mammalia; order Primates; family Hominidae; genus Homo; species Homo sapiens. The sequence continues at coordinate 12,910,142 of NC_000004.12, read as the reverse complement.
TCTTGAGCATTCAACCTTAATGTCTTTACTGTTCATATTTCTACCAACACTGTGTTTAAGGCTATCTAGGGTTTTATTTTTCCTTAAACTGCATCTCAAAATTTATATAGCCTCTAGCCATTTCTAATTCTAAAGCCAATTCCACATGTTCAGGTATTTATTATAGCAGCATCTCCTTTGCTAGCACCAATATCTGCATTAGTTTTCTGTGGCCCTTATAACAAATGATCGCCAACTTGGTGGCTTAAAACAACAAAAATTAATTCTTTTACAATTCTGGAGATTAGAAATATAAAATCAGTATCACTGGGCCAAAATCAAAGTGTCAGCAGGGCTGCACTTCCTCTAAAGACAGTAGGAAAGAATCAGTTACCTCTTTTACCTTCTGGTGGCTGCCTGCATACCATGGCTTCTGGCCGTATCAATCTGTTTCCATGATCACACTGCCTTTTCCTCTTCTGTGTGTGTCACATATTTCTGCCTTCCTCTTAAAAGGATGCTGGTGATTATATTCATTGTCCACCCAGATAATTCAGGATAATCTCTCGATCTCAAGACTCTTAACTGTCATGTTTGCAAAGTTACTTTTTCCATATAAGGTAACATTTAAAGACTCCAGGGATTTGGGCCTGATATATTTGGGATCATTGTTTCACCTACTATACAATCTGATCAGTTTCTTTTTTTTTTATTATTATTATTATACTTTAAGTTTTAGGGTACATGTGCACAATGTGCAGGTTAGTTACATATGTATACATGTGCCATGCTGGTGCGCTGCACCCACTAACTCGTCATCTCGCATTAGGTATATCTCCCAATGCCATCCCTCCCCCCTCCCCCCACCCCACAACAGTCCCCAGAGTGTGATGTTCCCCTTCCTGTGTCCATGTGTTCTCATTGTTCAATTCCCACCATGAGTGAGAATATGCGGTGTTTGGTTTTTTGTTCTTGCAATAGTTTACTGAGAATGATGATTTCCAATTTCATCCATGTCCCTACAAAGGACATGAACTCATCATTTTTTATGGCTGCATAGTATTCCATGGTGTATATGTGCCACATTTTCTTAATCCAGTCTATCATTGTTGGACATTTGGGTTGGTTCCAAGTCTTTGTTATTATGAATAATGCCGCAATAAACATACGTGTGCATGTGTCTTTATAGCAGCATGATTTATAGTCCTTTGGGTATATACCCAGTAATGGGATGGCTGGGTCAAATGGTATTTCTAGTTCTAGATCCCTGAGGAATGGCCACACTGACTTCCACAATGGCTGAACTAGTTTACAGTCCCACCAACAGTGTAAAAGTGTTCCTATTTCTCCACATCCTCTCCAGCACCTGTTGTTTCCTGACTTTTTAATGATTGCCATTCTAACTGGTGTGAGATGGTATCTCATTGTGGTTTTGATTTGCATTTCTCTGACGGCCAGTGATGATGAGCATTTTTTCATGTGTTTTTTGGCTGCATAAATGTATTCTTTTGAGAAGTGTCTGTTCATGTCCTTCGCCCACTTTTTGATGGGGTTGTTTGTTTTTTTCTTGTAAATTTGTTTGAGTTCATTGTAGATTCTGAATATTATCCCTTTGTCAGATGAGTAGGTTGCAAAAATTTTCTCCCATTTTGTAGGTTGCCTGTTCACTCTGATGGTAGTTTCTTTTGCTGTGCAGAAGCTCTTTAGTTTAATTAGATCCCATTTGTCAATTTTGGCTTTTGTTGCCATTGCTTTTGGTGTTTTAGACATGAAGTCCTTGCCCATGCCTATGTCCTGAATGGTATTGCCGAGGTTTTCTTCTAGGGTTTTTATGGTTTTAGGTCTAACGTTTAAGTCTTTAATCCACCTTGAATTGATTTTTGTATAAGGTGTAAGGAAGGGATCCAGTTTCAGCTTTCTACATATGGCTAGCCAGTTTTCCCAGCACCATTTATTAAATAGGGAATCCTCTCCCCATTGCTTGTTTTTCTCAGGTTTGTCAAAGATCAGATAGTTGTAGATATGTGGCGTTATTTCTGAGGGCTCTGTTCTGTTCCATTGATCTATGTCTCTGTTTTGGTATCAGTACCATGCTGTTTTGGTTACTGTAGCCTTGTAGTATAGTTTGAAGTCAGGTAGTGTGATGCCTCCAGCTTTGTTCTTTTGGCTTAGGATTGACTTGGCGATGCGGGCTCTTTTTTGGTTCCATATGAACTTTAAAGTAGTTTTTTCCAATTGTGTGAAGAAAGTCATTGGTAGCTTGATGGGGATGGCATTGAATCTGTAAATTACCTTGGGCAGTATGGCCATTTTCACGATATTGATTCTTCCTACCCATGAGCATGGAATGTTCTTCCATTTGTTTGTATCCTCTTTTATTTCCTTGAGCAGTGGTTTGTAGTTCTCCTTGAAGAGGTCCTTCACATCCCTTGTAAGTTGGATTCCTAGGTATTTTATTCTCTTTGAAGCAATTGTGAATGGGAGTTCACTCATGATTTGGCTCTCTGTTTGTCTGTTGTTGGTGTATAAGAATGCTTGTGATTTTTGTACATTGATTTTGTATCCTGAGACTTTGCTGAAGTTGCTTATCAGCTTAAGGAGATTTTGGGCTGAGACGATGGGGTTTTCTAGATATACAATCATGTCGTCTGCAAACTGGGACAATTTGACTTCCTCTTTTCCTAATTGAATACCCTTTATTTCCTTCTCCTGCCTAATTGCCCTGGCCAGAACTTCCAACACTATGTTGAATAGGAGTGGTGAGAGAGGGCATCCCTGTCTTGTGCCAGTTTTCAAAGGGAATGCTTCCAGTTTTTGCCCATTCAGTATGATATTGGCTGTGGGTTTGTCATAGATAGCTCTTATTATTTTGAAATACATCCCATCAATACCTAATTTATTGAGAGTTTTTAGCATGAAGGGTTGTTGAATTTTGTCAAAGGCCTCTTGTGCATCTATTGAGATAATCATGTGGTTTTTGTCTTTGGTTCTGTTTATATGCTGGATTACATTTATTGATTTGTGTATATTGAACCAGCCTTGCATCCCAGGGATGAAGCCCACTTGATCATGGTGGATAAGCTTTTTGATGTGCTGCTGGATTCGGTTTGCCAGTATTTTATTGAGGATTTTTGCATCAATGTTCATCAAGGATATTGGTCTAAAATTCTCTTTTTTGGTTGTGTCTCTGCCAGGCTTTGGTATCAGGTGGATGCTGGCCTCATAAAATGAGTTAGGGAGGATTCCTTCTTTTTCTATTGATTGGAATAGTTTCAGAAGGAATGGTACCGGTTCCTCCTTGTACCTCTGGTAGAATTCAGCTGTGAATCCATCTGGTCCTGGACTCTTTTTGGTTGGTAAGCTATTGATTATTGCCACAATTTCAGCTCCTGTTATTGGCCTATTCAGAGATTCAACTTCTTCCTGGTTTAGTCTTGGGAGGGTGTATGTGTCAAGGAATTTATCCATTTCTTCTAGATTTTCTAGTTTATTTGCGTAGAGGTGTTTGTAGTATTCTCTGATGGTAGTTTGTATTTCTGTGGGATCGGTGGTGATATCCCCTTTATCATGTTTTATTGCGTCTATTTGATTCTTCTCTCTTTTTTTCTTTATTAGTCTTGCTAGTGGTCTATCAATTTTGTTGGTCCTTTCAGAAAGCCAGCTCCTGGATTCATTAATTTTTTGAAGGGTTTTTTGTGTCTCTATTTCCTTCAGTTCTGCTCTGATTTTAGTTATTTCTTGCCTTCTGCTAGCTTTTGAATGTGTTTGCTCTTGCTTTTCTAGTTCTTTTAATTGTGATGTTAGGGTGTCAATTTTGGATCTTTCCTGCTTTCTCTTGTGGGCATTTAGTGCTATAAATTTCCCTCTACACACTGCTTTGAATGTGTCCCAGAGATCCTGGTATGTTGTGTCTTTGTTCTCGTTGGTTTCAAAGAACATCTTTATTTCTGCCTTCATTTCGTTATGTACCCAGTAGTCATTCAGGAGCAGGTTGTTCAGTTTCCATGTAGTTGAGCGGTTTTGAGTGAGATTCTTAATCCTGAGTTCTAGTTTGATTGCACTGTGGTCTGAGAGATAGTTTGTTATAATTTCTGTTCTTTTGCATTTGCTGAGGACTGCTTTACTTCCAAGTATGTGGTCAATTTTGGAATAGGTGTGGTGTGGTGCTGAAGAAAATGTATATTCTGTTGATTTGGGGTGGAGAGTTCTGTAGATGTCTATTAGGTCTGCTTGGTGCAGAGCTGAGTTCAATTCCTGGGTATCCTTGTTGACTTTCTGTCTCATTGATCTGTCTGATGTTGACAGTGGGGTGTTAAAGTCTCCCATTATTAATGTGTGGGAGTCTAAGTCTCTTTGTAGGTCACTCAGGACTTGCTTTATGAATCTGGGTGCTCCTGTATTGGGTGCATGTATATTTAGGATAGTTAGCTCTTTTTGTTGAAGTGATCCCTTTACCATTATGTAATGGCCTTCTTTGTCTCTTTTGATCTTTGTTGATTTAAAGTCTGTTTTATCAGAGACTAGGATTGCAACCCCTGCCTTTTTTTGTTTTCCATTTGTTTGGTAGATCTTCCTCCATCCTTTTATTTTGAGCCTATGTGTGTCTCTGCACATGAGATGGGTTTCCTGAATACAGCACACTGATGGGTCTTGACTCTTTATCCAATTTGCCAGTCTGTGTCTTTTAATTGGAGCATTGAGTCCATTTACATTTAAAGTTAATATTGTTATATGTGAATTTGATCGTGTCGTTATGATGTTAGCTGCTTATTTTGCTCGTTAGTTGATGCAGTTTCTTCCTAGTCTCGATGGTCTTTACATTTTGGTATGATTTTGCAGTGGCTGGTATCGGTTGTTCCTTTCCATGTTTAGCACTTCCTTCAGGAGCTCTTTTAGGGCAGGCCTGGTGGTGACAAAATCTCTCAGCATTTGCTTGTCTGTAAAGTAGTTTATTTCTCCTTCACTTATGAAGCTTAGTTTGGCTGGATATGAAATTCTGGGTTCAAAATCCTTTTCTTTAAGAATGTTGAATATTGGCCTCCACTCTCTTCTGGCCTGTAGAGTTTCTGCTGAGAGATCCGCTGTTAGTCTGACGGGCTTCCCTTTGAGGGTAACCCGACTTTTCTCTCTGGCTGCCCTTAACATTTTTTCCTTCATTTCAACTTTGACGAATCTGACAATTATGTGTTTTGGAGTTGCTCTTCTCGAGGAGTATCTTTGTGGCGTTCTCTGTATTTCCTGAATCTGAATGTTGGCCTGCCTTGCTAGATTGGGGAAGTTCTCCTGGATAATATCCTGCAGAGTGTTTTCCAACTTGGTTCCATTCTCCCTGTCACTTTCAGGTACACCAGTCAGACATAGATTTGGTCTTTTCACATAGTCCCATATTTCTTGTAGGCTTTGCTCGTTTCGTTTTATTCTTTTTTCTCTAAACTTCCCTTCTCGCTTCATTTCATTCATTTCATCTTCCATCACTGATACCCTTTCTTCCAGTTGATTGCATTGGCTCCTGAGGCTTCTGCATTCTTCACGTAGTTCTCGAGCCTTGGTTTTCAGCTCCATCAGCTCCTTTAAGCACTTCTCTGTATTGGTTATTCTAGTTATACATTCTTCTAAATTTTTTTTCAAAGTTTTCAACTTCTTTGCCTTTGGTTTCAATGTCCTCCCGTAGCTCAGAGTCATTTGATCATCTGAAGCCTTCTTCTCTCAGCTCGTCAAAGTCATTCTCTGTCCAGCTTTGTTCCGTTGCTGGTGAGGAACTGCGTTCCTTTGGAGGAGGAGAGGTGCTCTGCTTTTTAGAGTTTCCAGTTTTTCTGCTCTGTTTTTTCCCCATCTTTGTGGTTTTATCTACTTTTGGTCTTTGATGATGGTGATGTACAGATGGGTTTTTGGTGTGGATGTCCTTTCTGTTTGTTAGTTTTCCTTCTAACAGACAGGACCCTCAGCTGCAGGTCTGTTGGAGTACCCAGCCGTGTGAGGTGTCAGTCTGCCCCTGCTGGGGGGTGCCTCCCAGTTAGGCTGCTCGGGGGTCAGGGGACAGGGACCCACTTGAGGAGGCAGTCTGCCCGTTCTCAGATCTCCAGCTGCGTGCTGGGAGAACCACTGCTCTCTTCAAAGCTGTCAGACAGGGACATTTAAGTCTGCAGGTTACTGCTGTCTTTTTGTTTGTCTGTGCCCTGCCCCCAGAGGTGGAGCCTACAGAGGCACGCAGGCCTCCTTGAGCTGTGGTGGGCTCCACCCAGTTCGAGCTTCCTGGCTGCTTTGTTTACCCAAGCAAGCCTGGGCAATGGCGGGCGCCCCTCTCCCAGCCTCGCTGCCGCCCTGCAGTTTGATCTCAGACTGCTGTGCTAGCAATCAGCAAGACTCCGTGGGCGTAGGACCCTCCAAGCCAGGTGCAGGATATAATCTCGTGGTGCGCCGTTTTTTCAGCCCGTTGGAAAAGCGCAGTATTCGGGTGGGAGTGACCCAATTTTCCAGGTGCCGTCTGTCACCCCTTTCTTTGACTAGGAAAGGGAGCTCCCTGACCCCTTGCACTTCCCGAGTGAGGCAATGCCTTGCCCTGCTTCAGCTCGCGCACTGTGCATGCACCCACTGACCTGCGCCCACTGTCTGGCACTCCCTAGTGAGATGAACCCAGTGCCTCAGATGGAAATGCAGAAATCACCCGTCTTCTGCGTCGCTCACGCTGGGAGCTGTAGACGGCAGCTGTTCCTATTCGGCCATCTTGGCTCCCTGATCAATTTCTTAAAAAAAAAAAAAAAGTAACTATTTTTGAAGTTATCTTCATTTCATAGTATTTTTTTTTAAGTTTAGATAAAAATATCTACGGTGTTAAGACAATTATTAGCATAAGCACATTAAATTGCTCAACACTGTGGTAGACATTAGATATGCATAATCTTGTTTGATTTTTAAAATGAACTTCTTGGTCAGTATTTTGATACCCACTTTATAGTTAAAGGAAAAGATTGATAATCTGCATAACTAATACATGGTCTACTAGAAGTTAAATTGGAGTTTGTCTGATTTTAAAACCTGAGTTCTCCCTAGGTCTAGACTACTCTGCTCTATGCACTTTGGTATTAGGGCTTTTTGGAGGCTTGAGGTATGTCATCCACAAAGCAAACAAAGAAGGCTTAGAAGTGTAAGTTTCAAGAATGACGTACATTTTTTATTCAGCTTCTTTCAACAATGGTGCTGCTGTCACTCATCCTTGGCAGTCCATCATACATGTGTGTGGCCACGGGTGTACTTTCAGCTGACCACATTGGTCACCAGGCTGTGACCACACAATTCACAAATGGAGTTACAAGCTCAAAGAAGTCTTCATACATACAGGGCCTTCTCAGAAATAGTCTCAGTGACCACACCCCATCTATCTTCCTGGGTTCAATGGGCTGAGTTTAGGGAATATCTTGGTGTGGATATAGCCTTCCATTCCTGTGTAATTACCCAGTTTTTTTTTATTCCAGTTGTCCTGAAAAACATGTCATGGTCTTGCTGTGGGAAAAGGAAATATGTTCTTGTTTACATAAAATAGGAGTAGGAAGTGCTATCTAAAGCTGACAAGATAGGTGGAGATGAAGCTTTAGAGAATGCAGATGAAGCAGATGAGATATTCAGCTTTTGGGGTAGGTTTCAGGGGGAAATGGTAATTATGTGTGACCTCTAAATATAAGTAATATTTGGCTGCATGAGGATTGTAAGATATGGCAAAAAGCATTTTGGTTAGGCTCAAAGACAAGAATGCATAGTGTCTTGAAGAAAACAACAGATTATTCATTTGACTAGAGCACAGTGAAAAAAATAAAAGAAGAGAGGGTTAAGGTTAGAGGTATAGGCTCAGGATTGTCAGATTGTCTTTTGGATTTCAGATTTAATTGTGTTTGAAATACAAATTCGGGACAGAGTAGTCACATCATCAAGAATATTCTTAGTGCACCAATAATCTGACAATTGGTGGAATGGATAAGAGAGAAAGAGACTACAGGCAAGAGAAAAGGGTAGGAGGCCAATGTTCAGGCAGGAGGTAATGATAACTTAAACTAGGGCAGTAGCAGAAAGGGAAAGGAAAGAAAAGAAGACCAAACATATTGTGTAAGTAAAATCCACAGACTGCATGAACTGATGGATAGTGTTGGCTAAGAAAAGGTACTTGAATTCAGAGTTCTAGCTTACTTGACTGAGGTACAGACATACTGGCTAGGGTTATTTACAAGTGATAGAAACATACACTGGCTCACTTTAACAAAATGTCTTTTTTAAATGATTTTTAAGGAAGGATTTGGAAGTCACTCAAAGATTGAAAGGACATTAAAATGAGGCCTCCAAAAAGGAAAGAAATGAGAAAACTCTAGGAATTAAAGGATAGTCTACTAAGACTTTACCCTTCAGGATAAATCAGATTGAATCATTTAGTCTACTTAGTCTAAAGATTGAAGTTCCACAGAATAGGGGAAGAAAAAGAGAGAGAGAGAGAGACAGAAAGAAAGAAAGAAAGAAACAAGAGAAGGGAAGGGAAAGGAAGTCCCATTTATTGGTTGTATGCCTACTCCCTGGCCAGAGGGCGGGATGGCTTGATTGTTAGGCCATCAAGATTCTATCTGACAGGTGAGAGATAATTTCCCAAAAAAATCTTGCCAGAAAATGGGAAGGATGCTGACTAAGAAAAAACTGAGGATATCCACCTCTGAGGGCTAAGAATAATACAGAAATTTCAGGCTTCAGAGCCAGAGCTTGCTCTGTGGGATATCAACTCTTTCACCTGCCTATTGAGTAACCCTGTGAAAATCACTTAAGCTCTCCTAGTGAAGAACATTAAGAGCAAATGCACATACTAATGAAGGTATTATGATTTATCTCCTGTTTGATTTTAAGGGAAATATTTGGTTAGAGTAAATTATATTAAGGAAAATTTATTCTATTCCTTGTTTACTAAAAGTTTGTTTTCTGGGTCATGAACTATTGTTAAATATATACCTGATAGTAGTGTATTATTTTACCATACTGTGTGCTAAATATGCTAGAATTTTATAGAGGATGTTGGGATCACAACTCATAAGTGACAGTATCTGTAGTTTAACTTTTTAATTCTTTTATTATAGGCTCACTTTGTTAGGTTTCTACATCATGGTTATACTTATATATCTTCTGGAATTTAGAGGTGTTCCTCTTTGTATTCTCTGAACCAGTTTAAATGATGTATAAATAATCTATAACTTTAACTTGAAACAGTGTAGTCATAAAATTATGTGAAATTAGAGTCTTTGGGGAAGTAATTTATTTTTGCCTTTCAACAAATTCCATAGTTATTGAGCACTTTAGGCTTTCTAAATTTTCATGTGTAAGTTTTGTTCATTTATATTTTTTTCAGGGAAAGCATACATTTCTTCAAGGTGTACAAAATTTTTTGCATAGAGTTATTTAGACATAAAGGAGAAAGAATATTTGACAAGATATTTGAAAATGTACAGAATTAAGGGAGTGTCAAATTTGTATATATTTAATGAGATTGGGAAGATCACAAATAAAAAGGCAGGTAGAGGAGGGTGATAGGGTTGAGTAGGAGGCTCCAGAATTTGGGGTTGAAGCACTAAACCAGATAGGTTGCTTGAAATAAACAAAACTAAAGATAAAGTCAAAGTCATAGTCAGAAAGAAACACTAAGAATAGAGCCAAGAAATTGGAGACTGAATATCATCCTTAAATGCAGCTGAGGAGATCAGAAGCCAGGAAAGTAAAACTGAGTCTGGTTGTGATGAGTGGAGCTACAGGTGGTCAAGAACCAAGATTATGGGAGAATTCTTGAGGCATATTTCAATGTCCTGTGGTTCTGTGGGTTAGAGATGTAAACACAGAAGAAAGATGCATTTATTCATGATTCTTTGGGTTTTAAAAAACACAAATCTGCCAACTTACTCAAAAAAATGAACTAGCTCATGTGACTCAAAGCTATTTAAGGGTTAAAGCTATCTGTGGGAAAACTCTTTTCTCTTTATCTGTTGTGTCCACTTTCCATTGTGTTGTTTTCAATCTCAGGCAGGCGATCTTTTTGTTGTATTAAAAATGGCTCTGGCAGTTTCAGGCTTTCTCGTTCCATCATTTCTGTGTAATCTCAGAGGTTACAACCACGTCCTTTCCAGATCATTGCACAAAATTCTCAGGGAAGATTTTGGCTCTGCATTGGTCAGGTTATTACGCTGTGGCCAGGGAAATGGATATATGCACACTGGCCAGGCCTGGTGCACATGTGCAACACTGAAGTGGGGAGGACTAACTAGGAGAATTAATAGTGGGAGAGGTCGGTCTCCCAAATAGATGAGTAGACTGCCCCCGAATTATAAGCGTGTATGTGTGTGTTTGTTTGTATACATGGAGCTTGCTGATTCCAAGCAACTATGTATATACACATAGGTTGCTGATTCCAAGTACATATATATATACACACACACACACACATATACACATATATATACCTATACACACACGCACATACACACATATATACACACACACACACACATACACACACACATAGTCGTTCCTTGGTATCCATGGAGGATTGGTTCCAGGACCCCCTGGAGATACCAAAATCTGTGAATGGTCAATCTCTTATGTTAAATGGAGTATGTGCATATAAACTACACACACCTTCTTATATACTTTAAATCTTCTGTATAGATTACTTATAATAACTAATGCAATGTCTACACATCACTTCATTAGCATGGATTCAACATAGGTCTTGGTGCATGGCAAATTCAACTTTTACTTTTTGGAACTTGGTAGAATGTTTTTATCCAAACATTTTTGATCCTCAGTTGGTTTAATCTATTGATGTGGGACCAAAAAATATGGAGGGCCGACTGTATGTACATGTGTGTTTGTGTGTGTGTGTGTATGTGTTTGTGTGTGTGTATGATGAAGGAATGAATAGAATAGATGAAACACAAAGCACCAGGGAAGTTTTGTAAATTAATTAGTTAAGGATTTGACTGGACAAAGGACCCATGAATATGTAGTAGAAGTAGATTAAAACTTATGGAGAAAACAAGTATGGTAGCCAGATTTGTGTACCCATTCATCTCATTTTCCTGCAAAATCATAATAATAATAATAATTTAACAAGTTATTTCTTGCTCCTGATAAACATGGGGCACTAAAAGAAGCAGCTTTGGTCAAGGATTTAGAAGATTTTTATCCACAGATCTGTTCTCCCGTGAATTAGCTGCGTGACTTCAGATAAGTCATTAACCTCTCTGTGCCTCAGAGGCATGATGATTCCATATTTTGTGGGATTGTTGAGAGAATTAAACAAGATGCAAGGTAAATAAAACTGGAGATGTCTAGACATTGCTGGCACCCAAAATATATTAGTGAATTGAAAGGGGAATTTAAAGATGGTGTTTTGTTTATTATCATCATTATTATAAGTCCCATTTCTAGTAATTACATTGCCAATATATTTTTTTATTTACATTTTTCCTTTATGGGGAAATATTGGAACCATTTTAAATTAATTCTTCTGACTGCATTTCCATGGCTCCCTTAAGAAGCCGAGTAGGATCTTAGACACATGAAATAATGACCCAATTTAAGTTGCTGTGTTTTTGTAAAGCACTGGAAAAGAGGAAAGCACTTCAAAGTAATTAACATGAACATGCTCAATTACGTTTCTGTATGACATGCCAACACCACTGACTGGAAATTCTGAAATTAGGAATCTCAGAATCCTCAATTGCTAACACAATGAAGTCGTAAGGTGTCCCCTTCTTTCCTCTCAGGATGGTCTTTTAGAGAATTATTAAGTATTAAAAGGTTAAAAACTAAGAAAACAGTAGCATTAAGGGGTAAAAAAGTTCTCCCATCAGGCCAATGGGTGGAAGGGTAGGGTCACTGAATGTAGCCTTATTTCTGCTGGCTGGCCATGTTTCTTTCCTACCCAAGCTCCAAAGTAAGCGGACTGTGTAAGCGGGAATGAAATACACAACCCCCTTGTGACTGTGAGCAGCAAAGCATTCTCCGTTTGTGGTTTTCTTCAAATGAGGCTGCTTGGAATATGTGTTTGAAAACACTGAGACTCTTTATTAATCAAGCACTTCACTCTCCCTGCCAGCATAACGTTTCATTGATGTCAAAACTCCCTTAAAAATGGTTTTGGAGCCACTTCTTGTACACAGACTTCAACAGAAGAAATATTTTTGGAATTGTAAATAGAATAATTGAGGCAAATATTTGCCCATTTGGAAAGCTTCTGTAATGGCTTTAATGTCCAGTTGCATTTTAAATATGCAGATCTGGTTATGGGTGGTAGGTACAGGGGCAAGGATGAAGCAGACCCCAAACTCTAGGTTTCCCTTAGAGAGTTTAATCGCAAAACAGGCTGGATGAGAGAAGACATAGGAAAAATTATTTTGAAAAGATAAATTTGTTTCCAGGCAGGAGCAAGCAGTAACTAAATGGGTTAACCTACAAGAAAAGATATGCCAATCAGAAATGGGCTTGCTGAGCAGAAGCTAAGGAGAAGGAGAGTCATAGAGACACACATTGGCAATGCGCATCCAAGAGCTGCACTGAATAGAGGATGTCTGGGTCTTGAGATACCAAGTACCAAGATCTAGGAGTAGGTCCATTTTGATTATACAGATGGTCACATCAGGGTACTACTGTTATGTAAGATGAAACATCTGAGTTATATAGGAAATACCCCTATTCTAATTCCATGTACTTGGAAATCTCTTCCCAAGTCAGTCTTCTTGTAAGAAGGTAACATGCAATTTAGGCCACTTGGAGATTGCGAGTTTGTGGTATAAATTGTGGTAGAGCATCTCTTTGTAGATGAGTAGATAGGCATCTTGTGTTTCATGGATCCCTGTGAACTTGTATGTGTCTACTGAAAGACATGGATGTGTTCTCTGTGTTGGTATATCAGGTTTCTGGGCCTGCAGGTTGAGGGCTAGAACCTGGGCAGTGGTAAATCCATTTAGGTAACAGATTTCTCTGTGAGGACGTCTGGCAGAAGAAAAGATGGGTTTTGCTACTGATGACTTCTGCTGCAGAAGGCATAATCTTGAGTAAATTAACCTCTCCAAGTCTTACTCTTCTTACCCTCTTCCCTCTGGGGAAGAGACACTTACTTTGCAAGGACACTGTAAGTTTTTGGGATATTATCAGTGCTCCTGATAATGCTCTTGAGAAGCCTCTTTCTGTTCTAAAGTTATATGATGCTCCAGATAGACATCTTGGGATGTCTACTAGTCTGTGACCCTGCTTTGAAAACCTCTGCCTCTCATTCCCCAGAGTGATTCCTGCAACAATGTTTTCACTCTTTGACTCTCATTCCCTACAGATAAAAACACTTGGTTCAGTAGAAGTAACACTGGATCAATCAGTTTATTCCTTCCATAAGTATTAGTTGGCTACAGTTGCTCTATCCAATCTCTGTTGAATGCCTTAACTGGTGGGATGTTTAGGGTCACCTGCTTCATAGTTATGTGAAAGCTACACACAAGAAAAGGTGAATGGATCAAGAAGCACAGATAAAACAAAACACAACCAAAAAACCACTAACACAAAACTATGAAGCTGAGGTAGATGGAAAGAACGTGGTTCTCAACCCTAAAAATTGTCATTTTATTGACCTCAGTGACTTATGGTACCCAGCCACATTCTCTGCTCTTATTTTCCATGAGATATTTTTTAATATTTTTCCATTACTCTCATCACTCCCCAGTGACGTGCAGCTAATTTGAGCCTGGTTTTGTTACATGACAACCAGTGAATCTCTGTTCTTCAATCTTTGATTTGAAACCATGAGAGGCAAGGCAAATGTCACATCCTTGGTGTGGAAACTCTTTAAGGAAGGACAGGATAATCGGCTCATGAAAAAGAGCTGGCAAGTAATCTCTCCTTCATGGGAAGGCCTGCCCTCAGAACGATTTCTATTCAAACACATTTCTGAGGAGCAACTGAAAACACAAGCTTTGGACTTTGGGTACCTTAGAAAAAGGTTGGTGTTGTTCTAACAGGCCCAGCTGAAGTTTGCATCCTCATCATGGGCATATTTGCTATTTTTCTTCCATCACACTCTACACTAGACTGGGGAAAGGCATTCTCCTGATGCTTGTTCAGGAGTGTTTCTGCAGAGGCAGACACTCTGAGCCTGGCTGTGGCCTGATGACGCAATGACACCATGGCCCCCTCAGTTGTCGAGGGCCTCTGGAAAAGGCCCACTAGCCAGGATCTCTGTACAGAAAGGGAAGAAGTTATGGCACGGAAATCCTCAGAGTCCTGTACTCAGCACTAGAGAAGGTCTCCAGAGTGAGAACAACAAGCTCCATCCTTCCAAGCTTTTATTAGCCTACTTGGTGAGGGTCCTGTTCATTCCTTTCAGATATTTCTGTAAAGAGACAACCTGGTGAGGAACGAGAGCTGGGCAGAAGACCTGGGTTGAGGTGCACAACTTATTGGGGGTCTGGCCATGGGCAAGCTGATTAACACCTTCCAGCTTTAATACCCTCATATGTAAAAATGGGAACATGGTGGTGAGGAGCAAGTAAGATAATGAAAATGATAAAGAGTAATAGAAATTAAGAGTATGCAATCTTCTTCAAATCTCCCTTTGGTTACTCTTTTCCCCTCCATTAGTGAGTAGTTTTCAATTGATTTTTCTGCTGGAGGATTTGATTACCTTTGCTGAATCATTGCTGTTTCATAAATATGATCTCAAAGAGCCTCCGATGGTTTTGTTATTATGAGCTGGAGTCTGATCCTATGTTTTTTGTATGACTCTTTAGGGCATATCTATTTTCTTAATTCTAATGCAGTGTAGACCCTGGGACAAGATACTAATAATTGCTATTATTCATTCAATTTCTACTAGATTCAAGGCATAATGCATTCATTAATTCTCCCAGCAATACTTTAAAGTAGGTGCTATTGTTATCTGCATTTATGTTTTAATTCAAAAATACACATAAAAAGCAAGCCACACAATAGGTTAACAACTTGTGTTGGAGCAGAGAGATACTAAATAGTAAAGATAAGGCTTAAACCAGGACTACTCAACTCCAAATATCCAACTCACCTCACTGTGGCATAGAATATCATGAAACTTTGGTCATTACAGGGATATTGAATACATAAAATAATAAGTCACTGATGCATGATGATGAAGGGGAATGAGGGTGGGAAAAGGTAGGAGAACAAAGTGGTGTTGAGTAGACTCAGAAACTGGGTGCTACCGCAAAGCAGAAGTTTGTCTGAAGCACAAGATCCAAAGGCTCTCCCATGCTCAGAGGTAGGGCGGTGAGTGTATGGGTATAACCCAATGCATAGATCATATAAGCAAAAGATACATGGTTGTCAGTGGTTAATGTTGTGAGGCAGATCTGTGTTAGGGCACTGAGAGATGTGTCACAGCAGGACGTCAGCCAGCAGCTAGGCACATGGAGACATGATTTAGTTATTTGCGGGGAGGTAGTAGGACAACAGCAAAGAGCTGATGGTAATGAAAGGCTCGTTTAATAGACATTGGGTCCATGGCAGAGTAACTGAACAGTTTCTGAGGTAATTGAACCTACTGTCCCCATAACAATTCAACCCTTGGAGAATTTCTTACTATCACTGCTTTCTACCAAGAGATGAACTACCACCATACCTTCTGACTCAGAGAAAACCATTGCGGTGTTTATAAAGAGGGAGTTGGTTGGAAAGTTTAGTTCAATTCAGTTCAACAAATATTTATGGAGCACCCGCTCTGTGCCAGGCACCATGCTAGGCACAGGGACACAGAGATGAATAACACACAGTCCTTACCAGGAATGGCAAATACACAGCACAAATGCTGCCACTCCCTTGTCCTCCACTGCAGCAGACATCATTAATCAATCACCACACTGCTTCCTGCTGAGTCTGCATCTGGCCTCCACTCTCCTAAGCAGGCAGCCACTATCCATCAATAGGAGATGCCAGGTGAGCCAAAATGAGTTGACACTTTTGCTTCAAAAGGTTGTTAATTTTGGTAAGGGAGAGAGACTGAAATGTGTCCCCATGTATATTAATCTGCATGGTTTGGGCTCAAGGGAATAGAAGTTTGGGGAATCCTGGGGTCTTAAAAAATGTTTGAGTTTCCTTCATGTCTTATTGCTATTATTTTAAAAGGATAGGATGGCTGGGCGCGCTGGCTCATGCCTGTAATCCTAGCACTTTGGGAGGCTGAAGCAGGCAGATCACCTGAGGTCAGGAGTTCGAGACTAGCCTGGCCAACATGGCAAAACCTCATCTCTACTAAAATTACAAAAATTAGCTGGGCATGATGATGCATGCCTGTAATCCCAGCTACCAGGGAGGCAGAGGGAGGAGAATTGCTTGAACCCAGGAGGTGGAGGTTTTAGTGAGCAAAGATTGTGCCACTGCATTCTAACCTGGGAGAGAGAGCAAGACTCTGTCTCAAAATAAATAAATAAATAAATAAATAAATAAATAAATAAATGTAAATAAACAAGGTGAGGGGAAAATTTCTGTTAATAAAGACATGGTATCTTGAGGGAAGCATTTCTCCCTAAGTGCAGAGTTATTTTCATCAGAGAGAGCTTCTCTTAACATACAGCTTGAGGCAAAATTAAAATCCAGAAACACAGTTTAAGAGAGTATGAACTCTTGCTAGAACTGCAATGTATCTACCCCAGGGGTCCTAAGAATTTGCTAACCCCTAACTGCCAGTTCTTCTCTAGCCAAGAAAATCAAGCAGCTAAGAACTCCTTGGGGAAGGCAGGGTGGTGAATGGAGACCTATTATAAAATATACACCTTCAAGAGAACAAGAATTACAGGTAACCTCCCTCTTCTCCAAAGCGAGTGGTGGTAATAGAACTCCTCTCTGTGGACACTAAGAAGGCCTTGCTTGTTCTGTGGCTTTGACCATTTATATTTAATTTATGGTTTTAATTTTCTGGAAAGAGCCCAAAGGAGCCCACTGCCCAATGGAGTGCATGATACAGGTTTGGTAAGCACAAGTTAAAATAAAATAAAAATGCTTCAGTGCCTTCGGATGTGTCTAAAACAACAGAATTAAGAGACTCTAAAAACCAGGGTCATAATTATCTTTCAGTTTATCTTAAATGGCAAAGTGTAAGGGAAGAAAGGTGAGTAAAGAAAGAAATGGGAGGGGGCTTTAAAATGACAGGATATAGCATTAAGCATGGTTGAACCAGACTTAAACGTTGGCCCTGCCAGCCTTCCTGAAAATGGAACATTATAGCCTTGCAAAATCTGGATTTCACAGTGAGAAAAAAATCAAACATAACACTTCTCACTCTGAATCACTTTACCCAAAAGAGGGTTTTGAATTGAAACCCTCATTACTGCCAATAACTGAGTTTACCTAAATAATCTCTAGCACTTTGGAAAGAGGGTAAGGCCACTGCTGTTTGGCAGATTTAAAAAAGGCAGGAGTTGTGTCCTAGAGAAACCTTTTCTTCCCTTGAACTTTTTCAGAAAAGCTTTCCTGCTTTGGGCCCTCATCTCCAGAGGAATCCATTGTGCAAAATGTAGAATACGGACCTATAGAAATATTGGCTTATTAACATGTATTTTTCTTTGGCATTGCCCATGCATGCGCTAAATGCAGACTTTTCATTTTTGGGAAGGGTAAGGTGAGCTATTTAAATTTACTTGATTTCAGGAAATATCCACAGAGACATCCTAGACCCTCAAGAACCTTGCATCTGTGTTCAAACAGTTGAATTTAAACAAACAGGTAACATTTTGAATTATATTTTTAGGTTCCACACTTATTGAGCAGTGGCTAAGAGCAAAGGACTATGCATAACGTACTGTGAAACTTAGTAAGATTTTTGTTCCTGCAATTCTATGTGAGCCACTCTTAACCTGACTGGAATTGTGTATGGGTTCCCAAATTGAGACTTTCACTGTGCTTGTACAACAACAGACGCAGTCAACAACAAATAATATTCAACAGCCCCTGTGTGCATTGGTGTTTATATAATTCTAACAATTACAATAAGTACAGACACTTTAAAAATTCCTACTATGTACCAGCTTGTGTCCTAGGCCCTTTACTTGCATTAATTAATTTGATCCACATAACAGTCTTACATGGTTATGATATTAGTTTCCTAGGGGTGTCTTAATCAATTGCCCCAAACTGGGTGGCTTACAACAACAGAAATTTATTTTTTCACAGTTGTGGAAGCCGGAAGTTCAAAATCAAGATGTCAGCAGTGTGTGTCAGTTCCTTCTGGAGTCTCGAGGAAGGATCCGTTGTATGAGTCTCTCCTTCCCTCTGGTGACTGCCTAGCAATTGTTGGCATTTCTTGGTTTGTGACTGCACCTCAGTCTTTGCCTGTGTTAACGTGGCCTTTCCCTCCATGTGTCTCTGTGTCTTCTCCTTTTCTGTGACTTAAAGGATAGTCATGAGATTTATGGTCACGCCAATACAGAATGATCTTATCTGGATATCTTTATATTAATTACATCTAAAAAGATCCTTATTCAAAATAAGGTGACATTCTGAGATTCCAGGTGGCACTTATTTTGGGGAGTCACTATTCAACTTACTATGGTCTTCCCTGCATGAATGAGGAGGTAGAATGTCAGTTTAGGAGGTTGTACAAGGTCACAGAGCAGGTGAGAAGGAAAATCAAGGTTTGAGCCTAGGTGTCTGAATCCAGAGGCATTGATCTTCACAATCACAGTATCACACCATTCTGCTATGCTATACTCTTTTTCTCCTCTACACTTTACTGTGGGGAAAGAGGTCATCCAGTATGGTGACTAACTAAATTCCTCCAGTCACTGCAGCATGAAGCAATGAATTAACATGAGACCACATAGATCTGAATGGTGCCAGGGGTGAACTGCAACAGTTGCTGTTGGTGCCCTACAGATACACCAAGGTCCTCTTAACTAGTTTGGTTATCGTGCTCCAAGTCCTGCAGGTGCTTCTGCTAATGGCTCACATCTGCAGTTTTCTCCAGGAGATTGTCCAGTGATTGAAGCCACATTGCCCAGAGGATGTTAAGCTAAGGTTCCTTCTCCCCTGCCATACAATAGTTTTGACTGGTTGGGGCAGGGGCACAAAAGTCTCACTCCCTTATTTCAAGACAGGACTGAATCCCCTAGTGAGCTAGACTTAACCCGACCCCACATTCTTGCATCTCTCCATCCCCTTCCCTACCCTGCTGCTCTTCCTCTTCCCAAGGTTTTCCAAAGAGATCTCCATGAATAAATCTCAATGTACCCAAATCCTCAAATCCAGTTGTGCTGCTTGAATCAGATAACATTTTTCCTAAGTCATTTCATTTAGTGACAATAACTTGAAAGGTAATCCTAACTATCTCTACTTCAGAGATCAGGAAACTGAAATTAAGAGAAGTTCAGGGATGTGCCCAGGACTTCATAGAAGTATGTGATGGAGCCGAGTTTCAAAGTCTGGTTGTCTGCAAGCCCCACTTTCTATTAAACTTTCCTGTCTGCTTAGCAAAACACTCAGCCTCAAGGAAAGCATGCCCATAGGAATGGGTCTGGTCTAATGAAAGTTTTTTGGGCATTTGAATCAGTCACAATTGAGTACTTAATAAACATAGGCTATTCCTTTAAAAAAAATTGACATTTGAAACTTTTTTTTTTTTTTTTGAGACGGAGTTTCACTCTTGTTGCCCAGGCTTGAGTGCAATGGCGCAATCTCGGCTCACCGCAACCTTGGCCTCCTGAGTTCAAGCAATTCTCCTGCCTCAGCCCCGCCGAGTAGCTGGGATTATAGGCATGTGCCACCATGCCCATCTAATTTTGTATTATTATTATTATTATTATTATTATTATTATTATTATTATTATTATTATTTTAGTAGAGATGGGGTTTCTCTGTGTTGGTCAGGCTGGTCTCGAACTCCCGACCTCAGATGATCCACCTGCCTCGGCCTCCCAAAGTGCTGGGATTAGAGGCATGAGACACCGCAGCCAGCCAACCTTTTTTTTTTTTTTTTGAAAAGAAACTATTTTCCTATTTTCTAAGGCTGTCAGAATTGTCTGGGATGATGCACATTTGCACATTAAATGCTTCGCACTGCACTTGGTACATACAGCACACTCAGACAAGGCAAGAAAATTAAATATTGTTAATTTCACTCCTGTCCAGTGCTGCAACTCCTGAAACCTGAAGTCTGTGACTCACCAGTTCTAAGCCCCAGAGTCCTGATGGGGCACCTCAAGGAGACACTTCAGCCACCTAAGTCAGCTGGACCACCCCATGACACAGTCATGGAGGTTCCAGTCTGAATTCAGAGTCAATGATAAGGGAGGCTTCCGTGGCAGAGTGAAAAGCACACACCTGAGAAATGAAAAGAAATGGCAAAGGTCACACGTCTCAGGATGAATTGCACTGTGTGTGACACCCTAGCTGAAATCCTATCCCACAGGACCATCAGGTGAGCAATTAAAGAAAGTGGCTGAAATTGCTTCCATGTTCTTTTTTCTCTTCTAAAAATATCTATGCTGAGACTTTTTCCCCGTGTGTGTGTATACACGTGTGTGTATACACGTGTGTGTATACATGTGTGCAGCTTCCCATGCTTGTGCAGGCCTCTGTGCTAAAGTCGGTGTCTTCATTCAGACTGCACTTCATTATGGTTTTGCTTGATGTCTGCCTCTCTCTTCCATTGCCTTTCTTCTAATTCATGCTCTACATTGCAGCAAGAATGCCATTCCTCTGTTTAATATACTTTCATGGATGCTCATTTGTCTAGACACCTTCTCATGGGACACATTCTGCCTTCTACTTATAACTTATTTATCTGCCTTCTTTTGCACAATGACCACTTCTTCCTTAAAGATCCAGTGTTGACATCATCTCTTCCATTCACGGAGGCTTCCCAACTCTTCCAGGCAGAGTGAGTCATCCATTTCCCTGGGCTCCTCCGGCATCTCATAGAGACTTCTGTTGTGGATTCCCCTGCTCTGTGCCACAATGATGTGTCGACAAGTTTGTCTCTCCCACAGCATACACTGTGGGATTCTTTAAAACAGAGATGGTGTCATGAATTTCTGGTTTGGCAGGTTTGAAAATATTATGCAGAACATTAGTTTTTTTAATAAAAGAAAAATGAATAAACAGAAGGATAAAGCATTAAGCTTAACCTCTATATATACAGAACTCTGTATCTGTAAAAAGAGGATAATAAAGATACCCAGTTGTGGTAGATTAAATGATTAACTGCAATTCTTTACTCTTTCCTTTTGTGCCACATGGGCAGAAGCTTGGGTGTGTTGCTCACTTTGGCAAAGAACATGTGGGTAGACATGAGATGGTGCCAGTTCTAAGCCTGTACCTTAAGAAGAATCACAGTGTCTCTTTACCTCTTTCCTTCTGCCATTACCATGAGAAGCATTCTCTCTGGATACCTGTTCGTATTATCCCTACAGCCTGGAATGCAGTTTGAAGATATGTGCAGAAGAAATGCCCAAGCCGACCCCGGACCTACAGTGAGAAGCAGAACAGCCCAGAGAAGCTCAGCCTAGGGCAACAGAGACAGCCTAGTCAACCTACAGATCTGGGACAATAAATGCTTCTGCTTTTAAGCCACCGAGTTCTGGGAGGTGATTTGTTCCACAGCATTATAGTGGCAATAGCTGATACTTCAACCTCATTTAGTTTTTGTAAGGGCTAGATCTGATAATTCATGTCAAAAGCCCTAGAACGTGGTAAGCACAGATATTAGGATTCACTATTATTAACATTTGATCTTTATTAGCTTATAAAACTAAGTATTTTATGGGAAAGAACAGTTGGAAGAAAAAGCAAGAATCTATTTATCAATTCAATGAGATTCTCATAGCTGAACTTGGCAATTTCTTTGATATTTGCTAAAAGCCTTTCATAGAATGTGAGGCAAGATGATGGGAGGCCTCAGAGGATTCGAATTTAAGCAGAAAGAAAGACAGTCTTGGCACAGTGGCTCTCCAGCATGGGGGGTGCATACCCGCTTCTGTTATCATTGGGATGATCCACCAGCTTTCCTATGGCATTTTCATTTTGCAAAGCATTTCATTTAACAATCCCTCACTTAACCACTCCTTGGAGCCAATCTGTACACAAAAATAGACAGTTACTTCCTAGAGACTGCGAAAAAGTGAGACTTCTAAAGCTTTAGCCAGTAGCCTCTCTTTGTTCATTGAGGGGTCCCATAGTCCCATCTTCACCCCAAACTGCCCTTCTAATCTCGAGGCTAAGATGTCTAATTGCTCCCAGATATCCACGACATGAGGTCCCAGACTCATGTCACGCTTAAGATGTCAAAAACAGAATCCATCATCTTCTCTCTGTATCTAGGACCTTGGCCTCAAGCTGTGGCTCCAATTGTGTCCTTATCTCAGTACCCAAACCAGAACCTGGTGGCATCCATGACTCCTCTCTCTCATTCTTCCTTTCTCTATTCCTTTCCCCAGGCATCCAAGTTCTAATTATTTCTCAGATCACTCCACCTCACTCCATCATCACTTCTTTCACGTCACCTTTTGCCTGGTTAATAGTAAAAACCTCCCTATTTGTCTCCCTGTCTGAACTTCTCTATCGTTTGCTCTTTCTGCTTTTTTTCATATTACTTATCATTGATCACCATCTTTTTTTTTTACTGTGCATATCTGTCTGTGTGTGTCTGTGTGAGTGTATGTGCATGTGTACGTGCTTTCCTAAGTATACTTCATTCTCCCTATTGGATTGTAAATTCCTTGTCTTTAGGAGTCATGCCTAGAATTTTGTTCACACTCAAGAAAAATTTGATAGACCTAATCAAAATTCAGATTAGATATTTAACCAAGCTCTCTGGATAAATGTTTCTACTCCTCCATTCCCATTCGTATTGGTCCATTCTCACACTGCTAATAAAGACATTCTTGAAACTGGGCAATTTATAAAGGAAAGAGGTTTAATTGACTCACAGTTCCACATGGCTGGGAAGGCCTCACAATCATGAATGAAGGTGAAGGAGGAACAAAGTCATGTCTTACATGGTGGCAGGCAAGAGAGAACTTGTGTAGGGGAATTCCCCTTTATAAAACCATCAGATATCCTGAGACTTATTTACTGTTGTGAGGACAGCATGGGAAAGACTTGCCCCAATGATTCAATTACCTCCTACTGGGTCCCTCCCATGACACATGGGAATTATGGGAGCTACAGTTCAAGATGAGATTTGGGTGGGGACACAGCCAAACCATATCACATTTATTAAAGCAGAACTATTTTGAGGGGGAAAGGCAACAATGAGTTCAGAACAAATATTGTTCTACAGGGATCAATTGAATCCCAGTTCAGAGTATAGCTGTTTATAATAGCTTATGTAGGAAAGACTCTTGATAGGAGTAAGGGTTGAAAGGGACGTCAAAAAATAATGTGAAAGAGTGTCCGGGCGCAGTGGCTCACACCTGTAATCCCAACATTTTGGCAGGCTGAGGTGGGCAGACCGCTTGAGGTCAGCAGTTTGAGACCAGCCTGGCTAACATGGTAAAACCCCGTCTCTACTAAAAATACAGAAATTAGCTGGGCATGGTGGTGCACGCCTGGAGCCCTAGCTACTCAGGTGGCTGAGGCACAAGAATTGCTTGAACCTGGGAGACGGAAGTTGCAGTGAGCCAAGATCACGCCACTGCACTCCCGTCTAGGCAACAGAGTGACACGCTGTTTCAAAATAATAATAATAATAATAATGTGAAAGAGGAGGAGACATAACATTACAAAACACATGCTGATTCCCAGGTGCTGCTAAGGCTGTTTCTCCCCCTTTATCTGATTAATCTTCAGAGGCTGGGAGGTAGGAAGAAGGGCCAGCAGGAATTTGAGAGATGTAGTCCATCTGCAAAGGTCTGCATCCACAACGTGCTAGCTACATTGTTCATCATGTTTATAATTCACTTATTAACATGTGTAATACAGGGATGATTATAAAAGTACTTACCTTTAAAGTCGTTTTGAGAAATAAATGAAATAAAACCTCATACAGTCTCATGCAGTCCTCAATGCCACTGTTTAGAGATTGTTAATACCCATTTTACAGACGAGGTAAATCTTGTCAGGACAGCTTGGTAATTGATACAAATGAAGAGTAAAGTTGAGAATCCAGTCCTTACGAGCCTAAAGTCCAAGTACCTTCTGCCTTTCCAATATTCTCTCAGTCTGGGATTGGAAGGACAAGATGGGAAAGGACATGCAGGAATAATCTCTAGGAATTGCCCCGTTGTAACTCATGACCGCCCCCCATCCCTGAACACCTTTCTCCACACATTTACCTATTTCATCTGGCTAAATGTTTTCCCTTCTTTGAGGACCACCAGAAATATTGCTTCCATGGTTATGTCGGCTAAGCTCCTGGTGCTGCCACGTGGACTCTAACTCAGACCCTGATCCTATTAGAGTCTTTCCAAACCTTGAGATGACAGTAACACTTTGAACTGTGATATATGGCGGGGCCGGGGGTGGGTGGGGAGGGGGCTGTCGGAAGTCATACCATTATTTACCACAAGGGGTTAATTTTCTGAGGACAAAATCTTTTCGTCCTTTTTATTATGCATCGTTTTTCAAGGAGGATGTTGGGGATTATAGTGATAGTGTGCACAAATGAAATGACCCTGGTGCTGCTGGCAAAGACTTGGATCTGCTCTGAGTTTAAAGGGAGAAGACAAGGATGCTCCCGGATACGTGAGCAGGCTGACTACGCTAAGGGGGAGAATGGCTGAGTCCTAACTATCTTTTAGATGTCAAGTGCATTTTTTTCTCCCCTGAGAAAGAGAATGTTTTGTTTATGATGTGGCTTTGGGTGGATTAAGTTGGGCAGGCAGCACACAAAAGGAATCCTCTTAAGCCTCATCTCCTCTGAGGCCCGCTGTTTTCCACTTTCTGACAGCACTGGCTGTGACTTCAGTCTTGCTACCTGCCTGATCTTTCACCCTAGGACAGAAACAAAGGTGATGAAATTGAAGGCTCAGCGAGGGAGCCTGGCTTTTCACCTTGCAGGTGTGAGGAAGAAAGGGCTGGTGTGGGGGAGGGAACTGCAAGGAATGCCCCTACACGCTGTGGTCTTCTCCCAAACACGACCCGAAAAGCCCGTGTAGAGTTACACATGTACCCCATCCCGCCCTCCGGCAACAGCACAACGGGTTTATGGGTCAGAGTGGGGGAAGGGACACTTTGTGAATGCAGCTGGTCGTCATTTTAAATCTTAGTAGAAGAAGAAAAGGTGCAGACAAAATAAGCTGTCTGGACAAACCACTAGGTGGATTAGTAATGCCTGAACTTGATGGAGAAGCCAGAGCCCAGGGTCAAAGGATAAACTGATTGGGGGAACCTTTTTGATGCCTGAATTTTAGTGAAGTGATTAGTGCCAATTAGAATGACACTGGAGAAGAGGCTGGAAAGCTGGGGCCTCCGGAGCGTGTCAAGAGAAGGGGTTTGTCGGCTGAGGCGCAAGGGAAGATGGGTGATTAGGAAACATAATTTGCTCAATTACTTGTGATTTGGCTCAAGTTGGTTTTTGGGACTGTTTTTGTAACCTGAAAATAGGGGCCTTAGAAGCCTTTGAAATGTAGAGTGAAATAATTTCAACCCAAAGCAGACTTTAAGAACATAAAATCTGCCCGGCTAGTTTGGAACCACCATGGGCCCAAGCTGCCATTTTGTCATTGACAGGGGCACCTGGGGCAGGAGGGAAGTGGATAGGGAAAGGGCTGAGCTGTCAAACACAAGAATTAAGGGAGTACCTGATATTTTTCCAGCAGTTGTCTTAGTCCATTTACATTGCTATAAAGGCATTTCTGAGGCTGGGTAACTTATTTTTAAAAAAGAGGTTTATTTGGCTCGCAGCTCTGCCAGCTGTACAAGAAGAATTATGTCAGCCTCTGCTTCTGTAGAGGGCTTCAGGAAGCTTCCATTCATGATGGAAGGCAAAGCGCAGCTGGTGAGCACATATCACATGGAGAGGGAAGAAGAGAGTAAGAGGGGAGGAGGTGCTACGCTCTTTTTTAACAATCAAATCTCTCAGAGACTAATAGAGCAAGAACTTACTCATTACCTCAAGGACTGGCACCAAGCCATTCATGAGGAATCTGCTCCCATGACCCTAACACCTCCCACTAGGCCCAACCTCCAACTCTGGGGATTACATTTCAACGTGAGATTTGAAGGAGACAAATATGCAAACTATATCAGTGGTCTATCACAGACTGTCACCTAAATCAGCCACTGAAGCTATTCCCAAGCTGTCATTGTGTTTGCCTTTCCTGCCTTTTGGAGTAAAATTGTGGTGTGTTGACCTGATCCCTTACTAGTTGTATGGACTTTGGCAAGCTACTTAAGTTCTTAGTATCAGCATCCACATTTTAAATACAGGTCAAATAATAGCTATTCTTATATAATTGTTTTGATCAGTAAGTGGGAAAATAATAAAATATGGTTAATAATACTATAGCACTTACAACTTACCACATACTGAACTAAACAACATACACATATATTAGCTCATTCCTTCTCACACTAGCTATGAATCTGGATTTCATAAACCCCATTTCAGAGCATAGGGAATTGTTCATTCTATGATTGGGCTTACCTTGGGATCAGAGCTAAGAGCTTGGTGGCTGTGGGGCTGTCCTCAAACCTTTGTGTCTCAGGATCTGCTCAACTCACAGAGTAGAGGGTATGAGTGAATGGACTGGTTCTCACTTCAGTTTTAGTTGTTTCAGAAATATGCATTCTATCAGTTGCCTGAAAGATTGGGCAATTCAATGTGATAGAAGCTGAGACAGTTGCATGCATATTAGCCCAAATAAGAGTCTTTTCTGAGAAATAGAAATAGCTGGCCTCAAACTGTATTTATAATCACTTTCTCCTGTGCTTTGCACACAGAGTCCAAGAAACACATTAACCAAACTGTATAGAATAAATTAAGATATTTGAGTTTAACAGATAAAATATTGCCTTTTAAAAAATAACTTGAAATGATATTCCAGTGGTTGCTTCAGTCTCACTTTGTTCCTTCAAAAAAATATATATATATCTTGTTCTGAAGAAAGCTGAAATATATATATTAAAATATGTAAGAAATATATATTAAACATATTAAAAATATATATTAAATGTACATGAAATACATATTAAATATATTAAATGTATGAGAAATATATATATGAAATGTATATATGAAATATATGTATATGAAATATATAGAATATACAAATATATACTATATATGAAATGTATATGAAATACATACACAAAATATATATACAAAATGTATATGAAATATATACATGAAATATATATATTTCAACTTCCCTCAGAACAGGGTGGGGCCTAAAATATAGGAATCTTTAAGCTTTTACATAATTCTTTCCTCTATGTTTTCCACATGTATGGAAGAAAGCATATGTGTTGCAGTAGGGCCATTTTATTTCTAGTGATTGTCTATTCCTAGACAACTTGATTCTGTCAAGCCAGATAGAAGAACTCATTTTATATAGTGACAATAGACATGAGTAAATTATCTGTTAAAAAGGCACAGAGAGAACCAAGAACTAAGTTGAGCTGTCACCAACAAAGATGCAAAGTTCATTGAATGTTAAAAGAGTTGGGCTGGCTAACTCTGGTCATCTGACTTGAATATTAGAAGGGTTTAACTAGTAAGCTGCAGCAGAGTTTCTCAGACTCAGCACTACTGAGATTTTGAACTGGGCGATTCTTTGTTGTAGAGAGCTGTGCTGTGCATTACAGCATGTTAGCAGCATCCCTGGCCTCCTTCCATCAGATGTCAGTAGCACCATCACCCCCAGCTGTTACAACCCAGAATATTCTAGACATTGCCAAATGGCTACTATGAGAGCAAAATAACTCCTCTTAAGAATCAGATTTAATTTATATTTGACTTACATTTATACCAGAGATTAGCAATTTTTTTGTGTGTTTGTTTGTTTGTTTTGCGAAGCGTAATAGAGTAAATATTTTAGACTTGGGACCTATTACTATACTGTGTCAATACTGTGCAAAAATATTTACACATAATATACAAATAAAAGAGCATGGCTTTGTTCCAAAAAAACCTTTATTTAGAAAAAGATAAAACCAGAAGTCTGACTGGATTTGACCTCTGATTTATTTCACTGAGAAATAACAGGACATAAGATTACATAATATGTTGCTTGTAATGAGTGAAAAAGAACACTTCTACTCAAGAATCAAATAAATGTCACTGATAGCTCCATTCAGAGATATCTGCTGCCATCTTCTCAATATGAGTACACACACACACACGTGCATACATACATTTTTTGTTAAGGACACAAATTTGAAATCTTACTATATAAGTATAATGTTATATCTGAATGTTTACTTCATCACATTATTTATAACGTAAGTAATTTTTGGTGTTGTATATTCTTTTTTTTTTTTTTTTTTTTTGAGACAGACTCTCACTCTGACACCCAGGCTGGAGTACAGTGGCACAATCTTGGCTCACTGCAAGCTCCGCCTCCTGGGTTAATGCCATTCTCCTGCCTCAGCCTCCTGAGTAGCTGGGACCACAGGTGCCCACCGCCACACCTGGCTAATTTTTTGTATTTTTAGTAGAGACGGGGTTTTACCGCATTAGCCAGGATGGTCTTGATCTCCTGACCTCGTGATCTGCCCGCCTCAGCCTCCCAAAGTGCTGGGATTACAGGTGTGAGCCACCGCACCCAGCCTGTATATTCTTAATAAATACAACTTTTAATGACTGGGTAAGTCATTCATTTTATTGATATACCACAGTTTATTTCCTATAATTGGATATTTTTCTTTTTCCCATTTTTTCCTATCATGTGAATAAAAGTGCAATGAATATCCATTTATCTGATAATTTGTATAGGACAAATTTCTAAGGGTAGATTAAAGAATAAAAATAGTTTTAAATTTTCTTGATCATTTTTACAAATTGACATTCAGAAATTATCCAATGGCTTATATTCCCATCAGAGAATTAGATATTTTGAATTTAGTTGCATCCTTGATTGTCAACTTCCAACAGGCAGGGTGCACAGCTTTCCACTTTAACCATTCCCCATAGTACCCTGCACAATGTCTGCTATAACCCTCCATATGTAGAGCAGAACACAGAATTCCAAAACCGAGATATATGCTATTGTAAAAAATGTAAAATTTATTTTCACATCTTCAGAACAACTCTGGTTTGCGGTCCATGGGAGTGACTGGTTGTATATGGAATGTTCCTGCAAGTATGGGACAAGCAGTAAAGGCCACAGTCTCAGGATCCAAGTTGCATAAATGGACATGTCTCAAGTTGAGTGGGTGTAAAAAAATGACATAGGACTCACATAGTAGAGTTATTGGCATGAAAGGAAGACCAGGAGGGGTCCCATTTCCTTGAACAATTCTAGGGTTGTGTCCTTTAAATGTGCGGAATATTACCATTAGGAAAATATCATTTATGTGGATCATTGGATTTCCTGTTTTCAATCCCTGCAAACATTCTGGCAATCTTCAGAGGTAGCAGAAACCACAATCATGCTGTACAGAATCTCGAGCTTGCATAGGCCACCCAATCCTATGGGGAAATTTCTTATAACCGGTTCTTTCTCACAATTCCTCCAGGCCTAGGTGAGACAGCTGACCAAACTGCAGACCTGGGCTCTGTTGAAGGAATGAGGAAGGCTAAAATCTAGCATGTCTTGTATTTTATCCTCCAGGGTTGAGTCCAATATGGGGTGAGAGGTCTGAGCCACACAAATTTTTCCACAGAAAAACTGGAGAGAACTAATGCTTTGCCTCTGAGTGCTTATTTCTGTGGCTCTTTGGCAGTGTTCCTTGAGCTTATTTCACCAGAGCAGATTGTCGATATTAGACCAGTCCTCAGAAACCTCTGGCTTTCAATCTCAGCAAATTATGTGTGTGTGTGTGTGTGTGTGTGTGTGTGTATACGTGTATACCTGTATGTAGATATTTATATATAAATATCTATATCTCCATATCTATCTGTATCTCAATATCTATTTATATATCATAGATAGATGGCAGCAGATATCTATCTATATATATTTATATCTATCTATCTATCTATATATATCTGCAGGTGTGTTTGAAAATCTTAAGATCACGATGATATAAATGATGAACCCAGAGCCCTATGTTTACAACCTTATCACCCTGATCATGTGGTTTTAAATGTTTCAGTTACAGATTATTTGGCCAGGAAATCAATACTTTCTTCAAAGATCTTTATGCACTATTAGCTCTCAGTGGTACTGGTTACCGGATGGGCACAGAGAACCCATTCTGAAAGAACTGTGACTGCTTTTGGTGAAAATGAGTAAATGTGACCTAGCATTGTGAAAAGAACACATGTCACCCATGTCAGGCTCTCTGCTTGGATTGACACTCTTGGAAGCGTCTTAAGGCACTTGCAGCCTGTCAAAACCCTTCACTGAAAAAGTGACATATGATTAAAGGCCTCAGTTCCGTTACACACTTACATAAATGCCATTTTCCTGGATGAGGCACTTCATGCTGCTGCAGCTAAAATTGCAGCCCGTAACCCACACTGAGCACTTTTTATTTTTTTTTCTTGGCTTTAGTTTCTCCTGTAGAACTGATCACGAGTTAACATGTGATAGATTGACTTATTTACCCTGAGTATTGACTGTCCGCCTCACTCAACTGTAAGCTCAGCAAGGGCAGGTTTTGTGTGCTTGTTTCTGTTTTTATTTGCTGTGTGGAACCATCAACTAAAACAGTTGGCAATGTACTTTGATTGCAGGGCACACAACGGTAGCTGGATAAGCTTCCTTCTTGGATAGCTTAGAAGCTTCCGAGGGCAGCCATTATGTATAAGAATAGTGAATGTTTAATGTATTATTGTGATTTTCCTCGATTTGGTCCTGAAATATCTCTCTGGAAATAGCCTTAAGCTATGATAATCGCTTTCTAGGAGAGTCTTGATGGGGGAAAGTTACGTTGAGGTATATTGATTAGGTGCAAAACAGAGCAGGCAACACAACAAAACAGAAAATAAAAGAAACATTTGATCACTCACAGGTCCACGAGAGAAGAGGTGTGCTCAGGAGGGCTGACTGGAAGTCTGAAGACAGCATGGCATACAACCAATGGGTGGAGAGCAGGAGCCAGAGATGACATATGGGATGAGGCCTTCATTAAAGTCCATGGGTATTATCCATCAGGCTTTCCTGTAGGGATTGTGGATTGGTCAATTTAAAGAAAACACTTGTGAACAGGAGTACTTATCTACATGATTCTGACATTGATCATTGAGTTTTATCATGGACAGTAGCTGTGGGATTTTAGGCTAGTGAGATAGGAATAAGCAGGCCATATTGCAAACAACAACAGGGGCAAGAAAAGTTTTAACTAGTCCAAAGGTGAAGGAATATAAACAGGTTTCCAACAGTGGATACCAGGCCTAAAAATGGATGCCAAGGCAACAACTATATTAAACAACTTTATGACACATACATTTGTCATATAAATAGTCAGTCCTCTTGTATGTAGAGAAAAAGAATAATGATTAATATGTAACATGTTCAGATTTTTGCCTAATGGATCTGCTTTTAAGTGAAGAGGTTACATATTCTAATCTGCTCTATAAGCCACAGTCTCTGTACTTGCTAACTATTATTTCACCTTTATAATGGCCCTCTGAGGTCAGTTGTATCGTTTTTTTTTAACAGTTAAGAAAATGGAAACTGAGGCTGCAAGATGTAAAGTGATTCCAAAGATTAGTGAAATGCACAACTTTTCCACTATATGAGGCTGGCCTAAAGAATTCCTCAAAAGATGTGGAGTAGGAGTAGCTTTGCATTTATTATGAAGTCCCACAGGCACAAAGTGCCCTCTAAAGGCATGATTTTTTTTTCCTGACAATTTTTATTGGGTCAGGACATAATAACATGACATTTTTATGGGACTTTCATCTCAGAATCCCAAAGCAATCCCAAAGCACTTAGAACACATTATTTAGCTCTCACAACTTAAAAGGTAGGTAGCAAATTATTTTGATAGGAAATTAACTATAATAAGGCTGGCAACAACAGCATAACAAGTGCTAGTGAATTGCCTTAAAGGAATGCAAAGGATTCATATACATTTCCTAGGTTAGAGGAGAGGCTACTTATTAAAGGAAAGTGGAGTGGGAACAAGATTTGAGAAGATTTAGGATCTCTTTCCATGGGTGGATGTCTTAGAGGTAGCAATGTTTCTTGTGCTGTGATTAGTGAGGTTGACTATTAACTCTCAACAAACATATGGTCATGTCTTCAAAAATAATTTTTTTGAAAATATAGCTAAAGAGTAGAGTTATGGACATCATTCAGTTCAACATTTATTTTACACCACTATATAAAGCTTGTGGGATGGATAAGATTTGGCTATTTTTTAAAACATTATTTCTTGTCTACTCCTATGCATGGCATCTGAGTAGAAAATGCTGAAATGAGTTTTTCCTATGCCAATATTCCAAGATATCTCTTTTCTACTGTAATGATAGCAATATTTATTGAAAGGCACATTTGTCTTTTCACTTCCCTCTTTACTGAAGCCTTGAGAATAATTCCCAAATAGAATCATAGCGTTCCATTAATCTGAGAAACTCTTATGATTACTCTATTATAAAGTAGTAACTGGGTTATCCCCTGAATAATTAAGAATCATTAACTTAGTCCAGGTCATTAAAGATGATCTGATGTGGAAGACAGGTGAATTTACTCAAGTAAAACAGAAACACACAGAGATAAGTGGCTACCAAAGTTCCCACAGCTAAATGCTGGTGGAGATGGGATTCACCCTTTGATCTCTGACTCAAATCTGGTGCTCTTTCTCATTCATCCCACTGATAAAGAAAAATGGTTTTGATTTTACTTTCTTTTTGCCAAGGGCTTATGCAATTAACTTATTGTGTACAATTGATAGGGACAGGGGGCAGAGAAATTCTAGGCAGAAAAAGGCAGGTCCCCAGCAAAACCCCACGCTGAAGCTGGAAAGCCTGAAACCATGGCCCAAAGTGAGAACCTATGTCTCTGTTTTCCTATTTGAATGTTGTCTTTTCCTAATCCACCCATGGCTCTCCTCCACCTTATCCTGTGCCTATAAAAACCCCAGACTCAGCCAGCAGATGAGACTATGGCTGGACATCAGAGAGAAGCAGCTTGACTTCAGAGGGACAGCTAGACCATATAACTTTGGAGAACAATCTGGCTGGATATGGCTGGACTTCAGGGAAAGATTACCTATCCACCCCATGCATTTTTGAGCTCCCCTTCCCACTGACAGCCACTTTCATTGGCAATAAAATCCCCCTCATTTACCATCTTTCAATTTGTTCACGCAACCTCATTTTTCTGGATGCCAGACAAGAGCTCAGGAGCCGCAAGTGCAGATACAAAAGGCTGTCACACTAGCCCTTTGCCCTTGCTGGCAGGGGGCAGCTGTCTCACGCAAAAAGGCAGAGGACCCATAAAAAATGATGAGTTCATGTCCTTTGTAGGGACATAGATGAAATTGGAAACCATCATTCTCAGTAAACTATCGCAAGAACAAAAAAACCAAACACCGTATATTCTCACTCATAGGTGGGAATTGAACAATGAGATCACATGGACACAGGAAGGGGAACATCACACTCTGGGGACTGTTGTGGGGTGGGGGGAGGGGGGAGGGATAGCATTGGGAGATATACCTAATGCTAGATGACGAGTTAGTGGGTGCAGCACACCAGCATGGCACATGTATACGTATGTAACTAACCTGCACAACGTGCACATGTACCCTAAAACTTAAAGTATAATAATAAAAAATAAATAAATAAATAAATAAATAAAGGCAGAGGACCCACTAAGCTGTTAACACTTAAGCCGTCCATGGATGGCAGAGCTAAAAGAGCACTGTGAGGCTTCAGGGGTCACAGGCACCCCTGCCTGGACGTTGCCATGGGGCCTACATGGAATTTGCTCTTGCTGGCACTAAAGCATCTGGCTGGTTCCTGCACCTGCTTACCTGTGTGCTGCCTCCCACAAGGAGTAGAACACAGTGTGTCTGAGTGAGTGAACTTTGATCCCACTGGTGCTGAAGCAGCCAGATTGTTCCAGCTCTCATTCACTCCAGTTCCCATACCCATTTGCTCACACTCTCCCTCCTGCTAGTTGAGAGTGGTGGGCTGAGTAAAAGAGGCTCTCCTCTCGTGAGTCCTGTGAAGGCATCAGGGAAATATTCTGCTTCATGATCACAGTTTTTCTTTGCTTAAGTGTCCTCCTGAACCTTGGGACATTATTTACTTGATCTTTCAAAGGGATCACCTGACCTGAGGTTTAGGGATTATGTCTGTGGACTCAAGCTGGATATATTTGTTTGCTAGGGCTGCCATAATAATGTTCCACAGACTGGGTGGCTTAAACCATGGACACTCATTTTCTGGAGGTTAAAAGTTTGAGATCAAGGTGTCAGCAGTGTTGGTTTCTTCCTAGACCTCTTCCCTTGGCTTGTAAATGGCCACCTTCCCCCTGTGTCTTCATATAGATTTCCTCTGCATCTGGGTCTTCCTTATCTCTCTTCTCGTACTAAATTAGAGCCCACCTAGAGGACCTTATTTTAACTAATTACCTCTTTAAAGACCCTCTCTTTAAACACAGTCATATCCTGTGGGGGTTAGGACTTCAACAGGACATAAATGAGCCCATAACACTGGATGTGTGGAAACACTGAGCTCCATAACTTGGAGGCAAGATTATGCCTATCATAATAATAATACTATGTATTTTAAATTCAAGTTCCACCACATGACAGGGAATGGACAGGCTTTATCCCATGTTGTGTCATTAAAGCCTCACAAATCATGTCTTACTGGGCCTGTTTTCTAGGTTAGGTAGCTAAGAGAAGGTAGGTGATTTCCCTGAGGTCACACAGCTAGTAAGTGGCACAGGCTGAGATTCCCAATGACCTCCAAAGATCCCGTAGGTTTCTCTCCAGTTGGATTCAAATGCTGCAGCACTCTCAAGGGGATGCCCTCGCTGAAACACAATGCCAGGCCTGTCACTCAGAGCCCGAGTGTTCTTAAGCCATGAGGGTGCAAGCTTCAGTAGTGAGGGGAAACAGCCCAGACCAGAGGCACTGCAACTCTCAATGCAACACCAGGAGCCTTTCATGAAAGGCCACTCAGCCAGGCCCAGGAAGGCTGAAAGACATTTAAGTACTGCATGTTCTAACATGCAAAAAGCAACAGCTCTCCACCAGGCAGGACTGAAATCAAAAGCCCAACACCATTGCCTCTCTGAGGGGCAGCCTGTCTCCCAGGAATGTGGCCATGATAAATGAGAAATACGTATAAAGTGTGAGCCCTTGCCCCAAAGGGTGCTGAATAAATGTCGGGTATTATACTATTGTTTATTTGGGCTACCCAAGTGCATTGGACTGAACAAGAGTATTTCTTTCACTGACAACCGTGGTCATTGTGGTGAAAAGATTTATGTTAGGATGTATGAATGATGCCTCTGTGTACATGTGTGTGTTTATGTGTGCATGTGTGTGTGAGTGTGTGTGTGTGTTGCTAATATTTGGTGTGCTTTGTAGGGTAGTGGGGGCTGCATTTATCCTGGAAAATGAGCTGGAAATTTCAGGAAAGTTTTGGTTACCCACAACTCCCATTTGACGGCCTTTCCGAAAGTTTTAGATTTAATCACAGAATCTTTATTTGAAGAGGAGCTCAGGGATTGCCTAATCCTTGTGTTCACCTAGTTTCAAGGCTTTACTATAACATTCTGGAGATGTGATTAAACAACTTCTGATTGAATGCTTCTGCTGATGGTGGACTCACTACCTCTGGAGGGACATTTGTTCCTTTTGCTGACAGCTTAAGGGAACGGAGGAAAGGAACCTTTATAGGGCACTTTGAATATTTCAGGCACTGTGCCCAAAGCTTTACATGTGTCATTGCATCTACTTGTCTTCGTAACACTTGAGGTAGTTTTTATTTCTATTATTATTATTACTACTAGGAGCAAGGCTTATTAGGAACCACATACACTTCTTTGCACTTTATATATAGTAAGTCATTTAATTTTTCCAACAACCCTCTGAAGTAGCTACTTTTATTTCTCTATTTTATAGATGATGAAACTGAGGCTCAAAGAGGTTAAACAGCTTGCTTGAGTTCACATAGCTAGAAAGTGAATTTGAACACTGGCAGTAGGTCCAGAACTCACAC
Source organism: Homo sapiens (assembly GCF_000001405.40). NCBI lineage: Eukaryota > Metazoa > Chordata > Mammalia > Primates > Hominidae > Homo > Homo sapiens. Next base: position 12,873,904 of record NC_000004.12, on the reverse strand, counting down.
TTACATAGTAATGTTCTGCTGCCTCTAATTATCCTCATTTTAATGACATTTTAATCCTCTGTGAAAACTGAGTCACAGAGCCTTTGTGACAGGTCACAGGTTACACAGTGAAAAAGTGACAAAATGGTGATTTGAATCTGCTTCTGCCTGACTCCAAATTCTTGGTTTCATAACTCCATATGGCCTTCAGGTAGGAAAATGTGCTACTTGTACCAGTTGGGACAAAATTGACCCCCCTTAAATCCTGTGCATGGACCCTTCAGGGTCTGCTGTAGAATTAATCCACAACAGCATTTCAGATTTATAAGCAGCTTAGGTTGGCTTCAAGTCTAAATATATGCAGTTCTTTTGTTATTCCTTGCTCTTTAAAAGTTCTACATTCTGTAGTCTCATTGTCTCCTTCCAAAAGAGGAAAATTTGAAGTCGGGTAAACATCCTTGAGCCCCAATCATATGGAGTGATCTGAATGGACCAGAACGAACAGAACTATAATATACCCCTGCTCATTTATTCAGTTGGTCAATTACTTGGTAAGTAAATAAAAGTGCATTCAATGATCTGTGAAATATCAATGATTGGCTGTCATATATATATACACACACATATATGTATATATATATATACACATATATGTGTGTGTGTGTGTATATATACACACACACACACACACATATATTTGAGTACTTTGGGTTGTGAAATATTGGTCTGTTTAGTCATGCACTTGCACCTAGTATTTTTATAGCTATTGCATTTTAAAAATACTGATGTGTGATGACTAAATCCCCCTCCTTTTTTTTTCAAAATTGTCCTGTTAGTCTTAGTCACATATGTTTCCTTATTAACTTCAGAATAATTTTTTAGGCTTTGTAAAATGTCCTGTTGATGTTTTCATTGTTACTACACTTAAATTGTAGTTTCCTGACACTTTTTTTATATTCAATCTTTTAAGCCATAAACATGATATCTCTCATGGTTTAAGTTTTGTTTTTTCTCTTTGGGTAAATGTTAAGGTTCCCCTATAAAGGTTTTACATATTTTCTTAGATTTATTTAAAGGAACTTTACACTTTTAGTTGATGTTTTAAAGGTTATCTTATAATACTGTTTTTGAACATAAGTTTTTAACATTCTAATATTTTTTGCATTTTATTTTCATTTTGACAATTACGTTTTCACAGTATGTTTTGTGGAATCTTTGGCTTCTGGGAAGTCACAGCAACTCCAGGAGTCTTGAGGTGGGAGTGAATTCTGATGCAGAGAGAGCAGGACTCAAGATCCCTCTCCTCTAAACCACTAGGATTTGCTCCATTCTAATTGAAATTATATATTAGAAATTCAGGTGTGAAAACCATGCTACTGGAAAAACTACTGTCATATATATATTACATTATATATATATTATATATATATATATAAAAAACGATGCTACCAGAAAACTACTGTCATATATATAATATAAAAATATATATAAAACTGTATATATGTGTGTATATATATGTATATATATGTACACAACGTACACACAGAGAGAGAGAGACTGTAGATAACACTTCTGGACTCTGATTACACCATTTTATTTCTTTTGTTTTCCAGGAACATGAAGAAGTAGCCACCTTTAGTGATTACTAATCTCTGTTCTACATCATCTTCATCCTCTTTTTTATTTATCTTAGGATTTCTAATCCAATTTAACAATATTACCGAATTAGACTCGCAAATTAAAATCCACTGCTTGAAAAAAATAATAGACACTTTAAAGCTATGCTGTGCTGTGATAGTCAGTGATTTACAAAAACAAAATCTTATCTCTCACTCCTGTCATACGTTGGTGCCCATCTGTTGGTTCTGGCTCCATATGTATCTTTACTCTGGGATCAGGCTGAAGGAATTTCCCCGCTTAACCATACCACTCTCATGTCAAAAGAGACTGATGGCTGGACCATGCTATGGCTCTCAATGCTAAGACGTCGTGTTCTCCATGTTACGCATGTTCCATTGACCAAAGCCTGATGTCAACAGAGAGGAAATATAATCTGCTTAGTAGGAGACAATGCAGGTCATATGGCAGTGGGCAGGTAAGTATTACCTTCTTCCAATGAAAGCTGTGAATAATTGAGGACAGTAAACTGTCTACCACAACACATAGTGTCAAAGAAATTAATTCAGTTTTTATTTTAATTTTTAAGATACATGTAGAAGATTTTGCAAAAATGACTTTAGTAGCAGCAACTTTTTTTAGTTTTCTGAAATTTTTGCATAAAAATAGAACAAAAAATAGCAAATCCAAATATGCTCCAACAATTTTACTTGCAAGCAAGATACCAAGGTATCCCTGTGAACCCCAAAATGCAAATGAATGGGGACTTACTGCCACCAACCACAAAATCTGTGTGCCATTAGCATCTGTACAGAAGAGGGAAGCAACTGAATGGGGCTGAGCAATGAGAACAGAAGAACCTCCGCAATACTGCAGGTATTCCCTGGAAAGTGTGGTGACCAAATGAACTGAAGAATGCAAGGGCCCACAGTGGGAGGACTGAGGGGTGGGGCCACCTGACTGCTAAGAACATTCTGAAACTGACCTTCTGAGGTTCCATTCTAGGACAGGCACCCACACTTGAGATAAACTTCTGGGAGTGGAATCAAAATTTATGAAGCTAGAAATAATAGAGACAAAAGAGAAAGTCTAGACCAAAGAAGGCGAGGGGAGGTTGCGGAACTAGAAAATCCAAGGAATCAAGGCTATGCATTTTAGTGCACTATACAGAAACAGAAAGGTACTTAAAAAGTTTGAAAAGCTTTCCTGACCACACCTCTTCTCAATTCTAAAAGATCACAAAAATTTATTTCTTATAAAAATGTACATCGGCCAGGCACAGTGGCTCACGCCTGTAATCCCAGCCCTTTGGAAGGCCAAGGTGGGTGGATCGCCTGAGGTCAGGAGTTCAAGACAAGCCTGGCCAAAATGGTGAAACCCTGTGTCTACTAAAAATAAAAAAATTAGCCAGGCGTGGTGGCAGGCGCCTGTAATCCCAGCTACTCGGGAGGCTGAGGCAGATCATTGCTTGAACCCAGGAGGTGGAGGTTACAGTGAGCCGAGATGGTGCCACTGCACTCCAGCCTAGGCAACAGAGTGAGACTCTGTCTCAAAAAAAAAAAATGTACATCAGGAAAGTACTGAGGTAAAATCTCATACAGAGTTACTATAATAATACAATGAATAAGTAGCAGAATAACATTCCTACGGAGTGAAAATATCTGAGGAAGATAGGCTTACAATACACCATAAAACTGTAACTTATCATTTGAACATGAGCTAAAATACATTATGAAAAAAAGACATGAAAGAATAACAAATCAAAATTATAAGAACTCTAATTGACAGATCTCAGGAAAGAATTAGAAATAAAATTTAAAAAATTAGAATGAAGGTAAACTAGAAGAGAAATTGAACACAAGATATAATGCCTGAAGAGAACTAGAAAGTGAAAAATAAAAAATGTTAAAAATAAAAAGGAAATTCGTAAAAGAGGGAAAAGGATTCAAGAGAAGGGGATAAATATTGAGGAGCCAAAGAAGATCAAAATGCAAATAATTAGAATGCTTGAAAAAAGAAAATCAAAACAGGAAGCAAACAAACCATTAAAAAAAATAGTTCTCAAAATTTTTCTGAAAAAAAAAGAATAAGACAATATATTGAAAGTTGTAACTGAGACTACAGACCCAGAATGATCAAAACCAAAATACAATCTGATCAAATTATTGGACCTGAAATAATCTTTAGGCATCTCTAATGAAAGAGCAAATTACTTTTAAGGGAATAAAATTGAATTATCATCAGACTTTTTGACAACAGTGCTTTATTGCAGAAAAAAAATGGACTAATTTAAGACACTCAGGAAAAGAAAATATCTTTAAAATAAACCTGACTTTCAGTATAAAGGACAAAAGCTGTATTCAACCTGTAAGCACTTGGGGAATATTGCTCCCATGAGCCTTCTGAGGAATTTACTTGAGAACAAACATTAGGAAACCAAAATGACTAGAGACGTAATGACATCATATCTGGTGGTGAGTTTTAAATATATCAGTATTTGTATAAATAAGACTAAATGAGGGTTATCAGGGAAAGACAATGTAATATCTATATGTTCTGAAAATGCAGATGTAGCACAACTTTCTACATATGAGGGAGAAATGGAGATCATATACAACAATCATTTTAAATTGTGTTAGTCATCATAGGTGATATGGTGTTGTTATTTTGAGACTGTTGCTTGTGTAATATGAGATGAAATAAAACAATGCTATGAAGCATTCTAATTTTATTATCCCCTGTGTCCTGAGAACCAAACGTTTCAATGTGAAAGACAGGTATACAGATGTAATAGGGAAGAGGTTATGTAAAAGCTCTGTAATTTTGATTTTGAATTCAAAGTGTCAATATGTACTTATGTATGTACATGAACACATGTGTGTGTCTTCTTTGCTCTGTTCACTAAAAAGTCCTCAAGACAATTATCAACCCAGTGGCAATAAGCATTCCTAGTGCCCAGATATTGATTTTGACATAGAGTTTTATGCTAAAAAAATACAGCTAATTGTAAGTCTCAGAAAATGTACAAGATGACCATGGAACTATGGAAAATTATTGGGGTCATGTTAGAAGACTCAAGACCCAACATGAATAGGTTTTAACTGGCCAGATATGGCACTATTTGAGTTTCACTAATAAAAATAATTGCAATGAATGGAAACTCATTAAATATGTTTATATCCATGTTTGAATAATGATTTTTATAAGAGGAAGAATGATTGATCACCTTATGAAGATGATAAGGAATCAATCCATCATTTTGAAAACTAGTAAAAGGACACTTTAAGCATTTATTTTACCTTTCCTGTATAAACAATATCACTAGGTAACCAAGTAGACAATGAAGGCAAGGGTCTTTTTATACAAGTATTCAACTAACTAAAAAGATAATTTGTTGAATTAGAATTTCAGCAGTTTACAATGAATTAACAGACACAGCATCACATATCAACAGATGGTAACCATGAAAAGGACAAAACAAGAATACGTGTCTCCGATAGTCTTGCTAAACACCAGCAGTCTTTTCAAGGAGATCAAACCTGAGTCTGATCAAGTCTTTGGGTCTACTTACCAATTGGCAGGAAACCCAGAGGACAGAGGAACATGCTGCACCATGTGTATGCAGTCAACAAGTTCAGTTCAAATATATCTTGGATCCTTCAGCAAATAATGTATAAGGAACATAAAAGGTAGAGAGAAAAATCTATGGATAAAAAGAGACTTAAAAGAAATGTCAAAGTTTAAAAATAATACAATCCTAATTATATTTGGTAAACATGGATGTTAGAGCTGTTTTTAAAAGCTGGAATGTCATTACTATAAAAGTCAGGAGTGATTACCTGTGTGGGAAGGGAAGGGGCTGTGATGGGACTGATGCCTTGGTGGTTTTAGATGGTTGGTAAAGTTTTATTTCTTAACCTGGTAGTGGTTCTGAGGCTTTTTGACTTAGTATAACTCATTAAACCACACATTTATTTTGCATGATTTTCTCTGTGTTTCATTTTTGAACAAAGAGATTATTTTTAGTACTACATTGTCATAGAAAGAAATTCAAGTATTCTGTAATAAAATAAAATGTGAAAGGTTCCTACTGTAGCTAATTTTTAAGTTTTACTTTCCAGAAAAAGTCACTGGGATCAGTTGCTTAGAAACCCTTTTGGATATTTCCTGTGTATTTGTTTTACATAAGTGGGATGACATCATTCATATTGTTTCAATATTTTAAAAAATATTTACTAAATATATACTATTTCCTGGCTGGGCATGGTGGCTCACACCTGTAATTGCAGTACTTTGGGAGGCTGAGGCAGGCAGATCACAAGGTCAGGAGTTTGAGACCAGCCTCACCAACATGGTGAATCCCTGTCTCTACTAAAAATCCAAAAATTAGCTGTACATGGTGGCTTGCACCTCTAATCTCAGCTACTCAGGAGGCTGAGGCAGGAGAATCGCTTGAACCCGGGAGATGGAGGTTGCAGTGAGCCGAGCTCATGCCACTGTACTCCAGCCTGGGGGACAGAGAGAGATTCCGTCTCAAAAAAAAAAAAAGTATATATATATGTGTGTGTATATATATATATACACGTAGGTATATATACGTGTATATATGTATGTATATATACGTATATATATGTATGTATGTATACGTGTATATATATGTATGTATGTATACGTGTATATATATGTATGTATGTATACGTGTATATATGTATGTGTGTATACGTGTATATATGTATGGGTGTATACGTGTATATATGTATGTGTGTATACGTGTATATATGTATGTATGTATACGTGTATATATATGTATGTATATATACTATTTCCTTATATTCATACATGCTTACTTCATTGTATATTGCATCCTTGTTTACACACTTTCACACTCATTTGAAATATTTGTATTGGATAATTGAATTATTAAGTTTCATGAAAGGATTGACAGCTATTAATTTTTTATTTCTTCTCTAGTTCAGAATTCTGAGTCTGAACAGTGCGGATCTTTATAATTCCCAACTCTACCCACAGCTCCACCAAATGACAACAAACAGATCATTTATTTATTTATTTAATGTTTTTTTTTTGAGACAGGGTCTCCCTCTGTTGGCCAGACTGGAGTGCAGTGGTGTGATCTTGGCTCACTGCAAGCTCCGCCTCCCAGACTCAAGTGATTCTCCTGTCTCAGCCTCCCAAGTAGCTGGGACTTCAGGCACCCGCCACCATGCCCAGCTAATTTTTATATTTTTAGTAGAGATGGGGTTTCACCACGTTGGCCAGGCTGGTCTTGACCTCCTGACCTCAGATGATCAACCTGCCTTGGCCTCCCAAAGTGCTGGCATTACAGGCATGAGCCACTGTGCCCAGCCCTAACAAATCATTTAAAATTAACTGATGTGTATCTACAGTTAAAAAAATAAAATAAAATCATGATACCATAACTATACCTTCATTTGTAGTAATCAGGGTATTCAGTTACCATATTGAATTTATTAATTGCTCTTAATACAGTTTGATTTGTATTTGCAAATCTACATGGAGCTTCTTCTTTGTTCCAGGGACTATACTAGGCACTGGGTTTCTCAAGATGAATAAAGCCTAAAGCTTGGGTTCACTAAGAATACTGATACTTCTTTTCTAGATTTCTTACTTACCAGGTCTCATGTATTCTTCCTGGACTTTATTCTGTCTTCACTCTAACTGGTTAATTACTTTTTGCTTAAATAATTGCAATAGACTTCTGGCTAGCTTTCCTGTTTTGATTTTGAAGTCATTCTCCTCACTTATGACAAGGGGATTTCTCTAGTTCATGAATGTCCCTATTCTTATGCCCAATATTCTTCAGGGACCCCTTACTGATCACGGTAAACTCGTCATGTGGAAACCTGCATGCTCTTTCCTCTTTCCACACAAACAGCCTTAGAGTTTATGACTCTGTTACCTGCAGTATACTCCAGGAATACTGTACAGCTTTTAGCTATTAGAACATGTACTTTCTGCGAAGAATGCCTTTCCTTTTACTCAACACACAGATCCCTGTTCATCCTTAAGTAGCTTTTTTCAGCACTGCCTCCTCTGGGAAAATGTCCCTGTCTTTTTGGGACACACTTGAGCACTTTCTCCATGATCTTACTGTACTTATGACATTTCTCCATCATCATGTTACATTTTAAACTTTCTTTGCAGGATTATCTTCTTTCTTAACTAAAAGTAACTTGAAGACAAACACCATGACTTTTCACCTTTTTACTTCCTGCTACTGGTGCAGACCTGAACCTAATGCACTCAATGAATATTTCATTAATTAACTTGACCAATATTTATTAAGTTCTTAGTATCTGTCACTAACAATCTAAGTTCAGAGGATACAGCAGTACAATACAGATAAAGATCCTGCTCTCACAGGGCTTATAATCAGAAGGGATAGATATGGGAGAGGCAAGATATAAACAACTGAACACACAAAAATATCCATTATAAGTGCCATGCAGAGAATTTATGTAGAATGTTGTGATAAAGCATGATCGCAAGACATTTCTAGGTTGGATTGTCAAGAAAGTTTTCTTAGAGGAGGTGCTATTTAATCTAAACTGTAGCTGAATGGATGGATCCACCAAGGGAAGACCAGATCAGGGCCAAGGGTGCAGTGCAGAGACCTTAATACTGGAACCAGTTTGTTTCAGGACAGGAAGGCAGGCCAGTGTGGCAGGATCTTAACAAGCAAGGAATGCGGAGTGGGTAAGAGTTGAGGTCAAAGGAAAGAAGCAACCAGATCATGGAAGGCTGTGTAAGTGGTGTTATGGAGTTTGTATTTTATCCTATGGAAAATTGGAAGGCTTGGAAAATGTTTTAAGTAGATTAGGGAAAGAGTCAACACAGGGAGTTCAATTTCAAGTCTTTTTCAGTAACCATTACTGGTAACAATCTTCGTTTAGACCATGTGGAATACATATACTCTAGTGGAGGTGGGGAATGGAACTAGCATTGGATGTGTTTTGTAAATACAATTGACAGGACTGGCGGATAGATCAGATGTTGTCATTAGTGGAAAAGAGATCAAAGATGTCTAAATTTTTGTTTCTAATATCTTGGTGGATGGTGATGACTTTAGCTAAGTAGAAAAAATCTGAAAGAGAAGCAGATGTGTATGTGTGTATGTGTGTATTTATGTGTACATGTGTCTGTATGTGTGTGTGTGTGTACAAGAAAGATAAAGGAGAATGAGAGCAAGATAATAAAAAGTTAGATATAAAAGTCCAGTATTGGAAGATGTCAGAGGTATAGAGAAAGATTTAGGCAGCCAACAAATACATACTGATAAATATTTTGAAATCTTATAAGTGTTAACAGATGGGTATGTTACTTGGCTGCTGGAAAGGTCATGTTACTGAAGACAAAGCAGATACCTGTTACCACTACTTTAATGGTTTGATGATTCAGAGGCACCGTGTTAAACATTTGACACCTTAACACAATAGTTTATGTTATACTTGTATATAGTAATACAATTTTATATTGTTGTTTTGTTGTGTTTTAGAAAATTAGTTGTGAATTTGAGATTGACACACAACATATTATAATTTTCCTATTTAAAATAATTGGGTAAGGACCTCCCAGTTAGCATTTTATGCTGACATTCTGTGGGAGGTACCCCTAGATACGCCATGATGGCCAACAGAGCAGGTGACTGGTTGAAGTTGCCCCGGAAGTCTTTATGAGCATAGCAAAGAATAAAACTCAGGATCTTAGCCCTGAGGCACTCCCACTTTGAAAGGACAAGTTAAAATGGGGAGGCACAAACAAGGAATGAATGAAGAGGATATAGCCATCCAGGAGAGAAAAGAACCAGGTCAGTGTGATAAGGAGAAAGGAAAGAGGAGAAATTATTTCTATAAAAAAGTAGGAATGAAATAATGATGAACTTCAATAGCAGAACACAGAGTTCATTGCTGGTGTTTGTAAGAGTCGTCCCTGGGAAGAAGTAGAATGAAATTGGAATAGTAGTGACAGCCAACTTTTTCAAGTTTTGCTGTGGTGGGAGTAGACAAATAGAGTTAGAGCCTTGGTGTGAATATGGTATCAAGAGAGGGTTACATTTGAAGATAAAATACAATGGATCATGCATGTCAGCTGATGAGATTCAGCTGGTAAAAAGGGAATAACATATTGCAGAAAAGAGAAGGAAAATTTTCAAGTGCAAAGTCTTTGCATGAGCAGAGGCTGTGGACTTAAAAAGGAGTGGTTATCTGTAGTAATAGATAAATAAAATAAATATCAATAAAGATAAGGTGGGCTTGCAGCCTTAATGGTGAATTTTGTTGAATAAATTAATAAATTCATATATGCAGGATTTAATAAGACTAAATAATACAATGTGATCAGTAGTTATGTCAACACTGGTAGAAGTAAATAGAATAGACTTTAGAGAGGAATTAAAAATTGGGCAGAATACTTAAATAATAATACTGATATTAATACTATTACCAATATATTAGGTTGGTGCAAAAGTAATTGTGACTTTTGCAATTAAAAGTAATGGCCAAAACCGCAGTTACTTTTGTGCCAACCTAATAGGAAGAAGAGGATACAATTTTAAAAAGAGGAGGGAAAGATGATATAGAAGAGCTCCATTTTCTTGAGCACCTTATATTTTCAATCTTATTTGATCCTCACAAAAATACTGAGAGGTGTTAGGCATATTCTATGTATGCAAAAAATGAGGCACAAAGAGCTATAGTAAACTGATGAAGGTCATACAGAATCTAAGTGGAGAAACTATGATTTGAACCCAAGTCTGCCTGGCCTCAAAGGCTGCCTTCTTAAGTAGTCTGTACTTACAGGGTACAGTTGGATAGATAGGAGGTTGGAAGGTCTCTTTAAGGGTTTGGAAAGGTCATATTCTAATTTTATGACCTTTTAAGAATTATAACTAAATCAGAACATATGAAATAAGTAAAAATCCTTGATTTCATAATGACAATTAAAAATTAAACTTTTGGCCTGGCGTGCTGGATCACACTTGTAATCCCAGCACTTTGGGAGGCTGAGGCTGGAGGATTGCTTGAGCTCAGGAGTTTGAGACCAGCCTGGAAAACAAGGAGAAACCCTGTCTCTATAAAAAACAAAAAAATTAGACAGGCATGGTGATATGCACCTGAGTGAAGAAGATGTAGCCACCTAGGAGAGAAAAGAACCAGGTCATTGTGATAAGGTGTAAGCAGACAGAATAAATTATTTATACAAAAAAGGAGAAATGAAATAATGATGAACTTCGATAGCAGAACACAGAGGTCATTGTTGATGTTTGTAAGAGTTGTTCCTGGGAAGAAGTACAATGAAGTTCGAGCAGTAGGAAGCTCAGGAAACTGAGGTGGGAAGATCACTTGAGCCCGGGAGGTCCAAGCTGCAATGAACTGAGATTGCTCCACTGTACACCAGGTTGGGTGAAAGGATGAGACCTTGTATTATTAAAAAAAATTAAACAAAGTTTTCACCTTTGAAAGGTACTAAAGAACCAAGTTATTATTCTAAATTGATATATAAGGGGACATCACGTATTTCTCTGCCTCTTGTTCATTGTCTATACCTTAGTATAACCAAATAGTTGATGAGAGGAAATTTACTCTGTAGTATATTTCAGCTTATTCCTGGAGAAGAAACAATAAAATTACAATATGACCTTTTCAAACCCCTAAAGAAGCCTCCCATAAAACCCTGTTTTGCCTAAGCCCCCCAGTTGAGTCCCTCTCACGTCTCATTGGCCAGAACTATACCACCTTTCTTTGCATAATCTAAGCACTGATAATAGTAGGGATCTTCAACATTTGGCTTAAGCCAAATAAAATGTATCTCTTGGGTTGGGGATGCTACTAACCTTCTCAGGGAAATGTGGCTACATGAAGGAGGCTGGAAAATGTAGATATAATTCAGGGCTTTAAAATAAAAGAGCTAATGGTTATTGTGTTAGTAACCATCAATGTCTGCTTAAATAAGGAGCTAGTGAACAATAAAAATTCACTCAAGAAAGTTCAAGAAGTTCTTTTTACAAAGTATGCCATGGGTCTTAAGAAAAAGTAAGATTAATAATTTGTATATGTACAGTCAGTTTGGGGGAGCTGTATATGGGAAACCGTGCAGGCATCCTCCCCACTCTCTTATCATGGTCTCTCTCCAAAGGTTCCATGGCCTCTTGTTTCTCTGTAAGTATTCACTACCTCCTCTCTATAAACTACTTTTTCTTTTATTTGTATCAGGTTGGACAAGGCCTTTGTTGTCACACTGGTCTCAATTATATGCTGCTGTCTGGATCCAGCTGGCTACATTCTCTTAGTTTCCTTATTTCAAAATTCCAAAAAGCTTGTGATGATTTACCTAGTTCATGTTTTCCTTGCTAGCCATAGAATTTTAGTCAGCCTTTGGGTAAGCTGAACTTGAGCAAGTGCCCACCAGTGAGAGACAGTCACTTGCAAAACATGTCTAATACAATTATGTTATTTTAAGATTGTGCAGAGTAAATAACATTATTTATAAAGTGAGCACTCAATGAATTTTTATTCTTTTCTCATTCATTCATTCATCAAACATTTATGAAACATCCACTTCCTTTTAGGCATTGGAGATATACACATAAAAATAACAGAGTGCTTAAAGGAGACACAGCTAGTCAGATAAGCATTTGTAAATAGTCCAGAACACCATGGGAGTGTAAACAGAACATGAACACCTACCTCAAGCTCAAGCCAACACTTGATCTGAATCTTAAAGTCTCAGTGGGAGTTAACTATGCAAACACAGATGACAGAGGAAGGGCATCAAATTATGATGGAATAGTGTGGACACATGTAGATGCAAGAAACAGCCTTTGTGTTTCACAATTCTAAGAAGTTCCGTTAACATTTTATTCTGTGTGCACCAATTTTTGCAGGACAGCAATCATGTGGGAAACAGCATAATTTAATTTCATTAGATTTTGGAAAAGAAAGAGCTGGAGAAGCCTACCCGTAGAAGAATGTTCTGGATTTTAGAATAATTAACACAATGCAGGGGATTCAGATATGGGAAGGATGAAGTAAGAATACTCCATCCTGGATTTTCCATGGAAAGCAGCTATAAAACCTGGACTGAGTGAATGGAGAAGATACTTTGAGTACTCTAAAAAATAACTAGTAGCAGGAGGGGTGGCGAAGAAGGCCAAAATTCAATGTATCACTGAATCAGCAGTGAGTTTTTCATTCTTTTTTACTTTGGTATCCACGTGGCCTGGTGCAACCCACCCCAGAACATGAAAGAACTCAAGAGAAGTACTCTCGTTACAGCTTGAGTAGTAAGGACAGATTTCCTAATGGCCAGAGAGAATACAGTAAATGCTTATTTGCAAAATATCTTATATTTCAGCCTGTAGCTTCTCACAAACACCTAGAATTCTGAGTAGAAGCTTCCTGTTGGATACAGAAGCTGTGCTTTGAAGAGGGAGGAGAAAACTCTTATTTCTATACCCCCACCCCTACCTTTTCTGTCCTCCACAGCTTAACCCCAGACCTGTGCACAGCAAAGGGGAGTATGGAAGACTCCGGTGAATAAATCAGCTTTTAGAATAGTAGGCTAAAAAGAGGGGTCCTAGGAAATGAGAAGATTTTGAGATTTCAGAGAGGAAGGACTTCCAAAAATTCACCTAAAAATTATTTGTGAATTTCTGGACACACCCCAAGCTGTGCATGCATGGATCTACTAACACTAAAAGCTTAAGATTATCCATATGGTTTAAGCAAGACTTAGTATCTCATAAGGTAATACTCAAAATATCTACAACACAATCCAAGCATTACTCAATATATAAAGTATCAGGAAAATCTTAACTTGAGAGAAACAGAAAATCAACAAATGCTAGTTTGAATTATCTGGCAGACTCAAAATAGCTATTTTTAAAATGCTTCAGTAGGTTAAGGTAAACGTTGTTGAAATAAATGGGCAGGTAGAAGGTCTTAACAAAAACAAATAGAAGATATAAAGAAGAAATGACTGGAAATTAAAAACAGAAAAACACATTAACCAAAGTAAAAGTATCACAGAAGGGGCTTACTAGCAGAATGAATATGCTAGGAGAAAAAGTCAGTGAACTTGAAATATGTCATTAGAATTTATTTAATTTGAAAAACACAGAGAGAAAAGATGGAGAAAAAGGAACAGAGTCTCGGAGACTAATGGGAAGATATAAAAATCTAACATTTATGTCAAAGAAGTCCCAGAAGGAGATGAAAAATAGTGTGCAGAGAAAATATTTGAAGAAATAATAGTAAGAAAGCCTCTCAAATTTGACAAAACCCATAAACTTACAGATTTAAGAGGTTGAACAAACTCCAAACAGAAAACAAACGAACAAACAAACAAACAAATTCACACTTGGAGACATTATAATCAAGCTGCTGGAAAGTAAAGAAAAAATATTGAAGACGACAGAGAAAATGATGCATTACTTAGGAGAGCAACAATTTCAATGACTGTAGATTTCTCATCAGAAACCATGGTAGCCAGAAAGAAGTAAAAAAAGCATTTTTAAAGGGCCTAAAGAAAAACACAGTCAAACTCCATCGAGTGAAAAATTCCTGCAGAAATGACAGTGAAATAAAGCTGTCTCAGATAAAGAAGAACTAAGAGAATTTGTTGCCAGCAGACTTCCTCTAAAATAACTGTTAAAGAATTTTGTTTTCAGAACAAAGCTTTTCTTTTAAAAAGAAAACTATCGTTAACATTTAGCTATATTAGTATCAGACAAAGTAGACTTCAGAGCAAAGAACAATAGGGATAAAGTGAGACATAACATAATGATAAGGTCAATTTCTCAAGAAGCCATAAAAGTCCTCAATGTGTAAAATAAGTACTGACAATAGAATTTCAAAACATATGAAACAAAATTTGACAGAACTGAAAGAAGTATACAAATCCACCATTATATTTAGATGTATTACCTCTGCTCTCAGTAATTCAACCTCCGTTCTCAGTAATTGATAGATTCAGTGGATACTGAGTCTGCAAGGATATAGAAAAACTGAACAACATCATCAAAGCTGGATGTTTTCACACTGACGTTTTACATATCAACCAACAACCGAAGAATGTACATCCTTGTCTTCAAGTGGACAGAGATCATTCACCAAGATAGAATGTATTCCAGGTCACAAAACAAATTTAAAAATTAAAATCACTTGAAATCATACAAATGTTACTCTTTCATTCTAATAGATTAAACTAAAATCAATAACAAAGATTACAGGAGACTCTCAAACACTTGAAAATTAAATAGGCTGGGTGCAGTGGCACATGCCTGTAATCCCAGCACTTTGGGAGGCCCAGGTGGGTGGATCACAAGGTCAAGAGATCGAGACCATCCTGGCCAACATGGCAAAACCCCATCTCTACTAAAAATACAAAAATTAGCTGGGCATGTTGGTGTGTGCCTATAGTCCCAGCTACACGGGAGGCTGAGGCAGGAGAATCGCTTGAACCCGGGAGGTGGAGGTTGCAGTGAGCCGAGATCGCACCACTGCACTGCAGCATGGGGACAGAGTGACACTCCGTTTCAATTAAAAAAAAAAAGAAAAAAGAAAAGAAAATTAAACAGCATGCTTTTAAGTATTTTATGAGATTTAAAAAATATTGTATGCATCTTAGGTGCAAAACATTATGTTTTAATATAAATAGTGAAGTAGTTGCTATAGCTAAGCAAATTAAGATATCCATCATCTTGCATAATGATGCATTTTTGGTCTTAAAATAGTCTAAAGTCCACTGTCTTAGCAAATTTCCTGTATAGGATACAATATTATAATTAGAGTTATGTGCTACAAAATGATGTTTTAGTCCATGACAGACCATGTATATAATTGTGGCTCCATAAAATTATAATACTAATTTTTACTGTACATTTTCTATGTTTAGATACACAAATACTTACCATTGTGTTAAAATTGACTGCAATATTCAGTATACTAACATGCTGTAAGGTTTGCAGCCTAGGAGTAATAGGCTATATCATATAACCTAAGTGTGTAGTAGGCTCATCTACGTTTGAGTAAGTATATTCTGTGATGTTCACACAATGACATAATTGTCTAACAACATGTTTATCAGACTATATCCCAGTTATTAAGCAACACATGATTGCATATTCTTCATGTTGCACATTGTATCTCTCGACTTACTCATCCTACATATCTGCAAGTTGCATCCTTTAAGCTTCATCTTCTCATTTCCTTTCTCTACCTCTATCCTTGGTAACTGCCATTTTATTCTCTGTTTCTATGTATTCAATTTTCTTTTTTTAGATTCCAGATATCATTGAGATTATGCAGTATTTTTCTTTCTGTGTCTGCCTTATCTCACTTAGCATGATGCCTTCCAGGTCCATTCACATGGTAGCAAATGGCCAAATTGCCTTTTTTTTTTTCTGAGACTGAGTCTCGCTCTGCCCCCCAGGCTGGAGTGCAGTGGTGCAATCTTGGCTCACTGCAAGTTCCACCTCCCGGGTTCATGCCATTCTCCAGCCTCAGCCTCCCAAGTAGCTGGGACTACAGGCACCCACCACCACGCCTGGCTAATTTTGTTTTTGTATTTTTAGTAGAGATGGGGTTTCACTGTGTTAGCCAGGATGGTCTCAATCTCCTTACCTCGTGATCCACCCGCCTTGTCCTCCCAAAGTGTGAGCCACCACACCCGGCCCCAGATTGCCTTCTTTTTCAAGGCTGAATAATATTCTTATGTGTGTGTGTGTGTGTATCCACACACACATATATGCATATACATATTTATGTATATAATTTGTTAATCTGTTTATCCATCAATGGATATTTACATTGTTTCCATAACTTGGCTCTTGTGAATAATGCTGCAATAAATGTGGGTTTGCAGATAGTTCTATGAGGGCTGATTTTATTTCCTTTGGGTAAAGAGGAAGGCCCAAGGAATTAGAACAATATTTTGAATTGAATCAAAATGAAAATAAAACATATCAAGATTTGTGAAATTCATTTAAGGCAGTTTTTAAAGAATAATTCATAGCATTAAATATTTATATTAGAAAAGAAGAAAAGCTTCAAATCAATATATCTGTTCTTACCTTAAGAAACTAAAAAGGGCAAAATGGACCCAAGCAAATAGAAGGAGGGAAATAATTTAAAAATATAAATCAATAATTTTTTAAATAGAAGAAGAGTAGAAAAAAATTGAACAATAAGCTGGCTTTTCTAAAGATGAACAAAATTTATATACCAAAATAAAGCTGGAAAAAGAAAGACAAGAAAAGTTTGGATAGAACTTACTAATGAATAATACACCTAGCAGTTGGTAATACAACAGGGTTACTGTAGTCAATAGTAATGTAATTGTATATTTTAAAATAACTAAAAGAATGTAATTGGATCATAACATAAAGGATAAATGCTTGAGGTGATGGAAACCCTTTTACTCTGATGTAATTATTATGATTTGCATGCCTGTATCAAAATATCTTATGTACTGCATAAATATATATACCTACTAGGTACTCCCCAATAAAAAAAAATAAAAAATTAAAAAACTGGGATATTCCTTCAGAACTCATAAATATTAAGAGGGTAATAAAAAGTACTATAAATAATATGTACATGAATTTTATAACTTAGATAAAATTACCAATTCCTCAGAAACCAGTACTAAAACTTACTCAAAATATCATAAATAACTCAAATAGTGCCACAATTATTAAACATTGAATTCATAAATTAAAACCTTTCAATAAAGAAAACCCCTGATCAAGTGGATATACTGAATAATTCTACCAATTGCATAAAGGAGTAACACCAATTCCAGACAATCTCTTCTAGAAATAGAGGAGTAAGCACTTTTTGACTTATTTTAGGAAGCTAGTATTACTCTAATACCAAAACCAGACAATGATAGTACCAAAACAAGATATAAAACAAAAGAAAAAATTACAAACCAAATCCCTTATATAAATAGACACAAAATTGACAAAATACTAAAGAACCAAATCTAGTAATAAATATTAATAAAAATAATACAGAAGACCAAGATGGAATTTTTTAGGGAATGCAAGGCTGATTCAATATTTGTAAATCCATTAGTGTAATTCATTATGTTAACAACCTGCAGAAGAAAAGGAGATCATATCAATACATATAGAAAAATCATTTGACAAAATACATCATTTATGACAAAAATTGTCAGACAACTAAAAGTAGAAGGAAACTTTCTTAAACCTATAACCATCTCCAAAAAACCAAGAGCTAGCATCATACTTAAGGCTTCTAAAATTATTACAGAAAGGTTATAAATGGTTAAAACAGTAGAATAAAGTTGTAATACTCATGCTACCTGATTTTAAGACTTACTATAAAGCTACACTAATTAAGACATAGTGGCATTGAAGGGATAGACACACAGATCCATCAAACGGAAGATAATCCATAAATATACCCACTCATATGTAGCCAACTGATTTTTGACAAAGATGCAAAGGCAGTTCGATGGACAATAGATAATCCTGTCAAGAAATTGTTTTGGGAAAATTAACCATTCAAATACAATGTAATGAACCTCAATGTCAGTCTCTTACTTAATATAAATATTAACTCAAAATCAATCACAGATTTAAATGTAAAACATTAAATGACAAACCTTTTTGAAAATCTTTGTGACCTAGCATTAAGCAAGATATTCTTAGATATCATCACCAAAACACAAATCATAATTATTCTTAAAAAGTAAGAAATTGGATTTTATCAAAATTAAAAAAGCAAAGCACAACAAAACTTTTGCTCTTTGAAAGGTACTGTTAAAAGAATGAAAAGCAGAATCATAGACTGGGAGAAAATATTTACAAATCATATGTCTGACAAAAGATTTGCATACAGAATATAGTTTAAAATTATTGAAAACCAACAATAAGAAAACAAAACCTATTTTGTTTTTTATTTTTTTTTTTGGTTTTTTGGAAAAAGGGTAAAATATTTCCATGGACACTTCACCAAAGCAGGTGTATAAAATATAAGCACAATTAAAAGATACTCAGCATCATAATTCATTGGAGAAATTTAAGTTAACACTACAATGTGGTAACAGTTCATAAGTATTAGAGTGCCTAAAATTGCAAAAAAAAAAAAAAAAGAGAGAGAATTATGAATTACTGTGATGAGCATGCGGAGCAACTGGAACTCTCATACAATGCTGGTGGGGAAGCAAAATGATGCAGCTCCTCTGGAAAATATTTTGGCAGTTTATCGTATAGTAAAACATACACTTATCTGATGACCCAGGAGTTGTCCATGTAGGTATTTATCTTATAGTCATGAAAATTTATGTTCATACAGAAAGCCTGCATACGAATGTTTATTGCAGTCCTATTTATAATTGCCTTAAACTGAAAACAACTGAAGTATCTCTCAGCAGGTGAATGGATAAACAAATTGTGGTACTTCTGGTGTGGTTTGGCTGTGTCCCATCCAAATCTCATCTTGAATTGTAGTTCCCATAATCCCCACATGTCCTGGGAGGGACTGAGTGGGAGGTAATTGAATCATGGGGGTGGTTATCCTCATGCTGTTCTCTTGATAGTGAGTGAGTTTTCATGAGATCTGAAGGCTTTCCCTCCTTCTGTTGGGCACTTCTCATTCCTGCCACGGTGGGAAGGACATGTTTGCTTTCCCTTCCGCCATGATTGCAAGTTTCCTGAGGCCTCTCTAGCCATGCTGAACTGTGAGTCAATTAAACCTCTTTCCTTTATAAATTACCCAATCTCAGTATGTCTTTATTAGCAGCATAAGAACAGACTAATGCACATACAATAAAATATTTTTCAGCAGTAAAAACTAATAGACTATTATAGACGCACCAAACAATTTGGAAGAATCCCCAAAGCATTATGCTGAGTGAGAGAAGACAGTCTCAAAGTTTATACACTCTGTGTTACATTTATATAGCAGTCGCAGGTCAAAACTGTACTGATGAACAAATCAATGTTCACCAGGTATAAGAGAGGAGAGAGGTTTGGGTGTTAAGAAATATCAGTTTTTTTTTAGTGTGATGAAGCAGTCCTGTATCTCGATTGTGGTGATGATTACAAGAATTTATACATATGTTAACATTCACCAAAATAAAGTCAATGTGTTCAGTGCAGTGGCTTGTGCCTGTAATCCTACCTACTAGGGAGACTGAGGTGGAAGGATCGATTGAGTCCAGGAGTGTCAGGCTGCTGTGAGCTATGATAACTACACTGCACTTCTGCCTGGGCAACAAAGTGAGACCCTGTCTCTAAATATAGGTAAAGGATGAATTGGTTTGGGGGCAAGACATGGGCATTTTAACCCCTTACATTTCTAGAATTGCACTAAATGACTTCAAACCTTCCAGTAGGAAGATTGAAAATCTGTAGGTATTTTTCATGAAGTGTGTTTTCCTTCTGTGCAAAGGAAATTTCCCTAGCTGTAAACTCCATTGTTAAATCCTCCTCTTTGTACATGGTTATTATTTTTAAATAGGAGCCCTTCCCCTCCCTAAGCCTCAGTGCTGTGAGGAATGGTGAGTTAAACAAGCTCAAAGTTCCATCAACAGAGAAGATGAAGACTTGGCTGGGCCCACAGCAATAAGTGATAAAGACCCCAGGTGTTTTATAAGGCAGTGACACATCAGCTACATCAGCTCATGAAATAACACAATGCAGTGGGCCTAGGAGCCTGCCTATGTACACAGTGACAGACTATGCTTTATGGACTGAACAAAATGCATTACAAATTTTGGGGGGAAATCAGGTAGAATTAGGCATTTGATTGGATCAACTCTACAATGTTAAGTGAGACCAAGTGGACAAAGATAGTTTTGTGGCATTTTCCTAAATTTTATGAATGACAAGATGTGACACAGTATGTTTTCTCTACAACTGATTTGTTTGTGAAGTCGTTAGGATCATATTTATTCACTCATCTAACATTTCATGAGCCAGTCCTCTGAGCCAGGCATCATGGGAGACATTGAGAATAGAAAGAAATCAGTCCTTTAAAAAGCTCTGTCTACCACCTTGATAAATCCTGAAGGATCTCTGTGGTCAATGGGACACGTCGTCTCATCTGACCAAAGGGTGAGGTGAGGCCACTTCCCCAGGAAGGAGTGATAGCTTTTTCCACATTCACAGATAAATTCCAGGTCTTCCACTGACAGGCAGTAAGCAGAATGATTAGTCATGAACTCCAGAGCTACGTTGTTTAGTTTTGAATCCCTGGTCTGCAATCACTTCCTGTCTGATTCTGGGCAGGTGACTTAAACTCTCTGTGGCTTAGTTTTCTCATCTGTAGAAAAGGGATAGAAAATATTTTTTTCTACCACACACAACTCTGATCAGGATAAAAATAAAGAATGCAGACATCTAAAGTCGTCCCAGCACATGGTAACAGGTATACTCAGCACACAGCAAACATTTAACCAGTGCTAATTCTTACTATCGAATCCCTGCTTAATGATCTTGAACTAAAAACCAACTCTTCTGAGTTACTCTCTTGTTTCATTCCAGATTTGCCCAGCTTAGGTAAATAAGGAAATTTTGTCTTTAGCACTTGGTTTTTCTGCTTCCTTTATCCTATGACTTAAAAAAGCTGTTCCTCTCTGGGTCTTGGTTTCTTTTAGTGCCGAAAGGGAGAGGTCAGAGGAGCTTGACCTAGATGGGTTGCAAGCTCCCTTCAAGCTTCAGGATTCTACACTCCAGGAAGGGAAAAATGACGCAAGCCATGGCTTTATAATTCCTACTCATTGCTTGAGGAAACTGTTCCCTAGCGGACTGTGACTACTTAGTAAAAAGAGCAACATTTCCCTCTAGTGGTTATTTGAAAGCAATAACTTACCTTTCAGGAGTGATTCTGTTCAAAAAAATGCTTTTAGTGTGGGGCAACAGGTAGATAACTGTAAGGTAAGATTCTGAGTGATACATCAACAAGCACTTCTTAATTGTACTATTGGTAATTTACATTTAAAGTACACGAGAAGAAACAGAAACAGTGCGTCAAATTTAGTTGATTGCATGGATATCATTGTTCACGGTTCCAGTAGAAAAAAAATGAGGCAATTCAAAAATGATAACTAGTATTCCAGTTAATAGTTTGGAGATTGGACAGATATCTTAAAGAGGAAGCCTGGAAAACAGTAGTTAATTTCCTTTTTATTTTTATCAAAAGTAAACATGCATATGGTTAAAAAGGATCCAATACAAGACTCGGTAAGAACAGCAGGTCTGCTCCACCTTCTTCCTAGTGTCGGCTGCTTGTAACTTTTTCAAGCTAATTCTGTGATATTTGCCCTGTATTTTCAAATGACATGACTATACTTCTAGATTTTGTTTTAGGTGTTATGTACTGACTTCCCAAAATAGAAGATGGGATTTTGTTCTCTTTCACCCACCCACCCACTACCACCATTTTCCCCTTTACTTCTCATTCTCTCTAATAAATTCTATTGCTTTATCTTCCCCATATATTTATCTAGCAATTTTGATTAGGTAAATACTGATTATGCCCTTATTATTAATGTATAAATGCTATTTTATGTGATCCATATAATGTAATTATATTTACTTTCCTGCGTAGGAAATAACCCATGAAGTCAACAATTTGGCTTATTTTCTATGTGCTTAATGATTAATTCAACTCTGAATTCTCTTCCAACTGTCTAATTCTCCTTTGAATATACAAAAATACTTTAGACAAATACCTTAGATAATTTAAAATGTCATCTTCTTAAGGAAATTTCTTCTTGCCTGCGTCTGCCTGGCCTCGTGGCTCTCTGGAACTGCACAGGCAACCCCATTAGTTCCCTTCACTGTGGAAATCAATTTTGCCTCTCTCTTTTGTTGGATCTCCTCTTTGGATTTTGGATCATATTTCCTGGTTTATTTCCTCATTTAGAGAAAAAGAAAATCAAGTCTGCCAGGTGATTGCTGATAAATAATTGGAAAATGTGAGACCTTTTCTCTCTGAAAATATCTTTATTGTGGCTTTTTTTTTAAAATTGAGACAAGGTCTTGCTCTGTTGTCCAGGCTGTAGTGCATTGGCACATGGCTCACTGCAGCCTTGTTCTCCTGGGCTCAAGAATCCTCCTGCCTCAGCTTCCTGAGTAGGTGGGACCACCACAGGTGCACACCACCATGCCTGGTTTATTTAATGTTTTTTTTTCGTAGACATAGGGTCTCACTATGTTTTCAGGCTAGTCTCAAACTCCTTGGCCCAAGTGATCCTCCCACTTTGGCCTCCCAAAGTGCTGGGATCAGGCCAAGCCTTTATTGCATTTTTATATGAAATTGAGAGATCATCTGTGCTTAGGGGACACATCAGTTTCCCTAGAAATTTTTAATGCATTTTCCCATTTCCTTTTAGCTTTATGTGTTGACAGTGAGAAGTGCGATATTATTTGATTCTCATTATATATCTTTTATGTAAGTATCTTATTTTCTCTTCAATATTCTGAAAGTTCTTCATGTCTTGGTATTGGTTTGCTCCCATGCAGCGTGCTAAGCCCTTTGAAACAGAAATTCATGTACTTCAGATTTGGGGAAACTGTGTTGACTTTTTTTTTAATGAAATCTTTATCACTCAGTTTTCTACTCTCCCTGACTGGAATTCAAAATATTTGGATGTTGAACCTCTTGGATGTGTCATAATGTTTTTTTCTCTTGTCTTTAATTCATTTTTCATTTCTGTCATTATCTTCAACTTTTTATATAATGTTTCCTGAATTTTATCTTCAAAAGCCTCTGTTGGACTTTTCTTTATCTTTTTCTTCCATATTTCTATATATTTTTTTTATTTCTCATAATTCTAGGATTTCTTTTTAATCCTCTTTGAGAGTTCCTATTTCATAGCTTCCTGTTCTTATTTGTAGATTAAATATATTCTCTTATTATCTGAAAGATACTAATGACAGTACTTTGTAAATTCTCTCCCCTCTGGGTTTGTGTGTTTTGTCTTTCTCCTCTCCCTTCTCCTTTTCCTACCTCCTCCTACTATTTAGTTTCTGACTTTTACATTAGATATTCTTTTTCAATATCAAATGACGTTGGGTGATTACCAGTTTCTAAGGATGGGCTCTGATATTTGGTGAGAAGTTTCATGTGTGTCAAAGGGGTCTGTCCTTTCAATTTTTCAAAATAGACTTAGCTAGGGGTTTACATTGGGGAATCCGTGAAGCCAGGTGTTTTCCCTTAGACTAACTCGGTGCTCTAGAGAAGATTCTTTCAGTCTCCAGGACATATCTGGCTGCCAGCACTCCAAAAGCTCCACGTGGAGAAAAGGCAAGCAGGTCTCAACATCTCAACAGTATGCAAACTTTCACTGGTTTGCTATGTTTTCACGATGACACTCCCATTCTCATATCTAACTACGCCCATCATTCGTCTATCAACTGACCCTTTGTTTTACCTTTCCTAAGGAATAAGCCCTCCTTCTACCTAGGTGAGGGGAATGCTATATGAACAAGAGGAGCTATCTAGGGATCTGATAGACTTTGACAGTGTTTCAACTGCATCTCTTGCATGTTGCCCCACCTTCTCTCCTGTACTCAGAAGTACATGATACAACAAATTTCTGAGCCTTTAATGGGTTCGATGGTGTAAATCAACTTGTTTCTCAGCTTTCCTCACTGCCAGCAAAAAGATCGGTTTCTGTGCGCCTGCTAAGTTAGTTACTGCAGATCAGGCATCTGCTTTCCAGCTTTCAAAATTGTTGCTCCATTCTCTCCACTTTGTCCTACAGATTTATGCCTTTAAAAATAAAAATAATTTACCTGTTCTTTTAGTGGTTTTCTTTGGAGTGGATGGATGTTGGGAGAGGAAGATTGAAGTAAATATGTACATGTGATGTGTATTTGTGGTTGTGTGCCCGTGTTCTCTTACTATTATTTTCAGGATTCACTTTTCATTCCTTGCTAAAGCAGTTTTAGTGGCAATTTTTCTACAGTGTGACTAAAATAAATATCTAAAAGGCAGAATTGTGTGAATTATCTCCAGGTGTTCTTTGAAAAATGCATAACGATTGAACTCTAAATGTGATTATCACAGCCTCAAAGAGGTTGTAGGAGGAGACAAGGATTTTTTAGAGTCCTCACTGTGTCTAGCACTATGCTCCACTCCTTAGGATATGCTATCAAATTACAGTTTAATGTAGTAAAAATTCCAGGAAGCAGATATTACTATCCTTGTTTTACAAAGAAGGAAACAGAAGGTTGCCCATAGGCTAAAGAAATACACAGCTGTTGAATAAAAAATAAGGACTCAGCTAAGGTCTGCTTGAAACCTATGCCCATAATCTTGCCACTGCAGCAAACTAAATTCATTGTGTGGCTAAAAATCCACAAAGTAATTGAATTGTGCACTGTTACCCACAATTATCAGAATTCTTTCTTGTCACCAACTCATGCTTGACTTAAAAGAGGGAAAGGGATGGCTGAGAATGTGGTCTCTGATTGGAAATTCTAACTCATGCTGTGACCTTGGGAACATTGCTTTACTTTCAGGGCCTCAATTTCTACATCAATAAAACAAGGTCATCAGAATAAATGGTCTGTTACATTCTGATGATCTATCCTGCAGATGGTGAGCTGGAGGTGCTGAGAGCTTCAACAACGCACCCAAGTCAGATGGGAAGTCAAATGCTTGGCCACCCTCAAACTCTCTGTTTTTACTCTGCAAGAAACTTCCCAACAGACAGTTCGACAGCCTCCCAAATGCCAATGGGCATGAAATATGGTTTTCTCCCAAGTCCCTCTTCAGAACTGAATCTTTCCATGTCTCCTTCAGGGATTGCAGGGCCTCATCTAAACTTAAGATAAATAAATACCCCAAGACGTGGGATAGAAATGGAAGTCAAAAGGAGAGACTGGGGAAAGGAGTTAGCGAACCTTGGACCTTTTACCATATGGCCTCAGCACTTTTGATTATTTTATAAATGCATGAGGTGACACATTGGTTTCTTTAAAGCCATTTTTACACATACATCCCTTTTAGGGTTATAATTCATGTGAATTTAGATAATGAGGTAATTGAGTTTAATGACTGTAGCAGTGATTCAGGAAGGAGAAGATCTCAAATTATTTATAATAATAATTGATACTAATACTTGTATGGTATTACCAAGGCAACACTAAAATGGTAATAACTTCCATTTGAGAGATGGAAGGAACCATAGACATAATTTTGCCCAAGCCCCTGTTTCAAATATCTAAGAAATCTAAGACTCAGAAAGGCAATGTGACTTAAGCAAAGAATTGACCAATTCAACAGCGATTCTTAATTCAATGCTTTCCCCTACAATACACCATTACTTTATCGCTTATAGTGTCAGCGCATCTCCCTCTATAAATATCATAGTGTGGATTTGGAACACCACAACTGATGTGTACTTGATTGGATATTCCTCAGCTTCCTGATTGCTTTGGTTAGTGATGGTGTTCTAGGCAAAGTAACTCTTAGATCATTAATAGGGAAAACAGATTTTCAAAAAGATATGGTGATAGAATCATAATTTTAACATCAGAAGATGTCTGCCCACAATTTTATTGTCTTAAAATGAAATGAGACCATTTCATATTATGATGTAAAATAAACAATTTTAATAAGGTATGTTTTCGTTTAGTCATTGCA
This sequence comes from Homo sapiens, assembly GCF_000001405.40. Lineage (NCBI taxonomy): Eukaryota > Metazoa > Chordata > Mammalia > Primates > Hominidae > Homo > Homo sapiens. The sequence goes on along the minus strand of NC_000004.12, from coordinate 12,847,643 downwards.
TGTTCTCTATTTAAATACATCAGGCATTTTCTATATGCTTTGAATGGATTGTCTCATTAAATCCTCATAACAGTAAATGAAGTAGATATAATTAGTATTCCCATTCTCTGGAGCCCAGTGATATGAGGGAATTTCTTAAGGTTCACACCTAGTATTTGGTAGAGTTGAGATATAAACACATGCAGACCTACCCTGGAGCTCAGGACCTTTGCATCTGACCTATCTTCCTACATAGAGAACTTTTACGTGAAGCACATTGAAGAAAGATCTTACAAATCTTTAAGGTAGGCCATTTTATTACAATTTTCTCAGCTTTATCACCACTATGTAATCTGAGACAAATGTTTCACTCATTTTGGTGGCTATTTTTTTGGCAGTGTCTTTTTCAGCATTTTGGTCTCTACTTTCTACCTATGTGTCAATGAACTGCCTGATAACCTCAAAGTGGTCTATGACTTCTTAGGACAGTCATTTATAAATTTGTCAAGGAACATTTTGTTTGTTTGTTTAAGACTAATTTACCCCAAATGATGGCTCATTGTAATTTCTTATTGACATCCCATCATCATAATATTTTCTGAAATTTTCAATTGCCTTGTGAGAGAGAAAAGGTCAAAATTCCAACACTTATAAGACTTGTAGAAGTAGGCAAATTCTTCAACGTCTTTGTTTCTCAGCTTCATTAGTTTAAAAATAAAATAAGATCAAATGAAATGACTCATTCATTCTTTTATTCAATAGTTGTTATTTGCATTTTTAATTACAAATAAGTGTTTACTGAGTTGTTAAATAAATTACCTATTTAGAGAGACATGGGTTTAAATGCTGACTTTGCCCATTACTAAATGGTTTCATATATGTTTTCTCATTTATAATTTGTGAAAAGCAGTACCATTTATTATCACTTCCCCTCAGGGTGGCTGTTTGGATGAAATGAGATCACATGTGGGAAGAGTAAACCACAATACTTGTCACATAATTGGTGTTAAATAATTGTTTCTCATTCATTTACCCAAACATACTCACCGCCAAAACTGCCCCTTTCTAATGTAAGACCTTGTTACTGAGTAAGCAGATTGTTTGTACAAGGTAAGCAATTCCAACATTTGCCTGAAATGTTTTCTTTCTCATTCAACATTGCTTGTTTACATGGTGTCGGATCAAATGGAAGAGAGAAGAACAATGTGATTCACGATCTTCCTCCAAGGAGGCAGCTGCAGCATAAAGGATGTCTCAGGAAACAGGATAATCTGTTTACGTGGCCACAACTCTGTGATCCCTGACCTGTCTTAATCCTCGGCAGTGGATATGTGTGGCTCATTTGCCCCCAGGTGGAATTGAATGTTGGGGGGAGAAAACACTCTCTGTGTGGGTACTTTTCTTATATTGTTGCTGATAGCTTGAAAACCTGTAGTCAGTGTTTTAAATCATATTTCTCTTCATCAGGCTCAAGAGTTCACATCTCTTGCTTTGCAAAAGAAAGAGATTTTCTTGAAATCCCATCTCTCTTGAGGATTTGGGATGCTCTTGGGTATCTGCCACAGTAAGAAAACAAGCTGAAGGAATGTGGAAACGTGAAGCCATCTGGCTGCTGGTCCACTTTCACACCGGCTCTAGGGGTCACTGAGAGCCCTCCAAGGGCTGTTGAGACCCAGCTCTGACAGGAAACATTTGATCTCATCCCAGCAGTGCCCGGACATGTGTGCTCAGATACGTGGATTGTCTCCAAACTGGGTGGTGAGAGAAGATTTGAATTGGGGAACTTGAAGGAGAACTATCGAAGTTCCAAGTCCCAAGAGCTTTGATTAATATCACATTACATTACAAGTCCACTTTTTTTTCTTGAGTGTGTTTCATTGGAAATTGCAAACAGCATAGGAGGGAATTTGCTTAATGTTAGATGCATGACAATGAATAAATGACATACAGTCCCTGCTTTCCAAGGCCCCTGGTAGTAGGCAGACAAATGAGCAGGCATTGACAATATGGGATGATGTGTTAAGACAGATTCCAGCAGAGACAGGTTAAGACATATTCATTCATAGAACAGAAGGTGGGTACCTGTTTCACTTCGCAGGATCCAAAATGACTAGACTTGTCATTCATTCAATAAATATTGAACACCTGACTATATATTGTACTCTGTGTACTAGTCCCTGGTGTGCTGCTTTAAGGGATGTGTTAGACTGGTCCAGCAGCTATAAGAGAATACCATAGATAGAGTGGCTTGCACAACAGAAATGTATTTCTCTCAGTTTAGAGGCTGGGAAGTTCAAGATCAAGGTGGCAGCAAGGTAGATTACTTCCTGAGGCCTCTTCTCTTGGCTTGTAGGCAGCTGCCGCCTCACTGTGTGCTCATGTAACCTTTTCTTTGTGCATGTGTTCCATGGTGGTGGGGAGGGAGAGAGAACACGCCCTCTGGTGTCTCTTCTTATAAAGACAGTAATCTTACTGTATTAGGGTCCTCCTCTTTTTTTTTTTCTTTTTTTTTTTTTGAGACGGTGTCTCGCTCTGTCACCCAGGCTGGAATGCAGTGGCGCGATCTCGGCTCACTGCAAGCTCCACCTCCCGGGTTCACGCCATTCTCCTGCCTCAGCCTCCCGAGTAGCTGGGACTACAGGCGCCCGCCACCACGCCCGGCTAATTTTTTTGTATTTTTAGTAGAGACGGGGTTTCACTGTGTTAGCCAGAATGGTCTCAATCTCCTGACCTCGTGATCTGCCTGCCTCGGCCTCCCAAAGTGCTGGGATTACAGGCGTGAGCCACCGCGCCCGGCCTAGGGTTCTCCTCTATGGACTCATTTCATCTTACTTACTTCCATAGAGGAACCTGCCTCCAAACAGCTGCACTGGGAGTCAACACTTCAACATATGAATTAAGAAGTGTACAAACAGTCAGTGTCTAGGGGTGATGGGGATTTAACTATATAAAGTGCAGAAAGGTGACAAGTGAGAATTTTAAACATAGCATGTGTATATCCATGAGGGATTGGAGTAGGATTGACAGATAAAGCAGAGAGTACCCAGTTACATTTGAATTTTAGATTAACAACAAATAATATTTTAGCAGAAGCGTGTCTCAAATATTAGAGGAGGCATACTTATCTTTATAAAAATGTTGTTTATCTGAAATCCAAATGTAACTGGGTGGCCTGTATTTTGACTTGCTAAATCTGACAATTCTTGTCAGGGAACTGTTACATTCAGGGAGCTCCTTATGGCATAGTAAAACTGGCACATTATGTAGGATAGGAGAATGCAGTCAGGGCCTTGTTACAGTTTAAGGAGTGTTGGACCATGAATCATCACAGCATACCAGCCCATGTGCCTCTCCTCTCAGACAATTTGGTAAAGTGAATGTATGTTTTCCGATTCTGTGGTTTGTATAGTCTCAAAGAACATGTAAAAGTTACCTAGTCATTTTTGTTTAGTTCTACTGGGCTGGACTGTGTCTTCCAAAGTTCATACGCTGAAGTTCTAACCCCTAGTACCTCAGAATAAGACTGTGTTTAAAGATAGGGTTTTTAAGGAAATAATTAAATTAAAATTGGGTAATTCGGGCTGGTCTTGATAGAGTAGGACTGGTGTCCTTTTAAGAAGTCAAACTTTGAACAAAGAGTCAAACATAGAGGGAAGGCCATGTGAAGATGCGGGGAGAAGATGGCCACCCACAGGTCTCAGAGAAAGGCATAGAACCAGTGCTTCCTTCATGGCCCTCAGAAGGAACCTACCCTCTGTCGCCTTGATCTTAGACTTCTAGACTTTAGAACTATGAAGAAATATATTTGTGTCACTTCAGCCACCCTGTCAGTGGTGCTTTGTAATGACAGCCCTAGAAAACGAATACACCTACTTTTACAAAATAAAAAAAGAAGACATATTGGAGTTCATTTAATTTTAGTTAGAAAGCACTTTCTGAACCTCCCGTGGTGAGTTAAGCATCAGCTGCAACAGCTGAAAGGGCTTTTACAAACCACCAAGACCTGCTTTTACCACCTTTACCTGAGCTTCCACTTTTATGATAAGAAAATCTCTAACTCTGAGGATCACAGGGCTAGAGATTTACCTAAGAGCTTGTCCTAAATATAGAAAATAATCTGAAGAACAGGAATATTTGTAGATTAGTAATATTGGAGTGAATGTGCAAACGGAGGTAAAACTTTTTTTCAGAAGTGGGTGAGGGAAATTCATTAGACCTCTGGCTATGGTCTGAATGTTTGTATTCCCTCAAAATTTATGTGTTGAAATCCTAATCCCCAAGGTAATGGTATTAGGAGGTGTGGCCTTTAGGAGGTAGTTAGGTCACGAGGATGAAGCCCTCATGAGTGGGATTAGTGCTTTTATAAAATAGGCACCTGGGAGATCATTTGCCCTTCCCACTATGTGAAGACACAGTCATCCATGAACCAGGAAATGATCCCTCACCAGACTCTAAACCTGACAGTGCCATGGTCTTGGACTTCCCAGTCTCCAGAACTGTCAGAAATAAAGTTCTGCTATTTATAAACTCCCTAGTTTATAGTATTTTGTTATAGCAGCAAGAATAGACAAAGACAACCTCTAAAGATAGGGTTGAATTTGCATGTTTATAGATAAGAATTAATTCACATTGCTATAAATTACCTACAATTTACAGAGTTGTAAAAGAGTTTGAAGACAAGAAAAGGCTAGAATCAGATAATTTGGAGGGTAAGCTATGTAGGCAATGCATAGTTTTCCATTGACACATGCATTTTTCTCTACACAAGAATTCCTAGTTATCATATAAAATTTGGAAACAAAATTCATTAGTTTGTGTTGCAGGGCAAAATAATATGTATGATCAGCTGTCCAGAAACCAGGGCATGTGAGAATCTAAGGAGAAAGGGGAAAAGCCACGAAGAAAGACATCTCTCTCTGGCCAGCTTCTATTGGAGAACTTATAGAACCACCAATATTAGAGCTAGAAGGGTCTGGAATATTGTTCTATGTGCTCATGTTATGGATAAGGAAAGGGAGGTGCTAATTGTTGAGTTCACATGGTCCAGTTACATGCGGTGGGATATCTGGGCTGCCAAGGCCAGGCAAGAAGCTTCTCCATGATATTCCAGGTTGTTGGTGTCTTTTACAGCTTCCTATACCCTCTTTTTCCCCCCCCCCGAGACAGGGTCTCACTCTGTCACCCAGGTTTGAGTGCAGTAGCACAATCATGGCTCATTGTAGTTTCTACCTTCATGAGCTTAGGTGATCCTCCTGCCTCTGCCTCCCGAGTAGCTGGGATTACAGCTGTGTGCCATTACACCCAGCTAATTTTTGTATTTTTTTTATAGAGATGGAGTTTTGGCATGTTACCCAGGCTGGCCTCAAACTCCTGGGCTCAAGCTATCCACCCTCCTCAGCCTCCCAAAGTGCTGAGATTACAGGCATGATCCACTATGCCCAGACCCTATGCCCTCTTTAAAGTGGTGTACAAAATAGACTTTTATTTTATTTTTATTTTTTGAAATGGAGTCTTATTCTGTTGCCCAGGCTAAAGTGCAGTGGCGTGATCTTGCCTCATTGCAACTTCTGCCTCCCAGATTCAAGTGATTCTTCTGCCTCAGCTTCTGGAGTAGCTGGGATTACAGACCCCACACCCCAACCACGCCTGGCTAATTTTTGTCTTTTTAGTAGAGACAGGGTTTCACCATGTTAGCCAGGCCGATCTCGAACTCCTGACCTCTGGTGATCTGCCCACCTCGGCCTCCCAAAGTGCTGGGATTACAGGCATGAACCATCATGCCCAGCCAAAAATAGACTTTTTACATGGAAAAATCACAGGCAAACTGGAGCAAAAGTAGAAGTCGAGTGTCCTGGTGTCTGTTTTCTGAACCTGGGAAGCTGCTTCAGGAAGCTCTACTCCATGTGTCTTTTGTATGCTGAGAGCTTTCTGCTCTTCTATACCTTCACTCTGCTTGTTCTTCCTGCCTGCAATGTGGTGCTCTGCACTGCCACACCATCCCCTTCCTAAATCCACCATTTTCCTCCAAACTTCAGGCACTTTGATAATTGGCTTTATTTGTGCCCAAACTCTTTCTTCCTCTATTAGACTCAAAACAATTCCTTGAGGGAAGGATCCATGTCTTAGGAATCTTTTCTTACTTTTTAAGTCCAAGAAAAATTGCTCATTTATTCGATCACTGTGAGTGCCTTGCGGGGACTGGGCCTGTGTCATGAGCAGCTAATACAGAGCAGCCTGGAATAGAGCAGGTATTCCTTAAATGTTCTTAGAATGAATGACATGCATGAGTTCCTTTTTTTTGGGGGGGGGGGTTGTTTATTTATTTAATTATTTTATTATACTTAAGTTCTGGGATACATGTGCAGAACATTCAGGTTTGTTACATAGGTATACACGTGCCATGGTGGTTTGCTGCACCCATCAACTCGTCATCTACATTAGGTATTTCTCCTAATGCTATCCCTCCCCTACCCCTCACCCACCCCCCGACAGGCCCCAGTGTATGATGCTCCCCTCCCTGTGTCCATGTGTTCTCATTGTTCAACTCCCACTTATGAGTGAGAACATGCAGTGTTTGGTTTTCTGTTCCTGTGTTAGTTTGCTGAGAATGATGGTTTCCAGTTTCATTCATGTCCCTGCAAAGGACATGAACTCATCCTTTTTTATGGCTGCATAGTGTTCCATGGTGTATATGTGCCACATTTTCTTTATCCAGTCTATCACTGATGGGCATTTGGGTTGGTTCCATGTCTTTGCTATTGTGAACAGTGCTGCAATAAACATATGTGTGCATGTGTCTTTATAGTAGAATGATTTATAATCCTTTGGGTATATACCCAGTAATGGGATTGCTGGGTCAAATGGTATTTCTGGTTCTAGATCCTTGAGGAATCTCCACACTGTCTTCCACAATGGTTGAACTAATTTACACTCCCACCAGTAGTGTAAAAGCATTCCTATTTGTCCACATCCTCCCCAGCATCTGTTGTTTCCTGACTTTTTAATGATCGCCATTCTAACTGGCATGAGATGGTATCTCATTGTGATTTTGATTTGCATTTCTCTAATGATCAGTGCATCAGTGTGTTGTATTCAGGAGACTCATCTCACATGCAAAGACACATGTAGGCTCAAAATAAAGGGATAGAGGAATATTTACCAAGCAAATAGAAAGCAAAGGAAGCAGAGGTTGCGATCCTAGTCTCTGATAAAACAGACTTTAAACCAACAAAGATAAAAAAAGACATTACATAATGGTAAAGGGATCAATGCAACAAGAAGAGCTAACTATCCTAAATATATATGCACCCAATATAGGAGCACCCAGATTCATAAAGCAAGTTCTTAGAGGCCTACAAAGAGACTTAGACTCCCACACAATAATAGTGGGAGACGTTAACACTCCACTGTCAATATTAGACACATCCACGAAACAGAAAATTAACAAGGATATTCAGGACTTGCCTGGACCATGAGTTCTTTATTACATATTTTTCTTCAAAATTTTTGGAAGAGCTTGAGAGCCTGTTGATGCCTGGTGATGGGTGTAAAGGTGGAGATGGAAGATCATGAAGAAACAATCAGGGAATAATTCAAAAATTAAGTGAATGCTCTCTCTTCTCTGACCACCCACATCTTTAGCTATTCCTGTCTACTAGCAGAGCTCATCAGTGCCTTTCAGCTTGCATGTTATTCTACTCAAATTGGATCAGTTTACTTAAACTAAATCTGTACTAATGTACTTAAACTTTATTTACACTGAATACTTAAATTTGTACCCTACCTAGTGAAATCAGTGTTTAATGTAAGTACAGAACTCAAATAAAATTAATAATATATACAATTTAAGTATACTTAATCAGAAATGAGTATTTTCTTCTCTTTGCTGAATGGAAAAGTTCAGCCCTGTGACTCTAACTACTCATGGAAAATATAGATTTGACCTTGGCCACGAGAGCTTTGTCAAGTGAGGAGGGTGGAAATGACTCTCCTTCATGCTTTACATATGTTTTATTTAAGATGAGACACAAGCCCATGAGATTGGTGCTTTTACCCTCATTTTACAGATACAGGGTACAGGTGACCTGCCCAAGTTTAGCCCATTGACAAGTGTAGGACACAGGATTTAAAGTCAGGGCTGCCTGACCCATGTCACTACTAATTTTACCACTCTTCCTGTCTTCCCAAATCTCATAAATTGTCCTTGTTTTTTGTCCTGTGTGAAGAGTCCATGGATTAGCTAAATTGTTAAATGACACACAGAGAGAAAAGGAAGAGCAGATTCAGCTACTGGGCCCTGGAACAATGAATGTCCACATCTAATTTCTCTCTGAAAGTTGCCTGTGAAAGTTGCTTCTGAGGTTCAGTACATTTTTACATGTATACTTCTCCAAAGCATCTAGCAAAGCCAAAGAATAATAGTGTGTGTTGTTTAAAGATTTTGATTGCATTTCTTGATTCATTCCCACCACACTCCGATGAAGATGATTAATTATCCCAGTGTAACAGATCAGGAAGTTGATTCTCAATTATAATGATTATAATGACAGGATTAGCTAACACTTAACTGTTTCTTGTGGGCCAGGCACTGTAAAAAACACTTTACTTGCCTCAGGACATTTAATTGTCTATGGGAATAGATACTATTATTATCCTTGCTTCATAGATAAGGAAACCAAGGCTCAGATGGTTACTGGATTGTCCAAGGCTTCATAGCTAGAAGTGGTGGAACAGAAATTCCAGCTCAGGTAGGTGGGCTGAGAGCTCACATTCAAAATGCCTGTACAAAGATGTTGAGTAACTTGCTTAGGGTAGAAAGATTGGCACATGGGAAATGGTAGAGAATGGATCTGAATCAAGGCTCTGGCTTCAATGTCCATATACTTTGTAACATCCTCCCCACTGTAGGTTACATAAGAATACAGGTTTGGAGATAGAGTTTGGTGTATTACCTTCCTCTGTATGGTCCTGGATGAATGTCATAAGCTCTCTGTGCCTCAGTTGTCTCTCTTGTTAAATGAAAATAATCATGCTCTGGTCTGGGTGTTTGTGTTATCCCAAAATTTATATGTTGAAAGAAATTCTGACCTACAAGGTGATGGAATTAGGAGATGGGGCTTTTGGGGAGGTGGTTAGGTCAGGAAAGGAAAGCCCTCATGAATGAGAGTAGTACCCTTATAAAAGAGGCCCTAGAAGGCTTGTTGATTCCTTCCACAATCTGTGAACCTGTAAGTGCCTTGATCTCTAAATTCTTAGCCTCCATAACTATGAGAGATAAATTTCTCGTCTGTGTGTGGTGACTCACATCTGTAATCCCAGCACTTTGGGAGGCAGAGGCAGGCAGATCATGAGGTCAAGAGTTCAAGACCAGTCTGGCCAACATAGTGAAACCCTGTCTCTATTATAAGTACAAAAATTAGCCAAGTGTGGTGGTGTGCACCTGTAATCCCAGCTACTTGGGAGGCTGAATCAGGAGAATTGCATGAACCTGGGAGGCAGAGGTTGCAGTGAGCTGAGATTGTGCCATTGCACTCCAGCCCGGGCGACAGTGCGAGACTCTGTCTCAAAAAAAAAAAAAAAAAAATTACACATAGTTATATGTGTGAAGGCTTAGTATATATAGAAAACTAATAAATGTCAGCTGCAATGATTTTTTAAAATAATTCAATTATTTTGCAACATTCCTTCAGTTAATTTGACAACATTCATGTTTATTAAATCATATTTATTTTCATTAAAATACAAGGTATCTGCAGTGAGCCGAGATTGCACCACTGCACTCCAGCCTGGGTGATAGAGCAAGACTCTGTCTCAGGAAAAAAAAAAAAAAAAAAAAAAAAAAAAGAAATACAAGGTATGTCCCTGTAATGAAAACTGTCATGGGAACTGGAAGTCCCGGGCTTGCTCCTGGCTCTGAAAATAGTGTGTGAAAGAGCCTTATTTTCTTATTGATATAAATGGGAAACACCAAGAGACTATGTTTCTGGAGGAAGCTAAAACAAAACCCAGACAGACCATCCAAGGCTCTTGTTGAATGCCAGGGCTTAATCTAGGTGCCAGGGGCATCTGTGAGGTAACCAGGTGAGAGTGGCATCCTCAGAACAGAAGAGAAAAGTAAGGCTGGAGAAATTGCTTTATCTAACATGAGTAACTCCAGCTTTTTTGAGGCATTTGTGACCTCTGACAAGGGTAGTAAAGGTAGCATTAAAGAAACCTAACTTCCACAGAATAAGAGTTTCTTGAGATCTGCCTTTCCAAGGTAAGAAGCCATAGGGAGATATGGGCAAAGATGTTGACAGAAATAACAAATAGGCATTGACTATTAAGTTTCTTATGTATGCATGTATTGAGGAACCAAGAAAGGTGTTTCTATAAGCAGCCTCCTCTGATAGCGATATTAACACTAAAAACAGAAATATCCCTAAAGCCAGCTATAATGGTCTAATTTGATTAAACCCAAATTGCTTCATTTGTAAAGTGAAAATAGTAATGCTTACTTTGTGGATTTTTAATGGAGATAAATAGAATGCAAAGTTTCAGGGATGTTGCTGGTGCTCAAAAACAATAGTATTATTGTTATTAAACAATTAATTTCCAAGAAATAACCATCTTCAACATCTGTCATGTGGTTTGCTGTGATAAAACTTGCTGCAGCTTAAATAGATGGATAACCCAATCAAACTCTTGTCAACAAGGGCCAAGATGATAAATTAAGATGAAGCCAATGGGTCTGGTATGATGGCTTCTTGGGGCTCATCTTGAAGTGCTTCGGTGCGGTCTGTTTTGTTTTACTCTGTTTGGGATCATTTCTTTTGCCACTCCAGCTATGTAAAGATAATAATCGCACCAATAGAACTGGTAACCTTTCACCCTCTCTCCCTTTGATAAAGTCTCATTTTCTAGCAAAACTATGACAAATGTTTCTTCCTTCACATTTAGTAAACTAGTAGATAATCTATCTATTATGCTTAATAGCCTTACCCCCAGAAGTCATTGGTATTTGGTTTGGATCCCTCTGAATGAGGTGAACATTATATCTCTAACCTATGAAAAAGCTTTGCTCCTTTGCAGTGTTGGTGGAGTTAAATTTGTTTTCACAGCTGGTTGTACTTGGAGAAGGGTTAGCTGCCGTCTTGAAGGTTCTACCACACCAGTTCATCACTAAGCCTGCTGTGTGGTGGGGGCTTTGAGCTGTTAACGGGAGACGTGGAGGGAAGTCTAAATTAATCATTTATGATTTATTTATTCTTTTTTTCCATCATACAGTGAAACGAGCAGATGCCAACATTTCTAAGGCCAGGGCTGTCTAGGTGATGTGATGTTTGATAACTAACACCTAATATTTATCTGCCAACAGGAACAATCTGTAGGATTAATAATCAAACCATATACTTAAAGGCCACTTCATAATTTACAGCTTGATTTTCCTATTCTTGGTCTCAATTGATTCCTATTAAAAATTCAGTGAATTAGGGGCTGAATTATTTTATGTCATCATTTTCCAGGTGAGGAAACAGAAGCCCAGAGGTGGCTCTGTGGTTACCTGAAATCACACAACCAGTAAACAGTAGGTAGGTATCTTGAATCTCGGTCACCTAACCCTAAGATTTGTACTATTTCCATTTCTGCACTGAAGGGAAGGCACAATGTGGTGGCTGTCTCCGCCATAGAGTTCTATAGTCTGAATGTTTGTGTCACCCTAAAAGTCATATGTTGAAATGTAACTGCCAAGGTGATAGTATTAAGAGGTGGGGCTTTTTGGAGATGCTTAGATCAGGAAGACTATGTCCCTATAAGTTAGATGAGTGACCTTATAAAAGAAGCCAGAAAGAATGTGTTCTTTCCTCCATGTGAGGATGCAGCAAAAAGAAGCCATTTTTGGCAGATCACGAGGTTAAGAGATCAAGACCATCCTGGCCAACATGGTGAAATCCTGTCTCTACTAAAAATACAAAAATTAGCTGGGCATGGTGGCATGCACCTGTAGTCCCAGCTACTCAGGAGGCTGAGGTAGGAGAATTGCTTGAACCCAGAGGCAGAGGTTGTAGTGAGCCAAGATCGCCCCACTGCACTCAAGCTTGGCAATAGAGCAAGACTCTGTCTCAAAAAAAAAAAAAAAAAAGAAAAAAAAGAAGAAGCCATTTTGAAACAGAATGTGAGCCCTCACATGACACTGAATCTGCTGGCTGCTTGATCTTAGACTTCCCACCCTCAGGATTGTCCCACCCTTAGGATTGGGTGAATCCTAAGAATTTTGTTATAGCATTCTGAGCAGACCAAGACACAGAGACAATAATTCCCATTGTCCCATCATTCAGTGCTACCTTTAACTCAAGTATTACAATCAGCCTTTATGAGTACCTGCGCTGCATCAGAAACTTGCTGGGTACTCAGAACATTGGATGAACTGAGACATAGAGACTGCCTTAAAAGAACATTCACACTAGAGCTGCTTTATCTAATATGGTGGTCACTAGCTACATGAGGCTACTTAATTTTAAATTATAGTTGATTCTTGAACAAAGTGTGTGTGGGGGTATTAAGGGCACTTCTGCTTCACTTTGTACAGTTAGAAATTTAGGTATAACTTTTGTCTACCCCAAAGCTTAACTACGAATAGCCTACTGTTGATCAGAAAGTTTACCAACACATACTTTGTATGTTATATCTATCACATACATATTATATATATTATATTACAATAAAGTAAGCAAGGGAAGGGAAAATGTTAGTAAGAAAATTATGAGAAGGAGGCCGGGTGTGGTGGCTCATGCCTGTAATCTCAGCACTTTGGGAGGCGAAGGAGGGCAGATCACTTGGGGCCAGGAGTTTGAGACCAGCCTGGCCAATGTGGTGAAACCCCATCTCTACTAAAAATACAAAAATTAACTGAGCATGGTGGTGCATGCCTGTAATCCCAGCTACTTGGGTGGCTGAGTCATGAGAACCGCTTGAACCTGGGAAGTGGAGGTTACAGTGAGCTGAGATTGCACTACTGCACTCTAGCCTGGGTGACAGAGCAAGATTCTGTCTCAAGGAAAAAAAAAAAAAAAAAAAAAAAAAAAAACAGAAAAAAGAAAATCATGAGAAAGAGAAAGCATATCTGCTATTTATTAAGTGAAAGTGGATCATCATAAAGGTCTTCATTCCCATCATCTTCACATTGAGTAGGCTAAACAGGAGGAAAAAAAAAAAAACAGAAGGGTGGGTCTTACTGTCTCAGAGGTGACAGATGGAAATCTACGTATAAGTAGACCTGCATTTTAAAACCTGTGTTGTTCAAGGGTGAACAGTAATTAAAATGGAATAAAATTAAATATTTACTTCCACATTTGCACTGGCCACATTTGAAGTGCTCATTAGCCATATATGGTTAGTAGCTACTGTATTGGACATCACAGAAAGTTCTTTGGAACAACATTGGTTTAGAATGAAAACAGGTAGTCAGGACCAAGGAGTGGCTGCTAAGGAAAATAGTCTTGAAAACATTATATTAAGTTTATTTGAAACCTGATAACTTCTCCCACAAATTTTGAAGTTTTTCAGCCCTGTGCTAGTCAATAAGATGATGTGATTAAGCATTCAATAAACAAATAGTTAAGTCTCTAGTATATGTACTTTTTGAGCCACTGGGAATATAATGATGAATAAGGCCAACAAGGTTCTGCTTTATATCAAAGAAAATCCAACAATTAAAGGAAAAATAAGCAAGGAAAATACTTTATGGTAATGACTAGGGACAAGTAGAAAATTAAAATATGGTGCTGTTTTAAAGAGTGCTTGTGCAGGACTTTAGATTAGGCTGGTCAGGAAGATGTCTCTGGTGAGATAATATTTAAGCTGAGATTTAAATGACAACAAGGAGCCAACTATGAAGAGAACAGGGAAGACCAATGTAAGTAGTGGATACAGCCAGGAAGAACATTCTTGGTGTGTTTAAGGGATTGTAGAAAGGAAAGCTTGTCTGGAGAATAATTTAAAAGTTGGAAAATAGTTCTATATATTGAATAAGTAAGCAGGACTAATAAGAGTAAGGAGTTTGTACTTATCCTAATGAGATGGGAAACTTTTAAGGTTAAAAACCTTAAAGCAGAGATATGGCATAATCTGACTTATAATTTAATGTATGGCTGACATGGTGTGGCTGTATCCCCACCCAAATCTCATCTTGAATTCCTACGTGTTGTGGGAGGTAATTGAATTATGGGGGCAGGTCTTTTCTGTGCTATTCTCATGATAGTAAGTAAGTCTCATGAGAGCTGATGGTTATTGTAAGGGGAAGTTTTCCTGCACAAGCTCTCTCTTTGCTTGCCGCCATCCACCTAAGATGTGACTTGCTCCTCCTTGCCTTCCACCTTGATTGTGAGGCTTCCCCAGCCACGTGGAACTATAAGTCTAATTAAAACTCTTTCTTTTGTAAATTGCCCAGTCTCGGGCATGTCTTTATCAGCAGCGTGAAAATGGACCAATACAGGAAATTGGCACCAGTGAGTGAGGCATTGCTGAAAAGATACCCAAAAATGTGGAAGCGACTTTGGAACTAACAGGCAGAGGTTGAAACAGTTTGGAGATCTCAAAAGACAGGAAAATGGGGGAAAGTTTGGAACTTCCTAGAGATTCATTGAATGGCTTGGACCAAAAGCCTGATAGTGATATGGACAATAAAGTCCAGGCTGAGGTGTTCTCAGATGGAGATGAGGAAATTGTTGGGAACTGGAGCAAAGGTGACTCTAGTTATGTTTTAGCAAAGATACTGGTAGAATTTTGCTTCTGCCCTAGAGATTTGTGGAACTTTGAACTTGAGAGTGATGATGTAGGGTATCTGGCAGAAGAAACTTCTAAGCAGCAAAGCATTCAAGATGTGACTTGGGTGCTGTTAAAGGCATTCAGTTTTATATGGGAAGCAGAGCATAAAAGTTCAGAAAATTTGCAGCCTGACAATGTGATTGAAAAGAAAAATCAATTTTCTGAGGAGAAATTGAAGCCAGGTGCAGAAATTTGCGTAAGTAACGAGGAGCTGAATGTTAATCCCCAAGACACTGGGGAAAATGTCTCCAGGGCATATGAGAGGTCTTCACAGTGGCCCCTCCCATCACAGGCCCAGAGGCCTAGGAGAAAATGGTATTGTGGGCTAGGCCTAGAGTCTTTGTGCTGTGTGTAGTCTAGGGACTTTGTGCCCTGCGTCCCAGCCATTCCAACCTGACTAAAAGAGGCTAAGGTACAGTTCAGGCTGTTGCTTCAGAGGGTGGAAGCCCCAAGCATTGGCAGCTTCCACATGGTGTTGAGCCTGCCGGTGCACAGAAGTCAAGAATTGAGGTTTGGGAACCTCCACCTAGACTTCAGAAGATGTACAGAAACACCTGGATGTCTAGGCAAAAGTTTGCTGTGGGGGTGGGGCTTTCGTGGGGAACCTCTGCTAGGACAGTGCAGAAGGGAAATGTTGGGTTGGAGCCCCCACACAGAGTCCCTTCTAGGGCACTGCCTAGTAGAGCTGTGAGAAGATGGCTATTGTCCTCCAGACCCCAGGATGGTAGATCCACTGACAGCTTGCACCATGCACCTGGAAAAGCCGCAGACACTCAGTGTAAGCCAGTGAAAGCAGCCAGGAGGGAGGCTGTACCCAGCAAAGCCACAGGTACAGAGCTGCCCAAGACCATAGGAACCCACCTCTTGCATCAGTGTGACCTGGATATGACACCTGGAGTCAAAGGAGATCATTTTAGAGCTTTAAGATTTTACTGCTCTGCTGGATTTTGGACTTGCATGGGGCCTGTAGCCCCTTTGCTTTGTCCAATGTCTCCCATTTGGAATGGCTGTATTTACCCAATGCCTGTACAATACCTATATCTAGTAAGTAACTAACATGCTTTTGATTTTACAGGCTCATAGGCAGAAGGGACTTGCCTTGTCTTGGATGAGACTTTGAACTGTGGACTTTTGAGTTAATGCTGAAATGAGTTAAAACTTTGGGGGACTGTTGGGAAGGCAAGATTGGTTTTGAAATGTGAAGACTTGAAATTTGGGAGGGGCTGGGGGCGGACTGATATGGTTTGGCTGTGTCCCCACTGCGTCCCCCATCTGGAATTCTCATGTGTTGTGGGAGGGACCCGCTGGGAGGTAGTTGAATCACGGGGGTAGGTCTTTCCCATGCTGTTCTCATGACAGTAAGCCTCACGAGATCTGATGGTTATTATAAGGGGGAATTTTCCTGCACAAGCTCTCTCTTTGCTTACTGCCATCCACGTAAGATGTGACTTGCTCTTGCTTACCTTCCACCATGATTGTGAGGCTTCCCCAGCCACATGGAACTGTAAGTCCAATTAAACCTCTTTCTTTTGTAAATTGCCTAGTCTCAGGTATGTCTTTATGAAAACAGACAATACAATGGCTCTGCTCACAATATGGAGAATGGGTTATGTAGTGGGGTATGAGTAAAAGCAGGAAAACTATTTTGTAGATTATTACAACAGTTCATGTGAGAGAAAATGGTGGTTTGGACCAGGAAGCAGCCAGAGAATATTGAGAGAAATAATCAGGTTTGAAATATGCTTTAGAAAAAGAGTCAACCTGATACACTGATGAATTGGATATTACAGAAGACAGGATAGATCCTAGATGTTGGGCCTAAGCAATGGGGCAGATGGTGCTGCCATCAACTAAGACTGAGAAGACTGGCAGGTGTACTGAAAGGGAGAAACCAAGGGAGAATCAAGAGAGAATTGAGTTAATTTTGAGGTGCTTATCAGAAAACCAGATAGAGATACCAAACAGTAGTTGTATATATGAATTTTGGAAATAACTTAGGACTTAAGGAAACATTTTAGATTCCTCCTATGCCAATGGGGTTTAAGGAAAAAGACTGGGTAAACGGGAGAGTAAATGTTGATGAAAGGTGAATGTCCAAGAATGAGTTTACGGTCACAGAGGGGGAAAGGAATCAGCAAAGGGTTGCTTCAGGGAGGTAAAGGGAAAAACCAGAAGCATGGAGTTTCAGTCAAGCCAATAAAGGAGACAATTTCAGGAAGGATGGAGTCATCAACTGTGTCAAATAATGCTATGAGATCAAATTCATTAAAAGTAAAGTCATAGCCACAGAAGTTTGCAATGTAAAGGTGATTTGAAACCTTGCTAATTGAGGTATTGGTGCTGATTGGAGGTTATAGAGGAGAGAATGTAAGGTGAATAAATGGGGACAGTGGCAATTAGCAATGCTTTTAAGACCTTTTGTTATAAAAGAGAGCAGAGAAATAAAGCAACAATGGATAATATATTTCACTGAAACCCATACATTTGTAATGTAATCATTTAATGTGTAATCCGTTTTAAAAATCGGTAAGAGAAATTTACATGTTTTAAATTAAACCAAATCTTCAAAATGTGATCTGCATTTTACACTCATAGACATCTTAACTCAGAGCAGCCACATTTCAAGTACACAACAGCCACAGTGGCTGTTACCATATTGGACAGCACAGGCATAGGGACCTAGAATTCCTGTTCCAGATGCTGCTGAGGCCAAGAGTAGAGCAGAGACTACCTCACAAGTCTTCTTTTGCTGGTAATAACTTTGCTTTCTAGATGGTGGTGTTCTGTCTCATATAATAGCTTCAGAATTGTTTTATTATTTTCATTATCTTTTGTATAATATTTTCTCTCTCAGGCGCTCATAGCCTCTGAAAATTACATTTTAAAAACATTGGCATCTGTGAAATTTTAATTCTAAACTTACATGTTTAAGAGTAGTGTCTGAGAACTTGCTATGTAAGAGAAACAAATAAGGTAAACAAGAGCTTCTCTTTTTGGTTTCCCAGTTAAACGAATGTGGATTATTGGGAGATGAGGGTAAGTAGAATTTGGAAAACACTGGAAAATACAGTAATATCATGGCTTGTAAAATCTTCTTATAAGTTGGCCATTCTGAGTCCTACTCAAATTAGGACATTGGAGATAGACAGAATCTCTCTTTCTAAGTGTCTGGCTGGTCTCAGGAATTTAAAGAGCCTCACTAATGTGAAGAGAGTAGCAACCACACACACAAGGGCAGATGCAGAAAAGGATGTGCAACAGTGGTTTACGGAAGTGTGTTAAAGATCCATAAGAAGGAAGAAAAGGCAAATACATTTTAGACTATTCACCTAATGATTGTATTTGTTCATTTGGACCATTGTGGCAATATTTTATCATTAAATAATTCAGTGATTTGGCAAGGGTTTATCAAACATCAGTGAGTAGGTCCTGGGCTAACCTTTGTGGATATGGAAATGCATAACTAATTTTGTCTTCAAAGGGTTGTGTATTAGTTCATTTTCATACTGCTGTAAAGACATACCCAAGACTGGGTAATCTACAGAGAAAAGAGGTTTAATTGACTCGCAGTTCCACATGGCTGGGGAGGCCTCAGGAAACTTACAATCATGGTGAAGGGGAGAAGGTATGTCTTACATGCAGCAGGCAAGAAAGAGTGTGTGAGTTCAAACCTTCAGATCTCATGAGAACTCACGAGAACAGCATGGGGGAAACCACCCCCATGATCCAATCACCTCCCATGAGGTGCCACCCTTGACACATGAGGATTATGGGGATTAAAATTCAAGATGAGATTTTGGTGATGTATTAGTCAGGATTCTCTTAGATGGACAGAACTAATAGGATATATAATACACTATCACAAGGTCCCATAATAGGCTGTCTGCAAGCTGAGGAACAAGGACAGCCAGTCCAGTCCCAAAACTGAAAAATTTGAAGTCCGATGTTTGAGGGCAGGAACCATCCAGCACGGGAGAAAGATGTAAGCTGGAAGACTAGGCTTGTCTCTCTTTTTCATGTTGTCTGCCTGCTTTATATTTGCTGGAAGCTGATTAGATTGTGCCCACCAGATTAAGGGTGGATCTGCCTTCAACAGCCCACTGATTCAAATGTTAATCTCTTTTGGCAATACCCTCACAGACAGCCCCAGGATCAATACTTTGTATCCCTCAATCCAATCAAGTTGAAACTCAGTATTAACCATCACAATGGGGACACCCAAACCATATCAGGCTCCAAAGCTACTTTCAAAGACTGACAAACAGACGTTTAAGTAGAAGGGAATAAGTTCCTAGAAAAAAGAAGGCACAACATGTCACAACAGCAGAGAAATTGGTGTAGGTTTTAAATATGGAAGGTTTGGAAAAATGTTTGTGGAATAATGTTTAACAATGTTTCATTGTTGAAATAGCGAGATTTGAACAAATAATTTGATAATTTGTGAGTGTTTTTATTTTCTTACTCCATTAATCTATGTACCCTTCAGTGTTCACATGGGCTGGAGACCTTGTTCCAACTGAATAGCTCAATCATTTTATTTCTGTGGCTTTGTGCCAAAGTAGTTCTAAGGAACTCATTACAGTACATTGTACCAAAATATTTATATGTCAAGTGATGAGAAAAAAATAATCAAGGACGGAAAAAAATGCAGCTGATGTGGCCAGGATTGAAGCAAGGAAGAGGCCAAGACGGGTGGTCAATGCAATGCGGCCAAATCACTGCGTTGTTTAATGACTAAATCATGCCACCGTAGTCACAATGAACACATACAATCCTTAAGTGACTAGTCCAACATTCATTTGCTTATTTTTCTGAGGTAAACAAGAAGGTCTTCATGCAGTCAAGGCAAAGCCAGAAGTGCTTATGGCCAGTGTAAAGAACTAGTCTTGCTGAGAGATTGGTTACATGAAGGAGACTTCAGAAAATAAATTAATATATCACGAAAAATGGGAGACAGGCTTATTACTGTTGGAGAAGAAAGTTAGAAATGTGGAACGGGGTAAGGCTAGACCATCCCTAAAGTTTAGATTAAAAATTGGAGGTATTGGAATAAACTCATAATTCTTAATAGAGATATATATATAAATAAATATAAAAGCAAACGTACCTATATAATATATATGCATATACATACATATTTCCTAGCTTTATCTATTAAGAAGGCCTAACAGGAACAAGACCCAAGCAGCAATGAGTATATAGAGAGTCTAGGTCTTAGTTTATGAATACCATTCTCTACTAAAAGAAATGAGTATTCCTTACAGAAATGGATGATTCTGAGTTTGAGACAACAAAAATACACACTGAATGTCTTAGTTGGGACTGCTATAAGCAGTTACTATACACTGGGTAGCTTAAACAATATTTATTTTTCATTTTTCTGGAGGCTAGGAAGTCCAGGGTCAAGATGCTGGCAGATCAGTGTCTGGCGAGGACTGGCTTTCTGTTTGTAGATGGCCAACTTCCCATTGTATCCTCCTATAGAGAGAAAGAGGAGAGCTCTGATCTCTATCTCCTTATAAAAGTACTAATACCATTTAGGAGGGCTCCATCCTCATGACCTAATCAACTCTCAAAGGTCCCCCACCTACCAATATATTCAACTGGGGTTAGAATTTTAGCAGATGAATTTTGTGGGGACACAAACAGTCCATAGCACTGGGCATGAAACAACTTTGTTTTGTCAGAAAGAAGTGTTTAAAGAGTAATGATGACATGTCAAAGGTATATAGAAGTCAGCTTGAAGGGGCTTCCACTGTGTCCCAAATCTGGGAGAAATTGAGCATCAAAATAATATTATTGAATTTTAATCCACTAATAAAGTAGAAATCCAGGAGTGTATGCTAATACAAATGAATTAATAGAGAGAAGAGAAAGCTCTTTCTAAGAGTAGAATCCCAAGTAACAAATTTATATGGAGGGATAGAATTATGAAATTACTGTTTATTAACCATCATACGAATAAGTGATTAAAGTATGAATCATCAACAATGCTAAAACTAATGGGTGGAAGTTTCATGAGAAATAGGATATCTTAATAGTCTTAAAGTAGCTCCCAACAAAATACTAATTACAAAGGAAGAAAATTACTTTACAGTGGAGAAACCTAGAAGATGCCAATTTAATCATGTGGTCATTGTTTACTTTGACAATGCTAGAACAAATCAATATTGTATAGCACCTATTAGGGTACTGAGAACATAGCATCATTTCTGCGATATTGCTGTTCAGAAATGAATGACCTAAATATAATTATGAGAAATATTGAATCAATGTTGCTTTTCTGATTTGAGGGCAATAATGGTAGGGTTATATTGTAGTTTTTGTAGTTGTGTGTCTGTTTGTGTGTATGTGTGTGTATACTTAAGTATTTAGGATACTGGTAAATTGTGTGTACAAATTAATGCCAAATCATTTAAAAATAGTATGTGTTAATGTAACATGGAAGAGAGAGAGAGACTAACAACATTAATGTGGTAAAATATTATTTTTTGAGAAATCTGGGATTTTTTTTTTGTATTACATGCTTTTTGTTAGTTTGAATTACTTATTCAGTAAAGTAAATCTGAAAAACAAAACAAAGCAAAGCAGAAAAAACGAAGATGGTCAACTCTGGTGTTTGCCTAAAGCCAAACTAATGTCAATTTTGGTTTTGTTCTAATACCAGAAAAGATGAAACTAACTACTTAACGTAGGAGCAGTAGACACATAGCTCAGTTCAGGCCAGTGAGAGGAAGGAACAATGAGCTTCAGAAGCCTTTGGGGAAAGATTCTCCTCCATAAAAAGAAGCCCTGGAGGGAGAGACATTCTGCCTCATGATCTACTTCTCCTTGCCCCCATACCCAAACCTGCCTCTGAATGCAATTGTGAAAGTATGTGATTCTTGGAGCAGTTGCAGCCAGAGATAATCATGCAGTCAAGTGAATCTTAGAACGCTAACCCAGAGCCCAAATATTTTGACACTAAACCAAAACAGACATTTCACTGTTAGAGAAAAACTAAAACTTCATTTCGTACTATTTCTAGTAAGATATTGTTACTCTCAAGTGAAGTAATTCCTAACCAGTACAGACAACTATAGCCACAACACAAACGACTTCCACAAAGGGCTTGGTGGAAAGATGTGAGCCATCACTCTGGAAAAGCATAACCTGAGTTAGTATCGAATAAACTGTGTGCAGGATTTCCTGTGCAGAATGATCGACTTACTTAAAGTGTGATCTTGTAGACACCAAGATTGGTTAGATTCTTTAAGAAAACAGCTAGGCATTCTGGCTACATAAATCTCATTGCTTTAAAATGTTGTGGGAATTCTGAGAACTTTATTGAAACAATGTGAAGAACACACTGAGCTTTGGGAGGCCGAGGTGGGCAAATCACTTGAGGTCAGGAGTTTGAGACTAGCCTGGCCAACATGGTGAAACCCCGTCTCTGCTAAATTACAAAATTACAAAAAAATTAGCTGGGCATGGTGGCAGGCACCTGTATTCCCAGCTACTAGGGAGGCTGAGGCACGAGAATCACTTGAACTTGGGAGGTAGAGGTTGCAGTGAGCCGAGTTCGCGCCACTGCATTCCAGCCTGGGTGATAGAGAGAGACTCAGTCTAGAAAAAATAATAAAATAAAATAAAATAAAATAAAATAAAATAAAATAAAATAAAATAAAATACACACTGAGAACACTTACATGAGGCCAAATTCAGTTTTACAACTGCGGTCCATATACCCTGTGCAGGGACGTTCAAGAAATACCTCCAAAATTTTTGTAGTAGGATCACTACTGCCTAAATATTAGGAATGAACTTTCATGCCAGGAGATGGTCATCTGTTAAGACCCAACTGTTTTTATTGAATTTTTGTGAATTAATTTTTCCTCCTCTCATTTTTGAGTAAACTTTATGTAAACTTAAACTGTCCCATGTTCTCAAATAACCAGTTAAAACATTAGACTCGGCGTTATTGATTTTAAGGATTCACATAATCAGTAGTGAAAGACAGGCAGCTACTGTGTGGCATCTTGGAATTAGCATAAGAAAACAGAGCAAATATTTCTAATAATAGAGCAAATCTATAATAAACTCTTCAGTTGAGAGGAAAATGTGATGTGACTCCACACAGTAAATTCTCATGGGAAAGTAGAGATTCTTCTTTATTTTATTTATTTATTTTTTTATCCAAAGAAATTTTGTATCAATAAACCAACTTTTACCTGGATGATATGGCTGGTATGTGACAGGGCTAACACTCAGACCTGTTATGACACTGACTCTGATACTCCTTTGACTTCATAACTAATGATGTTTATAATGTATTCATTATACTTTTCTTGTTTATAAATATAAGTTGTTAATAATTATATCATGTGACATACCACTTAATGCTCTATATATTTGTGTGTATTGACTTACTAATTGTCATAAAAATGTTTTGCAATAGCCACTATCATCTCTATTGAATGGATGAAGACGTTGTTAAACAAAAATCTTTAAACAAATCAAATTTAAGTAGCCCCCAAACCAGAAAAGCTTCCCAGTAACTTTAGGGCTGCCACTGGTTGAATAATATTTATGGACAGAAAAAGGAAATGAGATAGAGAGACAGCTAGCTAGCTGTTCAGTTGCTATAATTTGATGATTCTCAGTTATTACAAAAGCAAATTCGTAAGTTGGGTTTTCAGTTTGTTTATGTATCGAGTTAGGATGCAGTTTGTTACATAGGACTTATATGGAGGCTTCTAAGGCCTAAATTTAGATTTATTTAAAAATTCTTTCCTTTTGGTCAGCCTCTTAATTTTGAGGGATTGACCAAAACTTCGAACATTGATGTCACTCTCTGTTATTATTATAAATGGACATATTTGGTCTCAGCTCCCATTGGGCAATAACAGAACAGTGGGTTTTGCATGGTGGCAACAAGAAAACAGAACGATAAAAAAACAGAACAATACAACAACAAAAAAACTGATTGGTCAAGATAAGGCCACCTCAGGCCATTTCTCTGCAAAGTAAAAGTAGAGGAGGCTTTCTTATGCTCACTCAGGCAGACAGGAATCTCCTGTTCTCAGGAAGAAAAAAAAAATATGTTTTGAGATCTCTCTGCTTTCTTAAAGTTTCACTTTGATTATGTGGTATTTAGCATGAGTGACTTCATTTTTGTTTAATCTAATTTGTTGGGGCCCACTTCAGAAGCTCAGTCTGAAACAATGACTCCCCATAATTTTAACAATTTCTTCCTTTTGGTCAGGTTCTCAGCTAAGAGAGATTGTGACCAAACCTTAGGCCATTAATGCTACTCTGAGTTACCATAATTTTGGGGCTTTGGTCTCAACATGCCATTCATAGGTTATGATGTTCTCATGATCACATATTTATTTGGGATTTTGTCATTCCAGTACCAGAGAGATCATTTGACATTCTTCAGATGGCTACAAGCACACATTGAATCTTTTGAGAGAATACAGTGTGCCCAGCAGATTATTATGATTCTTAGGCGGATGATAACAAGAGTTTGGAATATGCTCCTTAGCCAGGATCTCTGTGAAGCAAACCAGGAAGAAACAAAAAGATAAAAAATGATACAAAGAGTCTACCTGTTTTAACCAAGCAGCCTGTTTATTAATCCCCTTCAACTGAGTCTCTATAATACCAGCTGTGCTCATGCATGTGCAGTAAGAAGTATCAGTAACAGCATAGATTTTTTTCTATTTAACCAGTAGGTGAGCTAGAGAAATTCTATTATCCAGTACAACTCTAACAAGAGAATTTAAAAGTCTGTTGTGCAACCATAACTTTTGCATTACAATCTACTGTAAAGCCAATTGTGAGGAATAAACTTCGAATCATTGCTTCATTTATATTTACTCCAAGCCACAGGGGAGAAAGACTGGCTTAACAAACTGATGCCCATTCAGAAAGATTGATGGCCCCTGGCAATGTTATTTTTAACCTATGATGTAAGTTAAGAGAAGTGGACCAATGTTCTGTTTCTGATTGATTGTGGAGTAATAAAGACACCATTAAAGTTCTTAGAACATTGGCCCTTCAGCTTCCATCCATGAAGGCATAAGGTTTTTAGTGCATAAGTTTCACTCTGAAATCCTCCACAAATAGAAGTATACCCCATGAGTGCACACAAGGCCTCTTTTTCAGTTCTATTATTCATGGATGCATTACTTTAAATAGTGAAATTTACAGTTTCTATCCAAGAATCTAAGGCAGAGTTCTTACAGATTAAAAGAGAACTATACTATCCTGGCACATAAGTCAGTTTTCGAAGACACTCCATTTGGGATGTTGGTGCAAATCTGTCTTGTGATATACTTATTGGTCTAGGTTCTTGTATAGAATGACTAGGTTAAATTAAAAAAGGTTATGAGAACAAATAGGTCTAGGAATCTTACCTCACTAGTACAATTTGAACAACAGTTACATTAGAGATGTTGCCAAAGTTACTGGCTGAACTAAATGATTCTTTAGATCATGCACAGATCTAGGTTTGGCGTGAAAGATTCAACTCTTCATCAATTTACCCACAGATGCTAGTGATTGCAAAATTCTAATTACAGCATTATCCTGCCCAGCCAAAGAGATGGGCATAAGCAAGGAAAAAATTTAGATGGGCAAGAGTTTCATGATGGCAGAGAAGTCTTGATCTGTGGTCTTGGAAAAGCTGTCGGTCTACAATGCTGTCTGCTTTGGGGGAGAAACTTGCCTGCTTAGTTTTACATTAAGGTCTCCCATGGATGTACAGTTCCAAGAATATGAGAAACCCTTTTAACTTGTGAGATGCAGACCCAAGATTTGAGGCCCCCAGGGGTTTTGTTTTTTCAGTTTGTGTGGTGAGAAAAACTTTGTATGGTCCCTTTCAATGGGGTACAAGGGCAGGTTTTCTTTAATGTAATTTATAGAAGACCTAATCTCCAGGTTTTAGATCATAAGAGGTTTGATTATCCTTGATCAGTAGATCACAGAATGCTTTTCTTACCTAAAGAAAATATGCTTTGGTATAATGCAATAAAACCTTGAAGCATTTAGTCATATTAGATTTCAGGAGAGCAGGAGATACATGGCATTCTATTATTAGGAACATAGGCCATACAGTGACTATACACGGTCAACTTATATTTTTATTGGAAATGAATCTTATTTCCATCCACCGGCAGTGCCTTTGACCAAGGAAATCCAATTAATTCAGTTAGCTTTACCTAATACTATTCCATTTGTAATTCCTTATTTAACTGTTTTACAACTTGTACAGTGAAGCAAGTACTTCCATTGCTGGAGATTTCTCCAGGAATGCCCAAAGAGCAAAACATATTTTCTAATAACCTTTTAACTGCTTTTATAGCATCAGCCTTCATGCATGAAAAAGCTCATATACAATGAGAAAACATGCATTGAAATGGCAAATGAATGAAATCCCTCTATTAATGTTCAAATGACCCATCAGGTAGCAGAAATGAACCAAAAATTTTCATTGAATTTCAAGGATTATAGATTTGACAGGCCAAACGTGGGTCATAAACATTGTAGCAATTTTAGAACAGTCACTACACAATTTTTTTCATAATTTTGATAATTTTATATCTTCCATGATGAGTCAGGGATTGGAGAGTTTTTAGTAGTTAGAGCTTTAAGGACTCAGTAAAACCAGAAAGCTGTCCAGGCTCTTCATGAGTTCACATTTAACATTTGATTTATATCATTTTAAATATCAATTTTGATTCTCTAAATTGGGTACATAGAACTGTTTATTAAATGGGTTATCATAGGTAATTTGATCATGAAGTTTATTTAAATCACTTAACAACTTCAGTATTGGTGGACTTAGCATAAAAATCTGCCTATTTCCTTCGTATTTAATTCATTCTTGTTCTGCTTGATGTTGGGTTAGTTTCATAAACCATGTGGTCTCTTCATTAGAGTTCTGGGAAATCTTACCAGTCCAATTGTATAATCTTAAGATTATATAAAAAAACTGTATTTATCAGATTCCCTTCCATCCTTTCTTTCTATAAATCTCCTTGAACAAGAAGAAATTTTTGACTGTAGTTGACTGCAAATGCTTTTAGAGAAGAAGCAAAACCACTGTGGATGACAGTGACTTAGGCTGTTCAAGGTTAAAATCTGAGAGTTAATTTTAACCAGCACTTGACAAAGAAATTTGGTTATTTCTGTGGTAGAAAACATTTTAACATGGTAACCAAAATTATGCTCATGTTAGATTTATAGAAATCCCATACTTTTTTAGAACACTCATATCAATAATATACCAATAAATATAATCTTAAAAATTTAGCATCACTTATCATTTGGTGATGCTTTCTATGTAATCCAAAATGTTAAATTAGCACTATTAGTTTAGTATCTCTATTTCACAAGGTGAGAAACATATCTTTTATTGCTGCCGGGGAGCCAACTGGAAAATACCAAAGTCAAATCAAGGTCAAGAAAATGACTTAATTTAGAATTTGATTTTGTGCATCTGTCAAAAAATCAAATATTTCAAATACCTGGTCAAAGTGGGATCACAGATCACTGTGAAATAATACCCATCCATTTAATGAGAGTGATAACAAAAAGAATTTAAAAGTAAATACAGTAAGTTATATAGTGCTGGAAAAACCTTAACTCTTTAACAGAGAGGACTTAGTTTTTTGTCATCAAAACTTAATAAAAACAACATAAAGCACAAGGATTCATGTTGATAAAACACAGAAACTTTTTTGCTTTGGCCAGTTACTTAAAAGGTTAAAAGAAAAAACTTTCACTATTTTCCATGAATAGCAGATCAATACTCCAGGAAAATCTTGTTGCTTTAATAGAGAGGACCAAATTCCAGTTTTGTACTGTATATTTTTGATATTAATGCTCAATTTTTAGAAAAAAACTTTTAAATAATTCCCTTGTAATTTTAGCCAGCATGATCATACATAAAATTTCCTTTACAAGATTCATCTTCCACAAATCTTTTCTCTTTCTCACTTTGCAACCATCAGTCTATGTTAGAACAAAAATTACCTTTATTTTTTCCTAACCTAAAACACACCTACCATGTAAGCTTCATTTACCAAACACATATCTTACTTTGTCTTACTTTCCTCACATAAGGAGTTATTTTTAATGTTAATAACCTTACTTTTTAGTGAAAACTTGGGAAGTAAAAAATTTTGAACTATTTTATATCACCATTTTGCAGACAAGAACCATTTTATAACTTGCAGAAATATGTTTTCTCATAACACATTTTTTCATGGTTATTAACAGATCCAAATATATTCATATTTTCTGTATTGTATACAAACAAGATGTTGATGCTGCAGTTTGAATGTTTGTCCCCTAAATCCTCATGTTGAAATCTGATTCCCACTGTTGAAGGTGTGGCCTAATGGGAGGTGTTTGTATTATGGGGGTGGATTCCTCATGAATGGCTTGGTGGTGTTCTTGTGGCAGTGAGTGAGTCTCACTCTAGTAATTCCTATGAGAGCTGGTTGTCATAATACAAAGAGCCTGGCACCTCCCAACCCTTTCTCTTGCTTCCTCCCTCACCACTTTATCTCTGCACATGTCAACTCCCCTTTTGCCTTCTTTGTCAGCAGAATTATGAGCCAAATAAACTTTTAACAAAAATTACCCAGTCTCAGGTATTCCTTGATAGCAATATAGAATGGACTAAGACAGTCAAAATAGATATATTCTAAACCTACATTCAGCAAGTAGTGTTTCAATATTTTAAACTGCTTAGGAATGACCCAGACATTGAATGAGTATCTATCTGTTACTTATTCTAACATGATGTTAAGACTTCAAATTACTGAAAAATAATTTTGAAACTGTGACATGTTTTTCTATAAAATTTTATCTCATTCCAACAAGCAGTTAAGTCAAAGGACTATTGCCCTTTTCTTGATTAATCTGTGTGACTATAGTTCTAAGCAATTGTTAGCTAGTTTGCTCATTGTAATTTCTGCCTTATACTTTTTAACATTTTTCCGAACTGGGGTAAATAAAATGCATTGGTTTGGGGCCCTGTAATGTTGGAGGACCAGTAGAGATCTCTTTGATCCATAAGATCTTTGATAGATTTAATCTTTGTTTTAATCTCATCGCTGTTTGCTGCACTTATCCCATTTTTATAGCCATCTAAACATTTTTTAACCTAAATTTGAACTTTCTAACTGATAGCTTAAGTAAAACAAGGTAGAAAGTTAACATCTTAATGGCACAAAGTTGAGACTTTAGGTCTGAATACCATCATTTGCCCAAGCCAAGAAATAAGAGTATAGATAAAGTTCCCAATAATACAAGATGGCCAGTAAAAGGACCTTAATCAAAGATAAGAATTGTTATCTAAATTTAAACTAATGCATTTTCTATTGTATGTGTTTCTAATGACTTAGTCCTCAGACTATTGCCTGTGACACAGAGAAGCAGACATCCTTACAAATGAAGGTTTCCTTTATAGATGTATGTTTTTGCCAAAGTGTTTCACAATAGCCAGCTATACATCAGAAAAGTTTATTTAGTTCACCAGGAAGACTTTTTACCTCATCTAAAATCACTGAGGAAAAGGCAGAGCTCATTCACAAATAGGGCAAATATAACATCCATTATGCCTGGATTCAGCATGGATATCTCTGATAAACAGAATCAAATCTACTTTACCTGAGAACATATCTTTAATAAATATTTTATACAATGGGTTACTTTACTTTTTTGTCTTTGGTGTGGCATAGTAAGCCAACAGTCTAGCAGATTTTATATTTCTTATTAATTAGTAACCTAAGGTTTTTATTTGCCTTTTGTCGAGTTTTTCAAAAGAGGCAATAAACATTTTGAAATTGTTTTAGAACCTTCTACACATCAATAGGTATCTCAGAATGAGACTAATTCAGGAATTCTCATTTTTAAATGCGCTTCTTAAAGTGTAGTGTTGTTCATTTGGAATGTTTTACATTCTGACCATGATAATTTTAAATTATATTTTTAGTACTATTTCATCACTCTTATAAGAATTTGCTGCTTCCAGGGGCAAGAACTTATTCATGTAAAGGTAGGCATAGTTAGAAGGTGAAATACTTGGTTCTTCAGAAATTAAGGATTCTATAATTCTGTAGAATCTTGGCTTTGGCTCTGAGATCCCCTTGATGAACTTATCCAGTGCTTTTTTTCCCTATATAAGTGTACAAGAAAAAATAATAGAGCTCAAAGTACATGTCAAATTCTGAAAGCCAGGGTTTGCACCCCCTGCATTAGTTGCCATTTACTGCCAGTTTCTGTCTGACCCAGTCAGATATTTGAGGACTTTGGATCCAAGTTCAGTTATTCACTGAATCCATTTCAATCCTTGAGCCAGTCCAGTTTCTGCTGTGACTTACAAATCCAGTCAAGATGAAAAAGTTGTTCAAATAAGCTTAGATAGATCAAAACACAAATCCATGGAACTTCAGAATCCAAGTGAGAGCTAACTCATAATTCCCAGTTGCTTCAAGACACCAATGGGCACTGTGGACCTGGTGGGTACTTTATTTGCTCACTCAATGATTGATCCTAAGGCTTGGTGGAAGATCTAGCTTAGATCCTACTTCTGACACCAATTTGATATTTAAAAAGCAAAAAATTTAACTTTTGTTTTGTTTTGTTTTGTTTTGTTTTGTTTTGTTTTGTTTTTGAGACACAGTCTCGCTCTGTCGCCCAGGCTGGAGTGCAGTGGCACGATCTTGGCTCACCGCAACCTCCATCTCCCAGGTCCAAGCAATTCTCTTGCCTCAGCCTCCCCAGTAGCTGGGACTACAGGTGCCAGCCACCATGCCAAGATAATTTTTGTATTTTTAGTAGAGACGGGGTTTCACTACATTGGCCAAGCTGGTCTCGAACTCCTGACCTTGTGATCCGCCCACCTCGGCCCCCCAAAGTACTGGGATTACAGGCATGAGCCACTGCGTCTGGCCAATTTAACATATTTTAATTGAGAAAAGAACGATTCAGGAATCAGGCAGTCTCCAGAAACCAGAGTAGGTTCAGAATGACTCTGGGGCTGCCCATGGTTGTACAACATTTATGGACAAAAAAAGGCAATGAGGTACAGAAACAGCTAGTTGGCTGCTCAGCTGCTGTGATTGACTGAGACTCAGCTATTACAAAAGCAAATTCCTAAGTTAGGTTTTCAGTTTCTTTATGTACTGAGTTATGTTATAGTTTATTAGGTATGACTCACACAGAAGCTTCTGAAGCCCAAATTTAGTTCAATTTAACAGAGTAAGGTGTTTAAATGATATGTACATGTTAAAATAGTTATTTAATAGCAAAGCTGAAATTCAAACTTAGAATATCTGGCTCTAGAATCCACACTTTTAGCTACAAAGCCTTCTTAACAACTAAATGGCAATTTTAAGCCTAAGATACCTGGCTCTATATAAAGTCTACCATTCCCTTTGCTGTCTACAGTCCTACTTTCTTTATGTTCTAGCATGCTAAACCTACAAGGAATCCTTAGTGTTCAATAGTACTCTAATTTTATATAGAAAGTTAATTAGTTCATAATAAAACCGTGGTTTCTAGCTCCTAGTTGGTTAATTTTTAGATTCTGAATCTCTGGAAGTCTTCTTTCTTTGTAGATCTTGAATGAACAGCATAAAAATATTGAGAACCTCATTATTTCTTCTCCCTAAATTCAAGTATCTAGTTAGAATCTTCACTAAGGTGCAATTCTTTGTCATTTTCGTTGTTTTCCAGGTGGTCCACTGGTCCTGACAACTCCCTTTAAACTGATAGTCTCACAAACAAGGTATTCCAGGCCATATTCTTTCACTCAATGTGGAGGAATTAGAAGAACTATTCCAAGAGGAAACTTTGATCATTATGTTTCTCCCTGTGACCTCTATGGATGGGGTGTACTTGGTTAACTTGTTTTCTTGGAGAAGTTGAGGAAAGGCAGTGATGGTGAGATACTATGGCCATTTCCTAGTCATTTGATTTCACTGTTCCATGAGGTCTGAAAATTCTACACAACTTTTATATAATTTCATAGATATGCCAGGATTAAACCCAGATTACTTCTCATCTATTTAGAGATGCACTATCCCAAACCTTACAACTGAAGATTATTGACTCTTTCTAATCCCTGAATTCTTATAATAGTCAGTGATTCATTTCCATTCACACATGCCTTCATTTCTCCTCTCCAACATCTTGTCTTCTGTCTTATGAAATCTTCAATGCATATAACAGTGCATAACACTTAATATCTATTGAGGTTCTACTGTGTGTTCATAAATGAGTGTTAGCAAGTTTAATAACTTGCTCATATTTACACAGCTATTAAATGACAGAATCTGGGAATAGGGTGGTTTCAAAAGGAAGAATCCATGGAAAAGCACTCTTCTTACATTATCTTCAACAGCTCCTAAGGTTTGCAAGCCTAGTATGTTCTCAATTCTCTTCTTAGAATGTTTTCTGTATTTCCTGCATTTTATTGAATTCATTTATGAAGACACTATTTCATCTGTAGTCCACTAAGGTTGTTCATTCGTCCTTATAATTTGGAGGTTGGGTTCATGTCCTCTCTGATTCCCAGAGGTGTTCCCAGGAATTATTTCCTGGCCACCTTTTAAAAATGTCATATTCTTAGGAGTCTTTTCTATTTAACTGCACTATGGTACTTATTATCAACCTTCTGAGCACTTCCCATGATTGGTAGATTTGGCATATGGTCCTGTCATCTTCTCTTCAAGGTCGGCTTTTATATCCTACAAAACACTCTGAGGAGCCTGCCGGCATTGTCACCATTCTCCAATACCCACAGGCAGAGGATTTCTGGTACTCAGTGAGGTGAAGTGCTCATAAGCTACTGCCTCAGATGAGTAGTGTAAAGCCTAGACACAGTATAGAAAACAATCACTTAAAAGCACTTGAAAATATCCAATAACAGAAGCCAGTAAAGAGTTTATTCCTTAAAAATTCCAACTGAAAATGGTAATAATTGCAAGTTTGTGCCTTTGTTACTACAGGGCACACTTCATTACCGTGGCAGCAGAAAATAACTGCCTTACTAGCTTAAGATGTCAAAAAACCGAATCTAGTTTTGGAAGAGAATTGGACCTAAAATCTGACTATACACTACGTGGAAATTCTTGACTGATCTTGCATACTGGTGGGAGACTCAGGAGACTCAATGAAAATGCAATTAAATATGGAAAAGGATAGAACTATGCTGTGTGAAAGCTATGAGTCTGCTAATTTTTTAAAATAAATGCATTTTCCAAATATGTAGCTCTCATCATGAAAATATGAAGGCTTACTGGCTTGAGGGGTCAGGAGACAGAGACTGAAAAAAGAATGAGAGAAGCTGAAAAGTAGTGGGGAAATTTTAAAAAATCAAGGGAATTGAGAAACGGTAAACTGAAAAACCTGAGTAGAAGCACCACCCAAATCTTTGTTGATGATTTAGTAAATTATAAACGTAAAGGGGGGACCTCAAGAGAACCAGGCTAAAAGAGCAGCAGCTTGAAGCTAGAAGGAGTGTGTAGTGATTTCAGCTGCTATATACAATTGAAGAGATAATGATTGCAGTCTGGGTTCAAGCAAGTTAAATGCCTACTAGAACAAAAACATAAAAATAATAATCATCAGAACAATATGAGGGGATACAAAATAGCTATACGATAGTATCTTAACTGTCTAGTTTAAAAACAAAAACAACCAAACCAAAAACATAGAAACAGTGTGTGATTCATACACAGTGTGATCTATACACAGAAAAAAAGACACAGTCAATAGAAACCAACATTAGGCATGTCTATATGTTATATTTAGCAGAGAAAAAAATCTTCAAACTATATACTGGGAATACATTTTAAAAAAGCATTGCCTTGGCTGTTCAGGCTTTCTTTTGATTCTCTATGAGTTTTAGAATAGTTTTTTTTTAATTATGTGAAAAATGGCATTGTTAGTTTGGTAGGAATTGCATTGAATCTGTAGATTGCTTTGGGCTGTGTGGACATTTTAATGGAATTGATTCTTCCAACCCAGGAGCATGAAATGCTTTTCCATTTGTTCGTGTCATCTCTGATTTCTTTCAGCAATGTTTTGTCATTCTCTTTGTAGAGATCTTTTATCTCCCTGTTTAGCTGTATCCCTAGGTATTTTATTTTTGTGTGTATGGCTATTGTCAATGAGATTGTGTTCTTCATTTTGTTCTTAGATTCAACTTTATTGGTATATGGAAATGGTAATGATTTTTGCATGTTGATTTTGTATCCTGATACTTTGCTGAAGTCGTTTATCAGATATAGGAATCTTTCGGCAGAATCATTGTGGTCTTTTGGCATAGAATCATATCATTAGTAAAGAGAGATAATTGATTTCTTCTTTTCTTACTTAATTGCTTCTTTTCTTATTAAGAGGCTTTTTATTTTTTTCTCTTGCCTAACTGCCCTGACTAGGATTATCAGTATTATGTTGAATAGGGCTGGTGAGAGTGGACATCCTTGTCTTGTTCTAGTTCTTAGCAGGAATGCTTCCAACTTTTCCCATTCGTAGCTAAGGCAACTCTAAGCAAAAAGAATAAAGCTGGAGGCATCACATTACCCAACTTCAAACTATACTACAAGGCTACAGTAACCAAAATGGCATGGTACTGGTACAAACACACACACAGGCCAATGGAATAGAATAGAGACCCCTAAAATAAAGCTGCACACCTAAAACTGACAGATCTTTGACAAGATTGACAAAAATAAACAATAAGGAAAAGATATCCTATCAATAAATGGCCCTGGGAAACTGGCCAACCATATGCAGAAAAATGAAACTGGACCATCTTCTCTCACTCTGTACAAAAATTAACTCACGATGGATCAAAGACTTACATGTAAGACCTCAAGGATAGAAATCCTAGCAGAAAACCTAGGAAATGCTCTTCTAGCCTTTGGCCTAGACAAATAATTGATGACAAAATCATGAAAAGCAAATGCAACAAAACCAAAAATTGACAATTGCTACCTAATTAAATTAAAGAGCTTTTGCACAACATAAGAAACTATCAACAGAGTAAAAGTAAGCAGACAATCTACAGAATGGGAGAAATTATTTGTAAACTATGCATCTAATAAAGGACTAGTATCCAAAATCAATAAATAACATAAACAAATCCACAAGAAAGAAAACAAGTAACTCCATTAAAAAGTGGGTAGAGGTCATGAATAGACACTTCTCAAAAGAAGACATATAAGTGGCTTATAGATAATAATAATGGCAGTGTACAGAGCAAATGAGGTGCCTAAATGGATCATTAGGGACAGGAAAAGTTCCCTGGTCTTCCATTCTCCCCCTGTTTCCCTTCTCTACCAAGAATGGAAACTTGGTTAGCAGGAGACCAGTTTGATTGGCTGTGGTTGGAAATGGGGAGCAGGGATTGAGCTGTGTGATAATATAACATGTATGAGGGATTTGCCAACAGTATGTTTTACAATGAGATGTGTGGTCTCTATCAGATGGGGGTGGAAAAATGAAACAGGAAAGACAGAACCATCCCCAAATTCTATAAACTAATCAGGGACAGAGCCCCTTTGTGCTCATTGCATGATCAGATTCCAAAGGCTTCCAGATAATAAGAAAACTGGACCCTATCTCTCACTCTGTATAAAAATTAACCCAAGATGGATCTGACTTAAATGTAAGACCTCAAGGATAAAAATCCTAGAAGAAAACCTAGGAAATGCTCAGCATCACTAATCATCAGAGATGCAAATCAAAACCACAATGACATACATCTCACACCAGTCAGAAGGGTTATAATTAAAAAGTTAAAATAATAACATGGTGGCAAGTTTGTAGAGAAAAGGGAGTGCTTATATACTGTTGGTGAGAATGCAAATTAGTTTAGCCCCTGTGGAAAGCAGTTTGAAGATTTCTCAAATAACTAAAACTAGAATTACCATTTGTCTCAGCAATCCCATTACTATACTCAAAGGAAAATAAATAAATCATTCCACCAAAAAGACACTTGCACTTGTATGTTTATTGCAGCACTGTTCATAATGACAAAGACATAGATTTGACCCAG
Source organism: Homo sapiens (assembly GCF_000001405.40). Classification (NCBI taxonomy): domain Eukaryota; kingdom Metazoa; phylum Chordata; class Mammalia; order Primates; family Hominidae; genus Homo; species Homo sapiens. Next base: position 12,811,795 of record NC_000004.12, on the reverse strand, counting down.
GTGCTCATCAGTGGTGGACTGGATGAAGAAAATGTGATAAGATATACACTACAGAATAGTACACAGCCATGAAAAAGAAAGAAGTCAAGTCCCTTGCAGCAACATGGATGCATTTGGAGTCCATTATCCTAAATGAATTAAAGCAGGAACAGAAAATCAAATACTGCATGTTCTCACTCGTAAGTGAGAGCTAAACATTGGGTATACGATGGACACAAAGGTGGAAAAATAGACTCTCAGAATTCCAAAAAGGAAGAGTGAAGAAGGGGAACAAGGATTGAAAATACCTATTGGGTACTATGTTTGCTAATTGGGCAACAGAATCACTAGAATCCCAAACCTCAGCATCATGAAGTATATCCATGTAACAAACCTGCACGGCTACTCCCTTAATCTAAAATAAAAAAGAAAATAAAACATAACATAATATTAAAGTGAGATCTATAGTAGTATCTTATATAGTAGCAACACATTTTCCTATTAGTAAATTTGAGCATCTTTTTATATATTTCTGGTCATTAGTATTTGCTATTTAATAGTACCTACTAATATATTTTTGTCAATTTTTATTTTGGGATTTTTGTTTTGTTATCTTTTCTTTATGATTCTGTCAAGCTTGCAAGATATCATTGTTTTTATTTTGTTTTTGTTTTAGAGTATTGCTCTGTTGCTCAAGCTGGAGTACAGTGTGGCATGATCATTGCTCACTGTAACCTCAAATTCTTGGGCTCAAACAATTATTCCACATCAGCCTCCCAAGTAGCTGGGACTACGGGCATACACCACCATACCTGGCTAAATTTTAAAAAAAATTGTAGAGATGGAATCTCGATATATTGCTCAGCATGGTCTCGAACTCTTGGCCTCAAGCAATACTCCTTGTGGTGGGATTACTGTGCCTGGCCCTAAGATCATTATATATATATAGATCATAACACATTTTCTGTCAAATGTATTTGTAATCTATACTTTCTCTATATTACGTAGTCCACCATGTCACTTTCTTTTTATAGATTTTGGAGTTTCCGTTTTAATTAGGAAAGTTTTTCTCAAATCCTGGATTGTATTTTCAGTTTCACAAGTTATTTATTATAATTTTTATTGTTCTTTTTAAATCTTAACTTTTTAATCCATTTAGAATTGAATTCTAGAGTATGATATAAATTGGAAACCAATTTGAATTTTCTTCAGGTGAAGAGCCAGTTGAGCTAGTGTCTTTGATTAAATCAACTTCTTTCTACTAAGTGGATAAAAAGAAGTAAAAAGTATGCTCAAAGAATTAAAGAAAAGAATAACTTTAATAAATGAAGAGAAGATCTCTGCAGAGAAGCAGAACCTATATAAAGCCATGACTGGTAATTCTGCAGCTGAAAACTAGAAAAAGAGAATAAGTGTTTACAAGATAGGATCAACAGATTCCAAGTGTTACATTTGAAAGGACAATAAGGTGAATGAAATACACCTGGAAATGAGATAATGGGATGTGTCGTTGTAGTACCCATTTCTGACAGGTTCAGAATAGAATAGCTGTCTAAGCTGCTGGGCGATGTCTGTAAATATACAAACTTTACTGCTTACCAAGACTCAGTTTACTTACATTAGAAACAGTTTGAACTAGTACTCTGTGCCATTCAATTGCTTGGGAAGATGTAAGGTATTTTATGTACAAAGATTTAGGAAGTAAATGATACAGTTAATATTACTTAGTATTGTACAATTGAGTGTTTGTTGTAGAATGTGTTATTGGCCCCAACCTATCACCTTTCCCTATATCTATGTTCTTTGCTCTTTAGTTTTGTAATGTATTTATACCAAGGAAAATGGACTGGAGGAGTACATTTCTACCCTTAGTCTTGACATGAGATTTACTTTGGCCAAGTAAGATGTTTACAAAATTCAAGCAAGCAAAATTGTTTAAAATGTTTGCATATGAAGCTTGCTTGCTCTTGTCCTTCTACCCTTTCCTTGCAAAGAACATGCCTGAGATGGCTCACGATTACTGGGAGGAGGATGAATGACATGTGAGCAGAGTTGTCTTAGTTAAGTTGCCCCAGCCAATACCAATCTAGAGAAGGCCGCAATCTAACTTTCAGATGCATGCATGAGTCTGGCCATGGGGAAAGGATTCCTTATTTAATAAATGGTGTTGGGAAAACTGGCTAGCCATATGCAGAAAACTGAAACTCGATCCCTTCCTTACACCTGATACAAAAATTAACTCAAGATGGATTAAAGAAGGACTTAAACCATAAAAATTCTAGAAGAAAACCTAGGCAATACCATTCAGGACATAGGTATGGGCAAAGACTTAATGAGTAAAACACCAAAAGCAACGGCAACAAAAGCCAAAATTGACAGATGGAATCTAATTAAACTAAAGAGCTTATGCACAGCAAAAGAAACATCATCAGAGAGAACAGGCAACCTACAGAATGGGAGAAAATTTTTGCAATCTATCCATCTGACAAAGCACTAATATCCGGAATCTACAAATAACTTACACAAACTTACAAGAAAAAAAAAAAAACTTTCTTTCTTTCTTTCTTTCTTTCTTTCTTTCTTTCTTTCTTTCTTTCTTTCTTTCTTTCCTTCCTTCTTTCTTTTTCTTTGATTGGCAGGTAACATTGTACGTATTTGCCATGTACAACATAATGTTTTGAAGTATGTAGACATTATGTAATAGCTAAATCTAGCTAATTAACATATGCATTATCTCACATAGTTATTATTTTTGTGATGAGAACACTCTACATTCATTCTTCACATTCTTCAATAATACAATATATTGTTAACTATAGTTACCATGTTGTACAATAGATCTCTTGAACTTATTCCTTCTACCTAACTGTAATTTTGTATTCTTTAATCAGCATCTCCTGAACTCTCCCCTCATCCAAACTACCCCAACCCTTGTTAACAATTATTTTACTCTGTACTTCTATGAGCTCAGAACTTTTTAGGTTTCTATTGTTTTAACACACTGAGTCTTAAGGCAGTTTGTTCCAACAATAGCTAAATGATAAGAGTATTTAAAATGTGTCAGGCAATGTGCCAAATGATTTACATATATTATCTTGTGTAACATTTTTGAGTATTTTGACACGCTGATGAAGTAGGTGGTAGAGATTTTTTTTAATTTAACAGTACATTTTCAGATGAGAAAATATGGATCCCAAATGCTTTTTTACTTTCCAACATTACAGAGCTATAAGGAAGTGAAGCTCTAGTATTCAAATGTAGGCAGCCTGTGTCAGATACTCTAAGTACAGAAGAATTTTTGTCAAATTGGTCTTGTCTGTTAGAGATTTTTCTATCTCCAAATTGTCAAGATTGCATGCTGAGAAAAAGAACCAAAAATAAACTATGTTGTAGAAATACAGAACGTTTCAAAATATGTTGTAACAAGAAATTTCTTTTTAATCTTTCTCTCTTCCTACACCACTGACATATACAAAACATCTTAATAAAAATGCTTAAAGTAATGAAATACCAACTTACGTGTTTGCTTACCTTCAGAGTGAAAGTATGCCAGGAAAAACATATGCCTGCTGCTGTGGATGGATATTAGTTACTGGACTTTCAGGATGCCTCCTACTAATTTATTTTCATCACAGGCAGTTTAAATTATATTTCCCTCTCTTTTTCTTAATCATTTAGCACTACTTACAAAAAGTAGAAGAAAAAAGTAAAAGCTTTCACTTCTAAAATTTCAAACATATGGTAAGATTGAGCAGATTATGTGGGGTTGGATGGCAGGGGACCTGAACTCTTGACTTGTTCCTACCACTAAGTAACTATAATTTGCTGGCAAACCTCTACACATCTCAGAGCTTTGATTTTCTTTTCAGTCAAATGGAGTCACTACTAGCTCTGGGAGTCTATAAAACTCACTCACTTATTCATTCCTTCAAAACTCGATTACTATACACTAGCTATGTGTCAGGTACCACACCCCTCATGGATGACAGAAGAAACAAGACAAGCCCTTGCAAGAATTCTCAGTCTGAGAAATAGGGATGGAGCCAATGAGTACATAGTTCCTGAAAAATATAGTAAGTGTTTATTATTCTTTCCTCAAAAGCAATTGTAGCAAAAACAAAAATGGACAAGGGGGAACTAATTAAACTAAAGAACTTCTGTAGAGCAAGAGAAACTATCAACAGAGTAAACAAACAACCAATAGAATGGGAGAAAATATTTGCGAACTATGCATCGAACAAAGGACTGATATCCAGCATCTATAAGAAACTTACACGAATTAACAAGCAAAAAAACCAAATAATCCCATTAAAAAGTGGGCAAAGGACATGAACAGACACTTCCCCAAGGAAGACATACACATGGCAAGCAAACATAGAAACAAATACCCAACATTAGTAATCATTAGATAAATGCAAATTAAAACCATAATGAGATAGATAGTATCTCATACCAGTCAGAATGGCCATTACCGTAAGGTCAAAAAACAACAAATGCTGGCGAGGCTGTAGAGAAAAGGGAAAGCTTATACACTGTTGGTGGAAATGCAAATTAGCTCAGCCACTGTGGAAAGCAGTTTGGAGATTTCTCAAAGAACTTAAAGGAGAACTATCATTCAACGCACTAGTTCCATTGCTGAGTTTATAGCTGATATGGTTTTTGGATATTTGTCCCCTCCATATCTTATGTTGAAATGTAATCCCCATTGTCAGAAGTGGGGCCTAGTAGGAGGTATTTGGATTATGGGAGCAGATCCCTCATGAATGGTTTGGTGCCTTCCTCATAGCAATGAGTGAGTTATTCCTCTGAGTTAATGCAAGATATGGTTGTTTAAAAGGGTGTGCCACCTCCCCCGTCTCTCACTCCCTCTTTTGCTCCCCCCTCGCCTTCCACCATGATTGCAAGCTTTCTGAAGCCCTCACCAGAAGCAGATGCTGACACCTTCCTTCCTGTACAGCCTGCAGGACCATGAGCCAAACGAAACCTCTTTTTCTTCATAAATTACTCAGCCTCGAGTATTCCTTTATAGTGATGCAAATGGACTCATGTAATACCCAAAGGAAAATAAATTGTCCTGGATGTGGGCAGAGCCTTCCATGGCAGATACTGGGTGCTTAAAATCACAAGTGATAACAAGACAGTGTCTCAGTGAAGAAAGTTGCTCTGAGCTGCTGAAGCCCTGCCCCTTTATGGTCACAGAATCCTCAGGTGAGGACTCATAGAGGAACAGTGTGCCTGTTTTATGTCCTTATCTGGTTGGATGTAGTCTTTATTATTATTTTTTATTTGTTTATCAAGCAAAACATTTTGTCCTTGTTGGCAAAGGGCCCTGTGAAATCTAAAATGAAGCATTTTTCTAAGCTGGAGTTACTTATGTCAAGGGTGCTCTATACAATCCGGGAAGTATAGAACAGCAGAGCATAGAATGATATCAGAGAGCACAAATAAAAATAATCCTAATGAACATCACGGACTCAAACTTTCCTGCCAGTGGGTATTAATTTCCAGAATGGATTAAAAATAAAATAAAATTATATTTGTTTAGAGAAATACATGTGATCAAAATGATTCAGAGAAAAAAGAACCTAAAAAAGAATAAACAAGATTTTTTTTCACTCAAGCTTAAATGTAGGAAAGTAAAGGTGCCAATATTAGAGTCAGATAAATTAGAATTAAATTAAAAGAATTAATAAAAAGCTTTAAATTGTGATGAAAGATATTTAATTATAAAGTTGTGACACCAGTAAGCATAAGTTGAGTAGTACAAAATCTGAATATATGAGTAAGTAATATTAGAGACATTAGAAGAAACTGACAGAAACAGAAATGTAAAAGGAGATTTTTACTTTGGTATGATTGAATAAAAACAGCCAGTTATACTGAGCTGTTTCTATGTGCCAGTCTTCCCTCCCCTACCCCCCAAGCTATATATGAGTTAGGTCCTTGAATCTTCCCAATAAACTTATGAGATAGATACTAAATATAAACAATGGGGAAATCCCATATAATTAATGACATTGAACTAATCATGTTCTAAGAAATTCTGTGGCTAATTAAAAATGATTATATTCACTGTACAACTATACACAGATTGGACTATTTATAAAAATTGACCTCAAAGGCCAGGTGTGGTGGCACACACCTGTAATCTAGCACGTTAGGGGGCCATGGCAGGCAGATCATGAGGTCAGGAGATCGAGACAAGCCTGGCCAACATGGTGGAACTCCATCTCTACTAAAATACAAAAAAATTAGCTGGGCATGGTGGCGTATGCCTGTAGTCCCAGCTACTCAGGGGGCTGAGGCAGGGGAATTGCTTGAACCCAGGAGGTGGAGGTTGCAGTGAGCCGAGATTGCGCCTGCACTCCAGCCTGGTGACAAAGCAAGACTCTGTCTCAAAAAAAAAAAAAAAAATACTCAGAATATTTAAAAGGTAAAAAATTTATAAGTCACTTTGGCTAATGACCAATATGTTTAAACACAAAACATTCAACATTTAAAAAAGAAACATCGTCTCAAAAAAGAAATCTGGATTAGGTGGGTAAATAAACACAAAAAAATTGAAAATAACAAATATGATGTTTTATTTTAATGTCAACAGGCATATCTTATGGAGAAATTGAAAGGCAGTTAATAAATGTATTGTCACTATGAAATAAGAAAAATTAAACTTTATTATTTAACTTGTAACATTAGATTAAAACAAAAGTCATGCATTGTTTGTAAGAATGTAAAATGGTGCAACTTCTTTGGAAAACATTCAGCAGTTTTTTAAAAAGTTACCATATGATTCAACAAACTCACTCCTAAGTATAAAACCAAGAGAAATGAACACATATGTCCACACAAACCTTGTATCTAAATGTTCATAGTTTCACGATTCACAGTAGCCAAAAAGTAGAAACAATTGAAATACATAAATACATAAACATAATGTGGTTTATCCTTGGAGTGGAATATTATTACTTGGTCATAAAAAGGAGAAAAGTATTGATGCACACTACAACATGGATGAAGTTTGAGAACATTATTCTAACTGAAAGAAGCCAGTCACAAAAGATCACACATTGTATAGTTTTATTCATATAAATGTCCAGATTAGACAAACCCATAAGATATAAAATAGATTGATATTTGCCCTGAGCCGGACAGGGGAGAGTAGAATGTGTTTGGGGAATGGCTGCTGAAAGGTATAAGGTTCTTTTGGGGATAATAAAAGTGTTCTAAAATTAGATTTTGGTGAATATTGTAAAACTTTGTATATATACTTAAAGGCTCTGCATTGTACATTTTACATGGGTGAATTCTATGGTATGTAAATTATATCTCAGTAAAGTTGTTAAAATTAAAGAGGGGAAAAAACTAAGAAAACTAAAACATAAAAGTTTTGTATCTGTGATTTTCCCTTTTGTTGTAGAAAGCGATTGCCAAAGTAATCCTTAGGTGTGATTCAGTTTACTTTTCAGTGCACATACCCAATAGGACTTCATCCCATGACTCACACATGCTCTGAAAATAAGTCTGCTGGTTGTTTTGTCTTCTCAGATACACTTCTTCAAATATGCTGATTAGCATTTATAATGAAGTGGCTCAGAGCTGATATTTATTTTCACGTGGATTAGACTAGCTGCATTTCTTCAACCCCCCAAGCTTGTGAGGATTATTGTCTCACTTTTTAAAATGTTGATATAGATATAGATATCTAGATATAGACACATACATGTACATATATGTGTGTGTGCATCTGTATAAAATAAGGGTATATACTTATATACTCCTCCCAACAATTGTAAAATGGGATATGGCAGGGCAGTGATTGCTTTACATGATAAAACTGAGACTCAGTGATGGAAGCTGCCTGCTCATGCTGGACAAGAATCCTGGATTTCTTACTCTTTGTGTTGCCTCTTTGTAAAATAAAATGCCTATAGTATCTTCCAGTTTCCTCATTACCCACCCCTGTGTCACCCCTCTATATACACCCCTCCATGAGAAAATCAATAAAAATGTTTAATACTTTGTTTTCTGGGTCAGCTTTTCCCTTCACCTCTATATTCAAGCACATGCAGAGAAACATTACTTTTAGAGAAAAAGTTTAATTAATTTTTTTTTTTTTGAGACAGGATCTCACTCTGTTGTAGGAGTGCGGTGGTGCCTTCTCACCTCACTGCAACCTCTGCCTCCCGGGCTCAAGTAATCCTACCACCTCAGCCTCCCCAGTAGCAGAGACTACAGGCACACATCACCATACCCAGCTAACTTTTGTATTTTTTTGTAGAGACAGGGTTTTTCCATGTTGCCCAGGTTGAAAGTTTAATATTTTTTTTTTTTTTTTTTTTTTTTTTGAGACGGAGTCTCGCTCTGTCGCCCAGGCCGGACTGCGGACTGCAGTGGCGCAATCTCGGCTCACTGCAAGCTCCGCTTCCCGGGTTCACGCTATTCTCCTGCCTCAGCCTCCCGAGTAGCTGGGACTACAGGCGCCCGCCACCGCGCCCGGCTAATTTTTTTGTATTTTTAGTAGAGACGGGGTTTCACCTTGTTAGCCAGGATGGTCTCGATCTCCTGACCTCATGATCCACCCGCCTCGGCCTCCCAAAGTGCTGGGATTACAGGCGTGAGCCACCGCGCCCGGCCGAAAGTTTAATATTTTTTATGCAGGAAGAGAAAAGAAACAAAGCCATGAATACAAAACAACTCTTTTCTTGGATCCTTTCATTTTTTGCACATACTTCTATGATATCATGTGTTAGTGTGTTTCAATGAGAGTGCATCTGCCTGTCTCCTCGGGTAGACCGTCATTTATCTATGTTATGCTGCCTATCTCCAAATGCACCATGTGTCTGACAGTAGCGTTTCAGTAACATTGGTCTAACGGACTCTGTAGCTATCTATGTTCTACATTAATACATAGAGGAAATCATTTTGTAAAAGTAGCACCAGTACATTCAATTGCCTGCTCAGCAGCTTCTAACAGACAGTAAAGCTTAATTTAATCGATTCAATGTGTTAGACTTATATAAGGTGTTTAAATGTAGACCATGGTAAATATTGTAGTAGTGGCAGAAACTAAACTTAGACACAATCTTGGCCGAAATCTTGGCAGCCTTTCCCATTCTATGGTTTGATGTAGGAATGACGTGAAAGGAAAATAAAGTATATCTATTGGGATGCTTTAGGCAGCAATTAATGGAATTTAAACTGTAATGAACCTGAACATTATAGAAACATATTTGTGCAAGTGAGACAGAATCCAGACGTAGCATGAACTTTCAGTTTGGTGGATCCAACAGTTAATGTCATCAAGGTCAACATCATGTTCATCCTAAGGTAGGTTTCCTCATAAATGCAATATGCCTGTCAATTGCCCAGGGTGCTAAGTTTCCTTATCCATGACTTGTAGGAGGGAGTAAACCTGGCTTAAGTTCACAAAAGCCAGAAAGCTTATCTCTCACAAGCTCTCAGCTAGACCTTCTCATCATCCCAAAATGGCTTAGGCTTGCTTATCCCTGAATGAATGATGAGTAATGGGGCTTAGAGTAATCAGCTTGTGTGGAACAGATACTCGGAAGGTAGTACTTCATTATGGAAGACTTTCTGCTAAGACCTGAAGCCTATTTTGATGGACTCAGGCACACATTGCCTTTCTTCTTGATGTCAGCAATGTTCAACTCTGCAGCCCTAGCAATTTGTATAGCTGGATTATCCATATTCATCCCTCCAAAGCGCCAAATTTAATTGTTCTAGAGGAGCAGTTGATGGCTAAAAATAGACATTTCTTTGAGTATCTGAAAGAAAACATTACTTTTAGATATTCAAGCAATTGAATGTATACACAGACAGTCATTTAAGACTATATTATATGTATATATAAAACCTTCCTTTTTGTTTATAGCAAATTAAGTGTACATTTTCTAAGGGAATTTTATTTTATCTTTATCTACCTGTACACTTTTTAAAAAAGTCTTATTTTATAGCCCTTTAAATCACCCTTGAACACAGTTTGATGTGTTGGTTAGCAGAGATAATGATGCATTGTGCCAAGTTTATAATATGCTTGGAACACTTGCCCCTGGGGAATTTAAGAGATTGAGCTCCAAGTATGATTTTTTTGATCCCAAGAAAAAGTTTTTTTTTTTCTAATGGGAGGAAACATTTTGGACATAAAACTATACTAACCAAATGTGTGTAAGAATGAAGTGCAAAGAATTCTGAAGCAGAGAGATTGAGTTTTCTTGGACATTCACATGAGTTCAAAATTAAGAGACAAATTGTACACAGTGCACTTGGCCAGTCCTAATTTATTTATTAGGGAGTGAAAATATGTATTTTGTGAACATGTGGTTTCAAAAATAATTTACCAAAACACCTTATTTTTTCATTTCTGTATTTATCAATGTATCAGATAAAGCATATAGTTGGCAGTCATTTTATTTGTAAATAATTCAGACTATAATGTCCAAAATATGAGCTAATTTTGAGTGGATTAATGAAAAAGTTGTTCTGGATGAACTTCTGAGGCAGCTCCTCCTAAAAATTATATTGCTTTGTGGAAAATCTAAAAGGAAATAAAATGCACTCTTTCCATTACACCTAGGAAGCCATTACAGAGCTCTCTAAAAATCATAAAACAAGATTTAAGGACTTGGTGCATCCAACAAACTTACCATCCAGTTTCTGTCCTCGTATTAGGGTATTTTTGGTTTAGAGTGGTTTGTCTCTTGTCGTTTGTGCTGAGAGAGACTGCATTTGCTGATCTGATCAGTGATGGATTGTGTTTAGTGCATGAACTGAATACCTATGAATAAGAGGGTATCAGAATGATCTGAGGTGGCTTATTGAGTATGCTGTGTACTTCAGGTACTGGTTTATAGACGGTAATTAATGATATCTTCCTTTTGGGTTGATCAAAGAGAGAGCACTTCCCCCTGAGCTCTGGCAGTTGTTTTCAGCAATGTTGAATTGTTCCTATTCTCTGTAAAGAACTCCTATATGAGCCAGTCTTACTAACACTGAAATTCAATTTACTTTTACCAGTGGAATAATATATTCACTACCAGTCTTTTCATACATTCCTGCTACAAATTTCTAACACTAAAGGTAAGCAGTGCATTTAGAAGTTTAAAACATTTAATAAAGCTGACAGTTTCCCATTTGGCTTGTTAATTTTTATTTATGTAGAAATAGTTGTAGATTACTAATACATCTTAATATAATATATTGATAATGTTATTAAAAAACACAAAAGAAAGCTAGTTGATCTCAGGAGTGCTGGGTAGGGCATGTGATAGGGGCTTAAAATGCTGGTTAATGTTGCCAGATTTTATTTTGTAATAGTCTTTTCCTTACAAAAATCATATGAAAAATTATCTGAGCAGAACTTGAAAAGACGGTGTTGCTGAACTGGTCTTGCTTACATTATCCCTTCGCTTATCTCCAGGTTGTGTAAAGGAAGGTGAATAGCTTGTTAAGAGACAGCTTGGTAATGGGAACTTCTGGAGAGAACACTATTTTGGGAGTGTGATGTTTTCCAAAGAGCAAAGGAGAGGTGTATTCCCCCATTTGTAAGTCCAGGCTGCAATGTAAATGAAGTAAGGGAGTTTTCGGAAAGCCATTTGGAACTCAATACGTGTCTTTCTTTTTCCAACTTTTATTTTAGATTCAACAAGTACATGTGTAAGTTTGTTACATGGGTAAATTGCATGTTGTGGGGTTTGATGTACAGATAATTTTCTCATCCAAATAATCAGCATAATAATTGATAGGTAGTTTTTCGATCCTCCCCCTCCTCCCACCCTCCAACCTCATAGGCCCCAGTGTCTACTGTTCCCTTCTTTGTGTCCTTGTGTACTCAGTGTTTAGCTCCCATTTATAAGTGAGAACATGCAGTATTTGGTTTTCTATTCCTGTGTTAATTCACTTAGGGTAATGGCCTCCATTTCCATCCATGTTGCTGCAAAGGCCATCAACATGTGCTTTGAGTGACAAAGAGACTGGAATCTTAATCAGCCCTAAAGAAAAACAAAATAGCACTCTAAAGGAGAAACTGGAAGGATATGCTTCATAACAGCACAGCAAAGAGAGAGGGCTCCATTGAGAATGTCTGTACATCCAAAGTTTGGAAAATTTCCAAGTTGTGTCCTTCCCTTGGGCAGAATTGTTGGCAGAATTCATCTTCTTGCAATTGAAGGGCTGATGGCCCTAGCTTCTTGCTGACTGTCAGATGGAATTCATCCTCATCTCCTTGTAACATGGGCCTCCCAAGTTGGCTGCTCGCTGCTTCTGAGTTCTCTAGAGAGAGAATCTCAAGAGTAAGTTTACCAGCAAAACGAAGTTCTATATAATGTAGTGTAATCACGGAAGTGGCATCCCTCACCTTTGCCGTATTCCGTTGGCTAAAAACAAGTCATAGGTCCTTGTTTGTACCTTTTTATTGTTCTATTGGTCTGTTGTGAGTGTTTGCTCACACTCAAGGGGAGGGGATTATTCACACAAAGGCGTAAATACCAGAAGGCAGGAATCACTGGGGTTACCTGTGGGTCTGTCCCCACACAGCCCTTTGAGTTCAGTTCTGTAACTTATTTGGGCCAATGGAATGTGAGCAGAAGTATCTGAGGGCTAGTTCTAAGCCTAGTTGGTAAGAGAGATCTAGTGTTTCCATTGTCCTCACTGTATGTCTGCCTTCAATCATCATGAGAAAATTTCCTGAGTAGTCACTTGTCCGAAGAAAATGAGAGTCACCTAAATTAGCCTTGGACACAAACTACATCTTGAAACCAAGAACAGCCTGTATCAGTGAGCTTCCACCTAATCCACAGGTTCTTAAGAGTAATAAATAATTATTACTTTTAGCTACTGGGTGTGAGGTAGTAAAATAATGTAGCATTATTTTAGCAATAGCTAATTGCTCTAATACCTGAGTATAACTTAAATGGTTTGGAATCTGCCTATGATTTCATGCCAGAGGATGGAAGAAAGCTCAAAAGATGAATTGACAATATAGTGATGGAAAAACATAACATTGATTTTTAATTGACCTCCGTAAATATAGCTTATTCCATACTTAATTTCAATATTAAGTGGCCAAGCTAGGACTTGAAGTCATTTCTTATGATGCCGATTATTGGCTATTTTTGCTAAATCATGCAATCACTTATATCTGAATAGCAAATAGCGAGTGTTTGATCAAAATAATGGCTATTTCATGATGATGTACACATCTCTTTCTCTTTCTATAATTTTTTTTTGTAAGGTTGATGACAAATCAGCATGGTGGAGAGAGAGAAAAAGCATGATGGGCTTTGGAGCTAGAAAGACCTTGACTGAAACCTTAGGTTATCTTCTTTGATTTTCTATCCTGTAGTAAGAAGAAAATGGCACTCACCTTGCAAGTCATTGTGAGAATTAAGTGAAATAATACAAGTTTGCATCACAGCCGGTGATGCATAAGGGGAGCTCAGCATTTGCTGGTTTCTTTTTCCTGCCTCTCTTTTCCTTTGAATCTATTTTTGCTTCCTAATCAGTCAGTCCCAAAGAATTTCTAAAAGGTTACACTTGTTAGGAAGAGGTCTTAAGTCAATGTTAACAGGTTAACAAAAAAGAAGGAAAGGAAAAGTAAATCCATAATAAATGGGAGAGAAAATCTCTTAATTCATTTGCTCTCATTGCATTTTGGAGAAGCAGGTTCCACTTGCTTTGGACAACAATAGTGCCCATCTTCCTCCTTTTTAACGAAGCTGTAGAGAAGTTCCAAAATATCAAACAGTGAAATGTTTACCTGAGAGCTTAGGTGAAGGCTGAGAAAATAAACACTGTCCATGTCTTTGGTGTTAGGGTAGAAGGCACTGGGTCTCTCTCTTTCGACTTGTGGAGTCCCTGCCAACACCTTGCAGCTCTGGTATCTTAACAGGCCTGAGCTTAAACGCTGAGTGGAAGGGGAAAGTGTGGGGTGTTTGTACAGCTGAAAACAAGATGAAAAACCCCAGGCCCCCTCTCACACCCCATTAGACCCTGAAGTCCACGGAGTGTTGCACTCAACACATAAACACTCTGCTTGGGGAAGCCGTGGTCAGGGTGTGAGAGGGAGGGACACCGTCTCAGAGAGGAACAATGGCATCTCTGTGAGGAGCCAGGAATCCCTGCTCCTGCAGCTTCTTGGCCTGGGATACATTAATCATTACTTCCACCTTATGCATTTCAGTAAACCTCAAGGCCTTTGGGGATTGATAATGGGACAACAGGTAAGGAGATACCCTATCAAAAAATAAACACTTTGGGCCAAGGATTCAACATCACTGTTTCTTTCTCCAGGATGTCAGAGGGAGAGAAAGATGGAATTTGGAGTAAACAGTACAGAGTCCTATCACAGCTGGTTGTGGCATTGTGGGCAACTGATGAACTTCTCTTGCCTTTCTACACCCTATGCCTTTGCCCCCATTGCTCTGTCTGCCTGGAATATTCTCCAGTCACACACACTTTCAGTGGGACATAGAGTCTTAATCGCCTTTTTAGATTAAAGTTGTTTTTTACTCTCTTCTTTAAGGACAGCCATCATTCAATTTAGAGAAGGCTTTTCATCTTCTGGTCTATGCTGCGTAATTCAATCCCTCCCCTGTGTTCCCACAGCATGCCACGATCAGGCTCTTACTAAAGTATTAGATTGGTGCAAAAGTAATTGCAGTTTTTGCCATTACTTTTATGGCAAAGACCGCAATTACTTTTGCACCAACTTAAATACTTTTCATGGTGTATTGGAATTTGTATGTCTGCATTTTCCCTCAGTCTCTCATTAGACAACCATATATTTCAGTTTGCTGAGGTCATATAGGCTGTGTGAGTCATGGACCCTCTTATTTCCTGCCTTAATCCCTGCAATAGTAACTATACATATGCATCCATTGTGTGTGCTGCTGTTGTAGGTCTTTCCAAAAAAGATATTGAAATCCTAACACCTGGCATCTAAGAATGCAATTTTACTTGGAAATGAAGTCTTTGCAGAGGTAACCAACATGAGATGAGGTGAAATTGAATTAGTAAAAGGCGAAAGATTTATACGATTTGAAGAGAAACCAGAGCGTAATGAAATTGAATTAGAATAGGCCCTAAATTCAATGACTGCTTTCCTTAAAGAAGAGGGAGATTTGGAGACACAGAAGTGTACATAGCGGGAAGGCAGTCCTGTGAAGTTGGAGGTAGGCATTGTAGTGACGCAGCTACAAGTCAAGGAAGGTCAAGGATTTCCAGCAACAACCAGAAGCCAGAAGCCAGAGGAGGCAATTAAAGGATTCTCTGAGGCCTTCAGAAGCAGAGTGGCCCTGCCTAGTCCTTGATCCAGACACACAGTCTCTAGAACTATGAGAGAATAATTTTCTGTTGTTTTAAGCAATCCAACTTATGGCAACCATGGGCAACTAATACAAACATGAAGCCCTCTCCATTCCTTTGTTTCAACTCACCTTTTCATTCTTCTGATATTTCCTGGGATGTAAAACCAGAACCCGACTTAACATTTCCCTTGGAATTGAAAAAATGGCTTCTTCTCTATAGCCAATGTAAATGCTTGAGTCTCCCATAACACAGCAGCAGCAATGCCCTTCTGGGACTCTAAGTCCCTGTGTAGGTTAAGAAACACCCTTCTCCTTTCCTTCACAGTTAAATTTAATTTTTTGTTCCACCTAATTCTATGGATATTTCACCTTAAACTTTTCATGGGGTCTATTCCTTCTATCCACCTTTATTCATTCAGATGGTAGAGTTCTGAGCTCAGTTCTCTTCACTTTTTACTCTGCAAACCTTTCTTAAGCAATGTCATCTTATTCAATGTCTTCAATGACCATCTATTTGGTAATGAACCACCAATCCAGGCTTCTAACCACAATCCTTAACTGTGCTAAACTGTAGACTAACTAGTCAAATAGTAAGTGCTTATTTCTCTATATAACTCAAGGTCAATATGTCCATACTTTACTGTCTTTTGTTCCTTACTGTTTTCTTCTTAACATCTCAATATGGAACAATGGCAACACCATCCACTCAGTAATCTATGAAATAAATGTGGGAGTTACTCTGAATGATTCCTTTTATCATCTTTCGCATGCGGTCAGTGATGGTAATCCAACAACTCCACCTCTTTAAAATATCTAACATCTGTATTCTTCCTATCTCGTTGCTCTGCCTTAAGTTATGCCTTCATCATCTCTCTTGAATGACAGCAACAGCTTCTTAACTGGCCCTATTGCCACTAACCTCTATCTCACAAGTCCACTTTTCCTGATACTACTGGAGTGAACTTGGTAAAACGAACATCAGGTTGTGGCATCTTCTTGTGTAATACACATTAGAATCTCCTTTTGACCAGTTACAGATTAACCACTATAATTTGTTCTTCACCTCTTCAACCTCTCTTCTCCTCCACCTTTTTCATATCCTACTTTTTGTTGCACACTATGATTCAGACATGCCATAGTACTTTTAGTTCCTGAATAATAGGTTTTCCATCTCTCTGTGGTTTTGTGTGTTCTGTTCTTTTGGTCAAGAATTCCCTGCATCTATTAGCTATCTAGCGAAAAGCTCTCATCGCTGAAGCCAGAGCGAGCTTCAGTCCTTTCCCTGTTCACCCTATCCCCATGTAGGATTATCTCATTCTTTGTATCCTCAAGACAGTCCATAGCTGCTTTGATCATAGAACTAGTACTGCATTTTTTTTTCTGTTTGCATGCTTATTTTTTTCCACTAGACTGTGAAAATGTTTAGGATAGGGCTATAGCTTGCTCATCTATATATTCTCATTGCCCGTCACAATGTGAGGCACATAATCGACAGAAAATGAGTTAAAAAACAAGTGAATGAATATATAAATTAGTGTATGAGTGAATTAATCTACTAAGTGGAGCTAGAAACTTTTATTCCATGTTCTTTTCAGAGTTTATTTGTTGATAAAATGAGATGATGGATATCAAAAAACACCTTGTAAACTCTATTTAACTATAGACTGCTAAGAAATAAATAATTTTATATCTAGTCTTAAAAGAAAGAGAGAAGACCATCATATTGCCATTGTTACCCTAGAATTTTCACTTTAGAATGTTCTTTGGGAGAATCTTTAGTGGGGCACAAATTGAACAAAAAATTCATCTCTTCTCTTTGATGTCTGCCAGTCTGGGGAAAAATTATGCACTAGATTGGGGGACAGGAGATATGAGATCTTGTGGGACCTTGAGCAGTTTGCTTTCATTTTCTGGGCCTCAGTTAAAAGATAAGTTTTAAGATTCATTGAAATAAAGTATATATTATATATATTATATATACATATATAATATACATAATATATAATATACGTATATATATTACGTATATGTACGTAATATGTATACATATATAATATATATTATATACGTATATATAATATGTATAATATATACGTATATATAATATGTATAATATATACGTATATATAATATGTATATGTGTAATATATATACATGAAAAACTGAAGCTTGGAAAAATTAAATAAGTTGTTCAAGGCCACAGCATTTAAGGAGCCAGGATTGGAAGAGGCTGCCTGGATTTTGTGTCCATGCTCTTATCTACATGCCCATGCCACCTTTCATGGAGTTTGTATTGATTGTAAAAGAAACACTAGGAGAAACACTGAGATAATACTCTAATTTTTGAAATAAAATTAAATTATGTAGTTTTAAGTCAGGTTATTTTCATGAAAATGGACTTTTTTGTTCTTCTAGGTCTCCATCTTAGCCTAGCTTCCTCCAAAACAAGCCCAAGGCAAGAAGAATGTGGAGTTGGGGGTTTATTTTGGGAAAAGACCCCAGAGAGGGTGTGTGTGACTGCATATGCGAAAGGGAAAGAAAAGTCAATTTAAAAGTATGTTTTCAGATTGATCACACAATCTGATGGAGGGTGGGTGCTGAGGCTCAATCCCACTGGAGACCCCCTGATTAGCCTCATGCCCTGGTTATCAACCCCTTTGCTTATGAATTTCCCTAAGGGTAGGAACTTTTTTCTCTAGCACTTCCAGGGTAGGGCATGCTTCAGAATGCTTGAGTGCATTTCTGGGGATTCTCAAGCTACAGAGGCTTAGAAGTCCTGGGGGCAAGACTTACACAGTGTGGCAGAAGCAAGGCATAATCAGGTCACACCTGTCTGCAACTGATTGCTGAAACAATGTCTAGAGTAAAAGGGTAGGTAGAAAAAGATGTGACACGGAGCACAAGAGATACACGTTGTTCTCCCTCTCAACATGTATTAACAATGGAGCCAGGGAGGACACTACAGAGGATGCCCCATCTGCCTGTGAGGTGATGGGTCACTCCATGGAAGAGTGCGTAGGAGAAACAAGAAGAAAGCTTGACCCCGAGGGATGCAATTAGACCCGTGACTACTCACTTCTCATCCCCAGGCTCAGAGAGTGTAAACTGTGGTAGATACATTGAGTATAGCAAGGAGGTCCAGAGGCTCTTACTTCAGAATCTCTATATGGCCCAACACAAAGTGCATAATTTAAATTATAATTTTTAAATGTGTCTTTCCCTGAAATAGTGTAACATAGTGGCCCACCTTTTTTTTCCATTCATTCTGGGGTTCAAGGATAAAACTTCCTCAAGGCTGAGAGCTCAGAAGCTGGACACATTCCCACGTAGGCTGACAACATGGGCAGGCCAAAGAGAATCTAAGCTGGCTGCAGTTGCCAGGAGGACTTTTGGTATGTGGAGAAATGTTTGGCCTGTTGCAGAGCTGCTCTGTCAGAAAGAATTGACTCCATGACAAAGGACATGGTTAGAAGCTCAGGCTCTGGAGTCATATCCAGTGGCTCCTAGATGGAGCTTGGTCTACCAGGACTATCTTGGCTGGGTCTCCTAAAAAGCATTGCTAAAAAAAAAATAGGTCCCTAAATTTACTAGTTACAGACTGCAGCATAAGAGGCTGCAGGATTAGGTGACTAAGAAGGTTAGGGATAGTTTCACAGAAATCAGGCCACCACTGTGTACCAAAAAACCAACAGAGTCCAGGGGTATACCTCACCTCCTACCCCATATACGCAGTTGGTTATGTCATGTAGGCTTTCTCCCTCATGGACCCTTCAGGGAAAAAACATGTGGAGAAGAGGAAAATACCTGAGAGATGGAGCACTTCTATTCTTTTTTAAAATTATTTTGTTTTAAATTCTGGGGTACACGTACAGGATATGCAGGTTTGTTACATAGGTAAACATGTGCCATGGTGGTGTGCTGCACCCATCAACCCATCACCCATGTATTAAGCCCAACCTGCATTAGGTATTTTTCCTAATACTCTCCCTCCCCCGACTCCACCCAACAAGAGGCCCCAGTGTGTGCTGTTCCCCACCATGTGTCCATATGTTCTCATTGTTCAGCTCCCACTTATAAGTGAGAACATGCAGTGCCTGGTTCTTTGTTCCTGCATTAGTTTGCTGAGGATAATGGCTTCCAGACCCATCCATGTCTCTGCAAAGGACATGATCTCATCCCTTTTTATGGCTGCATATTATTCCATGGTGTATATGTGCCACTTTTTCTTTATCCAGTCTATCTAGTATTGATGGGTATTTGGGTTGATTCCATGTCTTTGCTATTGTGAATAGGGAGCACTTTTATTCTAATCAAACTGGAATGACTCAGAAAGATTGCTTAAGTGATTGGATGATAATAAGCTAACACTGAAAAAGACTTAATAGTTAATTTAGTCCAAAAATTGCACATGGAGGTTTAGGAGGAAAACTCAATTACTCATAGTATTGAACAGCCAAGTGAAAAATCTTGAGCGAGCCTAGAAGGCCTAGGTGGTCCAGCTCCTGCCCCATCTCCAGCCTCTCGCCATCATCGCCCGAGTCTCTGCCGTCTTCCCGCCATGCTCTTCCCTCAGTGGTTTGAACAGATATCATCTACCATGAGAGGCTCCTGTGAATATCTCATCTTCCTCCTGGGCCCCTTCTCAAATATGACCTAGTAATCGTCAAGCGTCATCTTTATTCCTTCTCCCTCTCTCCCTTCTCTGAGTCTATAAATAGTTCTTGAGTTCCTGCGTGCTTGGCACAGTTCCCAGTTTGGGGGACACAATGGTAAGCAAAAATAGACAAAGCGATGTCCTCATGGATCTTAGAGCATATTTGTGTAATTACACACATACTGTCTGCTTATTCTCCTAGACTGAAATTCTATGAGAACAGGAAAGAGGGGCAATATCTGTTTATTTTTTTCACCAAAGAATTAACATGCTAATTGCTCTAAGTTCCTTTTGAGCCACATTTTTGCTACCTCCTGTGTCTCTTTCAACATGCCTTCCTGTTGAGACTTTTTTAAAAAATTCTTTTTCTGGTAAGCTGCTGTATGGCTCATGTCTCTCAGAAGTCCTTTCAGGTACCTCTGGCCATGCTGTTGCATCAGAAAGTGTGGGCCCAAATTCCTCTACTCTCCTCTGCAATTTCAATTTGGGGAAATTTTGACTAACTTCTGCATTGCCAAGTGAGCTCTGCAGGAGACTGGAATTTTGTGAGGAAGAAGAGCCAGTGTGGCTGGAGAAGCTGAAAACAGGATTTTCTGGAAAGAGCATAGGACACTTGGAGAAAATGGTGAGGATAAAGAGAAAGAATTCAGAAAAAATTTTCCATATAAAATCTGGTTTTATGGGTAAAATGGTAGTTCCTTTTTTAGCTCTTTGAAGAATCACCATACCGCTTTCCACAATGGTTCAACTAATTTACAATTCTACCAACAGTGTACAAGTGTTCTCTTTTCTTTGCAACATGAGGAATATAAGTCATTCTACCATAAAGACACATGCATGCAAATGTTCATTGCAGCACTGTTCACAATAGCAAAGACATGTCATCAACCTAAATGTCCATCAATGACAGATTGAATACAGCAAATGTGACGCATATACACCTTGGAATACTATGCAGCCATAAAAAAGAATGAGGTTATGTCCTTTGCAGGGACATGGGTGGAGCTGGAGGTCATCATCCTTAGCAAATTAACACGGGAACAGAAAACTAAATAATTCATGTTCTCACTTGTACATGGGAGCTAAATGATGAGAAGTCATGAACACAAAGAAGAGAACAACAGACACTGGCGTCTACTTTAGGGTGGAGGGTGGGAGAAGGGAGAGTAGCAGGAAAAATAATTATTGGGTACAAGGCTTAATATCTGGATGATGAAATAAACTGTAAAACAAAACCTTGTGACACAAGTTTACCTATATATTAATAACAAACCTTCACATGTACAACTGAACCTAAAATAAAAGTGTAAAAGTGTTGAAAAAATTCTGATTTGTATTAACGGGTAAAATGTTTGTGTCCTTCCAAAATTCATGTGTTGAAGTCCTAAGCCCCAGTGTGACAGTATTTGGAGGCAAAATGTGATAGTTAATTTTATGCATCAACTTGACTGGACTAAGGAATACCCCAATAGCTACCAAAGGATTACTTCTGGGTGTTTCTGGAAAAAATTAGCATTTGAATCTGGAGACTGAATAAAAAAGATCACCCTTACCAATGTGAGTAGGCGTGATCCAACCTGTTGAAGTCTGAATAGAATAAAAAGATGAACAAAGGGCAAATTTGTTTCTGTTTGATCTGAGACATCATCTCCTGCCGTCAGATACCAGCTCTCCTGATTCCCAGGCCTTTGGGCTCACACTGAATAATATTGTTGGCTTTTCTGGTTCTTCAGCTTGCAGAGGTCAGATGGTGGGACTCTTTGGCCTCCATAATAATTTGAGCCAATTCCTATAATATTATAATATGTATGTATGTATGTATGTATGTCTCCATCTATCTATCTATTTACTATTTATTCTGTTTTTCTGGAGAACACTGACTGATACATGGGACCTATAGTAGGTAATGAGATTTAGATTAGGTCGTGAGGGTGGGACCCCCATGGTGGAGTTAGTGCCCTTATAAGAATAATGAGAAGAAAGAGATCTCTCTCCAGCTTTACACACAAACACCGAGGAAAGACCACGCGACCACACATCAAGAAGGTGGCTGGCTGCAACCCAGGAAGCACCCTCATCAAACACTGAGTTTGCTGGCACCTCTAGCCTCCAGGACTGTGAGAAAGAAATGTCTGCTGTGTAAGTCACCCAGTCTATGATATATTGTTATGGAAGCCTAGTCGGCTAAACCATGCAGCCTCCATTTCCATCCCAATCTCCTCATGAAAACTTCAATAAAGCCTCCTGTTGAGACAAACTTCAAGGTGGGTGCAGGGCAAGAGAAAGAGCCTCCCAACAGGTTCACCTAGGAAATTCCTAGCTGTCCATAGTATAGTCACTCCCTCACCATTGCATCCAACCCCATCCCATCAAGATTGAGTCTGTAATGGGAACGAGTCTGGCTTATACATATATTTACTGTACTCGGCATTTTATCAGTTTATGTCTTTAAAAGAGAACTCAAATCAGAAAAGCTTCCAAAGGAATAAAGATCTATTGGCTTCTCAATGTCTTGTTTTCCGTATTGTTTACAAATACTTCCATATGAGGTGGCAAAGCAGACAGCTAAATTATTTATGTATATCAACTACCTACATTTTTTAGCCTTCCTTGCTCATAAGAATGGCCAATGAGACCTAAGGGGAAATTATTAGGTAGAGCCTCTGATAAGTTTTAAATAAAAAGACCTGATTTATTTAGCTGGGAGGTAAGCTCTGCTCAGTAGGAATGTTCTCCTTCCTGCTACCTGTAGTGCAGAGATAATAGGTACAATTGCAAAAATCATTTTTGTGACCTTGAAGCAACACTGAGGATGAAAATCACCTGTTAAAATTAGTGGGGGCAGATAGAAGTTGCTTGGGTCTCTGAGATATCTTTGACTTGCCATCATGCTAGCCTGATCTGCCTGTTTCTGGACTCATTTTACCTAAAAGAAA
This sequence comes from Homo sapiens, assembly GCF_000001405.40. Lineage (NCBI taxonomy): Eukaryota > Metazoa > Chordata > Mammalia > Primates > Hominidae > Homo > Homo sapiens. The sequence continues at coordinate 12,788,903 of NC_000004.12, read as the reverse complement.
AACTGAACTCTCTTTTTTTTTTTTTTTTTTTTGAGAAGGAGTCTCACTCTTGTTGTCCAGGCTGGAGTGCAATGGCACGATCTCAGTTCACTGCAACCTCCGCCTCCCAGGTTCAAGCTCTTTCCCTGCCTCAGCCTCCCAGATAGCTGGGATTTCAGGTGTGCGCCACCACGCCTGGATAATTTTGTATTTTTAGCAGAGATGGGTTTTCACCATGTTGGTCATGGCTGGTCCTGAACTCCTGACCTCAAGTGATCCACATGCCTTGACCTCTCAAAGGGCTGGAATTACATGTATGAGCCACCACGCCTAGCCTGAGTGTTGAGTACACTGTTACATGCAGCCAAATTGAATCCTCACTGATACGTCTCTGCTCTTAGTAGTCAATCCATTCTTGCCTCTCCAAACAGTGAGAACTGACTTCTCTTTTTTAGAGGGTTTGTTTAAAACAAAAGAAGCAAACCCAATCATCTTCACTGAAATTAGTAGCAATGTATTATCTAATACTAGACGAGTACAAAGTTACAAAAGAGATATTACCCACAAAAAGTGAAAAATATGTCATTTACTGTGAGCAAGACCTGCCCATATTCTCTCTAGCATGACATCTTTTCTGTTAGGGATGCCTAGTTTTCCCACGTCTAGCATGTGGCTTGTGAAGGAAACTAGAGGGAAATTAGAATTAGTTCTCAGGTGCGGAAGTAGCAGTGACCTATGGTCTCTGACCTGGGAGAAAACTTTTCTTTCTTTCTTTTTTTTTTTTTTTTTTTTTTTCAGTTTCTGTAGGACTAAACAACTGAAAAGCTAAAAATGACCTTTAGATATAGCTCTTTAATGGCAAGCATGCAATTATTATTTGTCAATTAAAAATAAAATTAAAGCCTGGGAGCGGTGGCTCATGCCTATAATCCCAGCACTTTGGGAGACTGAGGCAGGCAGATCACAAGGTCAGGAGTTTGAGACCAGCCTGGCCAACATAGTGAAACCCTGTCTCTCTCTATTAAAAATGCAAAAATTAGCCAGGCATGGTGGTGGGTACCTGTAATCCCAGCTACTCAGGAGGCTGAGGAGGGAGAATCGCTTGAACCTGGGAGGCAGGGGTTGCAGTGAGCTGAGATCCCACCGTGGCAGTCAGTTGAGATCCCGCCATTGCACTCCAGTCCAGGTGACAGTGTGAGATTCTATCTCAAAATAATAATAATAATATAAAAATTAAATTAAAAAAATCAAAGCTTCTCTCCTTTGATTTTTCACTCCTTTAAAAAATTAATACAATAATAATAATAATAAAGGGAGGGAGCTGTTATTTCTTGGTTCAAATCAAGTGGCAGAAAATTCTGGAATCACTGCCTTGTTGCCAAACTATTTGACATCAATAAATGGCAAACAGTCACTAAAATTGTGTTTATCTTCCAAGGACAGAGCAATCAAGAGGGATGCTATGCTGCCAAGATCTGTGTGGGCTGAAAATCAAACTATTTGTAGTTCCGAAGCCTTAGGGGACCCAATTTTCAAAATGGCAAATAAGAAGCTGGGTTAACATCAAGAGTGCTGACCATTAGAAAAAACCTCATGGCATATGCAAACAGAAAGTGGATTTGGATGCAGAATTAGGTTTTTAAGTTGGGAAATGTACCTCAGCAAAAATTTTTAGCTACAATATAAAACCACTGATTTAAAAAAAATCAATTTAGGGACAGTCAGGGTGATTCATTCCTATAATGCCAGCACTTGCAGAGGGTAAGGAGGGAGGATGGCTTAAGCCCAGGAGTTTGAGACCAGCCTGGGTAACACAGCGAGACCCTGTCTCTACAAATTTCTTGATCCCAGGAGACTGACATTGCAGTGAGCTCTGATTGTCCCACTGCACTCCAGCCTGGGTGACAGAATGAGATTCTGTCTTAAAAAAAAAAAAAATCAGTTGAAATTAAACAAGATAAAAAGTAGCTAATATTTATTACATGCTGAATTTATGTCAGGCCCTGGATGTTTTATGTTTATTATTTTATTTAAACTTCCCTAAAATCACACAGCTCAAATCTGGAAAGCATAGCTTTGAACTTGGGTAGCAGGTGGTTTGCCTAATGACTTGTGTGGACTCTGCTGTAAGCACGAACTCCTGGAGAGTGCTACCACCATCTCATGATAGTATGCCTTCCTAGGTGCTGTCCCTGCGCAATACAGTCAGCCCTCAATATCCCGGGGTCCAGATTCGCAGATTTAACCAACAGCGGATCAAAGGTATATGGAGAAGAAAGAAAACAATAAAACAACAAAAAGTAATACAAATAAAAAACGAATACAGTATGGCAACTATTTACATAGCATTTTTACATTGTATTAGGTTTTATAATTAACCTAGAGATGACATAAAGTACAGAGAAGGATGTGTGTTGATTATATGCAAAGACTACATGATTTTATATAAGATACTTCAGCACCCAAGGGTTTTATTATCAGTGATTCCCCTGGAAACAATCCTTGGAGGATACTGAAGGAAGACCGTAATTATCAGGTAGTTGTAGGTCATGGGTATTGTGTATGACATTTTAAGTCTTCTGTCTTCTCACAAAGTTCTGTTCATCTGCCACTGGTAGACTTCCTTCTTTCCTTCCTTTCTTTTGTACTTACTAAGCACAGAGAGCCAGTTCTCAATATCAACAGTAGTTACATTCACAAACACTGAATTCACGAATGCGGAAACATCGCTTTTAGGGGAAATACAGAGCTAGGTTTCTCTGTCATGAGATTTTCACCAACCTCTGGTCACAAGATTTTCACCAACCAACCAATACATAGTCTTTGTTTTCTGAGCATTTTCTTTAAAGACACTTTACTAATTGTGTATTGTTGTTGCATTAACACTGAACTCCCAGCCAACAGCACTGTAACTCATGCCTGATCAAATATATCTATTGCATGATGTTTTCTCCATAAGGCACATTACAGCCTTCTTGCACTTAGGAACACTAGACAGCACCTCGCTTTGGAATTATTTATATAAAGAAATCACCAACAAAACACACATAATTGCATAACACAGACACTAGGTAGACGATGAGAAAAACACTTGTCTATAGTATGAGAGCTGAAAGAAGAAGGCAGAGTGTCACCTTCTGTTGACCTTGGCTGAGAAACCGAGACTGTGTGTCAGGAGACTCAAATTTTATCCCTGTGCAGGTCTGAGACTGACTGTGAAGGCACCATAAGTATTGATTTTGGGATCACAAATTAATTTTAGTCAGTAGGTGAATCCTCAAACACGAAATCAACAAATAATGAACATGAACTGTTCTACGTTCTGTGTACCGTGTGAGGCATGGAAGATCCAATAGTAAGCACATTATAATAACTGTTCCTTCTCATTAACTTAATATGTAGAGGGCGGCAGTTAATAATAAACAGTCCCGTATATATAAAGAGCTCTCGGAAGTATCATACTATATGACTTTTTGATTGATTTGTCAGCTAATTCATTCATGTAATTGTCCATTTATTTAAGAGAGCATTATTATCTCCCTACTACATGCCAATCACTGTTAGGCAGTCAATATATGTTAATGCTGCCAATTTACTTGTTTGGCCCCCTCTCTTGCCAATATGTAAGCTATCTGAGACATGGAGAGCACCTTAATTATTTTTATATTTCTTGCATGCATAGAGAATTATTTAATGGACCAGAGAGCAGAACTCCCAGTTTTCCACCAGGGCTCTGTTGTCATCTCTGTAAAATAAGAAAGCTTGACTAGACAGTCTCTATAGACCCACTGAAGTCTGAGTCTGTATGAGGCACTCTATAAATATTTGCTGTATTGATTTATGGGAAGTAGTCTCCCAGTGGTTGCAGATAAGACATATAGTGGTAAAAGTCTCTGATACCTCAAGTAGAAATGGCGTGTTTAAGTAGCAACAGAGTCAAATATCTGACTCTGAAGAGAGAATCTCTGACTTATCCTGACCTGGGGCTCCATAACTCTGAGTAAATAATAAAGATGCTATGTAAGCAGAGCAGGAGGTTCTCACGGTGAACGTGAAAGCCCAGGAGCCATATTCCAGCATATTATGGGTGGTTTATGGAGCACATCAGTTCATAATGTGAGACAAATGGGCACCAGAGACTCATGGCTGCAGTCCAAGTGGACCACCAAAGGAAGAAAAATGAAGGGAATGCCAGAAGGAGAAGACTGCAATCTCCCCTCTTTAGATCTTGAGTTTCTAATTCTTCAAAGTGTTTCTTTAGCAAAAGATTTACACTCCAATCACTTTACAGTTTATGACTCTTGAAATAAGACATGTAGGTGTTCATTTATTCATTCATTCATTTATTCATTCATGCATTTAACAAACATGAGTTTGAGCTCCTACTAAACGTCAGGTAATGTGATAGATATGGAGGTTACAGTGGTGAAGAAAACTCCGTATGGTCTCTGCATGAATGGAGTTTAGAATCTATTGGAAAGATATGCACTGGGAGAAGGCATGCTGCTATGGGAGCACAACCTGGAAAAACTAACCTTCCCCCAGGGGCCCCCCTCATGGCCTTTGGCTAGAGACAAAATTGGCATGATGAGCAGGGAGTTTTGGGATTTGGAAGGCGGATGGAGAAAAAACACTCTAAGCACAGAAAATACCTCTATGAAGAGAGAATTTGGCCCTGCTGAGGTATTAACAGACAAGACTGGAGGCTAGAGAGATGGTAGGAGGTGATTAAGACACTTGGGAAATGGCCTGGTGGGGTGGCTCATGCCTGTAATCCCAGCACTTTGGGAGGCTGAGGCAGGCGGATCATGCAAGGTCAGGAATTCGAGACCAGCCTGACCAACATGGAGAAAACCCATCTCTACTAAAAATACAAAATTAGGCTGGGCGCGGTGGCTCACGCCTGTAATCTCAGCACTCTGGGAGGCCAAGACGGGTGGATCACAAGGTCAGCAGATCGAGACCATCCTGGCTAACACGGTGAAACCCCATCTCTACTAAAAATACAAAAAAATTAGCCGGGCGTAGTGGCGGGCACCTGTAGTCCCAGCTACTCGGGAGGCTGAGGCAGGAGAATGGCATGAACCCAGGAGGCGGAGCTTGCAGTGAGCCAGGATCGCGCCACTCCACTCCAGCCTGGGCGACAGAGGGAGACTCTGTCTCAAAAAAAAAAAAAAAAAAAAAAAAAAAAAAATTAGCCGGGCAAGGTGGCTTATGCCTGTAATCCCAGCTATGCGGGAGGCTGAAGCAGGAGACTCGCTTGAACCCGGAAGGCGGAGGTCACGGTGAGACTAGATCTCGCCATCGCACTCCAGCCTGGGCAACAAGAGCAAAACTAAGTCAAAAAAAAAAAAAAAAAAAAAAAAAAAAAAAAAAAGACGTTTGGGAAAGAGGTGGGACCAGAACTTCGAAAGCCCTGGAAGCTTTTATTCCCTATTCAAAAAGAAGGTACTAGCGGATTTTAATCAAGGGAAAGACAGGATTAGATTTGCATCCTTAAATAAGCCTTGCTGCTTACTAAGTGAAAGTAAATAGGTTGTGGCTAGATCAGAGTGTTACATTGTAAATACAGATGAGGCTGTTGTCACAAGCTGAGCAAGAGACATCACTGGCTGGTGCTCAGACAGTTGTGAAGAAGCTGAAGAGATGTGTATGGATTCATTACAAGAAGTAAAATTGGCAGGACTTGATAATTGATTAGCAATGGGAGCAAGAAAGAGAAAAAGTATTACAATACGCAGCTATTGCCCTTTTGCTTTGTATGCTGGTAAGCTCTAAGATACAATTTCAGTCTGCATTTTATTTTTATGAATGAATAAAAACCTTTGGGCATGTGTTTCTGTTCATAAGCTCTCTTTTGCTTCATTTTACTGTTTAATTATAAGGTTTTTTTTTCTTTTGCCATATAATTTATATTTTTGTAACTCAATGCCACTTTTGAAATGAGATAGCATATATGTATATATTCATTACATTACAATATTCTCATTTATTAACAATGTTTTGACTGTCATAAAATCAGTTAATATATTCCATTAAAATAAAAAAATACATTTTAAAAACTCATTGTAGAGTGGCAGGAAAGGTGGAAATGGTGAGGAGAGGGGACAGCAGCAGTGGCTCAAAAACACTCCTTATTGCAACTATTCTTCTCATAAATCCCTCCTATCCCTGCCAAAGTCTCTCTGTACATGGGGCAACACCAGGCTCAATGATGGCAATAATTCATAGCCTGAAAGCTGTAGTGAATAGATAATAGATCTGAACTACTTCTCGAATCATGCCATCATCCTACATGAAAATATGTAGTAAACTGTTAGGTATTTATTAACACAAAGCAGTAAGCCATGGGTGTGGTGGCTGTGGATCAGAGCAAGCAGCAGTAAGCCAAACATGGAGAGGACATCCCAACAAACTCCTATTCAAATGTCAATGCCCAGGTATATAACCCTTTGTTTGTAAAGACTTTTTTCAAACCAGTCACCCACAGTACTTTGTTCATCTTAAAACTTAACACAAAATGGGGTTGAAGGGTTGATTAAACCATCATTTGTCTATGAGCTGACCTCAATTTTAGACTTGACAATAATCTGTAAATGAGTTTTTTATTGTCACAGAAATACACTGACAAGATTGAAGACATTAATCATACATTTACATTTTCCCAGTATTCCAATTCTAGTGCAAATTTCATGTCACTGGCTTTAAATATTATATTTTTAATTAATCTTGGATTTATCATGTAAATAGTACAATTCTATGTAATTACACTTTATTTTTATTTTTATTTATTTATTATTTTTTTTTTTTGAGACAGAGTCTAGCTCTGTCAACCAGGCTAGAGTGCAGTGGTGCAATCTTGGCTCACTGCCAGCTCCGCCTCCCGGGTTCACACCATTCTCCTGCCTCAGCCTCCCGAGTAGCTGGGACTACAGGCGCCCGCCACCATGCCTGGCTAATTTTCTGTATTTTTAGTAGAGACGGGGTTTCACCGTGTTAGCCAGGATGGTCTCAATCTCCTGATCTCGTGATCCGCCCGCCTCGGCCTCCCAAAGTGCTGGGATTACAGGCGTGAGCCATCGCACCCAGCCATTATACTTTATTTTTATAATTGTGATTTAGCACTGCCTTAATTTTTAATGTACCTCCAAAACCCAAAGAGATAGACGTCATACGGGAAATAATAAGAGATATAAAGGACCTACAATGCAAATAAGATTTCTACGTAACATCAAATAAACATATAGAAAATAATCAAACACATGACATGAGGAAATTTTTCTTTTGAGTTGGAGAAAGACTCGAATCTGTAGAATGAATAGTTTGATAAAAGATGATACATACCTAGGCATTTCCTGATAAAATTTATGCACTTCAGGGATAAAGATGAAAAGGTAGATGAATAGACAGAGAGATAGTTGGAAATGTAGACTCCAGAAACAAAGACACCCCCACTTCCAGAAACAAAGGGCAATTTAGCTATATAAAAAAAATCAAGAAACCAGTTTGGTAATTGGACAATGTAAAGGAAAGAGTAGAAAATAGAAGATAGTAAAATAATATCTACAAATATTTATGGAAAAGTAATGTCTCACTAACCATATTCCATCACCCCAATAGGGGAAAGGAAATGATACTTGCAGCTACTAAAATATTCAGAGCCTATCACCTACTAATACCACGGAAGAAATTACTAAAGCAAGGACTATAATCAAACAACAAATTATTCAGGAGAGAGACCTCAAAACTGAAATGAATAAAGATGAAAGAGAACAAGGGTGATTAGTATTTTCTCTCTGCTTCTGTCTTTATCATTGGTAACTGGTAGAAAGACTTCGGTTGAATTCATTTTTCCTAAACATCTCTGATAATAAAAATCAGGGATGCATCCCTAGGTAATTTTATGAATTCAGCAACTTAATAGAATAATCTGACTAACATAGCTCAAAAAAAAAAAAAGCTCACAGCATTTAAACACAAGCAGTATAGCTCAGGGCTTGCATTGCCTTCCTAAACACTGTGTTAATGAATTTTAACACCATGTTGAACATATATGTATATATAAAAATCAATATCAAATTCAAATGACCAGCAAACATACGCAACTCCTTTGTGGGTGGGTAAATGCAGATTAAAGCATATGAGATAGTATTTTCCATTTATTATTATGAAATTGTATATATATGCCAGACATTATTGATAATATCTATTTTCAAGAATACAAATAACCTATATTCACATATAATCAATGGATGTGGATTATAATGCTCTTTTGGAAAGGCAATCTGGAAACATTTACTAAAATATACATATAACTTTCAATGAAACAATTCCATCTTCGTCTATTCTTTTTTTTCTTTCTTTTTTATTTTATTATATTTTATTTTATTTTTGATACAGAGTCTCCCTCTGACACCCAGCGGCATGATATAGGCTCACTGCAACCTCCACCTCCCAGTTCAAGCTATTCTCCTGCCTCAGCCGCCTGAGTAGCTGAGACTATAGGCATGTGCCATCACACCTGGTTAATTTTGTGTTTTTAGTAGAGACAGGGTCTCACCATGTTTGCCAGGCTGGCCTTGAACTCCTGACCTCAAGTGATCCACTTGCCTTGGCCTCCCAAAGTGCTGGGATTACAGGCATGAGCCCCCATGCCCGGCTTGGACTATACTTTTTAACAATTAAATAACAATGTGTGAAAATATGTCTATTGCAGACTCTTTATAATGGGAAAAATGGAAAAGTATTAACAGTTCATGAAAAGTTGAAAATTTGACTTAGCTAGTTACACCAATAAATACAGTACTCCAACAAAAGAAGTAAATTAGGGTTATATTAGTTTACTAGAAGACATTTCACAAGATTTTTTAAGTGAGAAGCAAGATGTAGTGTAATATGTGTATTATAATTTGTATTAATCTGTTTTCACATTGCTGTAAAGACCTACTTGAGACTGGGTAACATTAAGAAAAGAGGTTTAATTGGCTCATGGTTCTGCAGGCTGTACAGAAGGCATGGATGGAGAGGCTCAGGAAACTTACAATCATGGTGGAAGGCAAAGGGGAAGGAACCACTTCCTACACGGCTGGGGGAGGAGAAAGAGAGAGAAAGAAGAGGTACTACACACCTTTAAACAACCAGTTCTCATGAGAACTCAACCACTATCACAAGAACAGCAAGGGGAAAATCTGCCCCCACGATCCAATCACCTCCCATTCAGACCTTCCTCCAACACCGGGGATTGCAATTAGACATGAGATTTGGACGGGGACACAAATCCAAACCATATCATTCCTCCCCTTGACCCTCCAAAATCTTATGTTCTTATATGGCAAAATACAATTCTTCCTTCTCTACAGTTCCTAAATTTTAACTCATTTCAGCAGTAACTCAAAAGTCCACAGTTCAAAGTCTCATCTGAGACAAGGCAAGGTCCTTCCATCTATGAGCCTATAGAATCAAAAGCAGGTTAGTTACTTCCAAGATACAATGAAAGTGCAGGCATTGGGTAAATACACTCATTCCAAGAGGAGAAATCAGCCAAAAAAAAGGGGGTTACATGACCAATACATGTCTGAAACTCAGCAGGGCAATCATTAAATCTTTGAGCTCCAAAATAATTTTCTTGAACTCCATGTCTCACATCCAGGCCTCACTGATGCAAGGTGTGGGCTCCCAAGGCCTTGGCTATAGTTCGATTTGTATAAAATAGTGACAACATTGCCCTATATATTTATAGGTTCATGCATATATATCTGTGTTTAGATGTGTGAGAATATATTTGTCCTTTTATAATTACATGAACATGGAGACAATACAGAAGAATTTATAAATTATTTACATAAATTAAGATAAAAATGATAGAGATGAAGAAGGATTGAACAAAAAATTAGCTGTGACTAATCTCAACTATCTGCAACCCTGTCAGCAGTGTTTCAGTTTAGGCTCTGCAAATGAGAGGCATTTGTACCCTATCCAGAAGATAAAAAGGAAGAAGCCATTATTAACCTTGGAGAGCATCATGTGGACAGACTGCACTGTGAATTTTGCCTTGCTTCTTGGAAAGCTCCTGAAAACCATTTCCTTTGGTGGGCAAGCGGCTGAGAATGTTGATAAGTGAGTGGTTTCTCTTACTCCTGCGCTTGCTGATTTCCTAAAGCTGGTTATGGTTCTACCCAACACCCTCCAGTAGTTTTGGAAACGTCTAACTCCGTGTGATAAAGTTTCTCCTAATGAAATAGCTAGAATGCTTTTCCTTTCTCTGATTGAACCAGTATTTTATTGTCACAATAATGCTGTATTATAAAAGACCGAAAACCAAATAGCTTAAAGCAATAAAAATGTATTATTATATAAGTATACATGTGCGATGGTGGTTTGCTGCACCCATCAACCCATCATCTAGGTTTTAAGCCCCGCATGGGCTAGATATTTGTCCTAATGCTCTCTCTCTCCTTGACCCCCACCCCCTGACAGGCCCCAGTGTGTGATATTCCCCTCCTTGTGTCCACGTGCTTTTATTGTTCAACTTCCACTTTTGAGTGAGAACACGTGGTGTTTGGTTTTCTGTTCCTATGTTAGTTTGCTGAGAATGATGGTTTCTAGCTTCATCCGTGTCCTACAAACCTGGATATTCTGCACATGTATCCCAGAACTTTAAGTAAAATAAAAATAAATAAATAAATAAAAATGTATTATTGCTCATGAATCCACAGACCAGTTTTTTTAGGTCTGTCCTGGGCTAGGCTGATCTCAGTTCAGCTCATTATGCAGCTGAGGTCAGTAGGTGGGTCAACTGGGATTAGATGGTACAGGATGGCTGGTCTAGGGTGATTCTCTTCTACATGGTACCTCATCCTCTAATAGGCTTACTCAGGCTTTTCACATAGTCAGTTGAGCCTAAGAGGTCAAAGAGAAGTACACAGGCCTCTTGAGAGCTAAGTATGGAATGTGTACACCATTACTTCTGCCATATTCCTCTAGTCAAAGTAAATCACAAGGCCAGCCAAGATTCAAAGCAAGGGGAATCATCTCCATGTGATGATGAGCAAGGCTGCAAAGACACATTGCAAAAAGGATGGATACAGAAAGAAGTGAAGAATTTGAGTCACTTTTTAAAATCAGTTGACCATATTGCCCAAGCCTTCTGTTAGGGAGGTAGAGAAGGTCAACAGAGAGAAAGAAGAAAGGGAAAGAATGCAAGAAAGCAAAGCATATAGAAAAAGCACAGCACATTATATAATCTTATTTATTTATTTTTAATTAAAAACATTTTAGAGATGGTGTCTTGCTGTGTTGCCCAGGCTGGCCTCAAATTCTTGAGATAAATCAGTTTTCCTTTCTTAGCCTCCTGAATATCTGTGACTATAGGCATGCTCCACTGTACCCTGCCTATTTATTTATGTAAAACTATCCCTATGTATATATATGCATGCATGCATAAGGAAAAAACTTTAAACCCCGATTTTAAGAAGAAATATAAAGTAAAATATTTCAAACCAGGGTAGTTTCTATATGGAATAGGATTGTGAGTGGGACTGTAATATAGAGGGGCTAGAGAATGAATGAGTTTGGAATGCCAGATACATCAGAGAAGAACAACTTAGTTCTAACTGGGGGTTTCGTAGAATAATGTTATGGACTAAGGTGAAGGAGGCAGGACTCAGCTCACTGAAGAATTTGTGAATTAGGGCTAAATGTGGATTCATGGGATGACTTCAATAGGAGAATGTTAAATTTACATTTGAAGTTCTAAAATATCACTTTGTGTACTGTTTGGGGAACAGAATGTAAGAGACATGAGAAAATATGAGACATGGGTTAGGAGACTGTTTTAGGAGTCACATGAGAGATAACAATGGTGAGAAAATGAGTGCTGCTAGTAGAGGTCGTGAGGATTGCATGGGATTGGGATATGTTTTGAAGTAAATTTGACAAGACTTGTTAATATATTGGATTTAAAAGGAGACAAATCAAATATAACTCCTAGATTTTTGCCTTGAAAAGCCTGGAACTGCTGAAGTCATTCAGTCAGATGATGAAGTATGAAGAATAGGCAGATTTTGGAGAAAAAATTAGGTTTTCTACTTTGATCATGGTAAGTACAAAATTATTATTAGAAATTTAAGTGGAAATAAAGAAGAAGTGTGAAGCTATAGGAAGTTATAAGTAGAGGTAAATGGTACCCTTGAGAGCAGCAATGGTGAAAGGAAGTGGATAGTAAAATCTGGGGTCACAAGCATCCAGTGATCTTGGGTTTTAGAAGAAACATGCAGAGGTAGAAGCAGGGGTAGAGATTTAGCCTACAGATACTATTTAAAAGCACAGGGATTGTTGAGATAACCTAACGAGAGTACATAGAAAGAGAAGATGCCCAGGAGAGAGAACAGGGAAGCCAACACATACAGTTCCATCAAAAGAAGCCAAGAAAAGGCAAGTAAATTAGAAGTAAAACTAGGATAAAGAAGTGCCACACAATCCAAGAGAAAAAAGTGCTTAAATGAAGATGGAGTTCTCAAGTATATCAAAAATTGATGAGAGATCAAAATGAAAAATAAAGAAGAAACATTGATTTAACAAAGTTCTGACACTGGGGGATCACCATGGCAAGGGCAGTTCATTTGACTAGTTAGAATAAAAAGGAGGACATAAAAGGAAGCAAGAAAACCATACACAGGAAAAAAAACCACACAACACTTTTGATACAACCTTATTTATTTATTTATTTATTTATATAAAATTATACATGTTAATCTGAGTATACATAAAAACATCTTTCAACCTAAATGTTTTAAGAGGAAATGTAAAGTAAAATCTTTTCAAGTAGGGTAGTTTCTGTACTGATAAGGACTGTGAGTGGGATTATGGTGAGAAGTAGAAGTTGTGGAGATATTCTGAGTTGAAGTTATAGCAGCAGCTATGAGAGACAAGGCTTTTCAGAAATTCTGCTGTAAAATCTTGCAGAGATATAGACTAGTAATGGGTGGGGAATGTGTGTTCAGGACAGAAATATTTTAAAACATGTAACATACTAAATCATGTTTACATACTCATGGAGATGACTGAATAGAAATGAAAAAAAAAAAGATAAAAAGAAGATACAAAGGTAAAGTGGAGAAAAAAGATGGGATTCAGAAAAAATAAAACCATTGGCTTTTGCTAGAAGCAGGGTCTCTTCATCTATAACAATAGAAAAAAAATGACTATATTGAAGGCAAAATGAAAAAGGTCCTCTTCAATTACTTGTATAAATAAGAAAGGTAAGGTCATCAGGAAAGAACAAGAGAGAAATGCCTATAGGAGATTTGAAAAGAAAAAGGAGCTATGAAATAATAATTCTTTGGAGATTGGAAAATCAAATGTACTTGGGAAATATGATATAATTTATTGAAGTAATAGTATCTGGAATTTTAATTATTAATGGACTATAAGACCATAGACATAGCATGGTTCTGTGCCATTGTTGTTTTCCAGCAATAATCCACTACTTAGTTACAAGAAGAATAAACAATTATTTTCTTTACCAAGAGTTTAAATTTTTACAGGAGGGAGGAAAAATCCAGGAGGGTGGAAGTGTTTATAAAGAGGAATCTTAATGATGGACAATGGAATCTAAGCTGCAAGGAAGGAAATAAGGGCAAGGTGGGTGGTTAGCAATTAGAAAATGGCCAAAAGATTGAATTTTCAATGAAAGAAAGAAGTAGCTAGAGATGGAAGATGGATCATAGGAGAGGCAAATCTGGAATGATGGTAGGTGATAGTCATGGGGTAGTGTGCTTACACTTGATATTTCAGAGACAGTGCCATTATTGCAACCATGGAAGCAGGTTGCAATCATGTACGTTGCTCCTACAGCCAGGAAGACATTGGTGTGGGATCACCAACAGAAGTGAGGAAGAACACCTACACAAGAATGGCAATAAGAGTGGGTCAAAAAATACAATGGGTCAGGTGCTAAGATAATCAATTAATTTGGAGAAGTAAAGGGGGACTCTTGGAGAGCAGCAATCGTGAAAGACAGTGGGCAGTAAAATCTGGTGTCACAAGCATCCAAGGATCTTGGGGTTTGAAGAAAAATGCGGGAGATATCATTTGGAAGAGCAAAGGGTAGTAAAGAGGTCACCTATGTTTCCTGCAGTGTTTCTTGGGATGTTAGAGAATAACCAGCCTTTACTAGAAATGGCTGCTCACCCAGTGGTGAGAGATGTCCCAAGAGCATCTGGTCAAGGAACTGCTTCTTGAACAGCTGGGATAAGAGAACTTACTATGACCAGAGTGGCAATGTCAGGGGACGTCAGATTCACTAAATGTTTGAGAAATGGTTGAGGATATCAGAGAGTTTGCTGGCCATTAATAATAAGTTTAAAGGATTACAGAATAAGGGCTTGCACCTGACCGAAGGCTCTACATAGCATCACGTGGATGAAGTTAGTGATAATCTGGGAGGCACAGGTGTCTGCTGTGACTGGGATGTGAACCACAGGCACATTAGACTCACCTTACAGGTGCTGGGTAACCAGTTTCAATCGCATGCTGGGGAGCCACGCAGTCTACTCTCTCCAGCAGCTCCTGATGAGGTGAAGGTTAGCAGGTGAGCAGAACTATCTGGTAGAAATTGCTTCCTTGGGCAGCTGGGACTTTGAATATTTATCCACTACCACAAAATGTTGTTAGTTTAAAATATACTAAATTCCTTAAATGCAAAGTTTGTATCATTTTTCTTTCTTTGTGCCTTTAGCAGCCCATAACCCAATGTTAGTTTCTTTTTTTATACTTAGTTTATTTAATTAAAATATGTATTGTATTTTTATATATTAGTAGCAATCTCCTATGCACTTTAAAAATATTAGCCTATTTAATCCTAACAACAATTCTCAGATATAGATATTATTATTATCCTGAAATTACCAATGGAGTGCCTGAAATATACAGAACTTATAAAACTTATCAAAGTCATGGCTCAAGTGGCAGAGCCGGTATTCAAATCCACACCGTCTGGTTCCAGAGTGCATGCTCTATCTACTCTTCTATGCTGAAAGAAAGAAAGAGTGAAGGAATGAATGAGTGGTAAGAAACATTGGAAACTTGCTAGAAGTCCTCTTAGCTAAAAGGGACTGGCCAGTTTATCATTTTAAACATCTCCATAGTATAGATGAGGAGGCTGAAGCTCAAAGGCATTCAGCAACTTTCCAAAATGTTCTCAGTAAGAGGTGTTAGAATAGGGGCTCACACCAGGATTATTTCACTGAAGATCAAAGCATATAACCGCATTTTTATGTTACTTTTACTGTCAGAAGACCAGATTATGATGATTAAAAAACATTATACATTCTGAATCAGTTGAAATATAATGCAAAGGAGTAAGGCAGATATTGGCTAAAATATCACTTCTGTAACAAATAAAGCTCATGTAAGAAAAATGTAGTCCCTCTGTTTGGACATATGACTCTGTATTGCTGCACTCCAGCTTCAGGCAGATTCATGGACCACCAGCATAAGGGCTGACAGGAAGTCATGAGCTCTGTGCTATGCAAAGCAGAAGAAAAAAGGAAGGGAGCTAGCCACACACGTCCAGGTTCTTTTTTGTTGTTCTTTGTACTGCATCCTGTAGTTTTTATCTTTATTTATTTTTAAACTATTTTATTGAGGTTTAATTGACACTCAGAAAGTAAAGCTGTGCATATTTAATGCATACAACTTGATGAGTTTGGAGGTAAGTACACATCCATGACTGTCAACCCAATCTATACAATCTATGCAATAAACCTACCCATACCCTCCGAAAGTTTTCTCCTACCATCTTCATAACAGTTATTGATTTTGTGATAAGCTTACCGTAAGATCTACTTTCTTACCACATTTTTAAGTGTGAATACAGTGTTGTTAACTATAGGCACTGTGTTGTACAGATACATGTAGGATTACTCATCTTGTATTAATTAACAGAAACTGTGTACCCTTTAAATGAAACCTCCTCATTTCCCCCTATCCCCAGCTCCTGACAATTACCATTCTGCTCTCTACTTCTATGAATTTGACTATTTTTGTTTCATCTTATAAGTTAGAATCATTTCGTACCTTTCTTTCTGTGTCTGGCTTATTTCACTTAGCGTAATGTCTTCCAGGTTCATCCATGTTGTTGCAAATGACAGGATTTCCTTCCTTTTTAAGGCTCAATAATATTTCATAGTATGTATATACCCCATTTTCTTTATCATTTCATCTATTGGTGGATGTTTAGGTTGCTTCTATGTCTTGGCTTTTGTGAATAATGCTGTAATTAACATAAGAGTGCAGATAGATACGTCTTCGAGATCCTGATTTCTGTTCCTTTAGCTCTATACCCAGAAGTGGGATTGCTAGATCACATGATAATTAAATCACCAATTAGATAGTCACCTCCTCTTCCTAGAGCTATAAAGAAGACAGAGGGGTCAGAGGGATTGTGCTAAGGTAGTTCTTTCCACGGAAAGGGATCGTCGGAAGAGGGATAGATCCCATTTCATCACTGCAACACAGGGAAACAACAAGGCAGGACAGCACTCGGTGAAAATTTGCTTCATGGTACGTTCAGCATCATTGTCTTGCACACTGGATACCTGAGTCTTCTACATTCATATTGTGACTTTTATTGTACAGTCTAAATGGTTAATTTAATGGAAACGTAAAATGAAAATGTCAGTTCTGGTCATTAGAGTTGCGTGACCTTTCTCCCTTGTCACTTGGCAAATTACTGTCTATATTTACTACTCTTGCACAAATATTATTTTCTCCAAGAGAACTTCTCTGAGCACTATGCACTAGTCACCAACTCACCCCCCAACTTCCTTTGATCCAATACATTTCATCTCACCCTGCTCCGTAACACCTATGAAGCAGGTGTGTGTTCTGTACCGCACATGTGCACATACAATTGCATCCTAAATTATTCACCTGATTCTTTGGCTCTGTGACCCCTGATGGCATCAGTAAGAGCTTCTATATGGTAGGCATCCAACAGAGCCCCCAGCAATTACTAGGCCCCTACACTGGACTCTTGATTGAATGACTGAATTGTGACTATTAAGTTGAATCCCATGAGATCGTTAGTTCAGTTCCTGTAGAAAGGCATAATTGTCTGATTGATTCAAATGAAAGGTGAGGAAATGGTGGTAAGTCGGAATGAAATAAGTAAAACAATTAGCAATAACTTTCCAAAAGGAAGTTTTATTTTCTATTTTAAAGGAAAAGATGATACATATACAACAGAGTATTAGATTCAACACTTTCCCACTTGAAAATTCAGTGGCACAGGGGCTAGACACAGTGTGTCACAGCTGTAATCCCAGCACTTTGGGAGGCCAAGGCAGTTGGATCACTTGAGGCCAGGAGTTCGAGACCAGCCTGGCCAACATGCTGAAACCCTGTCTCTACTAAAAATACACAAATTAGCCTGATGTGGTGGCAGGCACCTGTAGTTCCAGCTACTCAGGAGGCTGAGGCACAAGAATCGCTTGAACGCAGGAGGCAGAGGTTGCAGTGAGCCGAGATTGAGCCACTGCACTCTGGCCTGGGCGACAGAGCAAGACTCTGTCTCAAAAAAAAAAAAAAAAAAAAGAAACAAGAAAAAAAGAAATGGCTGGGTGCGATGGCTCATGCCTGTAATCCCCGCACTTTGGGAGGCTGAGGCGAGCGGATCACGAGGTCAGGAGATTGAGACCATCCTGGCTAACATGGTGAAACCCTGTCTCTACTAAAAATACAAAAAAAAAAAAAAAAAAAGAAAAGAAAAGAAAGAAAAAAAGAAAAAGTAGCTGGGTGTGGTAGCACACACCTGTAGTCCCAGATACTCAGGAGGCTGAGGCAGGAGAATTGCTTGAAAACGGGAGGCAGAGCTTGCAGTGAGCTGAGATTGCACCACTGCACTCCAACCTGGGTGAAAGAGTGAGACTCCATCTCAAGAAAAAAAAAAAATCTCAGTGCCACAGTATAACAAGTATAGTATAGTAGATACACACCAAATGATTGATCTATTGGTTAGAATATCTAATGTGTCTAGTTACATTTAAAATGTCAAAAACTAAGTGACTTATTCTATGACTCTTCCCTCATCATTTTTCTTCACCCATATTCACATTAGAGAAAAAAATATTCCTCTTCTACCAGATGGTAGCATAAATTTTCAGGTCAAGTGATATTAAAAATAGATAATAGCCAGGACCCCATGAGTCTCTACAGAAAGACTAAACAGTCACAATGGGGAATATCATTGTTTTGGTTTTCTTTATGAGCTTTTATGTACTCAGCTGCTTCTCAGGCAGACTTTTACTGCAGTGGGACCTGGATCATTCTGAATTCCGGTTCCACATCACTTCCCGTCCTTTACACTCTCTCAGCTCTGTGCCACACAAGTCAAGGGAAACAGCCTTGCAGCTGCACTCTGGTTCTGAATGTGCTCTCCCCCAAGGAGCTGGCTGGGTTTGAGTCTTGGAATCAGAATTCTCTAAGTTTTGTCTCTAGGTGCTGCTGTTTACAAACATTTTTCTATGTTAAGGAGCTTAGACTTATGTAAAAAATATAAAATGTGAAAATCAAGTTATTTCAAACCAACTTAAAGAGTTCATTTGGTTTTTCTTTAAAATGTGTAGTGATTATTACTGATTTTGATGAATAATTACTCTTGGCTAATATGTTCAAAACACATTTCAAATGCTACTCCTTTTAGGAAGTTTTTCAAATCCTCCAAACATTGTCTGCTCTTTCTAACATCCCATCCTTTCATCTGCATTTACTCGTATGTCCAAGAAACACTTGCTCAATAGAGCAGTCTATGTCTGATTCTTCTTAGTGTCTCTTTCAGTGGCTGTGGAAAAGGAAGAAAGCACCAGCTTACGTTGGCTAATTTTTATTGAAATAATCTATGATTTGTTCATAGTTTTGATGCTGTATATTTAAAATCTTGAGTTACTAATGGTGAAGTTGGAACCACCATTTTATTATTTTAATGCAGATAATCTTTACTTTTAATTACCGATATTTATTTCTAGTGTGCTTACTAGAATCACTACTAAAATTTAAAAAATGGAGACATGAATTAAAAATGGGATAAAACCAAATAATAAGTAAAATATTATCAAAGTTTCATAAAAGGTATAATGTAGATGGACCCTAGAGATACTTTGTAGAATATTCTTACTTTATGGATGAAAAATATAAAGGCTGGAGTGTAAGTGAGTTATACCAGATCACACAGTAAATCAGTGCTTGACTCTAGGCTAAACTGAGGTTTTAAGAAAAACATTACCTAATGCAGTCAGACAGGCATGAGTTTTCTTTGAATTTTATTTCTATTGTGTGTCCTTGGACATATGATTCGAAATCCTAAAGATTACGTTTTTCATTTGTGAAATAAGGCAGCAATGCCAACTCCAAAGCATTCGTATGAGGATGAAATGATATGACATACAGCAAAGCACCTGGTGCTCAGTAATAGATGTTAAATAATTGTTAAGCGCTGTGAGAACATTAATAGCTCATATAATTAAGTGGCCACCATACATATAGGTTCTGATACTCAATAAACATGTCCCTCTTTAATTCTTCCTTTGTGTCTGATACCTACCTTATAATCAAACTTTGCCAAGCAGCCATGGCTTTTTCCTAAGAAGTATATGCAGCAGACATGTCAACCACTAACTTTAGTAGAGAGACAACACTTCATACATAGCCTTCAAGAGGTCCCACCCCTTACACCCATATAATTTATACCACCATTGATTGTACAATAGGTGACACTGATCCAACATGGCGATGGAATCCTCTCTGAAAAATTAAGAACAGTAGCACTGAGAGAAGGAATTGATGAGAATAGTGGACATGGAACCAAGAATTCACATAGAGTTGGATCCATTGTTGGCAGTATAAGAAGCTAAAGCTTCAAGGAAGGAAGAGAAGAGAGGAGAGGAGAGGAGAGGAGAGGAGAGGAGAGGAGAGGAGAGGAGAGGAGAGGAGAGGAGAGGAGCTGTTAGTGAAACAGAGAAAGCCAATTGCAGACAAAAGCAGAATGGAGAGGCTAGAATGAGAGACACAAGACAGATAACAATAACAGCAGCTCTTAGAAAATAGATTGGCTTTGACATGAGAGACTCAGCAGTGTCTTTTTAATAAAGCATGCTTCACTTAAGATAATCAGAGCAGATTCTCCTTCTGGTAACCAAAATATTATGGCTATAACTGTGTATTAGTGGTACAGATAACTTTTCAATGGCAAACAAGAGAAAGAAAAGATTCATTCCAAGTCAGAAATGTACTGGCACCACTCACTCTAACTCAGAAATGTTTACTTTAGTCCCTTTCAAATGTGACATCTCTTAGTTTCTTTATAAGCTTACAGGTTTTTGGTACAGGAAATAGCTCTTACGCCCTCCCCCATCCCAAACCTGGCCCCTTCTTGTTCCTTCTCTGAATTCTTGAATGGTGACCATGTGAGCTATCACCAAATGTGTGGTCTGAGCCAGCCTTTGAAGATTGCCATAATGATCTTTGCTGACTTCTGCCCTGTGCTTTTATTTGGAACCCCTGGTTGGCTGTTTGCTTTCCTAAATGTTAGCAGACTCGAACTGATGAGTTTTAAGTGCCTGCAGTGATCAACACCAGGTCCTTTAGTTTTGTATTTACTGTATATATTAAAAAGTAAAAGAGAATATGTCAGTATAGAGAGCATCCCATGTCCTCCCTCTTTCCCTTCCTTCTTCTCTTTCTTCCTCCCTCCGTCCTTTCCTTCCTTCCTTCATTCCTTTTTCTCTTCTCCTTCCCTTTCAGTCTCCCTCTCTTAATTTTGCCATTTCCCAGTTTTGAACATAGCTATGTGATAATAATAAAAATGTGAACTTTTTCCTATAATTTCAATATAATATTTATTATAATTTTTTTAAAAATTGGAAATATAAAGAAAAATAACAGAATTTTATCATGCAGAAAAATTATACTTAACACTTTAACATATTTGTTTTTCTTTCCAGGATTTTGTCAGATAGATAAATAGATAGACGCAAAAGGAACAGTGGAATAGTGTATATTTTTTGTTTTTTTGTGTTTATCACTTTTCATATGATATGCATATTTCTCAAAGTTAAATATTCCTCTTAGAAATTATTATCTTTAATAGCCGAATATTTTATCATATAGATGCACCATAATTTAATACATGTCTTACTTTAGCAAATAATTCTTACTTTTTTAGATATATGAAATGTAATGAGCAGTTTTCATAGTTTTTTAAATAAAAATTCAATGTATATTTGATGTTCCCTAGGATAAACTAATACAGTACAAACAAATTTACAGGTTTATGTTTTATAAGCCTTTTAGGCACTATTGATATGCATTTACAGACTTTCACAAAGCTTACTACAGGTTAAATTTGAAAATATCATTAAAAAGTACATATCTCAAAGGTAAGATATTAAGTGTAATTAGTAATCATTAATTTGTTTCAAAAAATTATTAATAAGAACAAATAAACATGAGGAAAATGTCAACTTCCATATAACAAATTACATCCTCAAAGTATTTATAGTACACTAATAGAGAGTCTTGCTAGAGATAATTTTATTCTTAAAAATAGTTTCAAGATATAAGAATATTTTTATGTCAAATAAAAAATAAGTTTCAAAACATTTTTGTGAATAGATGCTATACAGTAATAATAGACATGCATTTAGATGGTAGTAATGAATGAGCTCAGACTTTGGAATAAGACAGATAAGGAGAGATTAATACTTGTTTTAAGGTAAGAAAAAGAAAATTGCCTTCAAATTAACAATGACAGCATAAGCATATGAATCATCTTTATTTTTCTGTTCCAGAAATAGATTAATATTTAAAAACATATATTAAACGTACATGGTCATGCATAAAAACCAGAGCAAAATTGTTTTGAGCTATCAGAAAATCCACAGTGGTGAGTAATAAATAAAGAATAATAAAATTGTTTGAACTAAAACCTCTATAAATGAAAATGTAACAATGAAACTAAAAGCTCAATGGATAGATTAAAGAACAGATTACATAAAGTTGAAGAGAGAAATTTTAAAGTGGAATACAAAGCTGGAGAAATAACTTAGAGTGTGGCTCAGAGAAGCAGAAGAACACCACGAAGAGAAGTTAAGAGGCATTGAGAATAAAATGAGAAGCTCTAACATCTTCTTGTCAGGGTTGCAGAGGCCATACCAAAGATAACAGGAAAGAGACAATGGTCAGAATGGTAGAGGATAATAACCTCACAGAATCGTTGAAAAAAAAAATATTTAGATTATAAAAGCACAATGAACACAACGCAGGACGAATTGAAGGAACTCTTCACTTATAAAACATTTAAAGACCACGAAAAAGAGACCCTAAGAGCAGCCAGGAGGGAGAAAAAGAGACTAAATACCTACAAAAATGTCTATAAGACACATAATGGACTCATTTGTAGCAAAAAATAAAGACAGAAGAAAGTGAAATAATTTTTAAATATGCCGAGGAAGTAATATTTACCAATCTAGAATTGTATACACATGTAAAATATCTTTTAAGAATCAGAGTAAAATGAGACATAAAAATGAGAACTTACCAGTTACTAAAGACAATTCTGAAGGATGTAGTACTTTAGGCAGAAAGACAATGGTTCTAGATAAAAAATCTCAAATGCAAAAAAGAATGGCAAGAAAATATACCAGTTAGTTTGTGGATAATTTCAAACACTGGCATAAAATAACGATAATGTCTAATTTGTGAGAAAACACAGAAAAAGAACTAAAATACTAAGCAAAAATAATATATAATTTGGGAAATAGCGAATGGATTTAAAGTAATCTAAGGTTTATTACTGTAGTCATTTTATTATTTTGAAAGAGAGTGAAGACGCTGATTAATTTTAAATTTGTTAGGTCAAGGATAGCTAGTCATACAGTTCCTCTAATCACTAGAATAACATGCACAGAGTATATTATTTACAAACAAGTAGAGGGGAAATATGGAAGGAGAAAAAGAAAAAAAATCGATCAACACAAAAAGATGGCTAGAAAGGAAGAGAAGTGAGAAAAGATGAGGCAGAAAGAAAACACACAATAAAATAGTTAAACTCAGTTCAGATAAAATAGTTACTGTAAAAAATGTGCAGGGACTCAACAATTTAGTTAAGGGGAAAGTTGTCACTGTGGATTTGAAACAAATTCCAGCTTTATGTTGTTTAGGAAAGACATATGTAAAATACACAGAAATAAAAAGGTTAAATTCAAAAGATGAAAAAATATTTACCATGCACATGCGAAACAAAAAAGTTGATTTAACCACATTAATATCAGACATAATATAATGAAGACATGAAATATGAAATAAATAAGTTTTTAAAGTTTAATAACTCTAAATAGTATATGATTGTTTAGGATATTATATATTCTACAAATAGGCTATTTATGTTATATACTATATAATATATATTCTAATAATTTTCTTATTTTAATATATTCCATATATATGGAATATATATATAGCTTATTTATAGAATATAATGATAACTATATATATTCTATTTATATATGGAACATATATAAATGAGGAAATTATTAGAATGAATTTAGGTTAGGTGTTAACTCCAGTGGCAGTGGCAGGAATAAAATTCAGCTGGGAAGGGACCTGAAAGGGGACTTCCAAGAGACTGGTAATATACATTTGAGTCAGTACAGTGTATATAAATGATAATTTATCTTTTAACTCAAAATTTAAGTTTACATTTAATTTTTTATATATTTTCAAACATAAAATAGTATTCTAAAGGATGAAATGTTTTCTTTAGAATGATTCAAGGAAACCATCGAACAAAAATTGGTACATTTGACAAAGAAGCAATTGACAGCCTTGGAAATGGCAAATGTACCTCGTGAAATGTGTTTTAAAAATAAGCTGACTAAATACTGAGAAAAAACAGCACTGATAGTAGAGTTAATGGGTTTTACACTAAACCTGAAGATCCAAATGCAACACAGATTCATAAAAATATAAAAAATATTAAAGAGAACTCAAGACATAGTTTGAGAAGCTCTATCATAGATCTACTAGATGGTGTGGAAAGGGAGAAAAGTTTAAAATCTGTACATTGAAAAGTTTTCTCAAGTGTGAATAAAATATTTTTAAAAAAATATATATTTGGATGCATTGTATAAAATTATAGAACCATAAAAATTTAAAAAGAATCCTAAATACAATGTAAGAAAATAGACTTATAAATGTCTATAGAATAGTAAATTCAGATTAAAACTAGATTTCCCATGAGAAGTGATGGATGCTGAAGAGACAGATTAACAAGGATAAAGTAATCAGGGTAAACAACTACACCAAGTTGTGATTCTGAATTCCTTTAATAGCGAAGGCAAATTAAAATAATATTTAGACACACAAATAACAAAATAATTACCCACAGATCTTGGTTGAAAAAAACTACTAAAGGACGGTTTTCAGCAAAAATAAAAATGGAATATTTTAGGTTTAAGGTATCAATCCATCAAAAAGATGCACTTCTAAATTTGTATCCTCTTGATAAGATAGCTTCATAATACATGAGTCAGAAATTAACAGAAAAAAAGAATAACATTATAATCACGTTTGATAATTGTGTTATATACATCTTCAACATTCTGATTAAATTTTGACTGCTTTACATGTCATTTACCAAAAGATGTGGTTGAAAATCTAAAATCTCCCACTATGATGGGAATTTGGGTTTCATTTATATATATCTTTTAAATCTGACCATGTGCATACCTTATTATAACCCCACAATTTTAATCACCAACAAAAATGCTTACATACATAAACCAAAAATTATGTTCAAGCATGTTCATAACAGGTGGGCGCAGTGGCTCACGTCTGTAATCCCAGCACTCTGGGAAGCTAAGGCAGGAGGATTGCTTGAGCACAGGAGTTTGAGACCAGCCTGGGAAACATGGTGAGACCCCATCTCTATAAAACAAACAAACAAATAACAATTATCCAGGCGCGGTGGAGTGCACCTGAGGTAGGAGAATCACTAGAGCCCAGGAAGTGGAGGCTGCCGTGAGCCCGTTCACACCACTGCATTCCAGCCTGGGCGACAGAGCAAGAACCTATCTAAAAAAAAGTTCGGCCGGGCGCAGTGGCTCACACCTGTAATCCCAGCACTTTGGGAGGCCGAGGCGGGCGGATCGTGAGGTCAGGAGATCGAGACCATCCTGGCTAACACAGTGAAACCCCGTCTCTACTAAAAAATACAAAAAAAAATTAGCCGGGCGTGGTGGCGGGCACCTGTAGTCCCAGATACTGGGGAGGCTGAGGCAGGAGAATGGCGCGAACCCGGGAAGCGGAGCCTGCAGTGAGCCTAGATCGCGCCACTGCACTCCAGCCTGGGCGACAGAGCGAGACTCCGCCTAAAAAAAAAAAGTTCGTAACAGCATTATTTGTAAGGTATCCAGATGGAGACAACCTATGTGTCTAACCACCGAAGAAGGGATAAATTAATTCTAGTATATTGATATAATGCAATACTACACAACAGTGGAAATAAGCACACCTCACACACATCATAATGTTGAATAAAAAAGCTAAATAGTGTATGATTTCGCCTACATTTAGTGCAAACACAAGCTGTACTAATCTGTGGGACTCAAAGTCAGAAAAGGGGTTGTATTTTGGGAGAAGGTGTTAGTTCTAGGTGAGAAAAATGAAGGAGATATTTGGGTGTCTTAATCTGGCTGGTGGTTACTGTGTTACAAACTCAAGTTGTACCAGGGCAGTAAGTAAAATATTTATTTAAAAAATAGAGGTATATGGTTTAAACAGTCAGCTAATTCTGTAAGTTTGTTTATTTTATCTTACAAAATGGCAGCCCACAGTCCTCCACTTCCAGTTTCATCATCCCAGCCACTTTATCTTTTTCAACTCATTATTTTTGTATTATGTGTAGGTCTCTAAATATCATATGTTTATTGCTACTTTCATTTTTTAGTATTCTGTATTATCATTTGACATGCACCAAATAGATAAGAAAATAACTTCCTTTCCAGATGACACCATTTCACCACATATACACATCCTTAACAAATCCCTATAATTTCAATGTAGTTATAAAGTAATTTGGTTAAATCAATATTCAGCATTTGTAAAATTACAACTATTTAAGTGCTACTCATAATTGAGCCAAATGGTAAACCTCAGTAAAATTTTCCCCTGCATAATTTTTTTCATCAAAATTAATATTTGTCATTTATTTACAATTCAAAAATGTTTTGGAGATATTCAGATGAATTAGGTATTCTGTCAATTTTGCATTCCTAATAAAATGACCACCACAGTTAACCTGAGCTCTGTCTTCACCGTTTGGTGTTTCTCTTGCCTCACATTTCTCTTGTGACCAGATCTCTTATTTCTATAAGTCATATGTTTCTTTATCTATAAGTTGTATGTTACTCTTTTATTATTATTATTATTATTATTATTATTATATTATTTTGCTGAGCAAATTCTGAAGTAGCTACCTGAAATGAGATGGGTGTTTTAGAGATTATTCTGAAGAACATGCATCTATAAAATGATCTTTCTTCCACCTTGACAATTAATTTGTGGCTGAGTATAGAATTCTAGTGATTGAAAATCACTTTCTTTCAGGAACTTGAAGGCTATTTTTTTGCCATCTAGATTCCAATGCTGTTATTTAAAGCTATTTTGATTCTTGATTCAGTATATAGGACCTAAATTATTTATTGGTCTAGAATCCTACAGAAATTCCTCTTTGTCCTGACTGTTTGAACATTTTCTGATGTGCTTTGCCCTACGTAAGAGAATGGCAAAATTTTTCTGTAAAGGGTTTGATATAGCTTGGCTCTGTGTCGCCGCCCAAAATCTCAACTCTCATAATCCCCACCTGTCAAAGGCAGGCCCAGGTGGAGATGATTGAATCATGAGGGTGGTTTCCTCATGCTGTTCTCGTGATAGTGAGTGAGTTCTCACAAGATCTGATGGTTTCATAAGAGTCTGGCATTTCCTCTGCTTGCACTCGCTTTGTCCTGCCACCCTGTGAAGGTGGCTGCTTCTCATTTGTCTTCCACCATGACTGTTAAGTTTCCTGAGGCCTCCCCAGCCATGCAGAACTGTGAGTCAATTAAACCTCTCTCCTTTATAAATTATGCAGTCTTAGGTATTTCTTCACAGCAGTGTGAGAACTGACTAATACAGGGTCTGGTAATAGATATTTCAGGCTTTGTGGGCCATGCAGCCTGTGCTACAACTACTCAACACTGTCATATTGTAAAAGCAGCCCGTGGACAATACATAATCACATGGGCATGAATGTGTCCCAATGAAACATTTTTTTTTTTTTAAATAGGTGGCAAGCTGGATTTGGCCCATGGGTCACATTGCCAACATTTTACCTAGGTCATTGTTTATTGTTTTAAGCATTCTGTGGGTCTTTTTAATTGAGAAACTCGTATCCTTTAGTTCTGAGAAAATGTTGTTTTACTATTACATTTTTAATTTCCTGCTTTTAATTCTTCTTTTTTCTCCCTCTGAAACTCTTATTATTTACATATTTGTTCTTCTGAAATGAACTTTCCAATTTTATTTTGCATATTTAATATCTGTGTTTCATTTTTGTTTTGACAAAATTATTCATATTAATTTTTCCAAATTTCTATTGTTTTTAAAAATTTCAAAAAAATAAAAATTTTCAAATAGCTCTTATTTTATAATAATTGTTGTTTTAATGCACACTGTTTTTCTTTCGTGACTGTAATATCTTCTCTTAACTCTAGAAACATAAACGATATCAATGCATAATCTTATTTCCTGCAAGTTTCTTGTCTTCTGTTTGTTTTATAAAAATCTTTTATATAAGTTTTAATCAGATGATTTGCAATTCTTATTTGTCAAATATTATTTAAAAATTTGGGAT
The DNA here is from genome assembly GCF_000001405.40 of Homo sapiens. Lineage (NCBI taxonomy): Eukaryota > Metazoa > Chordata > Mammalia > Primates > Hominidae > Homo > Homo sapiens. Next base: position 12,760,978 of record NC_000004.12, on the reverse strand, counting down.
TTGGAAGCTTTAAATTATACAGTGGATCCTGTGATATATTAACCTCATCCAGAAGATATCTAATAGGGCCTGTTAGTTGTAAAACTTTGAATGTTGATACCTTTGTGCCTTTTCTCTCGGGCTGGTGAGACTGCCCAGAAATTTCACTAAAATCCTACTTGGAGAGTGAAGGTTCTGGCAATGGTGGTGGGAACATTGGTTTCTAAGTAAGAAAAGCACACCAGGATGCTCAACAGCCAGACCACAAATACTAACTAAATCTCCTTGTTTTCCCTTTTCTACCTCCAACCTTATTAATACTTCCTGGCCCCAAGACCATAGGCCCTTTTCTCCGGAGAAGTAATATACAATATTTTGCCAGACCAAAGCAACAGTAGTCATTTAACTTTATGAAATGAGTGGGGGATGTTTAGAACTATAAAAAACTTTCCACCAATTTGCTTTATTATAGCCATGTTATCTTTCTTTCCACTGACTCATTACCAGTAATCAAGGGTCACAGATTAATGAGCCTTATATAATTTTTGTTGTATAATGCATTTTGATCTCATTTTTCCTTCTACTGATTTATGATTGAGTTTCCCTGGAGCTGTTGATTATTTTATTATCAATTCACCTGACTTGTAACTTCTCAGATTGTGCTAATGTTCTATCTTCTTTCATTTTCTACATACTTGTGGGTTTACTGCTCATTTAAATTCGGACATACCAACAATCACACAAACATCAGTTTTAAATTCCCATTAAACAGTAGAATCTCAGAGTGGTTAAATACAACCAGGCTATATAATAATTATAAAATATATGCTTAAAGCCAAATAAAAGAGAACTTAAAAATAACTGAATACAAACATATACAAATAATAATGGAAATAAAGTTTATTGTTCAGTTTATTAAGACTTTACAAACACTGTTAACAGATCCATTTTATTTGTATAGGTAACTCTCAATAAAAATATAATAGTCATAAACATATTTGTTCCTAACAACATAGACGGTTGTGTGTGAAGTAAACACTTAACAGAATTCATGGGAAAAAGAACAGATCTTATATCATAGCAAGAGATTTTAACATACTTCCTTCAGAATCTAAAGATAAAATAGAGCAAAAGTAATACAAAAAGTAACTTTATATACACTCAAGTGCTGCATAACAGCATTTGGGTCAATGACAGCCTGTGTAAATGATGATGTCTTATAAGATTATAATAGAGCTGAAAAATTCTTGTCTCTTAGTAAGGTGATTGGCATTGTGACATTGTAGCACAATGCATTACCAACTTGTTTGTGATGATGTTGGTGTAAACAAATGTATTAGTTCATTTTTATGCTGCTAATAAAAACATACCTGAGGCTAGGTATTTATACAGGAAAGAGGCTTATTGGACTCACAGTTCCACATGGCTGGGCAGGCCTCACAATCATGGTGGAAGGCAAGGAGGAGCAAGTCACATCTGACATGGATAGCAGCAGGCAAAGAGACAGCTTGTGCAGGGAAACTCCATCTTATAAAACAATGAGATCTCATGAGACTTATTCGCTATCTGGAGAACAGCACAAGAAAGACCCATCCTCATGATTCAATTACCTCCCCCCAGGTCCCTCCCACAACACATGGGAATTGTGGGAGCTACATTTCAAGATGAGATTGTGGAGGGGACACAGTTAAACCATATCAACAAATGTATTGTGTTGTCATTGTATGAATTATATAGCACATACAAGTATGTAGAGTACATAATACTTGATAATTATAATAAATAGCTATATTATTGGTTTATGTATTTACTATACTATATGTTTACCATTATTTTATAGTGTACTCCTTTTACTTATTAAAAAAAGGTTAGAATAAAACAGCCTCAGACAGATGCTTCAGGGAGTATTTCAGAAGGCATTGTTTTCATAGATGATAGTTGCATTTGCATTCTTCCTGAGCACCTTCCAGTGTGATAAGATGCAGAGGTGGCAGACAGTTATTGATGATCTCAGTCTTGTGTAGGCCTAGGCTAATATGTGTGTTAGTGTCTTCATTTTTTAATAAAAAAGCTTAAAAAGCAAAAAAAGAAAGAGAAAAGCTTATTGAATAAGGATATATAGAAATAAAATATTTTGCTACAGCTATACAGCATGCTTGTATTTTAAATTGTTATTACGATAGAGTCAAAAAAGTTAAAAAAAATTGAAAAACATTATAAGGTAAATGTTATAGTAAGCTAAGGTTAACTTGTTTTTGAAGAAAGAAAATATATTTTAATACATTTAGTGTAGCTTAAGTGTACAGTGTTTATAACATCTACAGCAGTATAAAGTAATGTCCTAGGCCTTCACATTCACTTACTGATTCACTCAGAGAAACTTCCAGTCTGCAAAGTTTTATTCATGATAAGTGACTGATATGGTTTGGCTCTGTGTCCCCACCCAAATCTCATGTCGAACTGTAATCCCCACATATTGGGGAAGGGACCTGGTGGGAGGTGATTGGATCATGACAGCAGTTTCCCCCATGCTGTTCTTGTGATAGTGAGTGAATTCTCACAAGATCTGATGGTTTAAAAGTGTCTGGCAGTTCCCCCTTTGCTGTCTCTTCTGCCACCAAGTGAAGAAGGTGCTTACTTCCTCCCCTTTGCCTTCCGCCATGATTGTAGGCCTCCCTACATTGTAAGCATGATGGGAGGCCTCCCAGTCATGCTTCCTGTTAAGCCTATGGAACTGTGAGACAATTAAACCTCTTTCTTCATAAATTACCCAATCTCAGGAAGTTCTTTACAGCAGAGTGAAAATGGATTAATACAGTGCCCTATACAGGTGTATTTTTTATGATTTATATGGTATTTTTATTATACCTTTTCTATGTTTAGATATATAAACACCTTTTTTTTCTTTTTGCGACGGAGTTTCGCTCTTGTTGCCCAGACTGGAGTGCAATGGCATGATCTCAGCTCACCGCAATCTCTGCCTCCCTAGTTCAAGCAATTCTCCTGCCTCAGCCTCCCGAGTAGCTGGGATTAAAGGCATGCACCACCACGCCTGACAAATTTTTGTATTTTTAGTAGAGGTGGGGTTTCTCCATGTTGGTCAGTGTGGTCTCAAACTCCCGACCTCAGGTGATCCACCCACCTCGGCCTCCCAAAATGCTGGGATTACAGGTGTGAACCACTGCACCTGGCCTATCATTGTTTTACAATTGCCTGTAGTATCAGTGCAGTAACAAGCTGTCCAGGTTTGTAGCCTAAGAGCAACAGGCTATATCATATAGCTTAGGCATGTAGTAGGCTACATCCTTTACATTTTATGATGTTTGCACACTGAAAAAATTGCCTATATGATGTTTTGCCCAGCGTGTAAATGTATTCCTGTTGTTAAGTAACACATGCCTACATATATATATTTATATGTGTATATATATCTGTGTATGTGTGTGTGCATATATGTATACCCACAGGGTTATATAGATGCTTATATAAATAAATACACACACACACACACACACACACACACACACTCTTATCTTTTCCCCATGTATATTTTAAGAGTAACTGTTTAGGCTATGTGGTTATCTTGCAGTGGGACTGGAGTGTAAGAAGACCAAATTATGAAATTAGTGATATATCCTACTTCTATTTTTCCCTTCTGTGCTCAACTTCATTTGTCTTATTTTCCTTCTGCAGAATCTTTGTCAGGCACTTAATTTGGCTAGTTTGGATTTAGTATAATTATTTTTGAATTCCTCAAGGTAATTTAGAAGCCATTCTTCAAAATTTAAAAAAAAATGGAAATACCAATTCTCACTTTTTAGATGTATTAAAAATGTAAAACATTTATTATATTCTCTGTCCATTAATAAAAACAAACATATGAACAAAAAAACTGAAATAAGTCTCTATGTGCATAACCACATGGGCATACATAACCACATGGGCATACATAACCACATGGGCATGAATGTGTTCCAATGAAACACTTTTTTTATTTTCAAAAATAGATGGCAAGGAAGATTTGGCCCATGGGTCATATTGCCAATATTTTACCTAGGACATTGTTTATCTGTTGTTTTAAGCATTCTGTAGGTCTTTTCAATTGAGAAGTTCATATCCTTTAGCACTGAGAAAATTTTATTATACTATTACATTTTTAATTTCCTGCTTTTAATTCCTCTCTTTTCTCTCTCTGAAACTTATTATTTACATATTGGTTCTTCTGAACTTAACTTTCCAGTATTTTATTTTGTATATTTAATATCTTTGTGTTTTTTATTCAGGCTTTTATATGTGCCTCTCAATAAATATTTGTTTACTGAGTGAAATCCAGATTTGCTTATTGCTTTCTCTTTTCTCTTTGTATTCTTTGTAACTGAAACATATATGGATATGGAGAGATTTATAAACATATTACAAATGGTTCATTAAAAGACTTAGTTATATTATAAATTATTCATTGTTACAGGATTACTCATCACATCTAATCACCCTTTTTTTTTTTTTTTTTTGAGGTAAGGTCTCACTCTGTTGCCCAGGCTGGAGTGCAGTGGGATGATTGTAGCTACTGCAGCCTTGACCTAGGCTCAAGTGATCCTCCCACTTTAGCTTCCCAAGTAGCTGGGACTACAGGCAGGTATCACCACGCCCAGCTAATTTATTTGTATATATTTGTATATATATACACAACTATATATACAACAGGTGGGGTTTCGCTATATTGGATTCAAGCTATCCACTGGGTTAAATCTATCTTCTGGCCTCAGCATCTGAAAGTGCTGGCATTACAGGCATGAGCCACTGTACCCAGCCTAACCCATTTATTCCTAATAAGACTAACAAGGTACATATTACCCTCTTTATCTTAAAAGAAATAACAATTCACAGAGTTTAACTAACAAATCTAAGAAGTAGATTATAGATACAGGATTTGAACCAGAGCATTTGTGTTCTAAATGCATACTCAGCCAATGTTGTATTACACTTTGCAGAGGACAATATATGAATATGTCATGTCTATATTGTGTCTAGCAATAAACCTGGGCTTAAGACAACAGATATTGTGACAACTTTAACTTCTTGGATTGCTAAATCTACAGAAATTTTCTTTGTTCATTTTGTGCTGCTTGAACAAAATATCTGAGACTGGGTAATTTCCACAACAGAAATGTGCTGGCTCATAGTTTTGAAGAGTGGGGCATCCAAGAGCAAAGGGCTGATATCTGGTGAGGGCATTCCTGCTGTATCATCTTGTAGTGGAAGGTGAGAATATTAGAAAAAAGCAAGAGCTCAAACTCCCATCCTTAAGCCTTTTTATAATCATCATGAATCCATTCCTAAAGGTGGAGCCCTCTAGACTTAAACACCTCATGTTACACCCCAACTTCCAGCAGTGTTGCATTGAGGCGTAAGTATCCAATACATGCTTTTTGGGGGGACATATTCAAACCAAACCTGAAGAGATCTTTGCTAATATAATATATGCAGATTCATTTTCTCTTCTGCTTTCCACTTCGACTCACTCAGTATTTAAATATTACGTTTGGATAAATCTGTATGCATGCCAGTAATTTGTAAAGAGATGAAAACAAAAGTCACCTTATGATATTGTTTTAATTATATAATATTAGCACTAGAAGTGATTAAAGTTTATCATAATCTTATTTAATAACCATATACTTATTTAATTCCCTTGTCACTGAATTTGAAATACTGGTATTTCTTACAGAATAATCCAAATTATTGAAATGAAATGCAACTTCCTACACAATTCCAATGATCTAAATATAATCAGTGAGTTGTTAATTGAAAAGATTTAAAATTTCCTTTTAAATGTCAATATTTCAAAACAAAAAAATTGGTTTTGAAAGCTATTCTAATATTGTGCAATTCTAAATTTTAAAAACATTCCATAATCTTTACTTGCAAAAGAAGAACAGCATATTAGATTGTAGAAGACAAAGCCTGGCAGGGCGTGGTGGCTTACGCCTGTAATCCCAAGACTTTGGGAGGCGGGCAGATCATGAGGTCAGGAGTTTGAGACCAGCCTGGCCAACACAGTGAAACCCTGTCTCTACTAAAAATACAAAACGTTAGCCAGGCATAGTGGTGAGTGCCTGTAATCCCAGCTACTCGGGAGGCTGAGGCAGGAGAATCACTTGAACCCAGGGGGCGGAGGTTGCAGTGAGCCGAGATCATGCCATTGCACTCCAGCCTGGGTGACTGAGCAAGACTCCATTCTCCATCTCAAAAACAAAACAAACAAACAAAAAAAACAAAGGAAAAGAAAAAAAAGCCTAGCACCACTTGCTATCAGCCAACCTAAAGACTTTATTTTTATTTTTTACATTTCAGTAAATTCTTATGCTCATATGCTCATATTTAATTTGTAAAGTGCCTACTGTAGTGTATATTCAATTGCAGGTCCTACCTTTTTAAAACCAAATATGTATCGTAAGGACTTTCTATTTGTCTGTTAGTTGTTAAAACCTGTTTTTAATTTTGTAGCATTCTACTGAGTGAATAAAAACATCACTTAACATCACTTAAATTAGACTTTGCTTTAAATATAGTTAACTTCTTACATTTTTCATTAATTACCTCTTCATTAAATTTGTCAGTAATCATATGGGACAATCACCACAAGGTATAGTTATATATGCTAATAAGTATATAGAATACCTCTTGGATTTATAGAGCACTGTTTTATTTATTATTATTATACTTTAAGTTTTAGGGTACATGTGCACAATGTGCAAGTTAGTTACATATGTATACATGTGCCATGCTGGTGTGCTGCACCCACTAACTTGCCGTCTAGCATTAGGTATATCTCCCAATGCTATCCCTCCCCCCTCTGCCCACCCCACAACAGTCCCCAGAGTGTGATGTTCCCCTTCCTGTGTCCATGTGTTCTCATTGTTCAATTCCCACCTATGACTGAGAATATGCGGTGTTTGGTTTTTTGTTTTTGCGATAGTTTACTGAGAATGATGATTTCCAATTTCATCCATGTCCCTACAAAGGACATGAACTCATCATTTTTTATGGGTGCATAGTATTCCATGGTGTATATGTGCCACATTTTCTTAATCCAGTCTATCATTGTTGGACATTTGGCTTGGTTCCAAGTCTTTGCTATTGTGAATAATGCTGCAATAAATATATGTGTGCATGTGTCTTTATAGCAGCATGATTTATAGGCCTTTGGGTATATACCCAGTAATGGGATGGCTGGGTCAAATGGTATTTCTAGTTCTAGATCCCTGAGGAATCACCACACCGACTTCCACAATGGTTGAACTAGTTTACAGTCCCACCAACAGTGGAAAAGTGTTCCTATTTCTCCACATCCTCTCCAGCACCTGTTGTTTCCTGACTTTTTAATGATTGCCATTCTAACTGGTGTGAGATGGTATCTCATTGTGGTTTTGATTTGCATTTCTCTGATGGCCAGTGATGATGAGCATTTTTTCATGTGTTTTTTGGCTGCATAAATGTCTTCTTTTGAGAAGTGTCTGTTCATGTCCTTTGCCCACTTTTTGATGGGGTTGTTTGTTTTTTTCTTGTAAATTTGTTTGAGTTCATTGTAGATTCTGGATATTAGCCCTTTGTCAGATGAGTAGGTTGCGAAAATTTTCTCCCATTTTGTAGGTTGCCTGTTCACTCTGATGGTAGTTTCTTTTGCTGTGCAGAAGCTCTTTAGTTTAATTAGATCCCATTTGTCAACTTTGGCTTTTATTGCCATTGCTTTTGGTGTTTTAGACAAGAAGTCCTTGCCCATGCCTATGTCCTGAATGGTAATGCCTAGGTTTTCTTCTAGGGTTTTTATGGTTTTAGGTCTAACATTTAAGTCTTTAATCCATCTTGAATTGATTTTTGTATAAGGTGTAAGGAAGGGATCCAGTTTCAGCTTTCTACATATGGCTAGCCAGTTTTCCCAGCACCATTTATTAAATAGGGAATCCTTTCCCCATTGCTTGTTTTTCTCAGGTTTGTCAAAGATCAGATAGTTGTAGATATGCGGCATTATTTCTGAGGGCTCTGTTCTGTTCCATTGATCTATATCTCTGTTTTGGTACCAGTACCATGCTGTTCTGGTTACTGTAGCCTTGTAGTATAGTTTGAAGTCAGGTAGTGTGATGCCTCCAGCTTTGTTCTTTTGGCTTAGGATTGACTTGGCAATGCGGGCTCTTTTTTGGTGCCATATGAACTTTAAAGTAGTTTTTTCCAATTGTGTGAAGAAAGACATTGGTAGCTTGATGGGGATGGCATTGAATCTGTAAATTACCTTGGGCAGTATGGCCATTTTTACGATATTGATTCTTCCTACCCATGAGCATGGAATGTTCTTCCATTTGTTTGTATCCTCTTTTATTTCCTTGAGCAGTGGTTTGTAGTTCTCCTGGAAGAGGTCCTTCACATCCCTTGTAAGTTGGATTCCTAGGTATTTTATTCTCTTTGAAGCAATTGTGAATGGGAGTTCACTCATGATTTGGCTCTCTGTTTGTCTGTTGTTGGTGTATAAGAATGCTTGTGATTTTGGTACATTGATTTTGTATCCTGAGACTTTGCTGAAGTTGCTTATCAGCTTAAGGAGATTTTGGGCTGAGACAATGGGGTTTTCTAGATATACAATCATGTCGTCTGCAAACAGGGACAATTTGACTTCCTCTTTTCCTAATTGAATACCCTTTATTTCCTTCTCCTGCCTAATTGCCCTGGCCAGAACTTCCAACAATATGTTGAATAGGAGTGGTGAGAGAGGGCATCCCTCTCTTGTGCCAGTTTTCAAAGGGAATGCTTCCAGTTTTTGCCCATTCAGTATGATATTGGCTGTGGGTTTGTCATAGATAGCTCTTATTGTTTTGAAATACGTCCCATCAATACCTAATTTACTGAGAGTTTTTAGCATGAAGCATTGTTGAATTTTGTCAAAGGCCTTTTCTGCATCTATTGAGATAATCATGTGGTTTTTGTCTTTGGTTCTGTTTATATGCTGGATTACATTTATTGATTTGCGTATATTGAACCAGCCTTGCATCCCAGGGATGAAGCCCACTTGATCATGGTGGATAAGCTTTTTGATGTGCTGCTGGATTTGGTGTGCCAGTATTTTATTGAGGATTTTTGCATCAATGTTCATCAAGGATATTGGTCTAAAGTTCTGTTTTTTTTGTTTTGTCTCTGCCCGGCTGTGGTATCAGGATGATGCTGGCCTCATAAAATGAGTTAGGGAGGATTCCCTCTTTTTCTATAGGTTGGAATAGTTTCAGAAGGAATGGTACCTGTTCCTCCTCGTACCTCTGGTAGAATTCGGCTGTGAATCCATCTGGTCCTCGACTCTTTTTGGTTGGTAAGTCATTGATTATTGCCACAATTTCAGATCCTGTTATTGGCCTATTCAGAGATTCAACTTCTTCCTGGTTTAGTCTTGGGAGGGTGTATGTGTCCAGGAATTTATCCATTTCTTCTAGATTTTCTAGTTTATTTGCGTAGAGGTGTTTGTAGTATTCTCTGATGGTAGTTTGTATTTCTGTGGGATCAGTGGTGATATCCCCTTTATCATTTTTTATTGCGTCTATTTGATTCTTCTTTTTTTCTTTATTAGTCTTGCTAGTGGTCTATAAATTTTGTTGATCCTTTCAAAAAACCAGCTCCTGGATTCATTAATTTTTTGAAGGGTTTTTTGTGTCTCTATTTCCTTCAGTTCTGCTCTGATTTTAGTTATTTCTTGCCTTCTGTTAGCTTTTGAATGTGTTTGCTCTTGCTTTTCTAGTTCTTTTAATTGTAATGTTAGGGTGTCAATTTTGGATCTTTTCTGCTTTCTCTTGTGGGCATTTAGTGCTATAAATTTCCCTCTACACACTGCCTTGAATGCGTCCCAGAGATTCTGGTATGTTGTGTCTTTGTTCTCGTTGGTTTCAAAGAACATCTTTATTTCTGCCTTCATTTTGTTATGTACCCCGTAGTCATTCAGGAGCAGGTTGTTCAGTTTCCATGTAGTTGAGCAGTTTTGAGTGAGATTCTTAATCCTGAGCTCTAGTTTGATTGCACTGTGGTCTGAGAGATAGTTTGTTATAATTTCTGTTCTTTTTCATTTGCTGAGGAGAGCTTTACTTCCAAGTATGTGGTCAATTTTGGAATAGGTGTGGTGTGGTGCTGAAAAAAATGTATATCCTGTTGATTTGGGGTGGAGAGTTCTGTAGATGTCTATTAGGTCCGCTTGGTACAGAGCTGAGTTCAATTCCTGGGTATCCTTGTTGACTTTCTGTCTCGTTGATCTGTCTAATGTTGACAGTGGGGTGTTAAAGTATCCCATTATTAATGTGTGGGAGTCTAAGTCTCTTTGTAGGTCACTCAGGACTTGCTTTATGAATCTGGGTGCTCCTGTATTGGGTGCATATATATTTAGGATAGTTAGCTCTTCTTGTTGAATTGATCCCTTTACCATTATGTAATAGCCTTCTTTGTCTCTTTTGATCTTTGTTGGTTTAAAGTCTGTTTTATCAGAGACTAGGATTGCAACCCCTGCCTTTTTTTGTTTTCCTTTTGCTTGGTAGATCTTCCTCCATCCTTATATTTTGAGTCTATGTGTGTCTCTGCACGTGAGATGGGTTTCCTGAATACAGCACACTGATGGGTCTTGACTCTTTATCCAATTTGCCAGTCTGTGTCTTTTAATTGGAGCATTTAGTCCATTTACATTTAAAGTTAATATTGTTATGTGTGAATTTGATCCTGTCATTATGATGTTAGCTGGTTATTTTGCTCGTTAGTTGATGCAGTTTCTTCCTAGTCTCGATGGTCTTTACATTTTGGCATGATTTTGCAGCGGCTGGTACCGGTTGTTCCTTTCCATGTTTAGTGCTTCCTTCAGGAGCTCTTTTAGGGCAGGCCTGGTGGTGACAAAATCTCTCAGCATTTGCTTGTCTGTAAAGTAGTTTATTTCTCCTTCACTTGTGAAGCTTAGTTTGGCTGGATATGAAATTCTGGATTGAAAATTCTTTTCTTTAAGAATGTTGAATATTGGCCCCCACTCTCTTCTGGCTTGTAGAGTTTCTGCCTAGAGATCCGCTGTTAGTCTGATGGGCTTCCCTTTGAGGGTAACCCGACCTTTCTCTCTGGCTGCCCTTAACATTTTTTCCTTCATTTCAACTTTGGTGAATCTGACAATTATGTGTCTTGGAGTTGCTCTTCTCGAGGAGTATCTTTGTGGAGTTCTCTGTATTTCCTGAATCTGAATGTTGGCCTGCCTTGCTAGATTGGGGAAGTTCTCCTGGATAATATCCTGCAGAGTGTTTTCCAACTTGGTTCCATTCTCCCTGTCACTTTCAGGTACACCAATCAGACGTAGATTTAGTCTTTTCACATAGTCCCATATTTCTTGGAGGCTTTGTTCATTTCTTTTTATTCTTTTTTCTCTAAACTTCCCTTCTCGCTTCATTTCATTCATTTCATCTTCCATCGCTGATACCCTTTCTTCCGGTTGATTACATCGGCTCCTGAGGCTTCTGCATTCTTCACATAGTTCTCGAGCCTTGGTTTTCAGGTCCATCAGCTCCTTTAAGCACTTCTCTGTATTGGTTATTCTAGTTATACATTCTTCTAAATTTTTTTCAAAGTTTTCAACTTCTTTGCCTTTGGTTTGAATGTCCTCCCATAGCTTGGAGTAGTTTGATCGTCTGAAGCCTTCTTCTCTCAGCTCGTCAAATTCATTCTCTGTCCAGCTTTGTTCCGTTGCTGGTGAGGAACTACATTCCTTTGTAGGAGGAGAGGCACTCTGCTTTTTAGAGTTTCCAGTTTTTCTGCTCTGTTTTTTCCCCATCTTTGTGGTTTTATCTACTTTTGGTCTTTGATGATGGTGATGTACAGATGGGTTTTTGGTGTGGATGTCCTTTCTGTTTGTTAGTTTTCCTTCTAACAGACAGGACCCTCAGCTGCAGGTGTGTTGGAGTATCCGGCCGTGTGAGGTGTCAGTGTGCCCCTGCTGGGGGGTGCCTCCCAGTTAGGCTGCTCGGGTGTCAGGGGTCAGGGACCCACTTGAGGAGGCAGTCTGCCCGTTCTCAGATCTCCAGCTGCGTGCTGGGAGAACCACTGCTCTCTTCAAAGCTGTCAGACAGGGACATTTAAGTCTGCAGGTTACTGCTTTTTGTTTGTCTGTGCCCTGCCCCCAGAGGTGGAGCCTACAGAGGCAGGCAGGCCTCCTTGAGCTGTGGTGGGCTCCACCCAGTTCGAGCTTCCTGGCTGCTTTGTTTACCTAAGCAAGCCTGGGCAATGGCGGGCACCCCACCCCCCCAGCCTCGCTGCCACCTTGCAGTTTGATCTCAGACTGCTGTGCTAGCAATCAGGGAGACTCCGTGGGCATAGGACCCTCCGAGCCAGGTGTGGGATATAATCTCCTGGTGCGCCGTTTTTTAAGCCCGTCGGAAAAGCGCAGTATTAGGGTGGGAGTGACCCGATTTTCCAGGTGCCGTCTGTCACCCCTTTCTTTGACTAGGAAAGGGAACTCCCTGACCCCTTGCACTTCCCGAGTGAGGCAATGCCTCGCCCTGCTTCGGCTCATGCATGGTGCGCTGCACCCACTGACCTGCGCCCACTGTCTGGCACTCCCTAGTGAGATGAACCCGGTACCTCAGATGGAAATGCAGAAATCACCCCTCTTCTGTGTCGCTCACGCTGGGAGCTGTAGACCGGGCCCGTTCCTATTTGGCCATCTTGGCTCCTCTATCCAGCACTGTTGTTTTTAATAAGCTTTTATATGCATTTTATTTTATCCTCAGAGAATTTTGAGGTAAACAATATAGGTATTATTCTTCTCATTTTCAGTTAATAGAAAATCAACTTTAGTGGATGGGCATGCCTGTAATCCCAGCACTTTGGGAGGTTGAGGTGGGCAGATCACGAGGTCAGGAGTTCGAGACCAGTCTGGCCAACATGGTGAAACCCCGTCTCTACTAAAAAAATACAAAAATTAGCCAGGCATGGTGACATGTGCCTGTAGTCCCAGCTACTTGGGAGGCTGAGGCAGGAGAATGACTTGGACCCAGGAGGCAGAGGTTGCAGTGAACTGAGATCGTGCCACCGCACTCTAGTCTGGGCAACAGAGCAAGATTCCGTCTCGGAGAAAAAAAAAATCAACTTTAGTGAATTTGATGTGATTTGTTTAAGATCACACACTCAGTTATTGAGCGAGGACTAAAACCCATCTTTTATTCAGACTCTTACAGGTGCCTCTCAGTAAATATTTGTTTATTGAGTGAAATCCAGATTTGCTTATTGCTTTCTGTTTTCTCTTTGTATTCTTTGTAACTGAAACATATATGGATATGGAGAGATTTATAAACATATTACAAATGGCTCATTAAGAGACTTAGTTATATTACAGATTATTCATTGTTACACACACACACACACACACACACACACACACACACACTACATGGGATCAACTAACGACTATGATTTTGTAGAATTATCTGTACTGCATATGTTTAAATACATTTTCCCAAACATTTCCTGAGGAATGTATGTGCGCTACTGACTGGGAGAGGTGCTAGGGACACCACAGAAACAGAGACAAAGCCCCGCCCTTATGAAACAGCAAGAGAGAATGAGGTGAGGAGCAGGCAACTGAACAGTTAGAATTCAGTGTTTTACAAAGTGATAGAACCATGGAGAGGATACAGAGTGGGCCCCCAAAAGGTCAGAGGGAGCTGTAAAGCTCTTTGTGGAGGACGTAGAGTTCCGACTGCTGTTCTGGAAAGATGAATAGCTCAGCAAGGGAAAATAAAAGGAAGGAATTTCAGGCAGATGAAGCTAAAGCAGAAAAGGCATAGTTATGTGATGCTTTGCAATCTTTCTGGGGAGCAAAGTGGACAGTGGGTGGGAGGCAGAGGGCTTGCTGGGAGGGATAGGCGCTGCACCCCAGGTACTTGCCACCTCTTCACTGGGCTCCTTTAGCCAGTCAGTCCTGCCTCTCCAGTGAGATGGCTCTCCTTGTTGCTTTGGTCTCCTTCCAGGCTGTGCAGAATAGAAAACAAGGCACATAGTCATGTTGGCAGGTTCTGACTATTATGCAGTGATAGGAAATTAGTTTTGCTCTATGGGACTGAGGTTCTTAGAGCCCAGATGTAAAGGTATTAAAGACAAGACAGAAACTGGAAGGGAAGAAAAATCCCTTGTACTGGATGTTTGCTGTGTGCCAGAAACCAAGACAAACTCTTTTGCATACAGTTTTGTATTTCCTCTTTGCAATAAACAATGCTGGTACACTCAGCTATCACCATTTTACACTTGGGGATACTGAGGCTAACGAAAGTCAATCAAGGTCACACAGCTAGTTAAATGGGGTGCCTAGGATGTTTTGGGGGTGCCTAGGATGTTTTGGGGGTTCCAAGCTGAGAAGGCTTTGGCTTAATTGGTTCTGATGTCAAAAATCAGTTGCTGCTTGTAGCGGGGCAAGATTTAGTACTTCCCTGACATGTGAAATGGAGTCTGTGCACTGGGGGATGACCAAACATTTATGTCGTCGCCCGCTATTAACTCTCTGGGCAAGGAAACACGCGTCTCCATTTATACTGAAAGTCTTGGCGGTCGTGCTGAGGCAGTGCTGGGGCATGTGTTTCTCTGTGTCCATGGCAGGAGGCCACACGCCATGCCTAGGTGCACGTTAACATGACATAAATGTTAATGTCCTGTTCTAAAACCAAAGCCTGCAGGAGAGAGGAAATACCACCCCCGCCGTACCCAGGCCCCGGTGTTTGGATACTGCAGTCTATATTTTGACTCCAGAGTGTGATGACTATGTAACTTTTCACAAGGATTTCATTTTTTCCCTGTCAAGCCACATTATTTTAAGGGTGACAATAACTTGGCTGTAAATGAGCTGAAACCATCAAGGTGATAAATGAGTTTCTGGGGGAGGGAGGCATCGCCTGGCCTATACTTTGCAGGACCACACACCTCCGTCATCCTTCTTCCACCTTCTCAGAACAATGTGTCATAGATCTCCCCTCCCTGCGTCCCCCAAGGCCCCTTCCTTGCCGGCCTCCTGCTTCTTAAGGCAATAGAGAACCGTAAGCACTTGACTTTGGAAAATATACCGTATTTCACAGAGTTTGGGAAGTGGGGAGAAAGAGTTGCTGTTTTCCTTTGGCTGTTAGCAAGGATCTGACTTATAAAACTGCCTTGGAGACAACTCCTCACCTAGTTTATTTTCTCTGTCAGCCAGGTCTGTCTCTGAAGTGGGGCTACCACTGGTCAGCTCAGTGGTCAGCCTGCTTCTTTGAGTTGAAATCCAAGAGTTATGTCCAGAAGCGCCTGGTGAGTTGGGGAACTGGATTTCTTGTTAAGAAAGATGACTTTCATACTATTTTACTGGGTGGAGCAGGGGGTAGGAGGCAGGTATGCTGTGAATTTATATACAGAATCTCATTCGCTGTTCACTCATTTAACATAGCCAGATGAAGCAATTTGCTAAGGGATTTTCCCTGAGACTTAGCACCAGGATTTGAACCAAGGGCTGTTGTGCTCCGAAGCTTCTTTTACTGCTTTCTCCTTTTTGTCCAGTTCCCCATTCAAGTCAAGATAACCCCCATGCCATCAAGTACTGGGAGAAAGTGAGCTCACTGCCCATTCAGTGGTAAGGAAACACTCAGTAACAAGGCTTTGTGGTGGTCAAGAAGTGTAAAGCAGGTTAGCACTGCCTCACTTGAAGCTATGAACTTTCTATTTGCTATTATTATATTTGTTCCTACTTGCTATTCATATATTCCTATTTGGTATTTCTATTATGTCTCTGGTTGGGAAGGGAAGAAGGACTTAGAGAGTGGATTGACTTCACATATTGCAGCTTGTGCCACCAAGCAAAGCACAAAGGCTTCGCGCTGGTTAAAAACCTTTGTGTCTAGTAGGCCAACGACACAGGCAGTTAGAGCAAAGAGGAGTAGAAGTCAGCTGACAGGTGTGGCAAAGGGATGGCCTCTCTGTTAGAACAGCCACTGTCAAGGTAGAGTTCCAATGCTACGAATGGCTGAAAAAGCAGTGTAGTTTATTGCTTTCCTCTTTTACTTGTGTTATTTAAAAAAAAATCTTTCATGAAATTTGAATTCTAAAGTTACAGGTTGAGGTTTAAGTCCATTAATTAGAATGTATATAGTACAATTATTTGTTTACATTGCTTAACACATTCACTAGACTTGGAGCAGCTTGAGGGCATAGAGTTTGTCTTATTCAGTTGTCTTTCACTAGGACAGAGGCACATGCCCAGTGAATTCTGGGAAGTTAACTACAGGTGAGAGAGATGAGCCTTTTAACTCTTTTGAGCCTCAGTTTGTTTCATTATAAAATAGAGATTAAAAGGCTGGCCTGATTGGGCCACTGTGAGTATCCAAAAATGATTTCTTTGTTAAAGTCATTGTGTGAATTATAATACAATTCCTGAGAATATATATAAAATATATGAAATTTATTAATAATAATTATAGTACATACACCAATAACTTCAAAATCAATCTCTGGCCCCACTCTGACTTCTAAACTCTAGATTTTAATAATTAACTTCCTCCTTGATATTTTCACATGATTGTTTTAATGGCATCTAAAATTTACAAAAGTAATATTGCATTCTATACCCTCCTCTCAAACTTGCTCCTTTGGAGATTTTAGTCTAAGAAAATGTCATCTATATTTACATAGTTGCTCAGATCACAACCCTCTGAGTCTTCCTTAACCCACCTCTTTCTTCACATCCACATCATTATAAGCAAGCCCAGTCGGCTCCACCTTTAAAGTGCATCCCAAACCCTACCTCTTCTTAAAACCTTCGTGGCGACCTCCATGGTTCAGGCCATCACCACTTTTCTCTTAGACTCTGGCATGGCATGCTCCTCCTGCTTTCACCCACCAGACGGTCCTTTTCGCATGCACATCAGGTCACAGGACTCCTGCTTGGACACTCCCAAAGACTGGTCTCTTCCCACAATGAGATATCATCTCACGCCAGTTAGAATGGCGATCATTAAAAAGTCAGGAAACAACAGATGCTGGAGAGGATGTGGAGAAGTGGGAACACTTTTATACTGTTGGTGGAAGTGTAAATTCGTTCAACCATTGTAGAAGACAGAGTGGCGATTCCTCAAGGATCTAGAACCAGAAATACCATTTGATCCAGCAATCCCATTACTGAGTATATACCCAAAGGATCATAAATCATTCTATTATAAAGACACATGCACACGTATGTTTATTGCAGCACTATTCACAATAGCAAAGACTTGCAACCAACCCAAATGCCCATCAATGATAGATTGGATAAAGAAAATGTGGCACATATACACTATGGAATACTATGCAGCCATAAAAAAGGATGAGTTCATGTCCTTTTCAGGGACAATGGATGAAGCTGGAAACCATCACTCTCAGCAAACTAACACAAGATCAGAAAACCAGACACTGCATATTCTCACTTATAAGTGGGAGTTGAAAAGCGAGAATATATGGACACAGGGACGGAAACATCACACACTGAGGTCTGTCAGGGGGTGGGGGGTTAGGGGAGGGATAGCATTAGGAGAAATACCTAATGTAGATGGGAGGTTGATGGGTGCAGCAAACCACCATGGCACATGTATACACCTATGTAACAAACCTCCACGTTCTGCACATGTACCCCAGAACTTAAAGTATAATCATAATAAGAAAAAAGACTGGCCTCTTATCACAGCACAATTTACATGTAGGGCATGTCTTTCTCTTGGCTACGTCTTTCTTCATTCCCATTATCAGATTCTCGCTCATTCTTTCTCTGCTACCATTATTCTATTCCTTGCCTACCTCACATGTTCTCTTAAATAAGGGACTTTATATCTGCTATTTTTATCTGTTTGGAATCACCTTCTTTAAAATATTTATATGGCTTGCTCTATCATTTTGTTCACGTTTCTCTTTAAATATCACCCCATGGTGGAATTCATTGATGATTGTAAGAACCCATGCTACACAGCTCATCATTTTCTTATCTTGATTTGCTCTATTTGTCTTCCTAAAATTAGCGCTTTCTGTCATCATATTATATATTTGTTTATTTTATTTTGCATGTCTGCTCTTAAGAGAATGGATGTTCCATGACATCAGGTCCTTATTCTGTTTCATTTACTACTATAACCCAGCAGTTTTCACCTATTTCACATCTGTTTGTTGAATGTCTGCTAGATGTCTGACTCTGACAATGTTTTAAGGAATGTGGCAGTAAGCAGAACAGACAAACATTTCTGCTCACATGGAGTTTATATTCTAAAGGGAGGAGATAAACTATAACCAGGTAATATAGCAGGATATGCCAAATAGCATAGTAAGTGCAATATGAAACATAAAGCAAGCAAAGATAGAGTTGTGGTCAGCATGAAAATTTAAATTGCATGGTTCGAGAGGAGCTCATTAAAAAAGTGGCATTTGATCAAGGACCTGAAGAATATAGGAAAGATATTTGGGAAAGATGTAGGAAAGAAGAGCATGCCAGGAAGAGGGAGTAAGGAAAAAAAACACCCAATAACATTTTTTTTTCAGAAAAAACATAGAGTTCAGAGTGGCTAGAGAAGAATATACAACATGAGGAATCAGAATATTATGTTGCTGGGTGGGGAGGTTCACATTATGTAGGACATTGTAGAATAGCATATGAATATCAGCTTCTGTTGTGTGTTAAATGGAAAGTCATGGAAGGTTTTGAACAGAAGACTGATATTGTATCTGTTACATTTTAAGATCATCTGTTAAAAAATCAACAGTAGAGGGGTAAGCCCAGAAATGGGGACAATAATTAAGGAAGCAGTTGTAGTAATCCAAGTGAAAAAAGATGGTTGCTTGGATAGCATGGGGGCACAAGGGATCTCAGAGTTGGTGAGAGGTGGTCAGATCATGTGCATTTTGAAGTACAGCCAAGATTTACTGATGGATTGTGTACGGGGCTTTTATAGCTAAAGATGACTCAGATGACACCACGTATATGGGCCTGAGGAAGTAGAATAATGAAGGTTACCATTTGCAGAACAGAGGTAGATCATGAAAGAAGCAGCTTTGGGGTTTGGTTTTGGTTACCTATGAAGATAACTATGAAGATGTCCAAGGGAGATGTCGAGAAAGGAGTTGGAGAAACAGGTGTGCAATTTAGGAGAGAGGGATTAAGCTGAAAATACAAACTTGGAGGTTTAGGGCATACACAGAGTCATGAGACTAAATGAGTTCATCAAAGAAGTGCATATTGATAAATAAAATGAATCCAGGCTGGGCACGGTGGCTCACACCTGTAATCCCAGCACTTTGGGAGGCTGAGGTGGGCGAATCACCTGAGATCAGGAGTTCGAGACCACCCTGGCCAACACTGGTGAAACCCTGTCTCTACTAAAAATACAAAAATTAGCTGGGCGTGGTGGCAGGCGCCTGTAATCCCAGCTACTCGGGAGGCTGAGGCAGGAGAATCGCTTGAACCCGGGAACCGGAGGTTGCAGTGAGCCAAGATCGCACCATTGTACTCCAGCCTGGGGGACAAGAGCAAGAATTCATCTCCAAAATAAAAAATAAATAAATAAAAATAAATCCGAAGATTGACCCTTGGGATAGTTAATAGCTGAAATACACTTGTAATCTATTTTTTTTTATAATCATGACATCCCAGTAATACCCCTGCATCTCTTATGCAATACATATTGAGGACATTATTTTTAATAAGATCATTACTATGATCATGTAAGTTATGTGTCTGTGTATACATTCACTACACACAGACAGACACACATATAACTTTTTACTAATTGATTTTACTAATTAACTTGATAGTTTGATCTTTAAAGTGACTCACCTTTTTCATTTAAGTAAATTTAGTTTAAAGCAAGCTTGCCCAATCTGTGGCCTATGGGCCATATGTGGCTCAGGACAGCTTTGAATGCAGCCCAACAAAAAGTAAATTTCCTTAAAACATTATGAAATTTTTTGTGATTTTTTTTTTTAGCTCATCAGTTATTATTAGTGTTACTGCATTTTATGTGTGGCCCAAGATAGTTCTTCTTCCAATGTGGCCTGGGGAAGCCAAAAGATTGGACACCTCTGTTTTGTTTTATTTCATTTTATTTTTTATTATACTTTAAGTTCTAGGGTACATGTGCACAACATGGAGGTTTGGTATATAGGTATACATGTGCCATGTTGGTTTGCTGCACCCATCAACTCATCATTTACGTTAGGTATTTCTCGTAATGCTATCCCTCCCCCAGTCCCCCAGCCTCCCAGCCCCCAACAGGCCCCAGTGTGTGATGTGTCCATGTGTTCCCGTTGTTCAACATCCACCTATGAGTAAGAACATGTGGCATTTGATTTTCTGTCCTTGTGATAGTTTGCTTAGAATGATGGTTTCCAGCTTCATCCATATCCCTGCAAAGGATATGAACTCATCCTTTTTTATGGCTGCATAGTATTCCATGGTATATATGACCCACATTTTCTTAATCCAGTCTATCATTGATGGACATTTGAGGACACCCCTGTTTTAAAGGAAGATATATCACTACAATAAACTGTATCACTCATCATAAGTAAAAATACTTGTAAAATAAAAATTACTATTTATTAAAAATGTTTGTGCACTCACTCTGATATTACCAATGGTACATATATCACACTTTAATAAAAACTGATGTAATGAATGATTAAAAGGGAAGATGATATGAGCACTAACATGGCCTCACTCAGCTCCTCTGGATGCTGGACAGAGTGGTTGACTTTCAACATCTGTCTTTTCCCCTTCCCCTACTGATAAGCCACACATGTGGTTTGGAGAATTTTACCAGCTTAAGAGGGGAGCCTGAGTCTAAAAGGTGATTCAAGCCCCTTTACCAGAGATTTTCAGACACAGAGAAATGACAGAATTCTTATCAATGAGACATGAAGAAAGAGTTGCTAGAGTTTCCTTGGATTTTTTTTTCCTCACTCTTATACCACTCATTCCCACTAAACATGAGGAAAGATGCATATCTCCTCAGTTGCTGTTGGCAGTCCTCTTATAACCATGAACACTAGGCATGATATCTCCAAACTGGAAGGCATAAGTGCTCATCAGTAGTAAAAGATACAAATTGTAAGGAACATATAGTAGGCTTAGACATCATAGCAGAATGGACTACTGCCACACCTAGCAATGTGGATGAACACCATGGGCATTAAATTGAGCACAGAAAGAAGATCCCAAAGGGGAAGTACCCTGTGATTTCATTTACACGTGGTTCTAGAATTGGCAACACCAATTTGTATAGACATCGGCATAGTGCCTCCTTTTGGAATGCAGACATGCTTGGGGCCTCTATGGTGATGGAGTGATCCTGATTTGCTTTGTGGATACGTGTGTGAAAAGGCATTGAGCTGTGCAATCATCATTCATGATTTATGCACTTTACCTTACACGTAAACAAAATTAGCAAAAAGTTAATAGTGAACTCTATCACAGGAATTTTTCTTTCAGTTTTTTTAATTTTTATTTTTTGAGACAATGTCTCACTGTGTCGCCCAGACTAGAGTGCAGTGGAGAGATCTAAGCTCACTGCAACCTTTGCTTCCTGGGCTCAAGTGATCCTCCTGCTTCAGCCTCCTGAGTAGCTAGGATTATAGGCATGTGCCACCATGGCCAGCTAATTTTTGTATTTTTTGTAGAGACAGGGTTTTGCCATGTTGCACAGGCTTGTCTGAACCTTCTGAGCTCAAGCGATCCACCCACCTTGGCCTCCCAAAGTGCTGGGATTTCAGGTGTGACCCACTATGCCTGGCCTCTCAGGAAATTTTTTTAAGAATATGGTAAACAGAAGAGGCTCAGATAACATAAATTTTTAAAAACTCACATATATTCCTTTGTTTGCTTTTAACAAACATAAATTTTAAAACTCCTGTTATTAGTTGAGATGTGAATACAACCCATTATTCCTTAGTAGAAGTTGATATTTTCAACATTTTCTATTATTTTATGATCATATTATCCTCAAAGTTATTTTTTAGGTATGTAATGTCTGTGCATAGTTCAAAGTCCAAATGATGTAAATCGCAAATAGATGCAAATTTTAATTAAGGTTTTAGAGGTTATTTGTATTATTAGTAATTTTTCTGGGTTATGTGGTTGGCCTAGCAGTGTTCATTATATTTCAAATAAATTATTAAAAACAAATAATACAAATTACAAAATGGAAAAGATGGCAGTGTGTGAAGCAATAATAATAATATGGCTTGAACTTAGAGTTATGAGTAATTCAATTCTATCTTTAAGTACAACATAAAATAATAAAATAATAAAACAACAGCAGCAAATTCTATTAAAAAGCGATTTTACCTCTTACTTTTTCTTCTCCCCTTATGTATTATTTTAGAGAAATTCTGATATATTTTATTCTTTGTCTTTGATTTGCCTTTTCCGCTTAACACTGTGTCGTGATCTCCTTCCATATTTATTCATATGGAAGTGCCTCACCCTTTTGAATGGCTGCTTAGCCAATTATTGTACAAATATGCCATAATCTATTTAACCAGTATTCTATTAATGCACATTTACATTAGGCTCAATAGTGTGATATTATAGACAATAATGGCCTTAATATCCATGTATATATAAATGTCTTTGTCCACAAATGTCAGGGTATGTAGAGGACACATTTCTGCAAGCCAAATAGCTGAATCAAATGGTACGTGCATCTAAATTTTGGTAGCTACTGCAAAATCCCATATAGTTTGAACCAATTTAAATTTCCACTAACAATGTACAAGTATATTTTTTCCCTTACCAACAGTGTGTGTTCTCAAACTTTTTGATCTTTGCCAAGCTACATCAAAAATGGTATTGCATTGTATTCGTTCCTTTTCATACTGAAATAAAGAACTACCTGAGACTGGGTAATTTATAAAGGAAAGAGGTTTAATTGACTCACAGTTCTGCATGGCTGGGGAGGCCTCAGGAAACTTACAATTGTGGCAGAAGGTGAAGGGGAAGCAAGGCATGTCTTACATGGTGGCAGGAGAGAAAGAGAGTGAAGGGGGAACTGCCACACACTTTTAAACCATCAGATCTCATGAAAATTCATTCATTATCACAAGAACAGTATGGGAGAAACTGCCCCCATAATCCAATCACCTCGCCACTAAGTCCCTCCCTCAACACATGGGCATTACAATTTGAGATGAGATTTGGGTGGGGACACGGAGCCAAACCATCTCATGCATTGTTGTTTTAATTTGCTTTTTGCATATAACAAGTAGTACTGAGCATATTTTCAGGTATATAAGAGCCATTTTTAAATTTCTATTTACCATCTGCCCATATATATGTGTGTGTGTGAGTATACACACACACACACACTCACACACAGCTGAAATCATCAAACCATATAGAGCTTATTGTGATGAAAGGAGTAGGATGGGGACATAATTTGATATTTATTCCAGTTTATTCCACTATCATCTATGGAACAGGATCTCTTTATTCTACTGATGTACAATGTTACATTTTCATACTCTTTTTTTCTTTATTTTTTCTAAAAAAAAAAGGACATATTTTCATATTCTAAGCTCTCATATATGTTTGAATTTCTCTCTGGATGCTCTTCCATTGATTTGTGTCTGCATATACATGTGTCATTATTACTCTTAATAAGCTCTGTGATATTTAATATTATATAGGACCTGTCCACTGTATCACTCTCCCTTCCACCCAGAATATTTCTGGTTGTTGTTGTTTGAGAAAGAATCTCCTTCTGTCACCCAAGCTGGAGTGCAGTGGAATAATCACAGCTCAGTGCAGACTCAACTTCCCTGGGCTCAAGTGATCCTTTCACCTCAGCCTCCCAAGTAGCTAGAACTACAGGGGCATGCCACCACACCTGGCCAAATATTCCTGGTTCTTTTAGAATGAGGTATGTTAGTTAAACTTCTGGACTCTGAAGACAGAATGTTTGGGTTCAAATACAGCCTTTGCCATGTACTAACTGTATAAACCTGTACAAGTTATTTAACCTCTCTGTTTGTTGAAGTCATCATATATAAATATGGGAATAAAATAATGTTATTGATGAAAGTGTATCATTTAATACATCTGTAATGCTTAGAAAAGCACTTCAGGGAAATGCAACAGTACATTTATTATCATTCTTGTTTATTTGTTTTTCCACATGAAACTTAGATTTATTATTGCCTAGTTCTAAAAAATATACTTTTTTATTGTTATTGCATTAAATTTATAGATTTAGAAAGAATTGAAACTCTATGATATTGAGTCTTTTTATCCAAACACAAGTATGCTTTTTTGTTTATTTTAGTCTTGTTATGGGTCTCTCTTAGTAGTTTATTAAGTATTTTCTCATCTCGATCCTGCTAAATTTCTATAAAAATTTATCTATAGGTAATTATTCTTTTGCTGTTGTGGTTATTTTGTTGTCTTGCATCAGATTTTTTCTAGAGAAACTATTGTATATATTAATTTTATATGCAGCCACCTGTAATATTTACTGTAAAAAGTGAATTTGACATGGTATTTATTTTAATAAATCACTTAAAATATTGTTTTTTTATTTTTTTAAAGAAATGTAAGCATTTAACTCAAAAGTTAGTTAGAAATAACAATTAGATACCACCAGACACCTGTTAGAATGACCAAAATTCAAAACACTAACAACACCAAATGTTGGCAAGGGCAACCAGCACTCTCATTCACTGCTGGCAGGACTTTAAAATGCTACAGTCACTTTGGAAGAGAGTTTGGAAGTTTCTTACATATAACAGGCTTTTGCCATAACATCTGACAATTGCACTCACAAATATTTACCAGAATGAGTTGAAAACATATGTCCACACAAACTCCTGCACACTGACATGTATAGCAGCTTTACTAATAATTGCTAAAATTTGTAAGCAACCAAAATGTCCTTCAGTAGGTGAATGGATAGACTGTGGTACATTCAGACAGTAGAACATTATTCATCCCTTTAAAAAATGAGCTATCAAGCCATGTAAAGATAAGGAGAAACCTTAAATGCATCTTACTAAGTGAAATAATTCAATCCAAAAAGGTTACATACCATATCATACCATGTGCTTCCAACTATATGACATTCTGGAAAAGGTAAACCTATGGAGACAGTAAAAAGGTCAATGGTTGTCAAAGGTTAGGAAGGAATAGATGAGTAGGTGAAACAGAGTATTTTTAAGGCGGTGAAATGGCTCTGTGTGATAGTATAATGGTAGATACATGCCATTTGTCAAACCCATAGAATGTACAACGCCAGAAATGAACACTAATGTAAACTCTGGACTTTCAGTGATAACAACTTGTTAATGTAGGTTCATCGATTGTAAAAAATGTACCACCCTGGTGTGGGATGTTGATAGCAGGGTAGCCATGCCTGTGTGGGGGCAGGTGCATGTGGAAACTCTCAGTACTTTCTGCTCAATTTTGCTGTGAAACTGAAACAGCTCTTAAAAAATAAAATCAATTTAAATTGTAGGATGGGCGTGGTGGCTCCTGGCTATAATCCCAGCGCTTTGAGAAGCTGAGGCAGGAGGATCACTTGAGCCAAGCCTGGGCAACATAGAGAGACCCTATCTCTACAAAAATTTAAAAATAGCTGGCTGTTGTGCGTGTCTGTAGTCTCACCTACTCTAGAGGCTGAGGAGGGAGGCTCACTTGTGCTAAGGAGATGGAAGCTGCAGTGAGCTATGACTGCACCACTGCACTCCAGCCTGGGCAACAGAGGGAGATCCTATCTCAAAACCCAAGAAAATTAAATAGTATCTACAAGAAATATTTAACTTAACATTATTACACAGAGATAATATCCATATACAAACACATGGGTAAATATTGTTAATTCATCAAGCATTTGCTTATCCTCTTCTATGTTTCATCTGCAGTTGCAGATACTAGGGCTCCTCAGTCTAATAAATGGTTAAAATTTCAGTGAGAATAGCAGACAAGTAAATTAACAGTTATAACACAACTTGATAACTATGATGAGGAAAAGTAAGCATTCTCTCCTCTTTTAATCTTTCTGTTCCTGGCTTCCTGTAAATTCACATAGTCAAGCCTAGAAGACAAAAAAAGCTGACCTTTCAGTTGTTTTGATTTTTCTTCTGTGCCGCACCTGTGACCTCAAAGCTTTAGATGACTAACTTTGGCCACTGGGGAAGTTAAACTGACTTGCCCTGACCTTTCATGACCTACCTTGAGACTAAATCCAAGCCTAGAGAAACAGTCACTGGTGTGGGCAGAGCTCTAGTTCAGCTGTGTTTATCAAGAGAGGGTCTCAGGGGTGTCTTTCTGCAGTGCAACCTCTGTGGACTCCATTTTTAATGACACTTGGAGTCATTAATACGTTTGTTCCTTTTACTCTAATCCACCGTTTAAAATACTATATGACTTAATGACTAGTGGTAGGTAGTGATTCTGCTCTAACAATTTCCTTAGAGCAAGTGAAAGTAGGAAACAGAATAGAATCAATTAACAATATTTATCAGCCTCATTTGATGGGGACAGCAGTCTCAATCAAAGTGGACAGGATGCCAGTTCTGATCACAGGTATCTAGAAGGGAAAGGAGGGACAGATTATGCAAACTATTTTCTGATCCACCACTCTCTCATAACTATGGACTTCAATAATTACTATTGATCTGTCCCTGGTGTTTAGTATTACCTTGGATAAGTCACTTAATCTCTGTCTCTCATTTACTCAAATGAAAATATTACCCTAGTTCAATAGTCTTCAAACCTGGTTATATGCTAGAAACCTCTTTTGACAAATGATGATCTCCAGGCTCCCTCCCAGAGCAACTAAATTCAGACCTCTCAGATCTGGGCTTGGGTATGGGCATTGGTGTTTTTGCTTGTTTTTTACCTGCCCTGGGGATTCAAATATACAGATTTCACAGAGAAGCAGTTGGAAAGAGGATCTTAAAGACCCTTCTAACTCCCAGGATCTCTGAATCTATGGACTGTTCAAGGCCTAAAGCCACTCACAAGAATGAACATGTTTCCCTCAAGCGCATTTAAACAAATTAGTTTATTTTCAACTTTTTAATTCATTTAACCAGATACAGATTGAGATAGTGTTGCAGGTTAGACCCTGTGGGAGTCATTGAGGAAAATGCTGATTCCTAGACTTGGCCACAGAGTTTCTGAGGCAGAATTTGAAATGTGAGGCACAGAAGTGGGACTGACTACGTAATTCGTGGGCCCCAGGGAAAAATGAACATGGGGATCCCTTGTTAAAAAAAAATTAGGAATTCCAAGATGGTGGCAGCAGTGCATGAACCCAAATGCAAGACTCTTCTAAACATGCAGTCCCATGTGACCGCACAGGTTGTACACTCGTGAAGTTGCCCCTGCACCAAAATTTGTTACAGAAATTCCACAAGTCATCTTGATAGGTCACTCAGTTTGGTAACCACCATTATAGGAAATTAAAAGATGAATAATTAATTGCATTTATCATAATATAGTGGGAGAACAGGTCAACACAAGTCAATGGGCTAGTCAGTCACCTTCGAATCTGAAGAACATAGACTCACTTAGGATTTTTTAAATATAACAGAATTTTACAGAGGAAACTGGAAAGAGGAGACACTTAAAAAAAAAAAAAAAAAAAGAACTTCTAGTGCAGAAATCTAGTGCTCACTGGGACCAGCCATTGGTGTCCATTGGAGATCTAAGGAGCTCTGCAAACCAACCACACCAGTTACACCTCTTCTGCTTGCAGGAGATATAAAAGTTAATCCGCTTTCTTGTGAGAAAATGACATTGGCTCACGTGACAGAAAAGCCTGTATGTAGGGCTGACTTCAGACGTGCTTGACAGGACCTGGTTCTCCATTCTTTACTTGACTCTAGTCTCCTTATTTTATTGGCTTCTTCCTGAGACAGGTTCTCTATATGGTGTTAAAATGCTGTTGCAGCCATTCTAGACTTTATGGCTGATGGTAAGGCGGGCAGCTCATTTCCCCAAGAGTCAAACTGTCTTCTCCTGGTTGGCAGGGATCCAAATTATTCCCCCTTCTTAAAGATGAGACATGCTGATTAGCATAGGTCCCCATCTGAGTTCTTTGAGGGAAAGCTATGTTTGTCTTCCTTTTACAGATGAAGAAATTGGAGTAGAGAGGGCTATAGCTTGCCAAGGTCATAAAGCCAGTGAAAGCAAAGCCTGGAATTTGAATGTAGGCACCTGACTTGAGGACCCACTTTATTAGCCACTTAATTGTTTTAAAATTTCTGACTAAAGAGACTTTTCATTTTTAGCTTTCTTACTCTTAAATTCAGCTTTCCCATAACTTCAGAACACCGGTGACCCTCACGACTTACACGATTCCATCTGATATATTGGCACACGCTGCCAACTCTGTAATTTTCTGTGTTTTTTGTCTACGCAGATTCTTTTTTTTTTTTTTTTGAGATGGAATTTCACTCTGTCATCCAGGCTGGAGTGCAGTGGTGAGATCTCCTCTCACTGCAACCTCTGCCTCCCGGGTTCAAGCGATTCTCCTGCCTTAACCTCCTGAGTAGCTGGGATTACAGGCACATGCCACCACACCCAGCTAATTTTTTGTATTTTTAGTAGAGACCAGGTTTCACCACATTGGCCAAGCTGGTCTCAAACTCCTGACCTCAAATGATCTGCTTGCCTCAGCCTCCCCTTCCAAATGCTGGGATTACAGGAGTGAGCCACCATGCCTGGCCCTATTCATATTCTTGATTGAGAGAATATGATCAGTCTAGTTTGACCTTGTTTGAACACAACTTTATATGTCAGGCTTCTTCACTGGCCACGAGACAATTATGATGGGTCAGGGGCTGTCTCTTGGTCTAATAACCTTTATGAAGTGAAGGCTGGTCCTGATGATGTAATGTTCAGGCAGTCTCTCCTTCCCTCTTTCCTTGCCTACTATTCCTCCACATCCAGCTGGCTTGGAGCATGGCTAGGTCTCTTAGAATTAGACTTTAAGATTTACCTGTGAAATAGTACACACTACATGTGTGTAGTGGGAAGTATACTATGAGGCAAGTAAAATGTGGGTAAGGCTGGCCCAAGCACAGTTCTGTGAAAATTAAAAGGAGAGGCCTCATTTTGCATGGTCTTTTGAGATGTGGCCATAGGATGGTCTTGGAGATGAGTAAGAATGATCAATCAGGTAAAGGGAACTGCAGGAACAGGACATGGGGGTTAAAAGACTTGCCTGTTCCAGGCATTGCATGTTTGTTTTAGACATCGTGATCAGTCACTTCTTTTCTCAAGAGACATATTAAACAACTACTGTATTCTCAAAGATGTGTGTCTGTGTGTGTGTTTCTGTATCTGTGTCTGTATGTGTGTATATCAAAGAAGTCACCATTTGCAGACTTCCAGACTTCTTACTCTATGGGCCATAGTGGGCTTTATGTTAGTTGTGAAGTCCTGCAATCTAAACTCAAGTGCCCTCTGTGACAATTCATCTTTGACTTTTCCAAGAAGATTTGGCCAACTTGCCTCTGTGATGGCGCAGGTCCTCTGAAAAGCGGATACCATAATGGAATTCAGTTGCAGGAGATTTATTGGAGAAAGTGTTGATGAGGAATAAAGGGTAGAGGGAACAGGAGAAAGTTAAGGAGAGCCTTTAGGTCATGATGCAGTTCTGATACCTACAAACGGGGAGAGGGAGAATGGGTTGGGAAGAAAGAGCTTCTGACCACAGTGCAGCTCCTAGAAGGTGTCACTAGGGCAAAAGGAGAGTCTAGAGTAGAGGCTGCCTATTAGAAGAGTCCTGCATTGGGCAGGAGTGTCCTGGACTGGCACATCTCCAGGAGAGTGTGACTTTGAGTGAACATCCTGGTGGATCTGGAAGTAACATCTGAAGGCTGTCGGCCAGCCACTCATCATAGCAGATACTGTCTTAAAAAGAGATTGGAGCAGCCCCCACCCTGGCTTATACCTTCAAAAAATAAGACTTTTTATATTGTATGTCATATTATTCAAGTTAAAAAAATATATATTTTTCACTCCTGAATGATAATTGTTGATATATTTGGCCCCAGTAAGTTTAGCTCCTTGAGAAGAAAGACTGTATTATTTTTCCTTTCTGAAATCTCAACATCTAGTAAAGCACACAGTATTCAGTAAATACTTATTGAACAAATGAATGAATAATCCAAGCAATTAACCATTCAATAAAGGGTTTTCAGTGAAGAAGTTAAATGATTGAAGTCAATCTTTTGAGAGGTTATTCTGGCATTGCTGTAAGCTTAGTGGTGCAATAGAAAAATGTGGACTCTCCAGTCAGAAGGTCCTAGGGCTAAATCACATTTTAAACTGCTTGTTAGGTTTATATTTTTGGTCAAATAACCTGGCTTTTCTGAGCCTCAGTTGCCTCATGTATAAACCTAGAATAATACCTACTTAATGGCTTTTTCTGAGCATTAAAAGAGATGATGCCTAATCTGGTTTGGCTGTGTCCCCACCCAAATCTCATCTTTAATTGTGGTTCCCATAATTCCCACATGTTATGGGAGGGACCCAGTGGGAGATAATTTGAATCATGGGGGTGGTTTCCCCATACTTTTCTTATGGTAGTGAATAAGTGTCATGAGAGCTGATGGTTTTATAAGGGGAAACTCCTTTCACTTGGTTCTCATTTCCTCTTTATCTGCTGCCATGTAAGATGTGCTTTTTGCCATGATTGTGAGGCCTCCCCAGCCATGTGGAACTGTGAGTCCATTAAACCTCTTTTTCTTTATAAATTACCCAGTCTTGAGTATGTCTTTATCAGCAGCATGAAAATGGACAATGCCCAAAATGGCTGATACAGAGCCTGGCATACAGGAGAATTCCTGTAAATGCTGCCTCATTTACCTGCTTCCTAGAATTGAATCTCCAATTTGCTACTAAAGAGAGTAACTTTATTTCCCTATTCTTCACAATGAGGCTGAAGGAGCAAGGACTGATCCCAACAGTGACCTCAAAAGTTCAATATTTGACATAATAATCTAATTGATATATTTACTAGGTATATTGTCTTTTAGTTCTCTTAACAGTCTCTTTATCACTAATGCAACAAAATGAGGATTAATGAAACAAAATCTGCATTAGTACAATTGTCATTTTCAGAGCGGGAGACTGAGGTTCACAATGTTAAATAATTCACCCTAGGTCACATTTCAGTAAAGGAAATTACAGGATTCAAACCCAAGTCTTTGTTGAGTTTGAGCTCCTAACCATTATACTGGCTATGTAGTGATGGACAAGCAGTTAGGAGACCTTGGTAGCCCTTGAACCAAATCTTGGGTTCTGTAAGGGTGTTCCCAAGATCCCAAGAAATTAGCATGAACCAGGCAATAATACCACCTGAAGAGAGAGCATTAGGACTTGAGACACGTCTCCCTTTTGTTAGGGTGTTCTGCCCTCTGCTGGTTGCTTTTAATATTTTTTTTTTTTTAATTTTTTTTTTTTTATTATACTTTAAGTTTAATATTTTTATACATTTGGGTCATTTAAAATGCCAAGTATTCAGGTCTTCTTGGTAGTAGTCAAATTAGTGAAAGAAAGAATACTTCATATTATATGTAATTAGCTTATAAATATATGACTATTTGACTACTTTCAAGTATGGGTGTGTGTCTCTCACCCACAAAGCTATAAAGCCTAATACAGTGCCTGTCACACAATAGGTTATAAGCAAATGCTGTATAAATGAATGGCTGGGAACTCACACACAGAAAGAACACAAAAAAGTAAAGTGTAGGACTGAATATAAATATATAAAATATATATTCTGACAGGTTTGGTGCTCAGTGTTTCTTGAGTGAATGAATGAATCCAACAATTGACTAATCTATCAACCAACATTGACATTTCTGTGATTACAATAGAATCATGGTTGACAACCTGTGTCCTCTTTTGAGCCTAAAATTGGTTTAGTCAACAAACAACTTCTTTTCCTTATTTCTTACTGAAATCTTGTAACCTTCTATTTCTTATTGATAAAAGGCAGCATGGTGACAGGAAGCACTTCTTCCCCAGGTAGTGATAATTTGGAGAAAATACTTTTAAGTATGAAAACCTTGAAATGTGGCTGAAAAATTCTGATCGTTTGAGATTTAGGAATTTTCTCACTCATCTCCTTCTTTTCCGTCCTTCCTCTTCACTTTCTTTCTGTTTAACAAAAAATAAATTTGAAAACCCTTTTTTTTTTTTAATTTATATTTTCTCTCGTTTTCTCTCTATTAGTGGAGCTTTCAAGGATATGGTCACTCTTTGAAAGCAGCAACAATGGGAGACATGTTAGATTTCCTTCCCCCACCTCATCCCACCCAAAAGTAGAGCAATTATTATAGGAATGATTCCAGTCGTTTCCCCCTCCAGTGTCAACTATGAATAATTTACTATTTCAGAACTGGATATGCAAATTCATCATGCAGATCAGCAAAACTGGGAGGCTATCCATGGGCACACAGACTTAATGAGTGTTTTATTACCTTCCAAACAGCGCTCCCCAGCATGCCTGTTTAGCATTTGCTGAACACTTGCTTGGAACTAATGAGATCATCCCAAACCTCAGGTGATCATTACCAGGGGCTTGGCTCTGCAGTTCCTCTGGGAAAAAATGAAAAATGCTGGAGAAAGAGGAATGAGGGCACTGTCAGGAGTGATGACATCTGCTTTTCTGAATTTTCAAAATTGTTTCATATCGTTTGGATTCTAAGTAAAAGACATCTTAGAAGATAGGAAAATATCTCAATGACATATTGAGGGCATTTTCCCCCTAACTTCGTATTTTAAAGTGGAATATAGGCATATCTATCTATCTATCTATCTATCTATCTATCTATCCACCTAACTACCTATCATGACTTAAGAAAACCTGTGTTCTGATTTAATACTCTGAATCACGATTGACTACTTTGAGTCAACCACAATAACAGCAAAATTGTAGTCCCTCAATTCAGTTCAATGTAGCTGATTCTTCCAATCAGTCACAGTAAAGGGGCATTGGGTGTTTTCCACAATAATAAAAAAAATTAAATGTAGTATATTCATGTAAAATACATAAAATTGTATTACATTTTAATATATAATTACTAATAGTAATAATAATTTTATTATTTTAAAAGTTATAAAGGCATTATATTTCAGAAGTTCAGAGAAGAAAAGAAAAAAGAAAAAAAGCATTCCTAATCCCACCATAACACAACCACAATGAATGTTGAGTTTTATTTTCTTCCTGTCTTCATTATACACAACCATATTTTATAGGCCTATATACAGCGATCTTGTAATTTTGTATCCTGAGTTTTTTCACTTACTATTTGCGCATACTATTACTATTTTAAGCATTTTTATACTATAATTCAATATTTATGATGATTATTTTAATACCTCTGTAATGTTTCATCAAGTGAGCATAGCTTACTTGCGAATCCACTGTAGTGTTTCTCGTTAATAAATTTCAGATGTAGAGATTTATATGCTCTGAAAACTAATGCCTAGAATCCTACACCAAGTTTTAACAAATACTGTTCTTTTTTACATATTTTAAAACCACAGTGTGAAAGGGGTTGTTAGTTGACCCAGGTTCTATAACTGTCTCACCCATTTGTACTACTTTCAACATCTTTCCGAATGCTAATCGTCCATGTCTATAAAGTCGGGCTTAGTATACCTGCTTTAGCTTACCTAAAAACCCTGTGGTGAGTACTCCATGAAGGAAAGCACTTTTAGATCTTGAAAGCATGTATGCAACTTACTACGTCATTTGGTTGATTTTCTAAATGTTATGTTATGTAAGCCCTTTGCTGTGCTCTTAATCTTGGAATGGCAGGATGGTCTCAGCAGCTCCACTATAGAAAGCTCCACTATCAACCCTAAAAATTGAAAGCAAGCAGATCATGTTTGTGGTTAGCTGGGGTCCTGAAAAATGTACAGAATAAGGCATGGTGGGCTTTGCTTGCAACTTTTGGGGCTGCCTAAGAGGTGCCTTTTCTTGGACCCTCAGAAACGCTCTGCCTTGGGGTTCATCTTTCCCTGACTCTCACATTGTCATTTAGACCTGATCCTCTTCCAACTGGGGTCTTGCCATTTTCATCCTAGGCTTGATAGTTATTTAATTCCAACTGGCTTTCTTCTGTGTTGAGGTTAAGAAGACTTCAGACACATGTGGGTTTTGGAGAAAGTGAAGGCAGCCCAAGCTACCTGGCTTTAGATGCAATCACTTATATAATTAAATAATCAGATCAATGATAATTTTATACTGCTGATAAATTTGGGGGTGTGATTTCATACACAGATCTTTCTTTCTCTCTGGTGCGCTCTCTGTCTCTCTCTTCCTTCAGCAAGTGTGACAGTGTGGGAAACAAAAACCATTTTGCCATCTTCATATAACCACAAACCAGTAGGCACAATTAAGTGTGACATACCAGTGAGTACAATTATAACGAGAGCCACAAAACAACAAAACCTATTTAAGAAACCATTGATGAAGGCAATATGCAATACTATGAAAGTAACAGCAAGGCGGTTCCTGGTGTGCTCAAGTACAACTCTAGAAAAATAAAGGCGTCCCTTTTTCTTTTTTTTTTTTTTTTGAGATGGAGTCTCGCTCTGTCACCCAGGCTGGAGTGGAATGGTGTGATCTCAGCTCACTGCAACCTCCGCCTTCCGGGTTCAAGCGATTCTCCCGCCTCAGCTTCCGGAGTAGCTGGGATTACAGGCAACCGCCATCATGACTGGCTAATTTCTTTTTTTTTGTATTTTTGCAGAAACCGGGTTTCACCATGTTGGCCAGGCTGGTCTCAAACTTCTGACCTCAGGTGATCTGCCTGCCTCGGCCTCCCAAAGTGTTGGGATTACAGGCATGAGCCACCACGCCCAGCCAGGTGTGCATTTTTATTTCACTAGCGGACATAATGCAATGTGCAATGTTAAGGGAAGAATTAGTATTCCTTATGAAAATGGATATTTACCACTCACCAACCAGTGTTTTCCTAGTAAGAGATTATTCCATTCTTTTTCATTTGCCGATTTTCATAATTATTTTGCCCAAGTTTTCAGAGAATGCAAACTCATAGGCAACCTGTCACTTATGTTGATTTTGTCCCTGGTGTATAATTAGGCTCCCTGCATCTGATGCCACTCCCCTTGTTTCTCTGCCTCCCTTGCCATTAGATGGGGCCACAGGACCAATTCCAGTCAATGGCCTGAAAACCAAAGTGACTGTTAGGCCTGGCACGCCTCCCCCATTCTTTCCTCTCCCTTTTGCAGCAACCTTGGGGGTCATGCCTTCCAGATGGAGATTCAAGATGAAACAAGGTACAAGATAAAAAAACAGCTGTTGAATCCACATCAAACTGTGATACAAGTGAAAAACAAACTTTTATTGCATGAAGCCACTGAGATTTCTGGGCTTCTCTGTGGCAGCAGTTAGCATTAATTAACCTAACTAATACAGCTCTACAACAAAGTAAGTTGAAATGCTCAAATGGTTTGGGCAAGGGACACATCTGCATATCTTGCCAGCCTTTCACACATCAAATTAGAGAACTGAGGCCGCTGCACAGAGAATTTAAATTCAATGCTCAATTATTTCCAAGTGACCATTTTTTATAATGTGAAATTTGCACAGTGGCCATGATGATCTCTTTGCTGCTGCTTAGGATGTCTTAGTTCTGCTTGTGGTCATCTTTTCTAGGCTGTTACCAAAGAGCTGATATTATGTGATTAGTTTCCATTTCCAGCATGACCTAATAAAATGCTTTGGCAGCATGTAGTTGCCAAATATGTGTTTTACGAATGAATGAATGAATGAATGAATGAATTTTAAGCATCTATCTGATATTTTAAATATCTATTTGATTTCCAGAAATATAAATGACAACTTAGTAGCTTGTTGTCTCGTAAGACAGACAGACAAGTTTTCCTAGGGGTATGCCGTACACTGAGAAAAGAGGAGGATGTGGAATCAGAAGTTCTGAGTCTAAAATCTCACCTCCACAGTGCCAGGCTCCAAGGCATTCTGCAAGACTTCTATCCTCCTTCAGCCTGTTCCCCATTCCCCACAAGACTAGAAAATAAGGTGATGTTTCATTGCATTGTGAAAATTAATGAAAATACCTGATATCTCATCAGAAAAAATAAAGGACTTTCTCCATAAATGTTAATTACCACTTCTGCTCTGGGAAATCACAAACTAAGAGATAAGGAGGAAAAAAAAAATCCTCCAGTTCAGACGACTGATGATATATGACCACAAGGTGACAGCATTGAGTCAATACCATCTATTTTTCTGGCATAAAGGAGGAAGAGTGTCAATTCTGAATGTCTAAAAATGTATATTATCCAGTGTGAACACACAACAGATAGTTGCTAAAAACTATAAGATATGAGCGTTATAATCTCAGGGGCGTTGCGCTGTGTCTCCACATTTTTATTGCTTTCTAAGGCTTAGAAAATCATTCGCGTTGACATGTTGTTGTTAATGTTGATATGCAATGGAAATGGGGAAGTTTTTGTTCTCTTTGCCTGGGGAAGTTTTTTTCTCTTTGCCTAGAGAAGTT
Source organism: Homo sapiens (assembly GCF_000001405.40). Taxonomy (NCBI): domain Eukaryota; kingdom Metazoa; phylum Chordata; class Mammalia; order Primates; family Hominidae; genus Homo; species Homo sapiens. The sequence goes on along the minus strand of NC_000004.12, from coordinate 12,724,411 downwards.
TATCAGAGGATTATCAGGCTTTTACAGAGAGGAAAGAAAAGTTTCCAATTCTTTTTCTGGGGGGCATTTCAATTTTTCTAGTGCAGAAGAAAGACTCTTCCCATAAAGATTGATTACTGAACAGTAGGACAGTTACCCCGCTGCCTCTGGGAAGCAGAGCAATCTCAAAAGTTCAGATACAGCTCTCAAAGCCTGGCCGTCCTTCCTTCCAAACTTCTGGGGCTTCCCAAGAGTAGACCTTCCGTTTGTCCCTCAGAAACTCTCTACCCTAAAATTCAACTCTCCTCATAAGAATTTCACTCTCTTCTAGACCCTGTTGCCCTTCCTGCTGGGATCTTGCCGCCCCTCACTTTGTCCTTTGGTCTTGGTTGAAAGTCATTTTGTTCCTGCTGTTTTTCTGTTGTGTGAACTTGTGAGGGCGCCAGATTCCTGTGTGCTGACGAGAGAATGGAGAGACACTGCATGTCTTAAAAAAAAAAAAAAAAAAATTGAAATAGTTCAAATATTGAGGAAAGTATGGAATACATCAACACCTGTGTACTCGTCATCTAAATTTAACAAATGCTATCATTTCAGCTCTTAGAAAAACAACAACAAATCATTACAGAGAGCTGAAGTCTCCACGTACAATCTTATTTTCTCTTTCCATCACCAAAGATAATGATTACCCTGGTATTTTGCAGTTCATGTTTTAATTACTGGGCTACTTATTTATGTGTAATTATGGAGGTAATTCTGAACTGTGTGCATACTTACCCTGCTTTGAAAATGCAGAGAATGAGATGGGCAGGAGCAGAATCATTCTGCACTCACTTACCCCTCTCTCCTGCTTTCTAGAGACCCACACGACTTTCTGTCTGGCCCCATCTTTCTTTCATGTTCTCACTTCTCAGAATGCTGGTATTAAAATAGCATGCTATTTAAACTCAAAGGGCATGGGGTTGGAATCCCAGCTCTGCTATAAATGAGCTGGAAGACTGTGGGCAAATCACATCATTTATCTGAGCTGTATCAGGTTATCAATGTAAAATGTATGAAATAATACTATTTCCATGGGGATCATTAATTTACTCTAATTACATATGGTAGCTTTTCATCAAAATTGAAAATTGCACATTTCTTGTGCTTGGCACTAGAAGTGCAAACACAAATCAAATGCATAGCCAGGAAAATAAATCTTATTTTTGAGAGGAAAACAGGTGCATTAACAACAATTATTATCCAACATGATTAGTATGACAAGACAGGTGTTTACAAACTGTTATGGGAGTCCAGGAAAGGAAAATATCAGTTCTTTACTTAGACATCAAAGGGAGTTTTGTTCTTGTTGTTTGTTCATTAGTTTTTCCACTTTTCATTTCTTTTTTTCCCCAAGGTGATAATTTGAGTTGTGCTGTATACATATGATGGGGAAGAAAAAGGAAATCCACATTTGTTTGGCATTTTTGAAGTTACAAGTACCAACCATATCCGATTTTACTTTCTTTTGCATCTGTCAATGTACATTTTCTAATTTCTTTATCTAGCACTTATATAGTATCTGGCATGTTTTTAAAACAATATTTTGACCTTGTTTTCCAGATTAAAAATCTGAGACTCGGAGAAGAATCACAAGGCATCCAAGGTCACATGACAATTAACAACTACCAGCAGGTCCCCACATCCTCTCCTGACCCCCATGGAGCGGGGCTGGAGGTATGGGAACAACCTCCATTCATTCTCCTCTCAATCAACATTATTTGGGGAGATCTCTTCCAAGTCAAAATTGGTCTTTTATTTTTTTAATTTTTTTGAGACAAGGTCTCACTCTGTCACCCAGGCTGAAGTGCAGTGGCACCATCTCAGCTCACTGCAATCTCTGCCTCCCCAGTTCAAGTGATTCTTGTGCCTCAGCCTCCCAAATATCCAGGACTACAGTTGTGTGCCACCATGCCCAGCTAATTCTTGCATTTTTAGTAAAGACAGGGTTCCACCATGTTGGCCAGGCTGGTCTTGAACTCCTGGCCTCAAGTGAACTGTCCTTCTTGACCTCCCAAAATGCTGGGTTTATAGGTGTCAGCCACCATGCTCAGCTGGCCCTGTTTTATTGGCCACTTTTGCCAGCATTTGACAAGGTGACTTTTTTCCTCCTCTTCAGAGCTCTCAGCTACTCTAGGAGCCTACCCTCTCCTGTGCCTCTCTGAGACCCATGCCTTGTAGGATCCTCTCAGCTTCTTCAAAGAGCAGTAATTTTCAGAATTGACCTTTAATTTATTGCTACTTTAGTTTACTTATTTTTATCACAGGTCCTTATGGCTGTTCTCACAGTTTCAGCCCCAACCTACATGCGAAACACTCCTTGCCCAACTCGCTGGTTCTCACCATTGGGTTTTACTTGAGAGTTTCTTCATCAAAGGAGCCCAGCCTTCCCTGCACCTGACAGAATCTCAATCTTATATCCTCCCACCATTTTCCTCCATAACACTAGTTATGATGTTAAATTATACAATTTCATGGGTTGTTTAGGATTTTTTTCCTCTTCAAAACTTCTAGGAAGATAGAATATATCTGTGTAACTTAAAATTGTATATCCATTGTCTAGTATGACAAAGTACATAGTAAATGCTAAATAAACATTAAACACACACACACACACACACACACAAGGCTGGGCATGGTGGCTGACCCCTGTAATCCCAGCACTTTGGGAGGCCAAGGCGGGTGGATCTCCTGAGGTCAGGAATTCAAGACCAGTCTGGCCAACATGGCGAAACCCTGTCTCTAATGAAAATACAAAAATTATTATCTGGGCATGGTGGCGGGTGCCTATAATCTCAGCTACTCAGGAGGCTGAGGCAGGAGAATCGTTTGAACCCGAGAGGTGGAGGTTGCAGTGAGCTGAGATTGTGCAATTGCACTCCAGCCTGGATGACAAGAGCGAAACTCTGTCTCAAACAAACAAAAGCAAACAAACAAAACACACAAAAACAAATTCTCAGATATTCATCTTTCGTTTGTAACATATCACCTTTGTGAACTCTAAGCCTATAAATCTGGCTTGTTACATTAATATCCAATAGGCAGGGCAGACACAGGAGGAATGCTTGCATCTAAACACAATTTCCCCTGTATTCTCTAAGCGACTAAAAGGCTTTGGGTCCCCACTGTCCAAATGGACAATCACCAGACTCGGTTCTCATTCATCAGATGCCTTCTTTCTTTCCTTCTCCTCCATTCAAATAATCACCACTCATGCTGACTGCCCTACTAAGTATTTTGCAAATTGATCGCTCCTTCACATCATGTGATTGTGGACCTACTTTAAATCCCATCTTCTCCTGTAAGTATCACTTTCAACAGCCTTATTGAAAGCTACCCGTGGTAGTTTGGTTTTCTAAACTTCCTACATTTTCAAACCACCTCAGAATTTCTTCTGCTGTGTTCGTCATATATCTATAGCAACTCCACTATTATTCATGTAGTTAAAAATAGACTAATCTTTTCAAACTTAGCTAAAATTTTGCTCAACAATATGAATGAAAACATCAGTTTCATATGAAATTATAATTTTTCCAGTATACAATGAGTACATAGTTATTAAAAATATTAATTTAAATGCCACCTCAAATTTCATCATATCACACATCCCATGTCACACAACCCTCCCAACACTGACTTGGTCCTTACCGTGTACTGTTCGTGCTGGAAGGGCTTCCTTTACCTTATTTAATTGAATATACTATGTCTTTTCTAATTGAGTCATTGTAGCAAGTACTGTGGTAAGTATTATTATGTCTATTTTGCAGAGGAGAAAACTGGAAGTTAGAGAGGTTAAGTGATGAGATAAGTCAGCTCTGGGCAACAGAGCCCACCTTTACCCAGGGCTCTGACACCCCTAACCAGGCTCTGTTATCAGTCTTGTTCCCCTCAATCTTTATCACTTGAATTCCTCGCTTCACACCCTTCAATGTCACCCCGTTGCTGATAGGAAAAGCCCACACATCTTAGCAGGGTACATCAGACCCCACTGGAGTGGTGCCTTTCTACCTATTCCATCTTGTCTTTCAGCACACACTGACTAGTGCTCTGTGCTCCACGATCTCTGACCAGTTGGCTGGAGTACATTCCTCTGGCTTCTCAGTGTCTGCTGATGCTATCTCCTAAGGTCGAAAGGCTTCTCCCTCTGCTGCTCTACCTTGTCCTATTTGTCTTACATCTTCTCCTACTTTACAATTGTTTGCAACCTCCCCTACTTTCAAGGCCCTTCTTGATATCTCCTATCCCCCATCTGCAGAGTGGCTTGCTTGATTCTCCTCTGCAATCCTAACATCGTGTGTGTATTTCTATTGCAGACCTCACATCATATTACAACTGCTGTGCTCCCGTCTCCTTCTTATAAGGTGATATCTTTTGCAGAGAAGACCTGTGTGTCCCTTGTCTCTGTATCTAGCAAACCTAGTGAGCACCAGGTTCAAAGAATCATCATTAAATACATGAACTGATTCTATTTAATGAGCAACTTTGTGAGAATAGGAACTCATCACCATCTTTGTATTAGTTTCCCGCAAGAGACGTAAGTATGTATTGAAATAAACTATTTAAAAATTTTCTGTATTTGGAACATTGTCTTGCTATTCTGACCTAACTTAAAACTAGATTATTTTTTCAAAGGAATCTAGTTGGGTTCCAAGGGCGATATTAAATCACTTTATTTTTTATATTTAGGTGCCTTTTTATGTAGAAAGTGGAATTCTGTAGGCCTCTTCTATTTGTTCCTTAAAGAATTTAACTCTTCAGCTTTCCGAGAGGCACACTGCCTGTTTCTGTTGATGAAGACATTGCGGAGGCAAAGCACCTTCCCAAATTCTGACTGTTCAGCTCTTGGATTTGCACCCTGTCTTCAGTAACTCTTTTTAATTAGCCCCTTGATAGTTTTCCTTCACTCCAAAAATACCATTTTGCTGTAGGGAGACAAGGACAATCTCTTTTCTCTGAGAGATAATCCTAGATTTCCACTGCTGAGTCAGATAAAAGTAGTAACATATTTCAGAGGGTGCTTTTTATCTAAACATGTGTGCTGAACCATCTTTGCAGATCTCTGCATGGTGAATACAGTTCATTAGAAGCCTATGCAAGTGACATATTTCTACATCATAGTCGATTTTGAATTAGGGTATTTTTATAATCGTTTTGATCATCATTTAATTTCCTCCCTTCCTTTCAGTGGATTTGCTTTTTATCTACTGGATGAAACTTTACCAGACCTGAAGATTTAGCAAATATCCGTTCTTCTCTGGTCTTCTCTTATCCCATTCACTCTACCTTGGTTGGAACCATTTTCTTCCGAATGGGGGAATGAAGGCCTCACTTTATTTCTATTTCTATGAAAACTTCCTGGAACTGAGCTTGGTATATGAATTCCTCCTCTGCTGGGAAGCAAGATACTTAAGGACACAGAGTATGGTTGTCTCATAATTGTCTTGTCAGTGCCTGGGTATTTATTCATCCATTATTGCATTGCTACCAAGAAACACCTTAGACTGGGTGATTTATAAAGAAAAGAGGTTTAACTGGCTCATGATTCCACAGGCTGTAGAAGCGTGCTGCTGGGTTCCGCTCAGCTTCTGGGGAGGCTTCAGGAAACTTAAAATCATGCTGGAAGGTGAAGAAGGGGCAGGCACTTCACATAGCCAGAGCAGGAGCAAGAGAGAGAGAGAGAGACGGGGGAGGTGCCACACGCTTTTATACCACCAGATCTTATGAGAACTCACTTACTATTGTGAGAACAGTACCAAGAGGATGGTGCTAAACCATTCTTGAGAAACCTGCCCCCATGATTCAATAACCTCCCACCAGGCCCCACTTCCAAAATTAGGGATTGCAATTGAACATGAGATTTTGGTGGGGACACACATCCAAACCACATCAAGGTGCTATTTAAGTATTTGTTGCGATGAATGAAAACGAAGTGGTTGGTTTCTTTGTCTCCCGGTTTTCCTGGCCTGACAAAGGAGAGCTTCTGGGATCTGCCGTGAGTGCTGCTGTCTTCCTCTCTTCTCACTCCTTGTCTGGCATCTGAGCCACTTGGAGCCCACACAGAGCTGCATCCCCAAGCCCACCCTGCCCACATCCAACTCTGCTATGTGTTCTGAACATGACTTGTGTTACTCATACCCTAACACTTGACTACTAGGCAATAGGATCTTTGACGGCTGAGAAGAAGGTAGATTCTCTTATTCAAAGTCATGTTTTTGATACTTTGTATAGCATATGACACAGACTAGGTTCCAAGCCAATATTGATTAAATGAATGAGGGTACATTAAGGGATCTATCCTCCCATCTGCTCCCAAACCCAGATTTATCTCTGCGGTTTAGTTCTAATACAGTTTCTTGTGGAAGGCTTCCAAGATCGTTTCCGTACCTCTTGGATATGGTCCCACTCTTTTGTAATCCCATAATGTCTTCACAGACAGATAAAGATATTTCTTTATCACACCATGTTGCAATTCTCTCTTTATTGATCTCTGTTGCTCTCCTAAATAATTATGGGCTCTGTGAAGGTGATGGTTTTAACTGAGGCTTCCTAGTTTTCCTGACTCTTGGGGCTTTACTGGCAATAGACACTGAAGATATATTTGTTGTATAAATAAGCAAGAAAGAAATATGTAATGTTTTGCAGCATTATTATATCCTTTGAAAGTGGGAAGTTATTCCCAATGACAAGCATTCGTTGAAATGCCACTAGCTCTCTGAAGAGGTGCAACTGGGAAGAAAAGGAATAGCATAAGCAAAGAAGCAAATTATAAGATGTACCAGTCCTTGAGGTCTAGAAAATGCCTTTGCAAAGCGTCTATTGATTCCCAGAAACCTGTTAACACTCAGATGACAATAAAAAACGTGCAGACAAAGATAGCAAGGAAAATGAAGCTTCTTAAATATATCCAAAGCCATATGTTTTGGGTAGGGATATTGGGCAAGTAATTCCTTGGGAGAGATGGCCACTACTGATAAATGGCGTTTGCATGAGAAAGTGAATAACAAGTTGTGTTTCAGTGCAAGAATGCTTCACAATGTCTGACTCTTAATTATTGTTCTTGAAAAAATGGACATTTTAAAAACTCATACGTGTTGTATATGACACATACACATACACACACAAATAAAAAGATCACATATATACATTGATCAAGGTTACCTGGCTAATAAATGTTAGACTTATGATTCAGAAATGTCATTCTGTGTCTCAGGTTGCCAAATCAATTTGTTCATTCAGAAACACTAGTGGCTCAAAGACACCTACCACAGGCCAAGTACTTTACAAGGCACTTAAGGATTAGACCTCGCCCTTGCCCTTAAGTAGTTACAATCCAGTAGGAACAGTAAGTCATATCAAAAGAGCTATTATGAAATATATAATGCAGCAGGATCTCAAAGTGGGGGCACTTCCAAGTGTGGGATCAAAGTTTCTTCCCATTCCCACAAATCAATAAATACATGAGTGTAGAACTGAATTGAAACAATATTCCTTTTGTGTGGTATTAGACTATCTTATTTTGAGTTTTATTCCATAGCCGTGAGTTAGGTGGATGAGTCAAATGAAACTCAAATACTCAAAATTACAAGTTTACCTCTATTTAAAATATGTTAAGTAAAATATGTTAGGTTATAGGAAGCTTAACGTTTAAAGTCTTAGAAAGAAAGCTCTTAGCTTATAAATTTTAAAAATTGACTTTTCTTTATTTCTTGTTTTAACTTTTATTTTAAGTTCAGGGGTTTAAGTGCAGGTTTGTTACATATGTAAACTTGTGTCATGAGGGTTGTACAGATTATTTCATCACTCAGGTATTAAGCCTAGTACCCATTAGTTGGTTGTCCTGATTCTCTCCCTCCTCCCATCCTCCACTCTCTGAAAGGTCCCAGTGTGTGTTGTTCCCCTCTGTGTGTCCATGTGTTCTCATCATTTAGCTCCCACTTATAAGAACATGTGGTATTTGCTTTTCTGATCCTGCATTAGTTTGCTAAAGATAATGGCCTCCAGCTCCATCCATGTTCCTGCAAAGTATATGATCTTGTTCTTTTTTATGGCTGCAATAGTATTCCATGGTGTGTATGTGCCACATTTTCTTTGTCCAGTCTATCATTAATGGACATTTAGGTTGATTCCATGTCTTTGCTATTGTAAATAAGTGCTGTAATGAACATATGCATGCGTCTTTATAATAGAATTATTTTTATTCCTTTGTATTTGTATACCCAGTAATGGATTACCAGTTTGGATAGGGATATTTAGCAAGTAATCCCATGACAATCCTAGTAATGGGATTGCTGGGTTGAATGTTATTTCTGTCTTTAGGTCTTTGAGGAATTGCCACACTGTCTTCCACAATGGTTGAACTAATTTACACTTCCACCAACAGCGTATAAGGGTTCCTTTTTCTCCATAACCTTGCAAGCATCTGTTACTTTTTGAGTGGGTAAAGGACATAAACACACACTTTTCAAAAGCAGACATACATACAGCCAACAGTTATATGAATAAAAAGCTCAACATCACTGATCATTAGAGAGAGGCAAATCAAAACCACAATGAGATACCATATCACACCAGTCAGAATGGCTACTACTAAAAAATGGCCTTTATATAGGAGTTGGCTAAAGCCAAATGTTGGTGAAGTGTTGTTGGCAAATGTCAAGTGTGCTATAAGATATTAGACTTATGAACTTCCATAAGTTGAATAGGCATAAGTGGCAGAATTCTAACCAGCCAATGTAAAAAAAGATGAACTTTTACATTTCATTAGTCTTTGTATTAGTGAGGGTTCTCTAGAGGGACAGAACTAATGGGAGATATATACATATATATATAATATAATATATGTAATTTATCATGTAAATATATAATATCATATAAATATATATAATATAATATATATAATTTATTATGTAAATATATAGTATATAATTTATTATGTAAATATATAATATAACATATAATTTATTATATAAATATATATGATATCATATATAATTTATTATATAAATATATGATATCATATATAATTTATTATATATGATATCATATATAATTTATTATATGATATCATATATAATTTATTATATATGATATAATATATATAATGTATTATATATGATATAATATATATAATGTATTATATCAATATATATGATATAATATATATAATGTATTATATCAATATATATTGATATAATATATATAATTTATTATATCAATATATATGATATAATATATATAATTTATTATATCAATATATATGATATAATATATATAATTTATTATATCAATATATATGATATAATATATATAATTTATTATATCAATATATATGATATAATATATATAATTTATTATATCAATATATATGATATAATATATATAATTTATTATATCAATATATATGATATAATATATATAATTTATTATATCATATATATGATATAATATATATATAATTTATTATATCATATATATGATATAATATATATATAATTTATTATATCAATATATATGATATAATATATATAATTTATTATATCTATATATGATATAATATACATAATTTATTATATCTATATATGATATAATATACATAATTTATTATATCAATATACATGATATAATATATATAATTTATTATATCAATATACATGATATAATATATATAATTTATTATATCTATATGATATAATATATATAATTTATTATATCTATATATATGATATAATATATATAATTTATTATATCTATATATGATATAATATATATAATTTATTATATCTATATACATGATATAATATATATAATTTATTATATCAATATACATGATATAATATATATAATTTATTATATCTATATATGATATAATATATATAATTTCTTATATCAATATATGATGTATATAATTTCTTATATCAATATATGATATATATATAATTTATATCAATATATGATATAATATATATAATTTCTTATGTCAATATATGATATAATATATATAATTTATATCAATATATGATATAATATATAATTTATACAAATATATGATATAATATATAATTTATATAAATATATGATATAATGTATAATTTATATAAATATATGATATAATATATAATTTATATAAATATATGATATAATATAAATTTATATAAATATATATAATATAATATATAATTTCTATAAATATATATGATATATATTTATTATATTATATATAATATGAATATATTTATTATATATCATATATATTATATAATATATATATCATATATATTATATAATATATATATCATATATATTATATAATATATATATCATATATATTATATAATATATATAATATCATATATATTATGTAAATATATGATATCATATATATTATGTAAATATATATATCATATATATTTATGATGTAAATATATATATCATATATATTTATGATGTAAATATATATATCATATATATTTATGATGTAAATATATATATCATATATATTTATGATGTAAATATATATATCATATATATTTATGATGTAAATATATATATCATATATATTTATGATGTAAATATATATATCATATATATTGATGTAAATATATATATCATATATATTTTATATATATTTATGTAAATATATATATCATATATATTTTATATATATTTATGTAAATATATATATCATATATATTTATGTAAATATATATCATATCATATATATATTTATGTAAATGTATATATCATATATATATTTATGATATAAATAATTTATTATATAAATATATATGATATATATTATATGTAATATATAATAAATATTTATAATATATAATACATTTTTATTATATAAATATATAATATATAATAAATATTTTTTATATATTGTATAAATATATTTTATATATATATCCTAATCATTCTAAGCAAATCAGTGACCAGAACATATGTGTTTTGAGTGTATGGTTCTATTGTTTTCATTGTTTGGATTTCAGCCATTTATCAAACACATTTTCAGTGCAACTCTCAGTCAAGATGGTTTCTCATTTACCATTTTCTAACTTAGTAAAATCTATCCCACAGCTCATTTTTGTTCTACAAGTCTCAGTTTAAATGTCTTATCAGTCACGACAGCTATTGCACTATAGTTAAAAAGAATTTAAGTGGCTTAAAGAAGCAAAGGCTTACTTTTTGCTTCTAGTCTGTCCCCATTGGAGGGCATCTCAGGGCTCTGTTCTGAGTGCCCTTGCTCCAATGCCTAGGTTTATAAAATACCTGTGATCCAGAAGGTGCCTTGTCCCTATGCAGAGGGAAGAAGAGTACTGAAGGTCTCCAATCCCATCATTCAGTTCTGTGACTTTAAGTCGCACACATCATGTCCACTCACACCCTAGCTGGAAATAATGGCATGGCCCCACGTAACAATGAAGGGGCCAGGAAGGACTCCACTATTTGCCTGGAAGATGAAAAGCCAGAAATGTTCGCTGAATATCCTTGAGGACCTTCACAGTGACTTACCCAGAACAGACTCAGAGCGCCCTCCTCCTCATCCTCACCAGTGACTACGTGCCTCCACTTGAGGCCATAGCTCGTAGGATCATGCTTTCTGCCAGGTCCTGGTAAAGGCTCCTCCCCTTCCTGCTGCGCCAGTCCTTGGCTGCTTTCTCATCTGGAGCTGGTTTCCCTAACCATGCCAGCCACCTTGTAGATTGTTTTGTTTGTTTGTTTGTTGTTTTTGTCTTTTGTTTTTTTGTTTTTGTTTTTTGAGACAGAGTCTTGCTCTGTCACCCAGGCTGGAGTGCAGTGGCGTGATCTCCACTCATTGCAACCTCTGCCTCCTGGGTTCAAGAGATTCTCCTGCCTCAGCCTCCCAACTAGCTGAGACTACAGGCTTGTGCCACCACACCCGATAAATCTTTGTATTGTTAGTAGAGATGGGGTTTCACCATGTTGGCCGGGACGGTCTAGAACTCCTGTCCTCAAGTGATCTGCCTGCCTTGGCCTTCATGTGCCCAGCCTTCCAAAGTGCTGGGATTACAGGCATGAGCCACTCCACCTGGCTGATAGTCTCTTCATTGGGCTTTCTTTAGTTATCACCTTCAGTGCTATCCCTTTCTTCTTCAACCCCTAGTGTCCCCAAATCAGCAAGCTCAGATCTCAGCTTAGATCCCTTTCCTCAAAAGGGAATTGATTAGTCTCTCCATACCAAAACCGCCACTCTCTTTCTGACATGCTACACCACGTTTTCTGCCTATTCTGCTCTCCCATGAAGGTTCTGTCTAAAGTTACATGTAATCTCCATACACAAAGTAAATGGATGAAGTTATGTTTTTGTCTCATTCCAATTCTCTGTCCACCTGCACAGATAAGAGCAGAGCAGATCAACCTATCTGCTGCCTAGAAGCAGATGCCCAAGAAAGGACATGGATAGTAGGCTTTCTTTAGTCTAGGGACCATTTGGATTACGGTAGGGTTGGACCTATGGTTGCGAAGGATAGCAGGCGGCATCACACTACCAAAACCACCACTAACCCCTTTCCTTGCCTTGGCCATCTTCATATATTGATAGAAATTTGGGGATGATAATTGAGATGCTGGATTTTTGTTGCCTTGAAGAGGTTCTTACTGCAAATGTTTGCAGCTATTCTTAGAATGTGTAAGTCCTGTATATATCTTTGTCCTCAGATTTGGTTTCTAATCCCTGATTTGGAGTCAATAGAACAATCTTACTAAATATATGCTTTTATCTTTTCTTCTGATTGTCTATTGCTGTAGAAAAAATTACCAAAACTTAGTGTCTTGGAGCAAGAGACATTTTATTATACCTTATGATTTTGTGATTCAGAAATTTGAGCAAGACATGCTGGAGTTGGCTTGCATCAGCTCAGAAGAGCCAATTGTTAAATATTCAAGAAATTTGTGAGCTTTATAGCTAAACCTTCAATAGCATAAAGCCAGCCATGGTGGGGGTATTTATATCACAGAAGTCAGAAAACACTAAACTCATTTTTTTTTCCTCCAAGGGCATGTTTACCAGCATACCACTTCTTTTGTTCAACATTTATTGACAGTAGCAACTCAGGAATATTCAGCTGGCAGGAGGACAGGTCTGGAGGTTCCAGAAAGGCTTCGCTCACATGTCTGGCATGCCTGGCACCTTGGAGGCAACAGCTAGAAAACTCAGCTCGGACTGTCTATCAGAACACCTACACATGGCCTCTCCAGCATGGTGGTTTCAGGGTAGTCAAACTTTTTTTTTTTTTTTTTTGAGGCAGAGCTTTGTTCCTTTTTGCCCAGGCTGGAGTGCCATGGCACAATGTTGGCTCACTGCACCCTCCGCCTCCTGGGTTCAAGCAATTCTTCTGCCTCAGACTCCTCAGTAGCTGGAATTACAGGCATGTGCCACCACCTCCAGCTAACTTCGTATCTTTAGTAGAGATGGGGTTTCACCATGTTGGCCAGGCTGGTCTCGAACTCCTGACCTCAGGTGATCCACCCACCTCGGCCTCCCAAAGTGCTGGGATTACAGGCATGAGCCACTGTGCCTGGTTGTCAGACTTTTTATATGGTCACTCAAAGCTTTTGGAGCAAGTGATACAAGAACCCAGACAGAAGCTACAAGGCTTTTTATGACTTAGCTTCACTGGGTACATGAACTTGTCAAGCAAGTCCCTGTACACAGTCTAGATTCAAAGGAATTAGACTCTGTTTTTCAATGGAGGGAGTAGTAAAGAATTAGTGACTATCTTACGTCTTTTATACACACACACACACACACACACACACACACACAGAGAATACAATTGCTTTATCTATATCTCAGCCTCAGTGTTTCACGGGCATCTCTAATTCATCATGTTCAAAACTTAACTCATAGTCTTTCATCCCGTATTAGAATAATTCCTGTTAGTTTCTGTAACATGCAAACCCTGAAAAGTTAAGTACTCGTGCTGTCTTAGTTCAAGGTTATCATGGGAAGGCCAGCCTCCATGGAGGCATTCAGGGACCCAGGCTATTTCAGTGCTATACCTCTTCTATATTTCACAGGAGGCTTTAAGCTTCAAGTTCCTTTTTGTGGGATGGCAGAAAGAAGAAAAGGGGCAGGGGCACCACTTGGGATTTTTTTAGAGACAAGGCCCTTTAACCCCACATGTATAGCCAACTTTACCTTCTCCCCAGGGGCAGTGACTGAAAGTCCCACTTAAACAAAGCATCCATTCCAAAGCCCAGGTCTATGAGAATACATGGTCTTTTCCATCAGAGTAGATACTGTTCCTTGCAGTTCAGTGACTCCTGAATGAAAATGTGAGTTATTTTTCTCTACAAGTCCCCACTGCCAGCCGTTATAGAATGATGCAGGGAACTGCAATAAAACTTGCATTTGGTCAAAGGAGATGGAAGGAACATACATCAGCTCCTGGGCCATAGTAATTCTAGTTCTTACTGAATTAAAACTATGAAAGTTTTCTACCTTAAGAGGAATGAGAAGTTCCCCTTTGTGTTTTTACTCTGGTCTCATATAGAAAGTCTTCTGCTCATTGAAGTCTGAGGACACCAGTTCCACCTTCTAGAGGGTTCCTTTGTACTATAATCTCCCTTGACTACATCTGAAGAGGAATTAGGAATATTTTCTTCCTGAGAACTTCGCAGCTTTTTTAGCCTGATTCTGCTCATGAAAGATAGGTGGTTGCAGAATTATTTTGAGTGTTGGAGATACTTTTTTCCTTTTATTATTATTTTTATGCTAACTTCATTTTACTTTTGGCAAAACAATTTCCTCACAATTTTGCAGATGTCTGATTATTTTTTCAGTCAGTGTAGTGTGGCAGTTACCATACCCAAAGTTCTCTCCAAAGTCATGATTCTCTAGTCTGATTTATGCCTTTGCTTCTTTGCTGTGACGTCTCTTTCTTTCTCTAGAAAAGAATAGCTAATATCTTGATGCATTCTGAGACAATACATAAGAAGGCCGCATCCTTATTCTGATCTTTGCCACCGGAATGAGTATTTTTGTTAAATTAAGAAGTTATTTCAGATCTTTCACATAAACCCTTTAAAAATTTCATCTTTTACACTTGGGGCCTGTTAATAATTGGCTTTTTCAACGCCGTACTATTCTGAATGTTTGGACTGTTGCATTTTCTTTCTTTTCTGCTTACTAACCAGCTAATTCTTTTGACTTTTTTTTCTTATATTTAATCCTTGCCAAATACAACCAATAACAATTTGTACACAGTAGTAAAATCTGTTTATAACCACTTTTTAAACTCATGGAATATCATGCCCTCTAAATATCATGAAATTTTGCCAGATTATTTGCTACTGTAAAGCATGGCTCTCTAGACATTCAGCCAGCCATATCTTTCTTGTCACCTGTGATCAGCTGCAAAGGAAAGGACATTAATTATATTGATTTTATTATGATGAGTTTCTACTGTTGATTGTTTTGTTTTGTTTTGTTTTGTTTTCACAATAACCCCCTATTTCTAATTTAGTTGGGGCAGGCTAACTTCTATTGAAAACATTATCACACCTTACACCTTACAGGCTTAATACAGCAGAGAATTTTTCCTCACTCACCTTATGATCTAGTGCATGCTGGGTGATTCCCTTTTCAGTAGTGATTCAGAATCCCAAGCTTCTTCCATTTTGCGGCTCCAATGTCACCCTGGAGTTCTCCTACTTGGAAGCCAGGGGAAAAAAAGCATGGAAGTGCCTGTGAGAGATCTTATAGGCTGGTCCTGGACGTGGCACTCCCCGTGTATGCCCACATTTCATTAGCTGGAACTTGGGCACACAGATCTGCAATTCAGTCTTCCTGGGAGCCTCAGAGGGAAAGTAAACAAGTTTGGTGACTATACAGCATTGTCTCAATTACAGTTCCAAAACTGCTCCCTTTTTACAGTTCATATGTAATTGAATATTATTATTTACTTGGCCTTGGACACAAAGGTAAAAAAATAAGATTTCTGGTTGGGCTCGGTGGCTCACGCCTGTAATCCCAGCACTTTGGGAGGCCGAGGCGAGTGGATCACCTGAGGTCAGGAGTTCAAGACCAGCCTGGCCAACGTGGTGAAAATGCATCTCTACTGAAAATATGAAAATTAGCCAGGGGTGGTGGCACACACCTGTAATCCCAGCTACTCGGGAGGCTGAGGCAAGAAAATCAGTTGAACCTGGGAGGCGGGGTTTGCAGCGAGCTGAGATCATGCCACCACACTCCAGCCTGGGTGACAGAGTGAGAGACTCTGTCTCAAAAAAAAATAAAATAATTAGACTTCCATATCCAATCATTCATGAAATCCTAATCCTCTTGATACCTTTTTCCATGATGTCTTTGTATTCTACTGTGACAACTACTGTCTTAGTTTAGAAACTCATTTTCACTCAGTGGAAACTTTTGCAGTCACCACCTACCTAGTCTGCCTACCTTCCATCAAGACTTTGCCAGTCTAAGGTACACTCTGCTGCTAGACTTATTTTAATGAAGTGAAAATAGTACCATCTTACTCTTGGGCTTAAAACCTTTCTGCCTATCACTCCCTGTAATAGATACATCATTTCTGAGAAACACAAAGCCCCTTAATGATCTGCTTGTATTTGCCCATCTAGGGTTAACTTTTGCCTCTCTCCTCTCTCTACTCCTCATTCCAGCTGATGCTAACCACTATTTTTAATTGAACTTTGTTTTAAATTTTTGAGATATTATAGATTCACATACAGTTACAAGCAATAATACCTTAACTACTTTTAACTCATGAGATTTACTGTGCCTCTGCCTCCCCCACAGCCCTCCAGAGACATCTTTCTACCTGACTATTACTTGCAATTTAATGATTATTTCAACTATTACCTTCAATGGGAAGCCTTCTCCTCTCTCCCTTCAGTGTTGCCGGATGCTGCCTTTGCCCTACTTCCTCACTGTGCATGTCTCTTTACCTTCATGTACCACTTGCAATATTGGTTTGCTGTTCAACAATGACATGCTAGTCAACAGTGACTTGCTAGTCAGTCCATCTTACCATAGCAGGGAATATTTCTTTTTCAACCTCATAACCCTTAATATAAGACACCCTCTTGGCCCACAGAAGGTACTCAGCAAAGGGCTGTGGATTCCTGCTTGGCAGAATCCATAATGACTAAACATTCAGGCTCTGGTTTTTGTCTGGTTGGTTTTTGTACAGCAAAGGATTGGCCCAGCATGTCAGGGGTGTTCAAATTCTGCACATTCCAAAGAAAAGACTGGCTCATGACCAGTTCCTGGGAGATAACTTCTAAACCCTTGGAAAACCCTGCCTGATAAAAAGGTCTTTGTATACCTGGGGACTTTGGCCACTCTAGTTTATACTAACAATGCTATTTTGGGTGGGGACCTTGAGCTATGCTGCATCACTTTGACATCTGGAGGGGCAGGAGACTGAGTGACTAAGGTCAGCCAAATGGGTATCCATGCCTATATGACTGGTTTCTAATGGAAACCCTGAATACCAAGGCATAGGTGAGCTCCCCTGGTTGGCAATACTCACATGTTGGGAGACAGTTCGGCTGGAAGAATTAGGCCCTGTCTGTACTACCCCAGGGAGAGAGGACAGTTGGAAGATTGTGCCTGGTCTCTCTTGAACTTTATCACATTTGCCATTGCTGATTTTTATCACTATAGTTTTGCTGTAATAAGCTGTAACTGTGAGTATAATAGCCATTTTGAGTTCTGTGACTCCTTATAGTCAGTAGGTGACTTCAGGGTGGTCTTGGGGACTCAGCACAATGCAGAATCTGGTTTCAAAACTAATTTGACCGTGGACAGATCTCTCATATTTTATAGGCTTTAGCGTTGTCATCAGATATGTGCTGATAATAAGGATAATACCACCTTACTGAGATTATGTGATGCTGCAATATTGCATGTAAAACACTGGACAAATTAATGATCAATAACTACTACCTGTTCTCATGGTCATTATTACTATGCCATGAGCATTTCCATATTATAACAAATTTGTATAGTCTTTACGAATATCATTTTAAAATATCTGCTATTTCATTAAAAGATAACTCCCCTCTTATTTTTGAACATCTCAGTCTTATCTAATTATTTCCTTCATCATAAATGACATGGTACTTGAAATACACATTGTAATTTCTATATTTAGGATTATTTCCTTAAGACACATACCAGAGATGAAACTTTTGGCTCTAAAAGATTAAGCATTTTTAAATTTCTTGATGCATATTGACAGATTGCTTTGCAAATGTCAGTGCTATTTTTCATTTTTAAAAGCAAAGTAAAAATTTATTCATTTTCTTAGACTCATGAAGGCATAGAAAAAATGATTTTTTTAAATCAAATATCTCTGAGTAACATATCGTCTTAATGTGACCATAAATTTCTTAAGAACAAACTGAAAAAAATAATTTTTGCTTCCTCTGGTTCTGAAGATGGAAGGGCCACATTTTCATATACTGAGATTAAGTATGTTCTCTATTCACTCATCTACGCACAAGGTAAGAATCCACTGAATAAATACATCATAATGTGAAAAAAATAACTTCTATTAGCAAATCTGCCTCTATTACAGATAATTAAGAGGGAAGAAAAACACTTTTACCTTGGTTCCACAGAAGGAATTAATTCATTAGGCAGAGTTATGCTAATCAAATTCATTTGTAATATGATAGTCTTGTCATTAATGTTTGCAAGAATCTGAGGCAGAAAATGAATATTTTCCCAGAGTTGAATTTTAATTTTGGCTTCTCCAAATGTATCACTGCCAGTATTGCGTTTTCACTTTTCCTACACACCTCCTGGAATAAAATGGAGGTGACAGGCCAAATAAAATATACGGCAGCACACTTAACTTTTATCCTTTCATCTTTCTATCGGAGCTGTCTTAATGTTTCAGCTCTAGCTGATTACTGCCACGTAAGAATGCCATACAGATTTCTTCTAAACTCCAACTGGTAGAGGAAACTGGTATGTCCTGAGGTCATAAAATGACATTCTGGTCATCTATAGATGTTTTCAAAAAATGAAGACTTTGAAGCCTCAATTTGCTCTTCCCTTTACCAGTTAGCAGCAAAGAAACTGAAGAAAGCGTACTGAGGATGAGAGCATCTAGGGGTGCTGGACAGATGCTCCAGCTACCAAATAGATACAGAAGCTGGCAGGCGCATCCTACCCAAATCACCAAACTTACCACCCACTTTTCCTTTAAACTATGCCTGTCTCTTGGACGTGTATTAAATGCTGCCCCAGAGCCCATGTTCAGATTGTTCCTGGTGCCTGTGTTGTCTTCCTCCCATCTCTGTACAGCCATGCCCTAAATATCCCTCCAGATTCTGCTGCAATGCATCTCTGGGAATTTTCATTTGCTCAACATATTTGGGCTTATGTTATAGTAATTCCTGTACAACTTCTTTCTTATGCACTATCGAACTCTCAAGGAAATAAATTTTGTCTCATTTACCTTTATATTTCCAATAGAGACCTACACATCACAGTTAGTAAAGGAGAGCATGTTGAATGAATAGATGAGCATGAACGGATACTCAGACAAATAAAGGCTATCGTGTAAATGTGCATTACAGTAGGAAAAAATTTCTGGCTTTAGGGACAGTCGTTCCTTTTTTAATTTAAAAATAATTTGTTGAACATCTACTTCATCTCAAGCACAGCTCAAATCCTGGATTTTCTAATAAGCTGTGCAGTTTTGGACAAATTGCTTAACTTCTCTGAGTGTCAGTATCCTCATTCACAAAGTGGAGATTGTAGTCTCTAAGTCACAAGGGTTTCATTAGTACTCAGTGAGAAAAATTACATAAAGCTCCCTCAGTACAATATTTGCTGAAAGTTTGGCATATTCCTTCTTCCTTGCTCTTCTATTTGACATTTTGTTTTCAAATAAAAAAAAAACAGAATAAGAAAATTAGTTCTCAAAAATAGTCTCTAGCCTCATCTTGTCTTCTAGGACATATAAGGATTATTTCTAATACTAGAATATGTAATGATATGCAGGGTAGGTATAAGAAATACATCATGATTATTTCTAATACTAGAATCTGTAATGATATAAAGGGTTTATATAAGGAATATAAAGGATGATTTGTAATACTGAATATGTAATGATATACAGGGTAGGTTTAAGGAATATATCACAATTATTTCTAGTACTAGAATCTGTAATGATATATAGGGTTTCTATAAGGAATACAAAGGATTATTTCTAATACTAGAATATGTAACAATATACAGAGTATATATAAGGAATATAAAGGATTATTTCTAATACTAGAATATGTAATGATATAAAGAGTATATGTAAGAAATATATAATGATTATTTCTAATACTAGAATATGTAATGATATACAGAGTATAAGTAAGGAATATATAATGATTATGTCTAATTCTAGAATATGTAATGATATGCAGAGTATATATAAGGAATATAAAGGATTATTTCTAATACTAGAATATATAATGATATACAGAGTATATGTAAGGAATATACAATGATTATTTCTAATACTAGAATATGTAATGATATAGAGTATACATAAGGAATATAAAGGATTATTTCTAATACTAGAATATGTAATGATATAAAGAGTATATGTAAGAAATATAAAATGACTATTTCTAATACTAGAATATGTAATGATATACAGAGTATATATGAGGAATATATAATGATTATGTTTAATACTAGAATATGTAATGATATACAGTGCCCTTACATTTCTGTGGCATACCATTCTCAATCTTGTGAGTAGAAAGGGGCTTAATATTATTTTTCACAATGTGGAAACTGAGGCTCAGAGAAGTCAGGTGACTTCCTCATGGTGATGTAGGCAGGAAGCCTCAACGCCAGAAGGCATACCTCCTCCTCCTGATACCCAGCAGAACTCTTTCCAGTCTGAAACCTCTGTCCATAAGAAGTGCTGCTGCCTAAACATGCATTTCAGTAGAGACTTCTCTCATCAGAAGCCTTCTCCCTATTAGTTTCCCAGAGAGCTCAAGTTCCAGCAGGCCTCTTCTTTTTTGAGCTTCTGGCCCTCCCGCTCCTGGAATTCTGCAAGCAAGACTTGGTAAATATGTCATCGAGGCAGTGTGTCATAAATCCGTCAGCCTTCTCCACGTCTGTCATGATGCTGCGGGAACCCTGCGAACACAGCCCAGGTAGATGCTGTTCAGCCGTAATAGGAAAACAAATGAGCCTGCTTTCAATGAGCTGGAACCTTCTGGCTGAGTTAATGTTTCAGTGGATTTGTTTGCTTCCTGCAGCTGGCTAAGCAGTTTTGGTAACTGTGACGACACTTTTCACGGATTTGTTTTTACCCCTCATCAGATTTTTCATGCAGCCATTCAATTCTACAATGTCCATGCTGGAAGTGCTTTGTGATGAGGTTTAAACAGTGCGCCTGGACCACAGCTCTGAGACTAAGCACAGGACACCTGAAACTCCTGCATGAAAAAAGGGGACTCAACACACCCTTCACACTTTTCTGAATTGGGGCTGTGTCATAACCTGTGCAGACTCCATAAATATTTCTTTTTTTCTTTTTATATTCTTTTTTATTTCAACAGGTTTTGGGGGAATCGGTAGTGTTTGGTTACATGAATAACTTCTTTAGTGGTGATTTCTGAGATTTTTGTGCACCCATCACCCAAGCTGTCCCCAATGTGTAGTCTTTTATCCCTCATCCCCCTCTCATGCTTTCCCCCAAGTCTCCAAAGTCCATTGTATCACTCCTATGCCTTTGCATCCTCATAGCTTAGCTCCCTCTTATGAGGGAGAACAAACGATGTTTGGTTTTTCATTCCTGAGTTACTTCACTTACAATAACGGTCTCCAGTTCCACCCAGGTTGCTGCAAATGCCGTTATTTCTTTCCTTTTTATGGCTGAGTAGTCATGCGTATTTCTTTAAAGGATGCAATGTACTTAAAGAACTCTGGCCTGGGAACCTGCAGAACTGGGTTTTAGTTCTTCTCATAGGATATTACCAGGTAACCAGGGACAATTCACTTAAACTACAAATGTGAGTGGCCATAAGATTCATTTGGGACGATGATTGCTTTTAAAAAGTAATACAGATTCTTTGGCTTATCTTCAGATTATTAAATTAGAATCTCCAAGGGATAAGCCTAGGACCCTGTATGTTTAACAGGTGATTCAGGTGATGCTTGCAATCAGATATATTTGCAAAATGTTGGCTCCAGGATCTCTGTGTCCCGCAGCATCTCACACTTAACAATATATGGAAGAGCTACTGCATAAGTGGTCTGTATTCCACCCGTTTCAGGTTACTTGTAGGGTTTGCCAAAGATGCAAATTCCCAAGCTATCTTGAAGACATGCTGAATCAGAATCCTTGGGAACATAACTCTTGTGCTTTTATAAAAGGTTCTTAAAGTGAATTTATCTACACCAAAATTTGGGAACCACTAATAGAATTTATTTATATAGTTTATAATGTTTGGAAGTATTATCAACATTATAAGGCAATTGTGAGGATTGCAAGAAATAAAGTATTTGGCATAGTTTCTGCCATGGGTAAGTTCTTGATAAATGTTAGTAACACAAAAAAGTGTTTTGCACATTTCTTGGGCAGGAATTGCATCTTATATTTCTGATTTCCAAGTCAAGGTAGACGGGACCATGGTATCTGTTCAATACATTCTTATTGATCAAAGCTGCTTTTCTATTTCAGAGTTTATGCTGTCTTTTCTTTTTTGGTTCTTTCTTCTCATGTCTATTTTTGGACTGGAAACATCTCAGGGAAATGAGAACTGCACCTTGACCAAAGCTGCTTTGGTCACTGTGAAATGTTTCATTTGGAGTATCTTAAGCAGTGTTTTCTGAGATAAGTAGAGTGGCTATTATTAGTCTGGTTTCATGTATGAAAATAGAGATCAGAAAACAAAAGGTGACCTTGTACAGATACTTTCTTGGTTAAAATTAAAAAACAAACAGACAAAAAAGACTAGAACTCAATATTTCATTAGAATCTTTTCCACTTCACTATACTGCTTTTCACAGATAGCAGTACAGCACCATAAATAAATTCAGTCTTTTCCCCATAGGTCTTCATCTCTCCTCTTTTTGTCTTTATTCTCTGTATTCACCCTTCAGAGATTCCATTTTTCCACATTGTTCTTATCTTCAGCTAATATATGGTAAATTAATCACATCAAAGTGCTAGACACAAAGGAAATTCATCCCTTCGTCCCTTGTGATTGCTTTTGAAGAAAGAGCGATATAAACGGAAGGTCCGTGATCCAAGCCACAATCATGGAATTTCAGACAGCATGGCACCTGAAGAGATCAGAGGAAGTCATGTGGAAGTTCTTCCCTTCAGATCACAATTCTGAATGCACCTTCCTTCTCTGTAAATGTTCTAAGGCTGCTACTGACACGACAATTATAAAGCTATCTTTTTTGTAATAAGGGATCCCCAATCTTATAAACTTTAATTTTACTGAGATAAAAGCACAGATTCCACAGACCATTGAATATCTTGAGAGTCATTTAAGACCCATGCTCCTTTCTAAGTACCAGTGTGAGGATAATGTTGGGAGCAGGCATTGGAGTAGAGACCCCATCAGGAGATCAGGTCCAGCTCAGAAACCAATACCCTGATATCAGCCCTGATATCTTGCCTTGGGCCTCTAGACAGAGAAGTCCACTCAATGGCTGAATTTGTATAACCTCCTTCTAGTGTTTCATACGGTGGAATGTGTTACGTTCACGCATCCTTTTCTGGGACAGTGTTTCTATTTGGAATTTTGCAATATTATTTAATCTATACTTTACATTTAACTACATAAATTTATAGCCATTCAATTGTTCTTATCATTCTGATTAATTAAAATGCATTTCTTCATTATTTTGTATGAACTACTCTTAGTTATTTTCTCACTACAAATAATAGTCATCACCTCTTGAGGGACTACCCTCTCATCTGTTCTTCCTACTCTTCTTATTTGTGCTTCATTTGTTTTCTGGAAGTTGTCATCTCTGTTGTATAGAGTGATACATTAAAACAAACTAAGTGTTAAACATACAAGTGCAAATATTTCTAATATTAACATATAGGAATTTGGAGTCTTCCAGTGGTCAATGGTGTTTGATGCAACTTCCTCCACTTCCATCATTTTACATTTATGTGTTCTCGAGGCTGTGTTTAGACAATATTATTTTATCTCGCATACTACCCTCTTTTGGCACCTCTCATTTCACACACAGATTCAAGCTACAACTAGCAGAAAAGTTGCACCTTTTGGTAAAAACCAAAGTCAGCGATGGTTAGATGAGCCCTCACTGCTGTTCCCAAGATGCAGTTCAAATCTTTGAATGTTCTAAAGGATGTCCTAGTGCTAAGTCTTCATTCCCCAGTGGAGGACTGCTCCAAATTCAGATAGACTAGGCTGGGGGTGTGGGCAGTGGAGCTTCCCTGAGCAGCCTTCTGGGAAGGTAGCCTTTTAGGAGACGAACTATCCCAGGTGCAAAAGCTGAATCTTGAGACAATGCCTCAGTGACACAGAGGGCATTATTTTGAGTATCGCAAAGGCCGTGACCATCTGGTAACTGGCACATGCTGTTTCTGGTTGTAACTCTAATCAAAATGTGTGTAAATCTTTTAAAATTTTCTAGCCTTGGTGATAAAGCACATATTGAATGCCTTAGTCTGCTCTGGTTGCCATAACAAAATATCATAGACTGGGTGGCTTAAGCAACAGACATTTCTCACAGAGTAGTAGGCTGGGAAGTCTGAGATCAACGTGTTAACAGGTTAGGCCTCTGTTAAGGGCCCTCTTCCTGGCTTGTAGATGACTGCCTTTTCAATATGACCTTACTTGGCCTTTTCTGGATGTGTTTGTGTGAGAAAACACTGAGATTTCTCTCTTTTTCTCATTGTATATGAGCACTAACCTCATCATGGCAGACTCATTCTCATGACTTAATCTAATTACCTTCCAAAGGTAATTAGATTACCTCTAATTACTAGATCACCTCTAAATACTCTCATATTGGGGATTATTAGGGCTTTGACATATGAATTTCAGGAAGACAAAAACATTTGATCCATAAAGTTGAATAAGAAAAAGAAAATGTACTATACTCTTGTTACAGGAGAAATATTATACAACTTTAAAGATTTTGTACCAGAAATAAAAAATACTTCAAAGATATTTCCTTTGTTTTCTCAAAGAAGAACAAGAAAATGTTAACTCTGAAACAAAATTAAAACAAAAAATAGGAGAAAAAAAAACCACACATTGAATTGAAGAAAATGGTGCCTAATAATCAGACTGACTTGGAAAAGGAGCTGAAGAAGTAAAAGTGAGCTTGAAATTAAAAACTGAATAGTAAAATTTGAATTGGTATTGGAAACAGCAAGTGTAAGAACTGATAATGCAGAAATCAATCGTCATTTCTGGATAACAAAGTTGACTAGAGAAAAATGGTTAAGGAGATGAAAATCATGACTGAGAAGATGACAGATGTAGAAGACTAGCAATAAAGATGCAATCTACAGGCCAGGTGTCGGGGCTCACACCTGTAATCCTAGCACTTTAAGAAGCCAAGGTGAGCAGATAGTTTGAGCCTAAAAGTTCAACACCAACACGGTGAAACCCTATCTCTACAATAAATTGAAAAATTAGCTGGGCATGATGGTGCGCGACTGTAGTCCCCGCTACTTGGAAGGCTGATGCGGAAGGATCTCTTGAGCCCGAGGAGGTAGAGTCTGCAGTGAGCCAAGATTGAGCCACTGTGCTATAGCCCGGTTGGTGACAAAGTGAGATCTGTCTCAAAAAAAATTAAAAAAAAAAAAAAAAAGAAAGAAAGAGGGTGAGAATAACAATTAAGATATAAGTAAAGAGAACTTTCCTGATCTCAGAATGCCTATATTTATTGGTCAAGAATATTTGTTGAATATCAAGAAAAAAATGTAAAAAGCAAACACCTAAACATTGTTATTTCCAATATTTTAGTATTAAACATTTCCAGCATATAAGACAATTGAATGAATGTTACAGCGAACACCAAATACACATCACCTTGATTAAATTATTAGCAAGAAAATTAATTGGAAGGCTCCAAGCTTTAGGTTGCTAGTAAGCAAACTGAAACCCAATGTAAGCAGTAAAACAAAATTAGAGTCTTTACAATTAGAAATAAACAACCAACCTCTCAATAGGGACTTTCCACTCTAACCAGTCAGATATGTTTTCTTGTTCTTGCTTCCTCAAACGTCTTATAAAAGTTTCCTCTTCCAGTAGTGCACTAAACTGCTTGCTGACTGGTCCCTCAAGATTCATGATACATTGAATGCTCAAATAAAATTTTAAAATTTTAACATGACTACCTTTATTTTTAACACTATGGATTGGTATTTTATTTGTTTATTGCATATCTATCCATCTATTCCTCTCCCCATCCATATGTCAATCTGTCTTATTTTTTATTCATTTCAAAGTAAATTGCAGACATTTGTGCACTCCCCACTAAATACTTCAGAATGTATATTATTAACTAGGGTTCAAAATTTAGTAAGAATGTTTTTATCTTTAGATATGCAGTTTAGGTTCAATATAATGAGCAAATCTTACTGTACATTCACTGGGTTTTGACAAACGCACATACCTGTTTTTACCCTATGCCATACTTTCCTTAATCACTACCGTCATCCCCCGTCTGAGGTAATTACCATTCTGATTTTTGCAGACTACATTAGTTTCACCTGTTCTGTAATTTTATAAATGGAGCCACACATATGGACTCTGTTGTGGGAGTCTTCTTTCATTCCCCAAATGTTTTGAGATTCCTCCTTGTGAGTGCTTGTATCAGTGTATGTTTCTTCTTATTGCTGAGTGGCGTTCTGTTGTTCTGATGCAGCAGTTTTTATCCAATCCCTTAATTTCAGTTTTTGTCTATGAATGAATAAAACTTCTATGAGCATTTATGTAAAACTCTTGCTTGTGTGGTTGTGAAAGTATGTTTATATTCCTCTTGGACAAATGCCTAGGAAAGGAATTAATAAGTCATACAGTAGTTGTGTATTTGATTTTATGAAAACTATAGAACTTTTCCCTAAGTGGTTGTACAATTTCACATTCCCTCTAATGGATGATAGTTTGAGTTGCTCCTCATCTTTGCCAAATTGTAGTGTTATGTCTTTTTAAATTTAAACATTTTGATACATGCGTAGTGGTATCATATGGTGGCTTTCATTTGAAGTTCACTTATGATTAATGATGATAAGCAGATTTTCATGTGTTCGTCGGCCATTTATTATATCTTCCTTTATGGAGGGCTCATTAAAATATTTGCCATTTTTTAAACTGGGTAATTAGACTTCTTAACATTGAGTTTTGGAGTTTCTTATTAATCTTGTAAACCAGTCTTTAGTATGATACATGTTTTGCAAATATTTTTTCCAAGTCTAAGTCTTTCTATTATTTTTCTTAGTATATTGTGATGAGCAGGTATTTTAAATTTTGATGAGATATGATTTATGTTTTTCTTTAATGAATATTATTTTTTATGTCCTCATACATAAACTTTCATATACTAAGTTGTGAAAATTGTTTCACTCTTCTCTGTGTGGCCAGGCTATGTATCCAAGGACAAAAGGCAGATAAATCTCTGTCAGGGAAGAGACCACTGCATGATATGATAATATGGAGAACAGAAAAAGCACACACCAGGATCAAGTGATATGGCATTTATTTACAGCAAGAGGGTAGACAGTGTGTGCACAAGATCCAGCCCCTGGCAATGCATTGGTCTCCCATGGCCAGGGGATCCACTCTGAAGCAGATGAGGTGATATGGCTGCATGCACCTTGTTTCATGCTGCAGAAGAAGAGCTTCTCCCCCTCTGCCACCAGGATCTAAAATATGGAAACTGGCATTTGTGTTACTGCCAACAAGAAGGTGTTATTTCTTTTTTTCACTAGCTGACAACTCAGGGCATGCTTAAGGGCCATCGACACATGCACTTAAGCAGGATAAAGGATTATGTACCAAGCGTGGAGCAGGGAAAGATATTCCCTCATGAGAGACCAGCCTAGCACTGATGATGAGGACACTTTATCTTCCAGTAAAGTTACACACCCAAGACCACTTTTATTGGGACAGTGCAGGTGGCAAGCACTGCACAGAACTGCCTTTCCCAACAGTCAATCCTCTAACTCATGCCTGGCCCCTGAAATAGCAGACAAAGCACATCCAATCTGGGAGGATAACTGTTTACACTGAATCTGGAGGCAGAGCTGGGTCAGATGGGAACCATGAACAAACCTTATGGATGCTGTGGATGAGATTTTCTTTTTTTGCAGAGTACCTCTGTCATTTTGAGATAGTGCCTTACCAGGGTCACCAGGAGAACCAGTCCCAGGAGGATGTTCAGTTCTCACTGGAGAATAGTCTTCAACCGGAAGCCTCAAACTCAATGAAAGAGTCTAAAACAAGAGTCTAAGAGAAACTGCAGACATATAGCTGACAATCATTCTGCCTGAGCTTAGATCGCCTCCAGTTGGGTTTCTGCCTTCCTCCAATTGTTAATGCACACACGTCTATGTCACCAATAATATAAATGCCCTCTTCTTTCACCAGCAAACAACTGAGGGCTATCTGGTTGCCCATCACCACCTCGGCTAGTGAGTTTGGTGAGTTCTGTTGGCCTTGGAGCTTGAGGAAAGTTAAAGTCATTGTGTGTAGGCCAGGTCATTATAATGGGAGTGTGGGACCAGAGGGACTTCATGCTGGGATGACAAATCTAGCTTTGTTTGAGTTCTCTGCTGCACATGACTGTGCTGATTCTTATCAGGGTATGGTCCTGCTTGGCAAGGCAAAAGCTTCTGTAGGAATGAAAAGAGGAAAGATTAATGTTTCCACTCTCCTACCACTCCATGAACCTCCCAAGGCCAGGGATGCTTTCATCTATCACTTTTCCCATTGTTCTTGTTACTTGATCCAAACTTTTCAGTCCTCATCGTCCAACCAGGGTAAAGAATTTCCATCCTGAAGAAACTCCCCATACCTATAACATCACCCACTTGTAACATCATCCCTTTCTACAGGATTGGGAATCTTTAGTGGGACCAGGGGAACCCTAGTGCCCCAATGTCTGTCATCCCTTCGCCATCAAATTGGGGTCCCACTGTTGGGACACTCCCAAAGGTAGCATTGCCTCTTAGTTTGAATTGGGAGGTCCTACTGCTGGTACCATTGAGGCCTGGACCACAAACCACACCCCCGGGAGTAAATTTCAGCAAAAAATAAAAATAAAGGAAAGAACAGTTGGCTACACTGAGACTAGGGATTCTGCAGGAACAGCCTAATTAGGTGAATGCCTGGTCCTCCACCTCTTCCAAGCATAGTAGTGCCCAACTTATGTGGGGGTGCTGTTTCTCTTCCACTGGGTATAATGATTGATACCCAAATGGCTTTTGGTAGGTAGGCCTAACACCAGCTAAGTTGTTCTTCTCTTGGCTGTTGCAAAGTTGTTGCTTGAGTTGTCCATTCCTGCATTCTGTCACCCCATTTGCCTGGGGGTTATGGGGAGCAAGAAGGATCCATGTTATGCCATGGGAGTGTGCCCTTTGCTGAATTGTCTGGGTTTTATATGTGGTGATTTCATCATATTGGGATCTTAAAACTATGTGTTCGTGGCAGAGAGGCACCACTAGAATCTGTGGCTAGGCACTGGCAGTCAAGTGTGGTCAATTTGCCACATTTGCACGGGGCCTATGCAAACGTGTTGTTGATGAGGTTGATGAGGCCTAACTCACCGCTGCATGCCCCAGGTTTGGTGGCAGAAGTCAGAAGACTGTGCCCCATTCTTGGCTTCTTTTTCTTGTAGAGTTAGTCTTTGTGATTTAGTCCATTTTTGCACCTGAGTTGCATTTCTATGTCCCATTCTGTCATGGACCCAGCAGGCAATCATGGTGATTTACTGAACACATACTAGGTCAACATGCAAGTTCAATCCACATTCCCTTTTGAATGGTCATTTGTCACAGGTGTCAATATGAGTGACAAAAAGGTCTCCTTACCAGTTTTCAAACCACTACCATAGTTCCTGTTCTTACACAGGGAGTCTCTTAATTGTCCAGTAATTAATCTGCAAGTCACTGGGCCATGCAGTTAGCCAATGGCTCATGAGTCTATAATATGCAGCTGGGAAATGCTGTTGGAGTGGACTGAAGATTCATCATAACTGCACATAAGTCTCAGTCAAAATGTAGGAACCCTTAGAGTGAATGGCCACAGTGGCCTTGGGGAATCTATCAGCTTTGGGTTTTGCAGACCCATCCATGAATCACGTCAAATCACCTGTTCTAACCTTGGGCCCCATTGGCTAATGGAAGGACAAAAAGCATTCCTTATATTTTTTCTCTGATATCTTCATAATTTTAGCTTTTGTGTTCTGATATTTTATCAACTGCAAATTAAATTTTGAGTATGGTAGGAGGTAAGGGTCTAGGTTTATTTTTTTCTGTATAAATATCCAGTTGTCCTGGTACTATTTGCTAAATAGTTTTCTTTTCCTCTTTTGACTGCTTTAGCACCTTGTCAAATATTGAAATTATTTTGGATGTGTGAGTCTATTTCTGGGTTCTTTGAAATGTTTCATTGATGCATTTGTCAATTTATATACCAATATTACACAGTCTTGATTACTACAGCTTTATCATGTCTTGAAATCAGGTAATTTAAGCTCTGATTTTTTTCTTATTTTACAAGATTGTTTTGAATATAGTAGATCCTTTGCATTTTATAGAATATTTAGAATTGCCTTGTTTATTTACTTCATTAAAAAAAGAACCTTACTGGAAGTATGATAGGACTTGCATTTAATTATAAATAAATCTGGAGATAACTGACAAATTCAGTCTTCCAATCCGTGATCATAATATGTATCTCTCCATTTATATGGGATGTATTTAAGTTCTCCAAGAAATGTTACATTGTTTATAGCAAAGGGAACTTGTAAATTCACTGTGCATAATTATAATAGGTACTTTAAATTTATTGTGTGTGAATTCTAATATCTGAAGCAATTTTTAAATTGTTTTTCTTTGTTTCTTTTGATCATGTGTTCTTATTTTTGCATGTATTGAAAAATTTTGGATTGTATATATAGCATTTCAAATATTATGGTCTAAAGACTGTATTCTGTTGCACGCCTCCAAAGAGTTTTGATTTTTTGTTGTTGTTGCTTTAATAGTCAATTAACTTAGAGTTAAATTTAAAACTTTGTCTTTTCAGCAGCATCTCATATCTCAGTTCAATTCTTTCATTTTTAATTAGAAAGCTTTCAGTTTGCCTTACACATGCATATTTCAGGGTTTAGTCAGAAATCTCAATAGAGTTTAGCACAGAGTTTGAGTCATTCCTCTCTTGCTTTCTCATTTCTCATGCTTCTTTCTTACTTTTTGGCAGCTGTGTTAACTCTAAATTCTTTCTATTTATTAGTTCTTCAAGGCAAAAATACTGCAATCTTCTGTCCGAGATTTAGCTGTCCCCAAATGACCACTGCAATCTACCCTCACACCAAAAGTCATAAACAAGGGCAGCTAATCTCATGCCATTGCATTTTTCCGATTGTTGATGCTTGTCCAGAATTTTCTACTTTTTTTATTTTTTTACTCTCCAGTATTTTCAGGTGTAGTAATTTGTGTTGTATCTGTTGTTTACAGTTTTATCTATGGAATGGTCAATTTATCAGGGATGTATTTTTCCATACCAGAAGGGCACAAAACACAACTGAATTGTATTTTGTGTACGAATTAAATACAAACTTACCTGAATTCTGGAAGGAAAAGAACAAGACACAGTTATAAAAAGTTTCATGCAAAGTAATAATTAATCTTATTTTATATTTCTTGTCTGCAATATGAAACTAGAATACATTGAATAAGTAGATGCAATTTTGAGTAAAAGGATTCTTTAAAAATAATCAAAATTACAAAATCAAGAAATAATTTTAGAAGCTTGGTGGTATATATTGAAATGTTTATTCATAGGTTGTAAATTTAAATGCAAATAATAGTAATGTAATATGAAAATGAAATAAATGTACATATATTAAAATATTAAATGTATTTGATACTGTCTAAATACTTTTTAATTTAAAATGCAGTTAATAAAATTGAAATAATTTGTTTTTAACTTCCTAACTGTACATTATATCAATGATTAAGTTGGATTCATAGGGATAATTTTTTCCTGGACTTTGATAACAGGCAAATAAAGACTGAAAAGCATTTTTAAAGCAAGGATCGTCCACTAGTAGAAGTAAAAACTGGTTGCCTAGTTTCAAAATCACTACTGTAAGAAGGATAGATAAACAAAAGGCAAGATAAAATGCAGAGTCTATAATATCAAGAAAAATATGTTATTATAAAATGTTGCTGTGGTTATTTCCCTGTGGTAGTAGAGGGGAGATGTCATGTGGGAATTTTGTGTCCCTTGTATCTTTTTATATTACTCAAATTCTTAGTGCTTAGCATTAATAATTGTAATAATAATGAAACATTCTGTTTAAAAACTTGGAAAAAATGGAAAAAAAGTAATTTATGTTTTGAACAAACTCTATGACATGACTTAATTCACTTACAAGATTATCCTCATAGAAAGTATTACTTAATGCCATGGAAGATCGTACTCTGTACTTCACCATTGCCCATGGAAAATTCATTGTAAGCCCCATAGCATTTCTTATATTTACTTATGGTACTGTTTTACAGAATGAGCATCATACCTAATCAACACCAAATAATACATATTCTAGATTTGTTAGAAAAAAGGTAAAACTTTAAAGCATTAAAAAGATCCTTCAATATATTCACATACCACAACAACTTGAGGAAGATACATATTTACATATAAATTCAAATTCCAAGGAATATGTTGAGAATCATCTCTTTGGAATCTTATACTCAGCTTTAGACTAAGATGGCAACTTTTGAAAGCAGAACCCATCACAAGGGAAGCAAAATGTATCATTGCTAAAAGGGCAAAGTCAGCAATAGTTACATGGGCCCTGACTGTTGTTCTAAGATGCATTTAGAATTTTTGAAGTTCTAAAGAATGTCCTAGTGCTGTGTCCTCATTCTGTGATGGATGACTGCTGCAGCTTCAGGTAGACTAGGTTTGGAGGGCCAGTGAGATTTTCTTGAGAGGCCTCCTAAGAAGGCAGCCTTTTAGGAGATGAGCTATCCCAGGTGCAAAAGGTGAGTTTGGAGACAATGCCTCAATGTCAGAGAGGACATCATTTTGCATATTGCAAAGGCTGTGCTGGTCATCATACTAGTTTTCCCACAAAGGACTAGGAAAGGGTAAGGTAAAGATACATATGTGACCAACAAACTTTCTAAGCCTTTAGGAGCCAAAGGCAATGCTGCTTCTCTGACAATGTAATAAGTGAAATAAGGAAAAATGAGGAGCAAGAACTTGTTCTTTATGTGATCATCTTTGGGGCACACTGGACTATGCTGTAGGAACACTTGACATTGGTCTGCAGTGAGAGGTGAATCAGATGATTTTGGAGGAAGGGATCAGGAAAGCCATATGTCTAAATTTGGTTGATTATGCAAGGGTTCCTCAGAGCTGTACTGGTGGACTACATGAAGGGAGCAGGACAGACATTCCCAGTAACATCCTCATCTGGTTGGAAAGAATTGATGGGGAAGTGAAGTTGGGAGTTCTTTCATCTTTTGTGCTAAATGTGAATGACAAAAGGTAGACCTTTTTAGAAGGAAATTGCTCCTCCTCTTTTTTTTCTCTATATTATAGCACAGAGAAAATAAGTTCCTGTAATTTCTCTACCTTACAGGGAAGGGCAGAGAAGACATATTACTTCTCTCTGTTCCCCAAAGCAGGATGAGTAAATAATCTGACCTGTGTTGGGATGCATTTCAATAGAGAATAGAAGCACTGTGGAAAGGTCATGCTCTTGGCCTTCTGACCACTCGTACTGGCCTGAACCCAGACTGAGTGGATGCTCACATGATTTTGCCTTCTTGCTTGCTCTTAAATTTTCTTTTTTCTGTATGTTATACTCATCTGGCCTGTCAGGGCTTCCAGGATCTCTGCAACTTTGCAACATTTTACTGGTGTAGACATTTTGTAAAACATGCATTGTGCACCTAGGGGCATTGAAGCTGGAGGTAAAAATAGCTTTTTGTTTTCTTGTTCAAGGATTGTCCTGTGATAAAGCGTATCAGAAACTATGCATTTAGGAGTGATTATGCTTTGTTGAAACATTAATAAACCTGAGACCTTCAACTCTAATTGATACTCATTCCTATCTTGGTTTGTTGGTTGGAATTTCAGTGGGAAACAGGGTTGAGCTTGTTTCCATCCCAAATCTCCAGCAATATTTTAAAGATAGAGTATTAATATCTCTTTCTTAATAAAGATATATTTTGATATTTAATCAATTGAAGTATAGTAAGTGTGTTAACATTAGAGCATAGATAACTAAGCTGAATGAAAATTTTAATTATTTAATAAGAACACTTAGTGTCTCTCAAAACATTGCATTTAATATGATATCAATTGTTAGCCACTAACTATATATTCCAGATGTGGTGAGAACCTACTGATGTGTTTATCCTGAATGGCGTCTACTTCTTCTGTGAATTGCTTCTTTGAAAAGTTTTCAAAAAAATATGCCCTTTTCTATCTCCCTGTCCAGCATGACTATATCTGATGAGTAAGACAGATGAGCAAGACAGATGAGTAAGAATTCTTTCCCAGAGTTTTTCATACTGGAGCTACAGGAAAAGAGACATTTCCATTGATATATTGATATCATGTTAGTGTGAGCCGGTAAGCTGTCTATGATCACATATGCCTTGCTATATGGAAAAGCCAGTTTGTGGTAGGGGAATATGGAATCAACATGCACCCCAAAAGAAGAGTGGAGGTTGTAAAAAAGAAGGTACTCTTTTCAGTCCTGTGATCTCCATTCCGCTCTGGCTCCTGCTATGTGGAGGTTTGGTTGTTCAGCCCATCTGTGTGATTTTCCTGTATCCTTCTAATAAATCCTCTTGTCAATTTGTTTGAATTGTGTTGCTCTCTATTGCAACCAGAAATACTGATTAAATATACCAGGTACTTGAAGGTAATTTCTGCTATATTTGTGAAATTTCTACAAGATAGATATTTATTCCATTTATATATGAGGAAAATTAGGTTAAATCACCTGTATCATTTCAAAGTCTATGTTATTTTCACTCCAGCTTTCTGCTTTTCTAATGAGTTTTGGAAGTCCTTTTACTGAAGATAACATAATAAAGGAAGCAGTTGATCACAGGCTAAGATGACTGATTAACCTGAAGCCTTATGGTAGAAAGACAGTAGTTATCAAAATCCACATATTCTATCTACTAACTACTATCTTGAATTCTATCTCTGCTATGCATTTTTACTATCACAGTTCTAATTATTATTATTATTATTTTTTTTTTTTTAGATAGGGTCTGGCTCTATCACCCAGGCTTGAGTGCAGTGGCATGATCTCAAGTAGCTGGGATGACAGGCATGCACCACCACACCTGGCTAATTTTTGTATTTTTAGTAGAAACGGGGTTTCAGTATGTTGCCCATGCTGGTCTTGAACTCCTGGACTCAAGTGATCCACCTGCCTCGGCCTCCCAAAGTACTGGGATTACAGTCATGAGCCACCATGCCCAGTCTACTGTTCTGATTTTGTTTCTTAAAAGATCTTGCCCATAATTTCTTGCAAAAATCTCCTAACTTGTATTCATCCTCATTGTTTTGCTCCTGTTCAGACAATCGTCCATCATGGTCAATCATACTATAATGGAGAATATTTCAGAATAACAGAATTTTTAGAATGCAAATCTGATCAGATCTATTTCCTATGTTGAGAGCATCCAGTGGCTTCCAATGGTTGCAAGATGAAATGTAAATTGCAGTTGTGTTATCTTAGTCCATTTTCTGTTACTGTAACAGAATGCTTTAGGCTAGGTAATTTATAAAGACTGTAACTTTATTTAGCTCATGGTTCTGGAGGCTGGAACATCCATGGACATGGTGGCAGCTTCTGGCTAGGACATTTGTACTGTGTCATAACATGGCAGAAAAGTGGAAGGGCAACTGTACACATGTGAAAGAGACTGTAAGACCAAACAAAGCTTGCTTTTATAACAATCCACTCTTAAGAGAATGAATTTACTCGCAAGAGAACTAAATTACTCCTTATAGAATTTACTCACTCCTGAAATAATGACATTAATTCATTCCCCCTGTTACATGTCCCACATCTCAATACTGTTACCTATCTGATTCAGGGCAGGTCAGTAAGAATTCTTTCCAAGAGTTTTTCATACTGGAGCTACAAGAGAAGAGACATTTCCATTGATATAATGACATCATGTCAGTGTGAGCCTGGAAGTTGTTTATGACCACATATGCCTTGCTATATGGAAAAGCCAGCCTGTGGTAGGGGAATATGAAATCAGCATACCCCAAAAAAGAAGAAAAAAAAGTTCATATGTTTCCAACATATTACATTTTGGGGGACACATTCAAACCACACCATGCGTGTACTTAGGTGTCCACTAGATTCTCTCTGCCCCTTGAGATTGAGATAATAACACCTGTGCTCTCAAGGTAAAGGAAGCTTGAGAATTGCTAGAAAAATCAGAGCATTTGGGTCTGTGTAGATAACTGTAGAAATAATTTCTGTGTAGAAATAACTATGTGACATGGTTATTTCTATGCCATCCTCTTCTTTCTCTATACTGTCTCTTTTTTCATGCAGTCTCTGGTACTGCATGTGAGAAGAGTGTCAACTCAGCCTCTACCTTGGTTTTTACAAACACAAACAATACCTACTATCATAAAAATGCATGAGAGGAGTAGAATTTGTTGAAAAATGGGTTCACATACACACACACCCCTCTACCCCAAGACAAGTAATATAAAAATCTAATAGATATATTAGTTTTCTTTTTTTTTTTTTTTTTTTTTTGAGATGGAGTCTCACTCTGTCCCCCAGGCTAGAGTGAGGTGGTGCAATCTCAGCTCACTGCAAGCTCCGCCTTCCAGGTTCATGCCGTTATCCTGCCTCTGCCTCCGGAGTAGCTGGGACTACAGGAGCATGCCACCACACCCGGCTAATGGCTGGATTGCAGTAGTACAATCTCAGCTTACTTCAACCTCTGCTTCCCGGGTTCAAGCAATTCTCCTGTCTCAGCCTCCCAAGTAGCTGGAATCACAGGCACACGCCACCACACCCTGCTAATTTTTGTATTGTTAGTAGAGATGGGATTTCACCATATTGGTCAGGCTGGTCTTGAACTCCTGACCTCCGCCTGCTTCAGCCTCCCAAAGTGCTGGGATTATAGGTGTGAGCCATTGCGCCCGGCCCTATGGTCAATAACTTTTTGCTAGTAAGTTGAAATCAACCATGGTGGAGAAATTTACACCAAATAAATCTTCAAATTCTGTAAATCATCCTTTTTTCCCTCCCGTAGAGCAATTGCTAAACATTTACTGGATCACCAGGGATATAAGGGAAATAGTGATGAAAATATCATCTATTTTATTATTATTATTTTTTAGAGGCAGGGCTCTTGCTTTGTCACCCAGGCTGGAATTGTAGCTCACTGCTGCTTTGAATTCCTGGGCTCAGTGATCCTCCAGCCTTAGCCCTCCAAGGAGCTGGGATTACAGGTGTGCACTACCATGCCCAGCTAAATTTTTATTTGTTTGTAGAGATGAGGGTCTTGTTATCTTCCCCAGGCTGGTCTCAAACTCCTGAACTCAAAGTAATCCTTCCACCTCGACCACCCAAAAATGCTGGGATTACAGTATAAGCTACCACACCTGGCCAAGAACTTTTCAATAATGGACCTTGTGTCCTAATGTCATCCTCAAAATTAGGTAGACTAACCCACCCATTTGTGAGCAGAGCAGTGTTGAGGAACCATAGACCTTTCTGTAGGGGCCCAGGACTTTATCAACAGATTATCACAAGCAGAACAGAAAACATGATATCATTCTGTGATGACAAAACTTACTCAGTGTCTCTTCTCAAGCTCTGCAACCAGTCAGACCTCTTGGAGAGGATTGAGGATTGGGAGATGAGACACCATGAGTCTTAACAAATGGATATTTCCTCTTCATCTTCACAAAGGCACTCAAGAGAAAGAAAAGAAAAGGAAGTTTCCCTTTTTTTTTTCTCCAAACCAGCCTGCACATTCTATAATTATACAATTCATTGCACTTCTTGCAACTTGGTTTACCTACCTGTCTCTCCTACTGGACTGCAGTTGTCTTGATGACAGATCCATTTGCATCTCAGAAATCAAAAGCAGTTTCAGGAACATAGTGCATGCTCAGTAATTGCTGAATAGATGATAAGGTCAATCAATGATGGGCTCATGAAAATGTGGAAATTTACCTGAGCCCTACGATCCCGGAAGGCTTAAATGGGTAAATCAATCCCTCTACATTTTGTGTGCCTTTTCTCCCTTCTTGTATCAATCTTTTAAAAATAAAGTCTCTCCTTACATAAGTCTGGATTTGTTTTTATTTGACACTCATCACACAGGTGATTTTTATATTTAATAATAGCCACAAATATAACATTCTTTTAATTCCTGTGATGAGGGGCAAGATCTGTTACAAGATTCTGAGCAGGGAATACCTAAGGCCCAAAGAAGGTGTAGCCAGAGGGGAGGGGAGGGAGCAAGGCAGGTGAGTAACCGAAATTGCATTTATAGCTGTGATTTTCAGAAATACCATGGAGCATTAATCAACACCCCTACCCTAGACCTACCACATCAGAATCCTCAGGCTGGGGACCAGGAATCCATATTTTAAAGGTGCTTCCCAAGTGATTTACATTCACAATCAGTTGAAGGAAACTTTAAAACTTTTACTCCTTCATTTGAATCCTCTTTATTGAAACTGCCAGTGTTTCAAAGTATGCACTTCAATATTAACAGAATTGAGCTGTGCAATTTAAATTTCTAATCCCCAAACATTTACAACCAGGCATTAATTTCCAACTTGTGTCCCTCTCCTTTGAATGTGACCTTTATTTTAATAGTGATGAAATTTATGAAGCACGCTTCATTTGCCTGATTTACTATAACATAGCTAAATTCATTTTGGAAATGATTGGGCTGTGGCTCCATATTAAATCCTTAATATATACACACAAGTGAATTATTGGTTCTCGTAGTCCACCCAGTTAAAAACAGAGATAATGGAAATCAAATGTCCAGTCAAATTTCCCCTTTGTACAACTCAACAGAGCTTGTCATCACCATTCAAAATCCATGAACAGATAAAAGAAAGATGACAATAATTGTCAGATTCTTGATGGCAAATGAGCAGTGTGAGAGATTCTCTTTCAGTGTGGATGGGTTATTTTGGCACACTACAGATGCAGCCTCAGGCTACCTAAAATGAGTGACCAATTCCAGTAGATGATTTGGCCCCTAATTTATGTTTTCCTTGTTCCATATTGCTTGCCAGCATGGTAGGCAGTGAAATACAGTGGGAAAATTATGAAGCCAAATAATAAAACAAAATACTGGAACACCTCTTGGGGTCAGTTTTGAATCCATGAAGTGCTCTTAAAATTTCCAATATTTATTCAAAAGAATGTTAGTGGTCACGATGCCATTCCCGAGTCCTCTCTAGAGTGGACAGAGAAGGACAAAAGTAAAAAATGGTGAGGTGACATATATTTTCTTATGGAAAATGAATTCCAAAAATACAGTCTCAAACAATTATATAGAGGGAAGACGGAATTGGAATGACTGAGCATTGACTATATATGGACATTTTTCATCAAGTCTTTGATTTAATCCTCACAAAATCTTGCAAAGAAGGTGTTACAACTCATAATACAGATGAGGAAACTGAGGTTGAGAGAACTATGGAGACTTGCCCATAATTACAAATTTAGAAGGTTATAGGGCTCAGATTCACAGCAGGATCATAAGATTCCAAAGTCTACTGCTTATCCACTCAACCGCAATACCTGCTGGAATGTGCAGGGGACTTCTGCACACACATCCTCATTTGGCTTTGCAAAATGGTAGATAATGGCCCTGCCAAAATGGGAAGGGTCACTATTGAAAGAAAAGGGAACGAATAAATGTCTTCCCCTATTCTACGTTACCTCCCTAGAAGAATATGTTTATACTTAGTACATTTTTATTTCTCTCAAGTTTATACAGTCCAGATATACATTTTATATATCTCATCATCCACATAGCACTGTAGCAGCCTCCTCAAAAGAGAGCAGACTTTGGAAGGAAAAGATCTGGATGTGAATCTCAGTTCTGTCTCCTACTGTTTATTAAGTGTGGTTGTTTCTCTAGGAGATTCAGAGGTGCATTTCATAGTTCCTGGCATAATTTGGGTGCCTGCAAAGTACATATTTTAAACATGACAGGGACTTTGGTCAGGCTCAAACTGGTTGGGAGCCAGAGTGATGAGAAAAAGGGCTGTTGTGTTGGCTGCATCCTAAGACTGGATGGGAAACCAGGAATGAAGAACATGGGTTTAGCCAAGGGTGTGGTAGAAGCTGTGTCCTAGCAAGGACTGTCTCTTCTAAATTGTTTTTTTTCTGAGGCAATATTTTTCTTTTGACACACCTTTGGACCTACCTATTATAGCTTCTTCACTCTGGGCATGGACCTTGGCCACTCTATCCATCACCTTTGTTGACAGAACAGCACCAGCTTCTTCTAACAAGAGCATGGTATTGCTTTCTCCTTCCTACCTGGCTGGGGCTTTTGGACCTTTCCAAGCTTAAAAAAGAAAAAAAAATAAGAAAGCAAGTTCAATAAAATATATTTCATCACCCTGGTAATATTTTGAACCAAACATTCATTGCAAATAACTGGCTTAACTTCTTTAAGTAGAATTTGAGAAGAAGTCATATTTAGCTATTTATTGTACAATAACATTTTAAAATTTATTTTTATTCATGCTATATTATAAATATTATTATGTAAATGAAGGTAAGTAACATGTACCAGAAAGCCACTACTATGGATAAGGTACTGTGCTTAAGACATTGTATTAGTTTGTTCAAGCTACCATAATGAAGTACCGTAGACTGGATGGTTTAAGCAACAGAAATTTATTTTCTCATAATTTTGGGATCAAGCTAGCATCAAGGTTGGTTTCTTCTGAGGCCTCCCTCCTTGTCTTATAGACTGTCATCTTCTACCTCTGTCTTCACAGAGGTGGTCCTGCCTCTGACTATGCCTGCATCTTAATCTCTTCTTATGAAGACACCAGGCATATTGGAATGGGGCTACCCCTATGACCTCATTTTAACCTACTTAGCTATTTAAAGACTTTGTCCCAAATACAGTCCCATTCTGAGGTTCTGGGGTTTGGGAATTCAATGTGTGAATTTTGAAGAAACACAGTTCACTTCATAACATTGATGTGGATTATTTTATATTATTATTTATAAATTTCATATAACTAATTACATTTTAGGATGAGCGCTGAGCATCAAATATGTTAAATGTCTTTCCCAAAGAGCTGAAAAATGACATAACTAGAATTTAAAGGTCTGTCTGGGAAACTTCAAAGCTCATAGTAACTATTTCAGTGTTTTGTTCACCCTCTGTCATATCTTATTTCAAGGTGCTCCCTCTGAATATACATTAATATTCACCTCTCTCTCCATGCTCCTGCACTAGCTGACTCATTGTAATTGTTGCTATAGCCTGATAACATCTTGCTCAAGTGACGCTAAATTTTGCCAGATCAATGGACAGTTCCCTTCAGGCATTATGCAGCAGCTGTCTTCGCTAATTTGATAGTATGTGATGAAAGTGGAACTTAGAAGTGTGTTTAGTTCAATTTCACAAAGTTTGAAGTAGTTTTGGGTTCAATACAAGCTGCCTGATTAAATGATGCTGAATTGTTGTTCGTTCATTTCTTAGCCAGGGCTGCTATAACAAAATTACCATAGACTGAGTGGCTTAAACAACACAACAGAAATTTATTTCTCATAGTTCTGGAGGCTGGAACATCCAAGACCAAGATGTTGGCTGATTTGGTTCCTGGCAAGGCCACTCTTCCTGATTTGTGGATGGATGACTTTTTGCCTTATCCTCTCATGGAGAAAAGAGAGAGAAGAAGTGAGCTCTTTCATGTCTCTTCTCATGAAAGCACTAATCTCATCATGAGGGCCCCATCTTCATGACCTACTTACCTCCCAGATGTCTCATCTCCAAATATCATTACATTGGGATAAGGGTTTCAACATATGAACTTTAAGGGGACACAGACAGTCCACAGCAACTCATGAAAAAGGGGCGCTTTTGACAAATGCGTGGCATCACTTTCACATGGGCTGCCTTATCTGATCTCATCACAAAAGTGTTCTAAGATAGAAAACACCAGTATTGTTACTGCTTACTTAATTTTTTTCTTTTTCTATAACTAGTTCATTTCGTGTTATATCCCCTTCCAAGTATCTCAATGCAGTGATCATACCAGACTTACAGGTGGTTAGAGGACAGATAAGGAGATGACCACGCCAGGATATAAAAGACTAGCAGTGGCAAGCCAGGTTAATGGCCAAGAGGTTTGGGGGAGGAAAGATGAGGAGAACAGCAAGAAAGGGAGGTGAACTGATGACAGCAGTTTTGGAAAAGGGGCTTTCAAGAGCGTATTTTTGACCATGTTTATAGGCACACCTCACTTGTGTAGGATCCTGTTGGCTTCCATCGAGGCTTCTTATAAAGACATAGGCCCCAGCCTCAGAGAGAACTCTATTAGAGAAGATTAGACAGTTGTGCACAGACCTACAATAGAGGTAGGCATGCAATCAAATTACAGTGAATGTTTAAATAATTTCCTGTAGAAGTGTTTTAATTGTGTTCTACTTCTGTAGCTGGAGCTGGAGTCAATTTTATCTAAAGTGATCAGTTGTGGCAAAGAGAAATTTGACTGAAACCTGAAGGGTATTAAGGGAAGGTTATGAATTCAAGAGGTGAGAATGAGAGAGAAGGATTCTGTGATGAGTACATAATAGAAAAACTGGTGGCACAACATGAGTTAGAAAATGGCAAATTATAGAGAAAGGTATGTCAGGAACTAGAAAGTGATAGAACTGGCCACAGATGTTGTTTAATATAGTTTATTCTGGGACGAAGGAGAGAACTTCCTTTGCAGATTAAGGAATTATGACTTTATTCAGAAGGAAGTAGGGATTCTGTTTACCTTTCACAACACAATAATGTCTCTTTTCTGGAAAATCACATATGATTCTGGAATAAAATTACTGTCATTCGTCTTCTTCACCTTCCGAATTTTCACATCAAACTTTTATCCCACAGCACTTGAAACACAATTTTATTTTAAAAGAAAATCTAAGATTATTCATAAAGAATTAAAATTTGTCTTTGCTTAAATATTTAATAGACACTTTTATGGAATTGTGCAGAAACAAGAAAGCTAAAATACAGATAAAGATGGTCATCACAGCAGTATTATCTATAACAGTGAAAAATTAGAAATGCTTTATTAGGGGAATAGTTAAGCAAATTATGATAGCCCTGTACAATGAGATATGATGCATCCATTTATAAGATTTTGATAATATGTATAAAATTGGAAGAAAGTTCAAGAAAATATTAATAATTTTCTTCAAGTACAGGATTCTGGGATGTTTTTAAAATAAGTTCCTTTATGAATTTATTTTTCAAGTTTCACAAACTGGTCATATATTTATTAGATAATCAGAATAAAAATTAAAGTACGGCAATATCTTTGGAATAGTCTATGGCAACCTTGGGAACTTTGAAGAGGACATTGGTCATCAGCACAGGTGCATTCTAGTCACCTAACCATCTAATCCCTAGACTTGTGTTTGGCTAATGTTATCTCTAAATCTTTATGAA
Source organism: Homo sapiens (assembly GCF_000001405.40). Lineage (NCBI taxonomy): Eukaryota > Metazoa > Chordata > Mammalia > Primates > Hominidae > Homo > Homo sapiens. The sequence continues at coordinate 12,680,462 of NC_000004.12, read as the reverse complement.
AAAGAAAAGTTATATCCTATGGCCCCATTTTGGCCTTCTGGTTGGAGGCTAATGTGAAGATCTGATTTATCCTTACACCTCGGAATCTAGAACTGTGCTTGACATATTATAGATATCAAGACATTACTATTTATTGTACACAAGATCTGGTCAAAACATTTGTTCTTGTCACAAATAGTGTACGGTTAATCTCAGAATTTTGGCCATATTTTTCTTGGGGTTTTTCCCTATCACATATTAAGTGTATCTATTTTTGTCCTATTGTATGCATTTGGCTGAAATTTCCTTGTATATGTGTGAGGGGGTTCGGGGCGGGTCCCAGCTATACTCTTTACTGACTTTATGGCTGTGAACAGTAAATTATGTTCTTTTATCTTTATTTTTTTTTCAAAGGATTGGCTTTAGGGTTAAGCTAAAAATTATATGTAGAAATACCTAGGAGTGGAACAACAGAAGTAGTAAATGAAGATTACTTGAGTTTGAGTCGACTGCTACTTGGTAAACACGATTGACTGCAAGTCTTTTTGAAGAAGCTCTGAGCTGGGGAAAGGACAGACTTAGCATTCATTATTGCAATCTACAATAATGAGAGGTGGGGATGTAGACCTGACTACCCTTAGTATGAGAAAAAAAGTCATAGCTGGTTATAGGACCCACCATCTGCCTCCCAAGCATGTCAGCACAGTAAGAAGCAATATATCACTTTTGAGAGGCAGGTGCAATCTCAAATTTAAAGGGACATTTTTAGTGTTGGCTAATTCCTGACAGTTCAAGAAGTGCCAGGAATGAACAGTAAAATCTGGATACATTTACAAAGTAATTTTCTCAGCATATTCTGCAAATATTTCATTGTCCATTTTAAAATGCTATGAAGGCAGAAAAAAAGGGAGATTAATATACATGTATCTCAAGGCCACAGATTGTGGGTAATATCAATTCTAACAATGCCCCTTGGGAAATGAGCCCCAGACACCCAGGCGCATAGGAGAGAGAGTCCTTTGCTTTAGATCTTCTATGGATTACCGAGATGTCACCATCTAGTGGACAGAGCAAGAATTCAGGAATAGGAAGAGGAGAATCTTTAACATCTCATTTTCTTCATCTGTAAAATGTGATTAGTCACATTTCTTAAAGGGAGGTACACTTTATATCAAGTAAATTACATGCACCATGTATGTATTATATCATGATATTGTATATGTTTAAATAACCCTCACATTACATGAGAGAGCTGAAGTTTAGGGAAATGAAGCAACTTGCCCAGTATTACACGCTTCTAAGTGGTAGAGTTGGACTTGCAGCCACGTCTGGTGGACATTCATATTGCAAGAGAACACTCTATATTCCACGATGCCACACACGTGGTGAATATCAGATGCAGAGAATGCAGTGGTCTGGCTGCTTAGAGCTGGGATTGAGTTTTGGCTCTGATGCTTACCAGCTGGGTGATCTTGCACAATTCATTTAATTTCTGTAACCTTTGAGGTTATTCCGAAATAAAAAGTAAATATTAAACAAGATCATCTGTTTAAGTACTTTACAAATTCTAAATGTTTTGCTTTATCATTATAATTGTAGTCATCTCTATTTTGGATTCTTTGACTCTTTGGTTGAGAAGCTCAACCACCTAAAACTACCTCCACCAGTACAATCATCATAACATTACAATGAGAACTTAACCATAAACTTATTGAATCCCTTGCCCCCAAAAGATTAGCACCCTTTTTCTGGCCATTAATGAGAACCTAAAATTATTTTGTAATATTTTAAGTATATGACTGGGGGCTTGGCTTTTATTTTTTTAAGATCTATAGAATGTTTAAACTCTTAACCAATCTCTTTCTTTCTTCTATTCTCCAGACCACTTCATTTTAGATAATCATTAATGACTAAACAAAGATGTGCTGTAGATTTGTACATTCAAGGCCTCAGAAAGCACCTCTGTAGACATTCTCTGAGATTAAAGAAAAAAATCAAAGTAATACTTCACTGGGACCAGTGACTTCAGTAGTGAAAAAGACAGTTTTTGCGACACAGAGATGAAGAACAAGGAAGTTTAGAATCCAATAGTAGCGAGAAGAAAGACAACGCTAGATACAAATCCCCTAAGTTCAAATACAAGACCTCCCTTTCCATGGCTGTGTGACTTTTGACAAATTATATAGTCTCTCTGTGCCTCAATGTCGTCATCTATAAAAAGGAGTTAAATAATACCTATTTCATAGGTTTGCTATAAGGTTTAAGTGTGGTCATATGTGTAGGGTACTTAGATCTGAGACTGATGCCTAGTAGGTGTTATGGAAGTGTTGGCTATTTTCTTCTTGATGCTACCAAAACTTCATATGTGGTGTGTGTCATCCTGTATTTTGATTTCTCATCATTTTTGTCATTTGCTCTTCTGTTTTTCTCACAAAACTATGATTTTCCAAAAGGGAATGAAACACTATGGCCCATCTTGAAATCTGTCCTGCAGACTACTCTTTTATAATCCATGAGCTGAGCATGATTATTTTTTTACCTTTTAAAAATATTGTTAGACATAAGAATATGCAAGCGAGACCATGTGTGGTTCACAAAGCCTAAAATATTTAACATCTGGCTCTTAATAGAAAAATATGTCAAACCTTGTTCTAGAGAAAGGGACCATATTTCATTAATTGTTACATTCAATATGTGTTTGATAAAGCAAAAAAAGGATAAAGAATAGAAAGGCTGGAAGATGCCCAAGAAAAATACATGTAAACACTGTGGAAGGAGCAATTAATTCTGTTCATGCACATCAAGGAAGGATTCTAGTAGATCTTTAAAGATGGCGGTAATCTCAATGAAGGAGGATGTTTTGATACATTGTGGTTTGGAACTCAGAAATATTTCACAGAGGTTACTGAAATATATAATGACAATTTTATAAATTTAGTAAATCCAAATATTCTCTAGGTTCAGCAAGGTCAAATCCTAGGTAAGAAAAATGTCCCTTGGGTCTCATTATTGTCCTGTAGGGTAGAAACTATTGCTCTATTTTTTTATAGAAGAAGAAGCTGAGGCTCAAGAGTTTGAGTTACTCACGGTTTCATAGCTCACAAATGGCAGGATAGAGACTCAAAATCAGATGTGGTCAACCAAACTATCTCCATCCTCATTTATCCACCACATAGCTCACCTTCAAAGGTGAGATCTCATAACCCCGTCTGGCTCAGTACCCTCCCTCTGATTAGGAGGACTATTAAACAGACATGATTCTGGCTTAAAGGGTCAACATCAATCATGCTCTGGACCTAGAGCTAGTAACTAGAACTTAGCCCTGAACTAGTTAGACAATTTGTGTTTTTCCTCCAGTCACAACTTCCTTGCCCTCTTTCTATAATGGTCTGCATAGCATCCATTCCCTAGTGCCTGCCCTGAATGAGTTTCCAGGACCCCACATCCTCAGCAGCTGGTGTGGTAAGTTTCCCTACACAATCCTGGGTCTGTAGTCCCATCTGTGAGTCCATTGCTCATGATTTGATCTCATCTTACTGCCAAGAGTCTTCTCTTTTAGATCTGGATCTCTGCCTCAAATCAAGTCTATTGCCAGTGTTCATCTAACTCTGACTCCCTACCTCTGCCAAAAACAGTGCTTTTAACAGTTTTCTTGTTGAAGCATTGCCTTTTATTTTTCTATTGCCTACTCTGCCCCTAAGAATATATCTGTTAATTCATTCCTCTTTGTCTTGACCATTTTACTGCATATAGTCCTCATTGGTGGCAATGCAATGGAGGATTAAGCAAAAGCATCAAAGGGCGATGTTTCTGATTGTGTAAGTAAATCACTGTTAATATTTGACATTGTGTGGTGTTTCTTTGTGGGGGAGTAAATGTGTGTGTGTGTGTGCACGTGTGTGTGTATATATATGTGTGTGTGTATGATCTTGATCTGTGATAGAGGCGCCCCAGCTGTCTTTGTTCAAAGAATGCTTCATTTTACAATAATGTTTTTCATGGCACTTCCAGGACAAAATAGATGTCTAAAATTTTGATTTATCAAATACTTACATAGTTATTAAATATATTAACTTCTAGAGTCAATAGGTGTATGCAAAGTATATAGCGATTTGAAAAATAATGCACATAAATAAAATAATATTTTAATTTGATTTATAAATAATAACAATTATTCACTAATAAGATTTGTCTATCTGCTAACACTGCATAGTTTTGTAATACTGGAAATAAAATTGGATACCACCACCCTAATTTCCTGTTTCATATTGGTTACAAATAACTTGCTTTTAGCAACTATTAAAAACCCAAATTTATAAACATATGTCATTATCAAGAGGAATGTAACGTGGACTATTGTTGAAAATGTGAACTACCTTGAGCTAGTAGTTTATGTAGTATTCAACAGATTTTGACTAGGACTGTATTTCTATAAAAAAGGCACAATATCCTGCAGTACTGAGAGTTTGCTGTGGTAGTTCAGGTAACTTTTCCTTTTAGTCAGAGCCTCACTCTATCACCCATGCTAGAGTGCAATCAGGGCTCACTGCAGCCTCTACCTCCAACCTCCAGGCTTTAAGTGATCCTTCTGCCTCAGTCCCCTGAGTAGCTGGGACTACAGGTATGTGTCAACACTCCTGGCTATTTTTTTTTATTTTATTTTAGTGGAGAGGAGGTTTCACTAAATGTTGCCTAGGCTGGTCTTGAATTCCTGAGCTCAAGTGATCCTCTCACCTCGGCCTCCAAAAGTTCTGAGATTACAGGCATGAACCACCATGCTCAGCCTCAGGTAACTTTTAAAAACAGTTTAGGAACAATGGTTATATGGGGTTTTGAAATTTGCTATAGTTACTGATGGCACATAATATTAAAAACATTCAAAAAACCATTTTATTGTCTCATTTAAAAAGTGAATCTTTCTCAGTGATGTAAATTTTTAAAGAATACTGACTTTTAACAGATGCCCTATGCCCTCTTGGCTGTATAACCTACCAACATTTGTATGCCCTGATTGAGATAATATGGTTTCAGAATGTTTGAACCCTGCTTTTGTTCACTTAGTATCCTATCTCACTTTTGCTCCTAACCAGCAAGGAGTAACAGGGACAGGATTTGCCCTCTAGCCCAAAGGTACTGAAAAAATTAAACAAAAAATAATATGGGGCAGTTTGTTTTCAAAACACTGAACATAAAGCAAGATAAAAGAATAGTGATCAATGAGAAATAGAAAACATGAGTTGAACCCTATGATTTTTCCATATTCCTTGCCTTGAAGAAATCTCCAGTCCATGACCTGGGGAGAGGAAACTGTGACAGAGCTGAGAGTCTATGAAAGCAAAGGTGGCTAGCATTTGCAGGACAGAATATCAGAAAAGAGATAACTGCAACCCTTCTGAAGAGGGTTCCATTCTGCAGAAAATTGATCAGAGCATGTGTATGATGAAACTGTCTGAGGCTGAAGAAAGGCTGTTCAAAGGGTAATTGAGAAGAGTGCCTGAAACTCACACTAGATCAGGAATACTGCCTATTCTCACCAGTCATACTGGAAAAATTTATTTTCATCTCAGCAGTAGGAAACATTAGCCTTAGTTTGAGCACTGTGTAAGGCCTTCCTAACATGTGATATAAACAAATCCAAAAGTACCAAAAGTTTCAAAGTAACTTACCCACATTATAGTACAAAGCTCAAGATTATGTATAAGGCTACATACAATATAGAACCAATATAGTTGGATCTTGCTTTTCTGAAGATCCAATTTGACAATCTCTGCCTTTTACTTGAGGTATTTAGAACATTTATATTTAATGTGATAATTTATATAGTTAGATTAGGTCTATCAAAAATTTTGCTGTTTTCTATTTTCTCCATTTTTCTCTTTGTTATATTTTTCTTTTTTACCTTGTTTTAGATTATTCTTATTATTTCACTTTGTCATATTTGTTGGCATACTAGCTATATAACAATTAAACTACCCACCTAAACATATATTCCCCATTGGCAGCCAGGTGGTGAGAGACTCAGCTCAAAACCCATCTTAGCTTCTACTTTCATGAATCACTACTGAAACCAAATAGCTCCTGTTAGATTTCTCAGAAGGCAGATTCTGAGGTAGTCCAAGGTTCCTGGAAAGTGTGTCAGCAAATTTTTTTTACTGAAGGCAGATGTGGGCCACATATTACAGTGCCTATAACAGTATTTTAAATTAGAACTTCTCAATCTATTTATTTATATGACTTTCCTTTCCTTTCTCATGATTTTCACCTATTTATTTATCTGTGTGATTTTCTTGGTGAATTTCTCTTTAATGCCTCATAATTTACTTCTTCTTCCAGACTAGAGAAGTGTCCCAGAAGTATCAAATTACTTTCTAAGAAAATTATTTAAAAAATTGTGGATACATTTCTGAACTACTAAATTTTTTTATATTCACCTTCATTTGCTTCCAATTATTTCTATTACTTTTTGTTTGAATGTTTTATTCATCTTGTTCATGCTTTGGAATATAACTGTTTTTAAGTCCTTTGAAGATTGTGCTATTTTTTCATTTCCTCAGAAGTATTTTTTTTTGTCTTGGGTTTGTTGAAATTTGTGGGCCTCATAAATTTTGAAATTTTATTTCAACTTGAGGGAAGAGAGTAGTATTAATTTTTATTTTTAACTTCATACTTACTTCTGCATGTAGTGGTTTTATGCTTTTCGCCTTTTCATTGATTGCCTCAGTTGGAACTAGATCTCTCATTGGTGGCTTTAGCTTTGTTTCACAGCATTGCAGGTAACTATTGCTCTTTAATAAACCACTTTAATATTTGGTAGCCTAAACAACAATCATTTATTTGCTCCTGATTCTCCAGTTTTAACCTGGCTGTTGCTTATTTTTGCTCATGTGATATAAGATAAAGATATGTATTTGCATCCAGCAAGGAGCACAGTGGAGACTTCCCAGCTGGAACAACCAAGGAGGTTGTTCACTACATGTCTGACTTTGGGACTGGCTATCAGTGGGAGGACTCTGGTTCTCCTCTAGGTAGCCTAGTGGAGACTACTGTGTGGATGTTAGCAATCCACACAAGTTTGCTTACATTATAGAAAAAGGAAGAGAAAGAATTGTTGGTAATTATCTTTAAAGATAATTTACCATACAGAGAAATGCAATATAATTAACTGTGAGTCAATACACCTTCAGCAATTTTTTGATGATAGGACTGTTGTTTCACTTTCCTACAACCCCAGACAACCAACCCATTATTGTCTACTCTTGGACAGAGGTTTCTACAATTATCAGTATCTTTTTCTAGCTACTTCAGGCCCCTATTTCACACAGCAATCCTATCTCTGATCTTTTATCATGTGGAACCGCTTTGAATCCTTGTTACTCTTTGTATTGCAGGGTAAGGGTTCATCACATTCTCTTATATTGCCCAGAAGTCCAAGAAGGGTTCTAATAATTAGAAAAAAACATAAAGGGCTCTATTTAAGATACTGAGTCATCAACTATTGATAGCATTCAGGCAGAATTATACAACTATGTTTTGGGCCTTCTTGTCTAGGAATAAGGGCTAAGGCTAGGTAATTTTTCAGTTTTCTGTTATTTTATTTTATTTTGCCTAACATTTAGATTTTCTTTTTATTTTCTAAAAACATAACATTGATTTGAAGAAAATTACATTAAAAACAGGGCTTAGAGGAAGAAAGTCTGGAAACTTTCCTATTTTACCCTTCATGGCTGAGAAAATTCTATATAGATAAATGCAGTGGTCTGTGGTTGTCACAGGCTGTGCCAGTCCCACTTTGAATGTGCTCTGTGTCATGTCTGGCTTGATTTGTGAATGAATGTTCCTATTAGCAATGTAAAACTCTCAATTTTGACTATAAGTAGGACAGACAAAAGAACACAAATCATGAAGCTCTTTAGTGTTCATTGACATAAAGGCTCATGGCAGATAATTTCTTTCACCTTCACTCTCGTCTGAGAAATATGTCAGATGCCCTTCGACATGCCTATGCCCTATGTAGAAACAAGTCTACACTTCTAGCATTTTAATAGCATCATTTTCCTCAAATGAACATTTTATGTAGACTCATAATACATTAGTTGTAGAAACGATTTTGAATATAACTTACTCTAAAGCGTTCATCTCACAGATAGGGTTATGTTGCCTAGTTGAGAGGTTATGAAGGTCCTTTATGGCAATGGTAGAGGCTTATAATAATGACGATTATGGCAATTCTCATTACTGAGCTCCTGGTATGTCCCAGACAGTATATTCTTAATGGTTAAGAAAAATTAGCTCTTAATACTTACCATAAACCTCTGAGGCTAACCCCATTTCACATGAAGAAACTGAGGCTTGAACAGAATACCAAAGGTTATAGTTGTCAAGCAGCACTGGGGTTCAGTGAGACCTCATATGTAGAGAGAGTGTGGTTCTGCCAGCTAAAAAACATGGAGACACAGATATGTTAAAGGCCCAGTGTAGAACAAGGAGAAGACCACTGGCTTTGGATCCAGGAAGAGTTGATATTGAAAACTACTTTGCTTATGCTGTGTGATCTTGAAAAATTACTTAACGTCTGTGAACTTCAATTTCATCATCTATCAAAGGGTGATAGTGAACATTTCTATTTTATCAGGCTCTAGAAATAACTAAAGATGATGTACTGAGTGTAAAGTTCTTAGAACCATACTATACAATAAGAACCACACTTACTATACAATAAGCACTAAAGCTGGAAAAATAACACACATAATATGTGTGTGTGTGTAGCATTATTATGATCATACACAGATACACATGTACACTATTGACCCTTGAACAACATGGATTTGAACTGCACAGGCCCACCTAAATGCACATTTTTTTTCAATAATGCACTTAGTTTATCTCCCTCTCCTGCCTCCTGTTACACTTCCTCCACCTCTTCAGTCTCTGCCCTCCTGAGACAGCAAGACCAACTCCTCCTCCTCTTCTTCCATCTCCTCCTCCTCTCACTCCTCCTCTTTCTCCTCCTTCTTCTTATTCTCTTTCTCCCCCTCCTCCTCCTCCTCAGCCAACTCAATGTGAAGACAAAGGTAATGAAGACCTTTATGATGACCCACTTCCACTTAATAAATAGTAAATATATTTTCTCCTCCGTATAATTTTCTTAATAGCATTTTCTTTTCTCTAGCATAACTTATTGTAAGAATACAGTATATAATGTATATAATACATATAACACCCAAAATATGTGTTCATTGACGTTTATATTATTGGTAAGGCTTTTTGGTCAAGAGTAGGCTACCAAGAGTTAGGTTTTTGGGGAGTAAAAACTAATACACGGATTCTCGACTGAAGTAGGGGGTCAGCGCCCTTAACTTCAGTGTTGCTCAAGGGTCAACTGTGTGTTATTATTACTTTCAGGTTTTTGCCTAAATATTGCGGCTCAGTGAGCCCTTCCCTGGACACCATATTGAATGTGGTGGACTAAGTTCCCTTCCAGCACTTGCCACTCCCTTCCTGACTGGACTTTTCTCCATATAATTTAACATCAACCATGCCTCTTATTTATTATTATTTATCTTCCTACATTGGCTTACCAGAACTGTCCCTTTTATCTGTTTTATTCACTTCTCAGTTTCTAGAACTATAGTTTGCTCAATAAATATGTGCAGAATAAACTATTAATATTATTATATTTATTATTTTTGTTATCCAATAATTACTCTCTTTTCTTCAAAGGTAATTATTATGGGCAGAATTAATATGTTTTTGGAAAATTCATGTGCTGAAGCCCTAACCCCTAAGACCTCAGAACATAACTGTATTTGGAGACAAGGTCTTTAAAGAAATAATTAAGTTAAAATGAGCTGTCTTTGTCAGTTTGCACTGTTATAATAGAAATATTATACATTGGTGGTTTAAACAACATAAATTTATTTCTCATAGTTCTAGAAGCTAGGAAGTGTGAGATTAAGATGTCATCCCATCTGGTGTCTGGTAAAGACTCATTTCCTGGTTTCCCAGGCCATCTTTTTGTATTCTCATATGGCAGAGAACAGAGAGAGAGGGGGCAAGCTCTCACATCTTTTCGTAAAAGGGCACTAATCCCATTCATGAGGGTTCCAGCCCCATTTTCTAATTATCTCCCAAAGGCCTGACCTCCTAACTATCACATTGAAGGTTAGGATTTCAACATGTGCATTTTGGGAAAACACGAATATTCAGTCCATAGCATGAGTTCATTACGGTGGGCCCTTCTCTAATATGACTGGTGTTCTTGTAAGAACTGAATATTTGGTCGTATATACACACAGAGGTAAGACCATGTGAGGACACTGAGAAGCCAGACACCTACAAGACAAGCAGAGAGTCCACAGAAGGAGCCAACCTTGCAAACACTTTGCTCTTGGTGTTTTTCCAGAACTGGAAGAAAATAATTTCTTTTATGTAGGCCACCCAGTCTGTCGTGCTTTGTCATTTATGTCAGCCCCAGAAAACTATTATAATAAAGTCACTTTTCTCTGGTGTAGTTTGGAAATATGAGATTTGTGCCCCATCTGCTCCTGAGTTGTGTGCTTTAAATCTGCTCATATGAAATGCACACTATTGTGACTAATGTTCAGTTCCACAACGTCCAACTGCACTGTGGTTATGGCAACAATACACTCCAGTGTGTCTAGAAGTGCCCTAGTTGAGATGCTTTGCCTTTGTACAATGGTTAATATCACAGCTATTTATTTTCTAAAATGCATCTGTTTGCACAATAAATTAATAATATAATGGACAACTGCTCTTTTATTAATTTTAATTTTAAGTTCTGGGGTACATGTGCAGGATGTACAAGTTTGTTACACAGGTAAAGGTGTGCCATGGTGGTTTTCTGAACCTATCAACCCATCAGCTAGGAATTAAACCCAGGATGCATTAACTATTATTCCTAATACTTTCCCTAACCTCACCCCACCCTGCAACAGGCTCCAGTGTGTGTTTTTCCCCTCCCTGTATCAATGTATTCTCATTGTTCAGCTCCCACTTATAAGTGGGAATATGGGTGATTCCTCAATGATCTAGAACAAGAAATACCATTTGACAACTGCTCTTTGATCTACCTGAAAGTTTGAGATTTGAGCTCCTCTTCATACATAGCCTTTGGTAAAGTGATGATTGTTAAGGAAGGCTCATTGCTTTATTTCATTTTATTTATTTGCTTCCCTATACTTTTACTCCCTATACTGAAAAGCTGGCTGTACATATACAGTAGACTTCTATCAATGCTTCACGCAATCAGGGCATTTACAATATAGCAACACAAGTTAAAATGGAATATTAGACATGCTTGTCCTTGAAAATTCCCTGTCCTTTCTTCACCATAATGTTGTCAGGAGTCACCCTTCTCCATAAAAGAAAGACCTCGGCCTCTTTCTCCTATCTGAGTTCTTCCTCTTTTCTGTTTATCCTCCTGCCCTTTATTCCAAAATTATCATGATATTTATTCCAAAATATAATGAGTTTTATGCAGCTCAACATAACTCCTTTTTTGTTTGCATTATCTTTCCAAATCTTGGCCCTCTAATTCCTTTGCTGAGAACTTTGGTGTCAGTCAACATAACTCTTGTTTTTTTTTTAATTGTTTTCTTTTATCCCACTATTTTATTATTAATAAGCCAGCAAGTACCCCTGCCGACATAGCAGAGGTTTAATCCCCTCAGTTCCCACCTAGTTTCCTGACTACTCTTCAGTGACTTCTTGTTCACTAGAGTGTAGACCATTGTTACTTAAGGAGTGATCCTAGTAGCATCAGCATCTCCTTGGAACTTAGAGGAAACAAAATTCTCTATCCCATCAAAACCTACTGAACCAGAATATTTGGGGATGGATTCCAGTATTCTGCTTTAACAGGGCCCCTAGGTAATTATTATATACTGCATAGGAAAAAATGCCAAGTTCTGCTATAGGCTATCTACAATCCTTCAGTGAAGCTGCTTTTGTCTAGCTGTAAGTACCGTAGAAAGGTAAGGATCATGTCTCATGCTCTTAGTTCACATGCAAGGACCTGATCCAGGGTTGAGAAGTCAAAGCCTTATAAAAATTGAAGACATAATTTAAAAATAAATATAAAAATTATAAATGAGGCCAGGCACCGTGACACATGCCTGTAATCCCAGCACTTCGGGAGGCTGAGGTGGGTGGATCACCTGAGGTCAGGAATTTGAGACCAGCCTGGCCAACTGGGTGAAACCCCATCTCTACTAAAAATACAAAAATTAGCTGGGCGTGGTGGCAGGCACTTGTAATCCCATCTACTCGGAAGGCTGAGGCAGGAGAATTGCCTGAACCGAGGAGGCGGAGGTTGCAGTGACCCGAGATCACACCATTGCACTCCAGCCTGGGCAACAAGAGCAAAACTCCATCTCAAAAAAAAATTATAAATGTAAAATTAGGTTCAAAGATAAATATTTAATTAAAAGGAGAAAAACTGACAAAAGTCACATTTAAACAATGATAAATACTGTCATCATCAAAAAGTTTAGGAAAATAACTGCTACAGTCTCAATGTTTATGTCCCCACCAAGTCCATATTTTGAAACCTAATTTTCATTATGATAGTATTAAGAGGTGGGGCCTATTTGGAGGTAATTAAGTCATGAGGGACGGGCCTTAATGAATGGGTTTAGTGCCCTTATTAAAGAGGTCCCAGAAAGATACCTTGTTTCTTCTACCATGTGAGGTCACAGGAAGAAAACACCATCTATAAAGAATGAGATAGCTATCGCCAGACAAGTCTTCCAGCACTTTGATTTTGTACTCCCTAGCCTCCATACTGTGAGAAATAAATGTTGTTTATAAGCCACAAAGTTTATGGTGGTTTTATTAGAGCTGCCCAAATGGAGTAAGGCAATAGCATATTATTTTCACTGGTTAATTTCCTGACATATCTCTTATAATACTTTTTTTCTAAATGTTTGGCTCCATACTAATTACTACATTTTATGACAAAAATTTGGTCATATAATTTCCATGAAAAGAATAAAAAAAATAATTCAGTATTTTCTTACTACCATCGTTGTTCAACATTCGGCATCTCCATGAAGGATCATGTAGAAATACTTCAGACTAACAACATAGTAGAGGTATTATTGTGTGTATATATATATATAAAATATATACATATTATATATATAAAATATATATATTATATATATAATATGTATATATTTTATAAAATATATATATTTTATATATATATATTATAAAATATATATATGAAATATATATATTTTATATATAAAATATATATTATGTAAAATATATATATTTTATGTAAAATATATATAATATATATTATACAAAATATATATAATATATATTATAAAAATATATATATTATATAAAATATATATAATATATATTATATAAAATATATGTAATATATAAAATATATATATTATATAATATATATATTATATATAACATATATATTATATAAAATATATATATTATATAAAATATATATTATATATAATATATATTATATAAAATATATATTATATATAAAATATATATTATATAAAATATATATTATATAAAATATATATTATATATAAAATATATTATATATAAAATATATATTATATAAAATATATATTATATATAAAATATATATATTATATAAAATATATAATATGTAATATACATATTATATAAAATGTATAATATGTAATATACATATTATATAAAATATATAATATGTAATATACATATTATATAAAATATATAATATAAAATATATAATATATAATATATAATATAAAATATATAATATATAATATAAAATATATAAAATATATATAATATATAAAATATATAAAATATATAATATATAAAATATATAAAATATATAATATATATTATATAAAATATATAATATATATATAAAATATATAATATATATATATAAAATATATAATACATATTATATAAAATATATAATATATAATGTATAATACATATTATATAAAATATATAATATATAATATATAATATAAAATATATATAATACATATTATATATTATATAAAATATATATAATATATAAAATATATGTAATATATAATATATATAAAATATATATTATACATAATATATAATATATATAAAATATTTTATATATAATATATATTACATTATATATAAAATATATATATTATATATTATATATTTTATATAATATATATATTTTATATAATATATTATATATAATATATATATTTTATATAATATATTATATATTATATATATTTTATATAATATATTATATATAATATATATATTTTATATAATATATTATATATTTATATTTTATATAATATATTATATATAATATATATATTTTATATATTATATTATATATAATATATATATTTTATATATTATATATATTATATTTAATATATATTATATAAAATATTTTATATATAATATATTTTATATATAAAATATATTATATATAATATATTTTATATATAAAATATATATAAAAATATTATATATTATATATAAAATATATAGAAAATATATTATATATTATATATAAAATATATAGAAAATATATTATATATTGTATATAAAATATATATAAAATACATTATATATTGTATATAAAATATATATAAAATATATTATATATATGATATAATATATAAAATATATAATATATAAAAATATATATTATATGTAAAATATAAAATATATAAAATATATATTATATAAAAATATATATCATATATAATATATATACAATATATAATATCATATATTATATATAATATATGATATTATATATATAATATATATTTGGGATTCTTGTAAAATTTTGCAACACTGTCATTGAGTTTCTTTCATCCATAAGCTGCTGCAAACATGTTTGTAGTTTGTAGAACTACTATAGATCCATGCCATATGAACACAAGAATTCTGATATATTCTGTTATGTTATTCCCACAAAAAGATTTTTAAAATTTCCTGTGTATTTTTAATTATATATGCTTCATTATTTAATATATTTATGGCAGTAGTAAATCAGTTTTGACAAGCCAACAATGAAAATAAAATCTGCTTAGAAATTCATTTATCTGATGATTGGAAAAATTTTTCACAAACTAAATTCTGCTTCTGTAAATTACTGTTATTTCTCTTACATTATCAATGTACTCCTGGTTCTGGGTACTACAAGACACATTTATCATGCTAAGAATTTCTTGCCCTTAATTATCATGTTGTTATGTATTCATATGATTGGCAGTAGAGAAGTAGGATTATTTCTGAAAGCCATTTCCTAACTGATACCATGGAATTGGTTGACATAAATGGATCCAACTAATTTAAAAATAGATGAATCCTGGCTAGGCGTGGTGGCTCACACCTGTAATCCCAACACTTTGGGAGGTCAAAGAAAGCAAATCATTTGAGGCTAGATTTGAAGATTAGCCTGGCCAACATGGTGAAACCCCTTCTCTTCAAAAACACAAAAATTAGCCAGGTGTGGTGTCATGCACCTGTAATCCCAGCTACTCTGGAGGCTGAGGCAAGATAATCACTTGAACCTGGGAGGTGAAGTTTGCAGTCAGCCAAGATTGTGCCACTGCACTCCAGCCTGGGAGACAGAGCAAGATTCTGTCTCTAAATAAATAAATAGGACAGTTGTGGTGGCACATACCTGTAATCCCAGCACTTTGGGAGGCAGGTGGATCACCTGAGGTCAGGCGTTCGAGACCAGCCTGGCCAACATGGTGAAATCCCATCTCTATTAAAAATACAAAATTTAGCCAGCTGTGGTGGTACACGCCTGTAGTCCCAGATACTCAGGAGGCTGAAGCAGGAGAATCGCTTGAACTCGGGAGGTGGAGTTTGCAGTGAACCAAGATCACGCTACTGCACTCCAGCCTGGGTGACAGAGTGAGACTCTGTCTCAAAAAATATATATAAATAATTAAATACATAAATACATATCAATCCTCAACAACATGTCCTCTTTATATGAAGTCCAAAAATATCCGAGTTTACCTACACTCATTCAAAGTGAGGAAAATGTAACAGAAGCAAAGTCAAAGAAGGTGACTTCTTTTCAAGCAATTAAATGTATTTATTTTGAAAAAAAATCCAGAAGCATAGTCAATGTGAACTCACGTGCAAAGTTCTTCCCAGAGTGTTTTAAGAAACCCACACAAAAGGCCGGGCGCGGTGGCTCACGCCTGTAATCCTAGCACTTTGGGAGACCTAGGGGGGCGGATCATGAGGTCAGGAGATTGAGACCATCCTGGTTAACACAGTGAAACCCCGTGTCCACTAAAACAAAACAAACAAACAAAAAATACAAAAAATTAGCCAGGCATGGTGGCAGGCGCCTGTAGTCCCAGCTACTCGGGAGGCTGAGGCAGGAGAATGGCCTGAACCTGGGAGGCAGAGCTTGCAGTTAGCCAAGATCGTGCTACTGCACTCCAGCCTGGGCGACAGAGCAAGACTCCATCTCAAAAAAAAAAAAAAAAAAAAAAAGAAAGAAAGAAAGAAAAGAAACCCACACAACAAGCCCTGAAGCGAACCTTTACCATCTTGCGATACATCTACTCCTGTCAACATGAAACTTATCTTGCTTGATTGAGCCAGATTAGCATAAGGACAATATAAACAGTAAACCCATTTAGCAGCTGTGATCTTTGAGGAAACGTAGTAACATAAAGAGGGAAGCTTTATGGCCTGGCTCGCGACATAAGAAATTATGCTGATGTCATCTCTGCCATCTCATATAAGCAAGACAGTGCACATATTCAATCTAGTTCCAATATATTCATTTAAACAACAATCATATAAGATAAAAACAAAACAAAGTAAGACATCCCATCTTCCCCTGCAAGGTTGTCTAATCTCTTCATAATTTGGGTCACTTTTTACTCCATAATCACTGATGAGGTATTGGGAAAGGGATCAGCCCATTATGCCAGCTCTTGTCCCTGGTCCAGACAAGGTTTGTTCTCAGAGGTATCTTTCTTGTTAACATCTTGGCATCTTTTGCTTTTTTGTACCTGCTTATGAACACAAGAGTTTCTGGGCTCTTCTCAACAGCTTGGCACCAGAAATAATGCTTAACCTTTCTCTCATTTCTAGAATGAATAGATGAGAAAAAAATCCAAAATTACATGCCTCCTAAATATCAATTAGGGGAAAAGTGAAGGCATGACTTTACAAGACAAATGAAGGTCGAGTTATAACAGCATTGTCCTATCTAATAAAAAGAAAATGAAGGGTGACAGAGGGCTTTAACACTGTATCAAACTGAAGACCACAGGGAGGGATAAATAGCTAAAGAAGCTGTGATTTTCCATATTAATGCTTAAGAGAGGAGGGCAATACATTTTCCTTCATTTTGAAATAAATGATAATTAGCAAAGGGAGGTATATTGAAAAGAGGCTTGAATAGAAGGTAAGAAATTATGGCTTCTAATCTAAATTGTGCAACAAGATGGGTAATGATATGGCTTAGATGTTTGTAATCCCCAGTGTTGGAGGTGGGGCCTGGTAGGAGGTGTCTGGATCATGGGGGTTGATCCCTCATTAATGACTTAGCTCCAGCCCCTTGGTGATGAGTGAGTTCTTGCTCAGAGTTTATGTAAGATATGGCTATTTAAAAGCATATGGCACCTCCCTTCTCTCTTCCTTCCTCTTTCTCTATTTGATGTGCCTGCTCCCACTTTGCTTTCTGTCATGATTGTAAACTTTCTGCAGCCTCACCAGAAGCAAATGCTAGACCTATGCTTGTACTACCTGCAGAAACAGCCAATTAAAACTCTTTTCTTTATAAATTATAAAGCCTCAAGTGTTCCTCTATATCAATGCAAAAACAGATTAGCACAAGTAATAATGTAATAATCACCATTGTCTATTTGTGTTAGAATTGTTGTATATGAAATGGGTTTTTTACTAAGCAATATTTAAGGAGATAAAAGGTGTGGACATCAAAACTAAAAATATGAACACTAGTATCGCATGAGTAGAGGGTGTAGGAATAGAAGAAGAAGCTATCTTAAAGAAAGTCCCAAAGGTTCCAAGAAAATAATATTATCTTACCACATAAATACATTTTGTCTAAAATGTATCAAACACTCCAACAGGCCACTTTTGCTAAGTTATCACAGGGACTTGAGGGAATTGGAAGTTAGTCTCAACTCGCCACCCTGCTCTGGGTAACAATAAACAAGTTATAACAAGTATTTTGTCTTCAATTTCCCCGAAATGAAGGTCTCAGACTTGCTGACCCTCAAATTCATCTTTAAGAACTAGCCAGAAAATGACAATAGAGCTGATAAAATCTGTGTTTCTGCAGTTTTTATTCAGACTTCAAATATATTATTGTGGGATAATACAGAATTTCCTGATGCCAGGAAATTAATGTGTCTGTGACTTTATGGGGAGAGAAAAGTGGATGGTTTGAGGCTGGTACTTTTCCTGGAATCTGTCCTATAAGTCTCATCTCTTGGCTGATTTTGATCTGCATTCTTTCTGTCTAATAAACTATACCTGTGAATGTAATAACTTTCAGCAAAATCTGTGAATCTTTCTAGGAAATTATAGAACCTGGGATAGTTTGGGGAACCATCAGAACTTGCAGTTGGTGTCAGAAGTGAGAGCGGTCTCGTGTAGACTCTGTTGCTTAACTTTGCAGTTGGCTACAACTCCTGCAGGGCTTCAAAGCTCTGCCTCAGGGGACTAACTATATTAGAACACAGCTTGGAGAATTCTATACCTAATGGCATCATAAGAGAAAAAATACATACACACACAATGGAGAGCTTGGTAGAGACACCATTGACTGGTGGAAGCTATTAGCTCCATGATCCAAGCAAAACAGCAGACCAGCCAGAAGTCTAATAGAGAGAAGCAAGGAAAGAGAAAGCTAAGAAAAGCTTTTCTGGGTTGAGAGTCTACACTGGAGGTCAGAAAGTTTGTGCACACATGTTAGGCTGTACAGATTCAGGAGGAATCCTTGTAAAATATGGGACAGACTTGAGTACTTCCCCAAGCCACACATATAGACTCCAATCACCACAGACCAGAAGCCTCAATGGCACAATCTCTGACCAAACACTAAGAGAACAATTGGCTACTCTGGTCCAGGGAGGACTCCTAAGGACCCAAACATAAAAATAAAATCACACTTATCCTTGGATGTCTGGAAGGACGATGTGCCTGATAGCTTTATTCTGTCACAAGTGATTGGCAAAGGAAATGGCAAGTGACTCATAAGTTTCTGGCTTAATGTGAGATAAAAACTGTTAACCCCTGAACTGTGATAATACTCTCGAGCCACACACACATCCAATAACTAAGATGTCAATTGAAAGACAAGTGTTGATGAAGATGTGTAGAAATTGGAACACTTATGCACTGCTGGTGGGAATGTAAAATTGTGCAGCTACTTGGAAAACAGTTTAGTAGTTTCTCAAAATGTTAAACATAGAGTTACCATCAGGTCCAGCAGTTCCATTCCTAGGTATATATCTACCCAGTAGAAATGAAAACATACCTTCTACAAAAAATTACATATGAATATTCATAGCAACATTATTCACAATAGCCAACAAGTGGAAATAACTCAAATGTCCATCAGTGATGTATGGTTACATACAATGTGGCATATTCATACAATGGAATATCATGTGACAATAAAAAAGCCAGTCACAAAACACTACATGTTATAGGATTCTAGTTCTATGAAGACTCTGGGATTGTCACATCTAGAGAAAGTGAAAATAGAATATTGTTTTCCAGGGGCAAAGTTAAGAGTTTGGGAGTGAAGGGTAATAGTAAGTGAATACTAATTAATATAAGGGTTTCTTTTCTTAAATTTTTCCTTCCTTCCTTCCTTCATCCCTCTCTCCCTCCCTCTCTCTCTCTCCCATTCCCTCCCTCTCTCCTTCCCTTCCTTTCTCTTTTCTTTCTTCCTTTTTTTCTATTTTTCTTTATCCCTCTCTTTCTCTCCTTTTCCCTTCCTTCCTTCTTTCCTTTCTTGATGATATCCAAGAGACAAGAAAAGGAATGCAGTTGAATGAGGATAAAAGAGACAAACAGCAGGTTTGTGCTGAAGGGTAAAATGTACCCATATATCCAAAGGGAGGCTTTAAAAATAACAGAAATATTTAGGAACTTAAGGGGCAACTGTTCATGGACTTTTTTTCTGCCGTGAGTGATGAAAATTGTTTCCTCATCTTTCTTATGGAATGTACAGAGAAATGTTTGTTGCTCATTGATATAGCTATTTTTCTTCTTTTTTGTGTTGCCTGTAAAATTATTCCATCTAATTTTAAAGTTTTGTGGCAAAAAATATCATCAATCCACCATGGAGAGCCACAGTATGGTTTCTATCACATCAAATAATAACAGAGTGCCTAACACTCAGAACTGTGTAGCAATACATCTAAGTGCTTCAAGGTAGTCAAGAAGACACTAAAGAACTATCCCTTAAAAAGCTGTGACAAATATATACTAGATTCATTAGGTGATTTCAATTTCAAAATGATTCCAATTGCTGTAAATCCTAACCCTCAAGGTGATAGTATTAGGAGGTAGGGTTTTGGGAAGGTATTAGGTTATGATGGTGGAGTCTTCCCAATTGGGATTAGTGCCTGTATTAGTCTGTTTTCACACTGCTGATAAAGACGTACTCAAGACTGGGCAATTTACAAAACAAAGAGGTTTAATGGACTTACTCACTATCATGGTGGAAGGCAAGGAAGAGCAAGTCACATCTTATATGGATGGCAGCAGGCAGAGAGAGCTTGTGCAAGGAAACTCCTGTGTTTACAACCATCAGATCTTGTGAGACTCATTCACTATCAAGAGAACAGTGCAGGAAAAACCCTCCCCCATAATTCAATCACCTCCCACTGGGTTCCTCCCATGATATATAGGAATGGTGGGAGTTACAATTCAAGATGAGATTTGGGTGGGGACACAGCTAAACCATATCAGTGACCTTATCAAAGAGATCACAGAGAGCTCCCTAACCCTTTCTACCGTGTTAGTGACATAGTAAGAAGGTGCTAGGAAACAGGACCTCCACAGGCATTGAATCTGCTGGTGACTTCATCTTTAAACTTCTCAGCCTCTAGAACAGTAAAAAAAAAAAAAAAAAAAAAAAAGCTTATCGTCTATAAATTAACCGCTTTGTAGTAACGTGTTACAGAAGTGCAAACAGACTAAGACATTATTTCTTAAACTCCAAGACAGTCCTTGTAAAATTAAAGCTTTGGCCTTTGACAATCATTACCTTGAATAGAAAGACAGCATTTCATACATTTTAGTTATATCTGGCCTCTCTTACTCATAGTGCGTTAGAGTATTTAAATATAATTTTGAATGAATGATTGCAGAGGATTAGAAGTTGAATTGATGATCTACAAATATAGGATATTAGGCTTTTTCTAGAGTCTCCATAGTCTAGGAAATGTTATTTCAATTTGGAGAAATGTTGCCTTCCCTATTTTTCCAAGACCTCTACCTTATTTGATTCTAATCATTGCTCATCTGATTGGAATCCTATTATTTGACAATCTCACTATTCTCTGAATACAATTAAGAGCACGGGAGAAAATGGCCCCTGGGCTGACAGATAGTTGTTACAAAGAGGAAGTCTTCTGAAATACACCTCACACAGCAGCCTGGGGGTTGGGCACTGCCATGATTACTACTTGGTTTTGAGACTTTGAGGTAGTTTAGGATTATTCCAGAATATACTCTCACTGTTCAGATTGTGTAATCACAGCACATCCTGCTGTTTTAATCAGAATAAGGCCACAGTGTGTGTTGGACCCCTGAGTTGGGGTTACCTGGTTTTATTTTTAACGCACTATGTCTAGTTCCCTGAAGGATTTAGCAAACATCATGTGGTAAAATTTTTGAACTTTTAGTTTACAAAAGAAAATGGGCAGCTCAGACATTGGATTATGTATCTACAATGAAGCCCAGGTGTCAGAAACACTTATGCAACCTATAAAACTCCCTGATGAGGGTTTCTTTCCCTAGCATCACAGAGAGTTCCGTTTGTGTTTACGCAAATGAGAAAACAAATCAGTAGTTAACAGGAACACTGCTGTGCTGACACATTAACATTCACTTTATAAGCAGAGGATGTCAATGAGTGCAGGTTAGCCCAGTGAGGACCCTGCCAGGCAGAGGAATGTGCAGAGTGTTCCCCTCCTACTGGGATGGCAAAAATAGATCCATCTTTGTCAGCCCAAATCAACACAAAAGTGGAGTGGCTTTGTGCATGTGGATTGATGTAATATATTACATGCATATGGATGATTGGATATAAAGTTATGCACAAGTAGCAAAGATCCTAGCATTAGTCTAACTGTATGTATTAGTTTCCTGAGGTTGCTGTAACAAATTATCACAAATTGGGTGGCCTAAAACAATAGATGCTCATTCTCTCCTGTTAAAGGAGGCCAGAAATCTAAATCAAGCAGGCTTGGGCTTTTCCACAGGCTCTGAGGGAAAAATTCTTCCAGGTTGCTCTCCTAGCTTCTGGTGGCCACCGGCCATCCCTAGCATTCCTTGGCTCAAGACAGTGTAATTTAAAACTCAGCCTCTGCTTACACATGGTTGTATTCCTTTTGTTTGTGTCTGTGTCCACATTTTTCTCTTCTAATAAGGACATCAAGTATTGGATTAGGTTGTACCTGAATTCAATATGACCTCATCTTGAATTAATTACATCTGTAAAAATTCTATTTCCAAAAAGCTTACCTTCACAGGCCCCTGGGTCTAAGACTTCACAACAACATTTATTCTAGAATCTGATCACCTTGAACACATATGAGGGCTGGTGAAAAAAGGGCTCACATTCTATGCCTTCTGAAAGAGTAGCAGGGAGGGGTAGTGTGTGAGGCATAAAGCAAGCACTGGGGTAGAGCTAGAAGGAGCCCAAAGAAGGCCTATATCTGCATGAGGCTGGCCCAAGGTTGGGCTGTCAGTCAATAAATCTGCATTAAATTTCACCATAAGTCAGACACTGTGGTGTGTATTGGTAATACTATTGTGTACAAGATATACAGGTCTCTGGTCCCAAGTGGGATAGGAGAAGAGAGGCTGATTATACGTATAGCATGGAGTCTGGTATGCCCATTGTCTCTGGTTCATTTTCCCGTTTGATTTATGCTAAGACTCAAAGACACTGAGCTAGGAGTGAAATCAGAAACAGTGAAATGTGAACGTGCACAATGTGCAAAACATCAGAAGCAAAGGACAACAGTGTCCTAGGTTACAAAAGGCCAGGAAAGTTTTGATGCATTTTGCTTCAAACTAGCATATAGGGGAAGCATGTTAGTACAACTCCTGTGACAATGAAACTGGCCAAGAGGCATTTCTGCAGGCTGGAAACAGCACTGTATTACTTCCCTATTGCTGCAGTGACACATTGCCACAAACAGTGGCTTAAAACAACATGCATTTAGTATCTCACAATTTTGGAGGTCAGAAGTCTGAAATAGGTCATGCAGGATAAAAATAAAATATTAACAGAGCTGTGGTCTGGATCCTCTAGAGGAAAATCTATTCCTTGATTTTCTAACTTCTAGGAGTGGCCCACATTCCTTGACTTGAGGCTACATCTCTTGGACTTCTGGTGCTGTCGTCACTTCTTAATCTGCCTCTGCCTCTTCTGCTTCCCTCTTTCACTTGTAAGGACCCTAGTCATCTCAGTGGATACATGTAAATAATTTAGGATCATCCCCTCTGGATCATCTCAGGATTCTTAACTTTATCACATCTTCCAAGTCTCCTTTTCCATGTAAATGAACATATGTATAGGTTTAGGGATTAGGATATGGACATCTTTTCATGCTCCTTCTTCTACCTACCAAAAGCACTCTCAGTCAACATTATCTGAAACCTGGACAGCAGAGGCCTCAGCTGGACTGGTTGCCAAAATTAGCAATCATTTGATCAGGAAAGGCTCTGGACATTGGTCCCCTTTATCCTTGGAAGCCTCTTTGTGTTCAGGTAAATATTAATTTACAATAGATACTTGTGGCTGGTATTGTTCATTGTGTGTGTATAAGCTCCTGAGAGTGGAGATAAGGGATGCTTTCATGCCCTCTCTTCAGGTATATTTAACTCTAATCTTAGTACAGGCATCATGTTTAGTTTTCTGCATATACAACCTATGCCCAGTTCAAATTTAATCCTGCCAAAATTCCCTGTCACACATACAAAATATAGGAACATATTGTGCATTGTGCATATCATGTAATTAATATATAAAAATGTTTATATTCAATATGAATGATATATTTATCATTGAAATTGTTATATATAATCTGTATAATGGATATATTTTATAATCATTGCAATTTATAATGTGAATATTGTGCTGATACTAATATGAATACTATTATTTATATACATATATCTTTATAGAACTATATTAAATATATATAACACATATGTATTTATTTTCTTAATATAGCTTTTTACATTCCTTTCCTAGGATGATCAAAGTGGATTGAACAGAGAGTAGTATAAAAAGAATAACAGACTTTACAGTAGACTGTGGAGCACAAAGTAAAATTACAGACAAGAAGCATCATGCATTGAGAAATTGCTTTATATCTTATATTGCATTGTTTAATCCTCTTATAATTGTATGGGATGGTTAAATCATAATTATGTCCATTTTACATATAAGAAAACTGTAACTGAGAAGCCAGTGGTTTTTCTATGATCAGACAGCCAAGCATGTGTCAGAATGTGAGCTGAATTCCAGATTTTCCGATTAATCCAACTCTGTCACTTAACAGCACTCTAAACTTGGCGCATTTGTGCAAGTGTGAATAAAGGTGTTGGAGATAATGGCTCATTCATAGAGACTGTTAAGGGTTAAAGTCATAAAATGAAAAAATACATAGAAGATTTGATCAATTGTAAAACACCATGCAATTTTTTGTTAGAGAGCTTGCCACTGAATGGATATAAAGCTGTGTTAAATTGGGTGGAACAAGCTATTCCATTTATAGAAGTTCAGAAAGGGTTAATGTCAAAGTATTACGGAAGAGATTGTTACCAGTGCAAAATAATCTGCTTTGATTAATTTAATTTCATACTCAAAATTTCTTATTTTGTTATTGATTCCACTGTAGAGTTGAAAAGCAAGAGTTCAGCAAGGATAAATAATCTTTTTTGATAGTGACTGGGTTCAAAATTAGAATGTCTCTGGAAGCTATATTCTTTTTTTTTAATTTATTTATTTATTATTATTATACTTTAAGTTTTAGGGTACATGTGCACATTGTGCAGGTTAGTTACATATGTATACATGTGCCATGCTGGTGCGCTGCACCTACTACTCGTCATCTAGCATTAGGTATATCTCCCAATGCTATCCCTCCCCCCTCCCCCCACCCCACAACAGTCCCCAGAGTGTGATGTTCCCCTTCCTGTGTCCATGTGTTCTCATTGTTCAATTCTTACCTATGCATGAGAATATGAGGTGTTTGGTTTTTTGTTCTTGCGATAGTTTACTGAGAATGATGATTTCCAATTTCATCCATGTCCCTACAAAGGACATGAACTCATCATTTTTTATGGCTGCATAGTATTCCATGGTGTATATGTGCCACATTTTCTTAATCCAGTCTATCATTGTTGGACATTTGGGTTGGTTCCAAGTCTTTGCTATTGTGAATAATGCCGCAATAAAAATACGTGTGCATGTGTCTTTATAGCAGCATGATTTATAGTCCTTTGGGTATATACCCAGTAATGGGATGGCTGGGTCAAATGGTATTTCTAGTTCTAGATCCCTGAGGAATGGCCACACTGACTTCCACAATGGTTGAACTAGTTTACAGTCCTATCAACAATGGAAAAGTGTTCCTATTTCTCCACATCCTCTCCAGCACCTGTTGCTTCCTGACTTTTTAATGATTGCCATTCTAACTGGTGTGAGATGGTATCTCATCATGGTTTTGATTTGCATTTCTCTGATGGCCAGTGATGGTGAGCATTTTTTCATGTGTTTTTTGGTTGCATAAATTCTTCTTTTGAGAAGTGTCTGTTCATTCCCTTCGCCCACTTTTTGATGGGGTTGTTTGTTTTTTTCTTGTAAATTTGTTTGAGTTCATTGTAGATTCTGGGTATTAGCCCTTTGTAAAATGAGTAGGTTGCGAAAATTTTCTCCCATTTTGTAGGTTGCCTGTTCACTCTGATGGTAGTTTCTTTTGCTGTGCAGAAGCTCTTTAGTTTAATCAGATCCCATTTGTCAATTTTGTCTTTTGTTGCCATTGCTTTTGGTGTTTTAGACATGAAGTCCTTTCCCATGCCTATGTCCTGAATGGTAATGCCTAGGTTTTCTTCTAGGGTTTTTATGGTTTTAGGTCTAACGTTTAAGTCTTTAATCCATCTTGAATTGATTTTTGTATAAGGTGTAAGGAAGGGATCCAGTTTCAGCTTTCTACATATGGCTAGCCAGTTTTCCCAGCACCATTTATTAAATAGGGAGTCCTTTCCCCATTGCTTGTTTTTCTCAGGTTTGTCAAAGATCAGATAGTTGTAGATATGTGGCGTTATTTCTGAGGGCTCTGTTCTGTTCCATTGATCTATATCTCTGTTTTCGTACCAGTACCATGCTGTTTTGGTTACTATAGCCTTGTATTATAGTTTGAAGTCAGGTAGTGTGATGCCTCCAGCTTTGTTCTTTTGGCTTAGGATTGACTTGGCGATGCGGGCTCTTTTTTGGTGCCATATGAACTTTAAAGTAGTTTTTTCCAATTGTGTGAAGAAAGTCATTGGTAGCTTGATGGGGATGGCATTGAATCTGTAAATTACCTTGGGCAGTATGGCCATTTTCACAATATTGATTCTTCCTACCCATGAGCATGGAATGTTCTTCCATTTGTTTGTATCCTCTTTTATTTCCTTGAGCAGTGGTCTGTAGTTCTCCTTGAAGAGGTCCTTCACATCCCTTGTAAGTTGGATTCCTAGGCATTTTATTCTCTTTGAAGCAATTGTGAATGGGAGTTCACTCATGATTTGGCTCTCTGTTTGTCTGTTATTGGTGTATAAGAATGCTTGTGATTTTTGTACATTGATTTTGTATCCTGAGACTTTGCTGAAGTTGCTTATCAGCTTAAGGAGATTTTGGGCTGAGACAATGGGGTTTTCTAGATACACAATCATGTCGTCTGCAAACAGGGACAATTTGACTTCCTCTTTTGGCTAATCTCCACTCACTTTCAACAATGTGCATGTCCTCAGTGGGGAAAAGATGCATTTGCATTTATTAGCACTCTGGAGTACTCACCCATTATTTGAAGGGAGGCATGGTCCTGCAGGTAAAAAGGAGATGGACCCATATTCAGATGATTATAACATAAAATCCTAATTATTTAAATGAATAAAGCCTTATCAAATTGACTTCCTAAGGTTCTCAACCATCTGTATTTTTGTTTTTTCCTGCAAGTGCAGTCTGGCTTTTCAAAATTCTGACAGTGGTTGCAGGGAAAGCCAGGAGTATTGAAAAGAGAAGAAAGTTCTTTTAAGGCCTCAGGGCAAGCTCTGAGTTCTCTAGGTGGATTTGCTTCACATTCTTTGGTGAAACCTCTGTGCATATCAAAATCTTTTGCAAGACACCATTCACTGTTCCTTCAGATACATAGTTCAGTGATGAATGTTGACCATTCCTCCACTTCCATGTGCATATTTGTAACAAACTCAGATCTCCAACCTCTAAAATAACAAATATAGGTTTGCAAATTTTCAATTTTTTTTTTGGTTTTTTTTTTTGAGACAAAAGGTATTATTTTTTAATCACTTGAGTTTACATTAAATTTTAATTTATTTAATTCCCAAGAAACTGCCTGCCATAAACACCTGGAATGCATTCTTTTCCAGTCTGGAATATAGATGCTTCAGCCACTTTCCACCCAGGTGCCTTTTGTAACACCTACTCATTATAAACGGTTACTCTTGTTACCCCACTCAGAATGTCTGCCCAGATGACCTTTTCTCCCAGAATGAGTTGGTTATGTTTTGTTTTTACAGAGAACCCCGAGCTTATCTAAAATATTGAGCAAATTGAGGGTGGAAAGTTTGTATTTAAATCTGTAATGCCTCCCATAGAATTTGAATCAAAGAGGGAATTACTTTAAAAAATTAATTAATTAATTATCAGTAAACAAATGGAGAGCCAACAGAACAATCTACAGCCCAAATGGAACATTGTCATGAACCACATGAGTTTTACACTGAGAAAAGTTGTCTTGCTAACCTTAAACAATTAGGTAACACCCTTTCAGTATTTTGGACTCTAGTTCTGTTCTCCAGTATTTCCAGTTTTCTTCCTCTGGGCATAGGGCCAGATTTTAGTTCGCCCATGCAGTCCAGTTTAGACATGACCAGGATACTTATTTACGTCAAGGAAGTGCATGTGTCTCCTCTGGGCAGAATAATTTAAGAGCTAGTATGTGATTCTCCATATTGCCTTTCCCTGTGATACGGAGCCATGTGATCTTCCAAATTGGTGAGACCATATCCAAGCCTGAACTCTGATTAAGTCAGATACAGAGTAAACTCCCATCCCTGCCAACCTGCAATGGCTTGTGAAGAATAAACACACTTTTTATTACTTTAAGTCACTGAGATTTGGGGATTATGGCAGTAAAAACTGCTTTTTTTTTCTGAGTAACATGATTAATATTGTTTATAAGATTGACATTTTAATGTAATCATTTTGGTGTAAATTGATAATCTTTCATTGTTCTTATTCATAGTGAATGCCAGAAGATATTTGGATAATTCTGCTTCTTGGGCTCTTATACATTTTCCCACCAAGTGCAGTGGCTCAAACCTGTAATCCCATCCCAGCACATTGGGAGGCAGAGGTGGTGTTATAGGGCTTTTCCTTAGTTCATATATAGACAGGTCCTTATCACACAGCTGTGAAAATGTAGGCTTGCAGACAATTTGAAGGTTGAATAAGGCAAGGTTTCATTGGGTAAAAAAGAAGAAAAGGGGAAGCAGAGACCCTCCACAAAGCCAGAGTCCCTGCTGGTGCCCTTCCCACGTAGCAGGTTGAATCTCAGATTCCACACAGGAAGAAGAGGGGCCAGACTCCTCCCAGCTGCAAACAGTGTGAAGTTCTGTGGCTCCACCCCAATGTTCATTCTTCCCAGTGCACAGGCCAGCTGGAGTTTTGCCAGGAAGCCCTTCCCACCTTTGTGGCTCAGTGTGAGAATCACATGAGAGTGGGAGTTTGAGACCAGATGGGGCAACATAGTCAGACCCTGTCTCTACAGAAAATTCTGGAAAAAAATTAGATGGGCCGGGTGCCGTGGCTCACGCCTGCAATCCCAGTATTTATGAGGCTGAGGTGGGTGAATCACCTGAGGTCAGGAGTTCAAGACCAGCCTGGCCAACATGGTGAAACCCCATCTCTAATAAAAATACAAAAATTACCTGGGTACAGTGGTGAATGCCTGTAATCCCAGCTACTCGGGAGGCTGAGACAGGAGAATCACTTGAACCCGGGAGGCGGAGGTGGCAGTAAGCCAAGATCACCACTGCACTCCAGCCTGGGCAACAAAGAACAAAACTCCGTCTCAAAAAAAAAAAATATATATATATAGATGGGCATGGTGTACACCTGTAGTCCCAGCTACACAGGAGGCGGGGAGGGGATGATGGCTTGACTGCAGGAGTTTGAGCCTGCAGTGAGATAGAATGGTGCCACTACCCTCCAGCCTGGGTAACAAAGGAAGACTTTGTCTCTAAAAAATAAAAACACATTTCCTCCCTCATCTGTGACCAAATGCACATGGGAGCTCCTCTTGAGCTGTGCATTCTATAACAAAAGGAAGGTCCATTTCACTCACTTGAGATTTTTTAAAAATAATAGAAGGCTATGTTTATATAGCATACTGTACCTTGAAAAGTTTTGCTTGCTTTGGTTTGTAGCATCTCTGGTAGAGTCTATCAAAAGCCCAAATATCTGTGTTCTAAATGAGAAAGGAGTAACCATAATTGAATTTCATCACTTTGGTCATCTCAGGAATAAAGTAGCGAGAGGAGAAGTGGTCATTTCAATAATTAGAAGTGATGACTGGGTGTTGTACATTGCACTTGACTTTGGATAATAAACTCCCCAGAACCCCCACCCCCAAATTCTCAATATATGTGGAACAGAAATTCTGCTAAAATCATTAACATTGTTTAAGAAGAAAAATCTCATGAGCTGAGGGCCAAAGAATCAGTCAAATCTGTGATCTAGTTGTTGTTTAATGTTATTGTATTAGTCCGTTTTTTCACTGCTATAAAGAATTCTCAGAGACTGGGTAATTTATGAAGGAAAGAGATTTAATTGACTCATAGTTCTGTATGGCTGGGGAAGCCTCAGAAAACTTAGAATCATGGTAGAAGGGGAAGCAAGCATCTTCTTCACAAGGTTGCAAGAGAGAGAGAGAATCAAGGAGGAACTTCCAAACAGTTATAAAACCATCAGATCTCATGAGAACTCACTCACTATCATGAGAACAGCCTGGAGAAACCGCCTCCATGATCCAATCACTTCCTTCCCTTGACAAGTAGGGATTACAGGTCCCTCCCCTGACAAGTGGGGATTACAATTCGAGGTGAGATTTGGGTGGGGACACAGAACCAAATCATATCCGCTATTTTGGTGAAAACAGATATTTTGTTAAAATGCTTCTGAATTGCCTTTAAGACTTCTGAGTTTTCTCTCACTGACCCAGTAAAAACAAAGTAATACATATTTGGATCTACTTATTTCCCCTTCCCCCCAAAATGGCTTCTTTTCTAATTTTAGCTAAAAATTCCTCTAAAACAAGGAGGTAGCATGCAAACATGAAAAAGCCTTCAAGTTTTGACATTGAAGAGGAGGTACTAGAAGTAGTTACACTGACTGTGAAAAAGTGTTAGGCGAGACCTCGCTATAAAAACAAAAACACTAGGATGGCATAGTACAGAGGTAATTGTCTTCTGCGAAAGAAGACTGCCTCATGGTAATTATTGTGGTAATAATAGCTAACACTTTTTGTGTGTCAGTAACTAAGAACTAGATATGTTGATTAATTTAATACTCAACAGCGTAAAATATTAGCCCGTTTTACAGATTCACAAATCCAGACACCGAGATAAGGTAAGTTGTTCAAGGTCATATACATATGGCCGGTAAGTGCTGGAGCTTGGATTCAAATACAGAGATAGACATCTGCTATTATTAGAGTAAAATTCATCAATAAATATTCATGATGATATTAAGAAATTATGACAACTTTAAAAGATGTTCAGGGTAATATTTTGGAAGTTAGAAGATATTCAACATTTTAGCTATGTTTCTATCTAGTATTTTTTTGTTTGTTAAACTGTAAGTACTTAGCTTTTTATACAATTCAGCCTTTCACAGACATATATACATACACACACATATACACATATAGGTACACATAAGTATATGTGTGCATATATAAATGCAGCTATACATATATGTGCTTTATAACTTTATTCCATTTGTATATGTATGTGTATATGTGTATACATATATGTATCTGTGTATACATATATACATATATGGGCACATATGTGTGTATGTGTATATACACACATATATATATTATGTATGCACACATATGTATATATTATATACACACATATATGTATATTATATATACACACATGTATATATAATATATATACACATGTATATACTATATATAGTATATATATTGTATATATAGTATATATGGTATATATATCGTATATATAGTATATATATAGTATATATAGTATATATAGTATATATATAGTATATATATTGTATATATAGTATATCTACTATATATAGTAGATATATTGTATATATAGTATATATACTATATATTGTATATATATTGTATATATAGTATATATACTATATATTGTATATATATTGTATATATAGTATATATACTATATATTGTATATATATTGTATATATAGTATATACACATATATACATATGTGTATATATAATATATACACACGTATACATATTATAAACACGTATATATTATATATACACATATGTATATAATATATACAGCATCAAATATATGTATTCAAATATATGTATTTGAAATACATATATATATATATATATAGCTTCTGTGAAACATATGTACACACACACATATATATTTCCCGCTCAGAGGCTATGTATAGACTAAGTTCAGAGACATTGAGAAATTTAAGGTCACAAAATCTCAGGGATTAGAAACACCAAAGTTTGTTCCTTGTTCAAAATATTTATTGGTTAATTGTGGCTGTGGTCAACATTCCTTCTTCATTCTTTGATCCAGACTGAAGAAAGAACTTGTAGTTATGAGTCCTTTTTTTTTTTGCAACAAAGAGAAAAGAAAAAGTGTGGAAATGAATAGTGATTTTAAAAGATTGTGTTCATTTGGATGTCATGTTTCATTGACCAAGTGAGTCACATGGCCGACTAGGCATTAATATGGTGGAATTTTTGTTTTTCTATAGGAGCAGCACCAAGGAGGTCTTGAATGAGTGGATGAGGTAGAGACAAGTAAATATTTTGAACAAATAATACAATCCCCTGTGCATAGAAAGTTGGCAGCAAAACTGTCTCTCAACCTCCAAACCTTTAATTTCAAGTGTAGTTTTAATTTGCACACGAGCTGACAAGCAACCAATTTGATAATGGCAGTCTCAGAAAACAAAACAACTGCTGTTGGAGAGCTGAGAGTATTGCTTGGCCTATTATGCACTGAGATCTCTTATGTATTTCCCAGTTCACTGTGAAAAAATTCAATCTCAACAAAAAGATAATTATTATCCTTGAATAAATAATATGATGTCAAATATTAGGTAGACCCTTAAGTCTGTTGATCTATTTGCTAGAGGTTTTTCATTCCTTTTTTCCCAGATACACTCATGAGAAACATTTGTCTTAAAATTTCCCTGATTCCCATAGTAATGAATTCATATTGGTTTACTCAAACTAGGTATTACACTCAATCTCACTTTCTGTCACTTAAGGCTGCTCCCTCAGTGGGAATAGAATAACTTTAAGGATGTCTTAGCCAGTCTCCTTTTCTGAACCGTGACAACAATATACTGTATACATAAGCCTGCTATTGACTTGGGACTTAGCCTTCTTTATCCAGTTTGAACATGACAAAATCCTTAAAAGGAAACTGAGGGATATTTTCCCAGCCTTTTAATCATTATTCTTTTTCTCCGTGGGAGTCTCGCCAAATCTTAGCTCTGGATCTGACCCTAAATATCTGAAGGCATTTTCAAATTTAAGTCCCTCCGTGGTCTCTTTCCTGGATTTATCCCAGATCCCAAAATGGAACTTAAAAATAAAAAAGTAAAGAGCGAAAAAAGGAATTAGTGTTATGCATTCCACTCATTCTTCTTTTTTAGACTTTTAAATATGCACAGATTACAGTCTTTTCTTATTCTTGTCACTTGGCCAAGATTTGCAACGCATATGAAACTCATTGCTGTTATACTTTTTCATTATGAATCAGTCTTTCTACTCACCTGCGCTGTTATTCCTGGAGCTGCTTGTTGGGTTCTTTCAATGCACAAAGTTCAACCTATTATTCCAAGTGTGTAGCTTTGTTAGTGTCAAAGAGGAAACAAAACATCCCTGTAGGAACACAGTGAGCCTTGGGACAGAAGGTGAAGATGACAAGGGTTTCTTAGTGCCTGTTATGAGTCAGATTTCTCCAGATAAACAGAACCTATAGGATATACATAGATATATAAGAGGGATTTGTTTTGGGAAATGACTCACATAATTATGGAGGCAAAGAAGTCCCATGTCATTTGTAAGTTGAAGAATCAGAAAAGCCAGTGATAAAATTTAGCCTCAGTGCAAAGGCCTGAGAACCAGGAGTTCTGTTGTCGGAAGGCGAGAGAAAATGGATTTCTAGCTCCAGAAGACAGAGTGAATTTACCTTTCTTTCAGCTTTCTATCTGGGCCCTCAATAGATTGGCTGATGCCCACCCTCGCTGGTGAGGATGACCTCCTTTACTCAGACTCCCGATTCAAGTGCTTATCTTTTCCAAAGACACACCCCAAAATAATGTTTACCAGGTATCTGGGCATCGCTTAGTAAAGTTGACACATCAAATTAACTATTACTGTGTCTGAGCTAAAATTGATGAATGATTGCTACCTGAAGATTCTCCTTCCCATCCATTCACAGAACTTATCTTTGCTTATTAAGTATAAGAGGCAATATGCCCCAGTAGTTAAGGGTCCAATCGGAGAACCCAGCCCACCTGGGTTTGAATTCTTACTCAGTTGCTTGACTGATCTTGATGAAGTTATGTAGCTGTTTTAATCCTCAGCTTTCATTTTTTAATAAAGGGGTGCATAACAGTACTTATATCTTAAGGTTATTATCTGTATTAAATAAAACAAAAAATAAACATTTTGTGTCATGCTTGGCACATAATGAATTCTTATTAAATGTTAAGTACCATGGATAGCAACTTGGATTAGGACACTGACCTTCCTTTCTTTCCCTGCCCTGTTATAGCTGTTTTGATATTATAATTTTATTATTTTTATTTTTCAATGATTTCATTTAAATGCTGTATTAATAAATTTTCATGCTGCTATGAAGAAATACCCAAGACTGGGTCATTTATAAAGAAAAATAGGTTTAATGAACTCACAATTCCACATGGCTGGGAAGGCCTCACAATTATGGCAGAAGGTGGAGGAGGAGAAAAGCCATGTCTAACATGGTGGCAGGCAAGAGAGTTTACATAGGGGAACTGCCCTTTATAAAACCATCAGATCTCATGAGACTCACTCACTGTCATGAGGACAGCACAGGAAAAACCTGCTCCCATGATTTAATTATCTCCCACCAGGTCGCTCCCAAGACACGTGGGGATTATGAGGGCTACCAATTCAAGATAAGATATGGGTGGGAACACAGCCAAATCATATCAAATGCCATCCAAGAAATCATGTTTGACACATTCATGTTATAGTCTCAAAATCCCTATAAGGGAGTAGACAGAATTGCTTCTACAGATACAAAAGCTGTATTCAGACAGGTTAGGTAACTTATAAGAGATTTAAGTGACAAGGTTATTATTTTATTCTAAATCTGTTTTATTTTAGAGGATTCATACCTGTTGCTATGGTTTGAATGCTTCCCCAAGGTTTATGTGTTGGGAAACTTAAATTCCAAATTCACATGTTGATTGGAGGTGGGGCCTTTGGGAGGTAATTCGGACTAGATAAGGTCATCACGGTTGGGGCCCTGTGTTGGGACTTGTGGCTTTATAAGAAGAGTAAGAGAGACTCCGAGTTGGCACATACGCTCTTGATCTCTCATTATGCGATGCCTTCCACCATGTTTTGACACAGCAAGAATGCAATCGCTGGATGTTGACCCCTCAATCTTGGACTTTCCAGTCACCAGAACATAAAAGATAATTTTTTTCTTTATCAGTCTTTGGTATTTTGTTATAGGAACAGAAAATGGACTAAGACCCTCTCTTTCCACCATACCTCTTTACTTTCCAAAAAATAGCAACACAGGAATAACAGTTTTTTAATGAGGAACTTCCTTTCCCATGCTTCTTGCTTCCTCATGAAGGGAAACCCATGAGTGTGACCTTCCTTTCCTGTTCCCAGTTTCCACATCCTGATCCCATTGTTGATGACTTATGAAAAAAATGGGAGCAATTTTGGCTCAGTTCTTCATTTTTCTCTCCTTTCAGGATCCTGCCCATTAACAGTGAGGGTGTGGCTTGGTGTGCTGGAGGGCCTGTAATAAGTCTAGTTGTAAAGAACTCACCCCAGACAAGAGCTACTTATGATTATTTGGGCAGGTCTGCATAATTCTGGGAAGGCTTTTAGGAAACTCACTGTTGCTGTAAAATTAACCACATCCACCTACACAGTTTTTAACAATAGCAGAGAAAGTATTTTCGTTTCCCTTGACCTTATTTCTAACTCTATCTCAGTTGGTTTTAAATTGAAACAGTGAAACCCTCATTTTATTGAGTCCTTTCATATGTGATTGTCAAGACTGACCTTTTAAGGTGATTCAAAGGACAGATGGTTTCACTGGTCATTTGGAAGGCAAAATAATTGTGAAAACAGGTTTTACAAAAAGCCAGAGTTCTCAATGTCATGTACAGGTTTGCTCAAACTTTTCCCCCAGCTTTTAGTGCTAGAGCTTTTCAAAGTTAGGGCTAACTTCATGAATATCTCCTGTCTCTGAGGTTATTGGAAAATAATTTTCAGATATTTGATCCCATTTTTTTTTCTAAGTAAGTGCTTGTCCAATCTGGTGGGTACAGAGATCTATTTTATAATCAACCAAAAACTGTGTATCTTTCATCTTCCAAGTGAAATAAAAAAGTAAAAGCAAAATCATACAGTTAGTTTGCATATCTTCTATTTATATATTTAGCTGTCTTTTCACTGTTTGTGAAACTCCTGTTCTATGACAAGAGCTTTAATAGCACTGGTGATATAATGGTGAGTAGGTATAAAGGATTTTTATGGTTAGAGAATGCAGGTAGGAAGTCTATATGATACCAAATATCTGCTACTAGTTTATTTACTTTATTTATAAAATCTGGCCCTAGTTAACTTCAGAAAAGAAGGAAAATATGTTGAGGACACTCAAATGTCTGCTGGAATAGGTTAGGGACATCAGTCACCTGGAAAGGAAAGAAACCAGGGAGACTCCAGGACATGGGAGAGGTAAAGTGATTGGATTCTCTACCTGGAAAGCTATCATCAGTGTGACGAAGCTTTGATAACTTTCAGTCTCTCTGTCTTTCCCTGCACTTGGTTGGATATTTGGGTGGATCAGACTGTGTTAGGTGCTTGCTTTTGATTCATTACCTATGGCCCCTATGGCATCTATGGCCATGAAGGGGTTGGTTATAAAAACAGTGCCATGGCCACAGCCATGTGAGAGCTACTTCCAGAAAGGGCAGAATTATTGTGAACTGAACAGCCACTTCAAGAAGACTCTACGGAACAGATGAAATGGCTATTTTGTAGGTCAAAATAGTAGACTACCATAAATTTTATACAGTACCACCTAAAACTGCATTTGGCATTTTGGGCTGAGTACATTTACACCCTCTTCTTTCGCATGTTCAAAGATGTTACCAACTAAAGTGATTCAACAATTCCACAGTAACCCTCAGGACTCCACAGGAATAGTGGTCATTCTACTTTCTGCTTTATGTTTAAGAAACTATATGCTTGTTTCTCATGGAGGAATGAGAATAGGAACTGCATGGATGATTTACTTCAGATGCCAGGTGGAATATATAAGCAGACTACGTGGCTCAGTCGCAGCTCAAAGAATGTTCATTGAAGAATAGAGAATTTATTCAACAAACCAGTCACTCTTATTTGCTTGGGGCTGAGATGTTTCCAGTGTTAAAATTGGACATTTCTAGGTGAATAGAGGCAAGCTTGTCACCTATGGCTTAAGCCAGTATGTATGTGTAGTTATCCTATTATGCACAATTTGGGAGAGGAAAATAACTACAACTAGCAGAGGAGTAAAAAGAAATGCATTATGCTTCAAGTTCCTGTGATAGTGGCTGACACACAGTTGCTATTTGATAGATGAGATTCATAATAAAAATAAAATTAATATATCTTTCAAACATATTATATATGATACATTGCCTTAATAGAAGTAAACATGCCATCTCAGGTTATCCTTTAATCACCCCTTCTATTACCATTTCTCAAATGAGAAAATTGACTTAATCTCATACAAATTAATCTAAGAGAGAGTAGGTAATCTAACAAGGGTCATGGAGTTTATAAGTAGTGGCACTAGGATATTAACTGAAATTTCTGTGACTCAAATCTTGTCTTTTAAGGAGACCTGTCTGTGTTCTTTCCTCCTGTTATTTTGGTTGCTTCCCCTTGTTTTTTTCCTGACCTTGAGTCTTGACTCTTGATTCGTGGCATTTCTCTGTCTTGAGTATTGTTCATAATTTTCTAGCTTCTAATTTGTCTGCCCATGTGACTGTCATTACACTCTATATTCAATCGCTGATTTTCATTACTTATTAATTTATTCAATTATTCTACCAATCTTTAATGCATGCCCAGTTGGTGTATAAGTCAGGAAACTTGAACCCTATCCTCCTAGTAGTAGGAGAATCTTCATGTGTGGCAGGGGAATTTTACTGTATTCAGCATTACAACCTCAATCATGTTCTAACAGTCTATATAAGATTAATACCTCCCAGGAAAAGATTCTACTTATTCTCCAAGGACTAGATCTTTATTCTGTTGACTCAAGACTCAGGGCTCAAAGCTTAGGTCTTACTGTCCATGTTAGTATGTTCTCACACTGCTATAAAGATACTATCTAAGACTGGGTAATTTCTAAAGGAAAGAGGTTTGGTTTAGTTGACTCACAGTTCTGCATAGCTGGGGAGGCCTCAGGAAACTTACAATCATGATGGAAGGGGAAGCAGTCACCTTCTTCACAAGGCAGTGGGATAGGGTGTCTATGAGTACAGGAAAAACTTCCAGTTATAAAACCACCAGATCTCATGAGAATTCACTCAATATCATGAGAACAGCATGGGGGAAATATCTCCCATAATCCAATATCTTCTCCTCCTTGATATGTAGGGATTACAATTGAAGATGAGATTCGGGTGGGAAGACAGAGCCAAATTATATCACTGTCTAACCTGTTTTCCTCTATTGTACTGAAAGGTATTTTTTTTCTTTTTTTTTCTTTTTTTACAAAAGATTATTACAGCTACAGGCAAAACTCTCACACTGAATGGTTATTTTGTTCTTTTTAGAAAACAAATACCACTTGTGCAACCCATCCATATACAACCATGACAGTCTTTGAATAATCAGTAATAAAATAGACACAGGCTCAATGTTCCATGGCATGACTGTAAAGTGTAGAATAATAAAAAACGTGATCTGGAAAAATGTTTGCTGAGAGGAAAGTCATTCTGTTGTCTGGGGCTTTGTTTTCAAGTTCATTTTCACTGAAAATGAACTAAGGTTGTGGGTTGTGACTTCTTCATTCCAGTCGGTTACCAGCCTTGGCTGGGAAGACAATCTCACTTTGGGTTTCTCACTGGCTAAATGGGACCACAGAGACAAAGACCCAGTAGAAAGTGCTGTTCTCAGGAGCCAGGTGTAAACAATCACAACACAATATTTGGAGGCCTAAATATTTAGTTACCTCTTTCATGGCAATTGTAACTTTGGTACATTGTACCAGTAAATTTGTGTTTCTATTTATCTTCAAATACCCTCCAAAAATATACAGTATGACATATTTTTGAAAGCCTAATAGTTCCAAGAGGTATTTATTGCAGTGAGTATTTGAGGAGGCAGAATGGGCTGAGGCAGAGCTCCCACTTCATCTGACTCCCAAGTCTCTGGGT
The DNA here is from genome assembly GCF_000001405.40 of Homo sapiens. Lineage (NCBI taxonomy): Eukaryota > Metazoa > Chordata > Mammalia > Primates > Hominidae > Homo > Homo sapiens. The sequence goes on along the minus strand of NC_000004.12, from coordinate 12,640,991 downwards.
GTGATTCACTCTTTCTAGGCTGATCCTAAGTTGGATCTTGTTCCTCTTGATCACCATCATGCCCGAATCTCTGGCCACAAGAGACCTATTTCTCAAGGAGTAGTCACTGAAGCAGTTAGTTGTTCATTCCCATAGTTGTGCTCATTGCAGAGGACAGGCAGTCTTTGGAGTTACTTTGGGGAAAATGCAGGTCATCCATGAGAGCTTCTCCATCTTGGCAAAGCAGACTTGCTCTGAAAGGGGCAGGTCATTGCAGTGAGGAGTTAGGTTTCAGATCAACCCAGAGATTAGTCTACGTTTGGTGAGAACACTTGGATTGCCACAAAGCTTGCTTCCATCATTGGGAATGATTCCACACTAGGCCTACTAACCAACACACTAACCATGTACCAGTGATGGCGCGACGTAACACGAGAAAGCACATACCAAGGCCATCACACACCACCCGTCCAAAAAGGCCTTCGATACGGAATAATCCTATTTATTACCTCAGAAATTTTTTTCTTCGCAGGGTTTTTCTGAGCTTTCTACCTCTCCAGCTTAGCCCCCACCCCCCAACTAGGAGGGCACTGACCCCCAACAGGCATCACCCCACTTAATCCCCTAGAAGTCCCACTCCTAAACACATCTGTATTACTCGCATCAGGAGTATCAATCACTTGAGCTCACCATAGCCTAATAGAAAATAACCGAAACCACTGGGGTCATGAGTCAAGATGTTTTGGTTGTACTTGAAGTATTAAGCAAAGCACTCATCTCAGGCAGAGTTGGGTGCTGGGGAGATGAGGTAAACATGAGCGCTGGAGGGGATTTACAGCCTGTTACGGATGATCAAGGGCATCCTTTCACCTTCTGCAACAGACATGGTGGTACCTTGGGCAGCAGCAATGCTGAAACTCTTTCTCTAGCTATGTAAAAACATGCATCTGCCTCTGATAGGGGCCAGTGACTGGGTGGTTATGGAACATAGAAAACTTTTGTCTCAGCATTGACCAATGTGGGCACCCATGAAAGAAGGGTAATGTAAGCCCAAGGAAATGTCAATGGGAGGCCGTGGCAAGAATAGAGATAGTGGTGTGGCTGGATGTGGGGAGATGTTTCAGCAAAGCAACAGAGATGTCATTGCCAGCAGCACCAATGGCTTGTGTTTTTTCATAAACTTGGACCACAGAACTGAATCAGGGTACCTCCTTTGACAATCTCTTCATAGTCCAGCTAGTTGATGCATCATCAGTAGAAGCAGTAGCAGCAACAATAAGAGACAACACTCTGGAGAGGAAGGTGGGAAGAGCTAGTCTGGAACAAGCTGAAAAGCTCACAGGTCATTTGTCGTGAACTGGAAAGCATGTCTAGCTCACATTATCTGGGGAGGCTTTTGGGAAATACTGTCCAGTTAGCTGGTCTATTCTAAACCACAGGTCCACTCGACTTAGGGAGTACTGGTGTCTTCCTCTGCTCAATTAGGAACATGGTGCCCTCTTGACCCAGTAAAGGCAACTCCACTTCTTTCTATAGGAAGATGCAGGGTGGTGGGCACCTCTCCTTAGGGGAGAAAGCCTTCCTTGCAGGGAGAAGTTTCTACTTCCTTTTGTTCCACAGATAGTTTTCGGGAAGGCCAGTCCATAACTTTCCAGTCTTCTAAGGAAGAGTCTTTATAGGAGAAATTCACTTTACACTATTTTTTAGAGAGAGGGGCAAACTGAAAGATCTATGGTGACCTGCAGGGAGGGCACAACAACCAGGGGAGGGGAGAAAAGAGAAAGAAGCTGCTGCTCAGGGAGCATCTTCGGGTCGCGGGAGACATTTCTTTTTCCACAACCCCTCTGCTTTGGAAGCCACCCCTCCTTCAAAAATGGTTATGGTCAAACAGGCCAAGACCAAGACTGCTCTGGACAAGGTCCCTACCTTTGCAGAGGCTTGGTTCAAAATGGCCCAGGAGGTTGGATTCCCTTTGAAATTCAAGGACTGGGAGGTTGGCAGCCTGCTTCTCTGGATGTGAATACTGTTCTTTGTCAAAAATGCATTATTTTAGCCAGGCATGGTAGCTCAAACCTATAATCCTAGCACTTTGGGAGGCTGAAGCAGGAGGATCACTTGAGTCCACAAGTTTGAGGCTGCAGGGAGCTATGATAGCACCATTGCACTCCAGCCTGGGTAACAGAGTGAGACCCTGACTTTCAAAAAAATAAAAGTACTTTGTGTCTTCAATCACATGGAATTCCATATCAGACAAGAGTAAAGGAAATGAAGATCACAAGAATTTATTAATCAGATATGATATGCCAAACATACTGCTCCATGACATATGGTTTCATTAAGCCTTACGTTTACCCAGGAAGTTAAGTCTTTGTACCCCACTTTACAGATGAGTACTTTGAGCACAACCTAGGCTCCTGAACTTAGAGGGGTTTGAATTCAGATATCACTTGTTAGGGGCAGACTCTTCAAATGGATTAGATACTTATAGCTCTTTTTCTCTTGGGGTGACAAATTTCATGGACTGCAAGTCATTTTAAATGACAGCACCTATTATTTAAAATAAAAATAACCTCTTATAGTTTTCTAAAAAGCACATGGGGTAGTCAATGGGTTTATTTCATCATAATTTATGAGTATCACTTATGACAGAGGCAAGAGGAAATAATTTACCTAAGGACTTCAGTTTTTGTTTAATGAAATACTAGTCTTTTGAAATTTTCTTCTGCATCTCAGTGTATCTCTCTTTTTACTTTATCTTGCTCGTTTTTGTTGGTTTGGGCTTATGAATCAGCCAGACCTGTGTTTGAATTCGAGCTTCACTACTCCTAGGCTACATGGCCTTGTGAAATACTGATCCTTGTTGCTTCTACTAATTGCCACTCTTAAGAAAAGCCCTTAAAAACAGAACTGCTGTTTGATCCAGCAATCCCATTACTGAGTATATACCCAAAGGAATATAAATTGTTCTGTTATAAAGATACATGCACATATGTTCATTACAGTACTATTCACAATAGCAAAGACATGAAATCAATCTAAATGCTCATCAATGTTAGACTGGATAAAGAAAATATGGTACATACACACCATGGAATACTATGCAGCCATAAAAAAGAATGAGATTATATCCTTTGCAGGAACATAGGTGGAGTTGGAGGTCATTATCCTTTGCAAACTAATGCAGGAACAGAAAAACCAAATACCACATGTTCTCACTTTTAAGTGTGAGCTAAATGATGAGAAAACATGGACATATACAGGGGAATACAACACACTGGGGTCTATTGGAGAGTGTAGGGTGGGAGGAGGGAGAGGATCAGGAAAAAGAGCTAATGGGTACTAAGCTTAATAGCTGGGTGACGAAGTAATCTGTACAACAAACCCCCGTGGCACAAGTATACCTATTTAACAAACCTGCACATGTACCCTGATATGGTTCAGCTCTATGTTCCCACCCTAATCTCATCTCAAACTGTAACTCTCACAATTCTCACGTGTCATGGGAGAAACCTAGAGGAATGTAATTCCTCTAGGTTTTTGAATCATGTAATTGAATGATGGGTGTGGGCCTTTCCCATAATAGTGAATAAGTCTTATGAGATCTGATGGTTTAAAAATGAGTGTTTCCCTGCACAAGCTCTCTCTTTGCCTGCTGCCATCCATGTAAGATGTGACTTGCTCCTCCTTGCCTTCTGCTATGACTGTGAGGCTTCCCCAGCCATGTGGAACTCTAAGTCCATTAAACCCTTTTACCTGTGTGAATTACCCAATCTCAGGTATGTCTTTATCAGCAGCATGAAAACAGACTAATACATACCCCAAACTTAAAATAAAAGTTTTACAAAAGGAAAAGGTCTAATGATGCCTTCCCTATATGGTGGCTCTGAGAATTAAACCAGGCGAGCTCTGTGATGTGTCATCCACGCAGTAGGCTCATCACCAGTGGATCTATTCCTATATGCCTAGTAAAGTGTCTTCTGAGTAATGCAAGTTAAGGTCAATACAGTCATACTTAACTGAGTATAGCACAACTGAAAAAGACATTTTTCAAAGGGATTTTACAAAATACCACAAATGCATGTTTCTGAAATTAAAAAATATTTTGTATAGTGTGCCACATGACCCCATCCCTGGGTATACACCTGAGGAATTCAGTGGAATCTTCAAAAAAAGAGCATGTCAGTGTATTCCAGTTCCATAGAGGTACACTGAGTCTTGAAAAACTTAGGCAAACTGATTATTGGTGACAAGGCTGATATGGCAGCAATAGCACTGAAAATTAGCTTTCCTGATAACTTGGGCATTCTTCTTTGCTAGAGCAGTTTTCTGCTCTTCCCTTTACTCTTTCTTATTTATTTCACTTTATTTATTTTTAGTTAGTTGCACATGGGACTTTGTCACCTCAAAGAGATGTGAACAGAGTTTTAGACGGTGACATCATTGTAGAGCTCAGATGTGTTCATTGCTATAAGCAGAAAGCTTCTGGCAGGCTGCAGTTTAATGAGGCAATCTCAAAGCCGCTTAGACCATTGTTTGCCTTTTGCCTTTGTTTGCAAATTCAGCACAAATTCATGAAATCCGCCAGAAAATGACAAGACTCTAGCAAAATTACTCATAACTCAAGGGACTGGGTGAAACCAAACTGTCATTGCCGCTTTCTCTGGCAGTTTGAGACAGCCAACGAGACAGGCACCTGCATGGTGTTTACAAGGTCAGGATAACAGCAACTTGGTGTGGACACCATACTCAGCAATTGTACCTTTGAGACCCAGGATCCTGGATTCCACAGAAGTTATTGAAAAATCTCTGCTGCCCAGAAAATTACCTCTAAAAGTCACTTTCTGAAAATTGCCCTGGAAAATAGGGTCTCAATGAAAGTGAAGATTAGCGCTAAGTTTCCAAATTAAAAAAAAAAAAAAAGCTAGCCTATTTTTTCTTAGACATATAGCAAATTACAACAGGAAGGGAGGAAGGGAGGAAAGAAGGAAGGAAGGAAGGAAGGAAGGAAGGAAGGAAGGAAAGAAGGGTATTAAGTAGTTAAAAAGAGAACAGAACTCTATAAGGGGGCCTCTAAGACCTCACATGATTTGGTCCCCTCCTTCCACTTCAACCTCATCTTGTTCTGCTCCACCTGCTTCCACTGTGCCCCAAGCACACTGAACTCTACCATTCCCTTCAGCAATAAACATCTCAACATTTCAGAGCTTTGCAGTTTCACTTCCTTAATCTAGAAATCTTCTTCCAGCAATGCCAGGAAGGATACCTTCTCATCCTTTTTATCAATTCTCCGTAAAGGACTTTATTGATGACTTCATCTAAAATATTCCACTCTCAACCCAATCTCAGTATTTGGTGTGTTTCCTTCATAACTCTAGTTATAGCCTATAATTAAGCTGTTTCCTTAAAAGTAGTAACTAATAAATACTGGCATTTACTATTTATATATGCCTGATACTATTTAATGTAATGAAACTTAGTTATCACAGCAACTTTAAGACATAGAGACTATTGCTATCCCCTTTTAGCATATGGCAGAAAATTGAGGCATAAAGAGGTTAAGTAACTTGTCCACAGTCACATGGTTAGGAAGTGGTGGGCCCAGAACTCAAACCCCAGCCCTCTTGCTAGGTACCTTGCTGTCCTGTCTCTCCTGCTTTGTGTCCTGTCTCCCTACCCAAGAAGGGATGTTCCCAAGGACAGAAACCTCTCCTGATTTCACTATTGCATCTCTAGCACGTGGAACAGTGTGCGGCACATACTCTGTGCTCATATATTTGTTGAAAAATTGAATTGAAGAAAAAGGGAACATTTCAGAAGAAGAAACATGAGGGGTTAGGTCTGCAAACACACACACATGAAAAGACAAAAACAAACAAACAAAAACCTACAAAAGACTCATATAACAGATACGAGGGATAAAACCTTTCTTCTATATTCCTGGTTGTAATTCTGGGCTTTGTGCTTACCTGACTCATGCTTTATTTTTCTCAGTGTTATAAATATTGTAGTTCATGGCAAACACCTAGCAGGATACAGCAGAACTTCAGTATATGGCAGTAACTGTGATGAAGAAGGAGAGGAAGAGGGAAGAATGACAAAAAAAAAAATACAGAGAGAAATACAAAGCTGGTTCATTTTTGGGAGACTATACATGCATAAAAGTCTTGTTTTTTTAAACTATGAACTGCTATATAAACCTTACCTAGACTTTCCCTTAACTCTTGGGTAGTGTGGTTTATTAGAAGAAGATGCCTTTTAAAGTCAAATATTCTTAAACTTTTATCTTTGCATCTTAACCAGTGGTGTGCTGGCGTATGTTTAACAACCAGGCAGGCACAGGGACTTCTTTGCAGCAATTGCTCATTGACATGCTGTAAATAATTCTACTGTGGCTGACTTCAAGCTGCCAACATGACATTACTGAATGAAGAGTTGCCTCCTATAAGCCAGTGTGAGCTCATTCCAGTGCAACCCTGTACCTTCCACAGCGTGACCTTGCAGAAATAATCTCTCTGAGACTCGGTTTCATGGTCCATAAAAGGGATCTGCCAATAAGTGTCTTCTAGGGCTGGACCTGTTGGGCAGATTAAATGTGAAAATTCACAGAAATGCCAAGCACAGTGCCTGCCACACAGCTGTGCCCCATAAGCATTGCTTCCTTATTTTTAAAGATAATTAAGTTTAAACATCCAAAAAATTTCTTCAAGTTTGTGTTGGTGGGGGAGAGGTTGGGAGAGAAACTAGGTCTCTTAGGCAAAACAATATTAATCTTACTTTTCCACTTTCTTTTATATTCTCTCTCTTACAATGATTTTATCTAAACATTTTTTTTCTTGGTTCTCATTTTGTCTGACTTAAGCTAGATGGTCAATCTCCAAAAGAACAAAATAAATGAGAAGTAATAACTGTGGCCTTGCTGTCATGTTTACTTTCTAAATGGAATGAATCTTTCAGAACATTTTGCCTAATAAAATGACATAGATGGGGACCTGAAGCTGAACTCACAAGATCCTTAACATACAGATTTAAGGATTTTAATAAAAAATATTAATCTCTTGATTTATTGCAGAAGTTTTAAAACAACCAACTGAACACATATGCTTAGATATATGTACACACACATACATTATAGTCTAATGTAGATAATGTTTACTGTGAACCTGCTGTGGGGCAGACACTGTGCTCAACATGTATACATACATATATATCTATGTTAGACTACAGTTTTTCTCCATAAATTTATATGTAATTTAGAACAAGGTGACTCGAAAATAATTAGTTTTTGATTGATTTACTTATTCATTTATTTATTCATTCCCTTAAGCACTCATGCATCAAATCTTTGTAGAATACCTGCCATGTGTCAAACCCTGCTCTAGGCAAGAGCGTATACATAGATGAATTATATGGGTCCCCTGCACCGCGTGAGTTAGTTGGCTCCTGGGGAAGGCAGACGTATACAGAGATAATCACAAAGTGAAGGAGGACAAAGCACCATGATGATAATAAAAGTGGAAGACACACAAAGCTCTTCATTTTCAATTTTGTAAAGTAAGAATTACACAGAGGAAAGTGTGAAGGGAAGTGTCACCTGTTATCTATTAATGGTTATAATTATTTGATTATATTTTTACATTGAATGATAATTCAACATAGGACAGTCTCTTCGAGATCACATCGCTGAGTATCATCCCCCAAGGCTTCTTAAATTCAAGGTCTACTGGCACCTATGCGGCAATACACATTGTGGCCTGTAGATGGCAGGCGTCGCTCACTGTTTCGATGGATCTCATCCACACCTGACGGATGATGCAGCCTTAAGCTTTGGGCCAGAGTCGTCTCGCAGGTCTGCCTACCGCTGCTCCACAAGTGCAGAGCTACATATTTATTTACTTCGTTCATCTTAAAATCTTGTGATGTAACACATTTTTCATGTCAGAGATTTTTAATGTTCCTGAACATTTTGTGAGCAGAACTTAATGCTTGTGGGAAGGGCTTCAACTTGAATGACTTTTGATGTTTGGATGTAAATAAAGAATTATTTAAGAAAAAAAAAAAGTCGATATTGTAGAATAATCAAGTAAATTAAAAATAGAGGGCACTAACCCTACGTATAAATGTGCCTGCTAAGCATAGACGCTATTTGCAATACCCCACCACTTCCTTCTCCGAGATCATGGCAATGTTAGCACCTTGGCCCCAGGGCTAGAATTATTTCATCTAAGCAAGAATCTATTGGCTTCCGACTATGTGCAAGACGCTGCATTGGGTGATAAGGGGATATATAGTTGAATAAGCATAAAACCTGGCCTTATAGGACTTATAATTCGGGGGAGACAGCTAACAACAATGCAGAAATTCTAGCAAGTCGCTGTGAGAGTGGAGTTGTGGAGGATATTACACCCAATAATGGGTAGAATAATTGTGGAGAAAATGAAATTAGAGTCAGCTGTGGGGTTACCCAGAGAAACTTCACAGGCAGTTTTGAGGAGAAGGCACCTCAAATATTTTGATCAGTTTAGGCAAAACTATATTTTAAAAGCCCCCTGGAAATATAAATTGCATACCTGTTTTTCTTTTTAAATTTGTGTCCACTTCTTGTAACACATAATTACATGTGATAATAAATGGACTCTGATTTTAGATTTCACAGCCAACAAATCTATATAATCCCCAAATAAATGAGTCTATGTCCTCTGTGCAATTTACTGTGTATCTTGAAATAATTGTGTATTTATATCACATTAAAATAAACCTAATTGGCAACTTTATAATTTTAACATATGCTAATCATTTTTAAAATTGCAAAGTTCAGAAAAATTTAGACACTAATGAAAATAACCTGTAATCTCAACTTCCCAATAAAGCTATGCCTAATATTTCTGTGTTAAACAAAATCTTAATGATTACATAAGAATTCTAATAGCAAAATGTTTATATTTATAAAAATCTAGTAAAATCAGACTAAACTTATTGATGCTTAAAGCTAGTCATGAGCATAATGACATTTTCCTGCCTTGTTAAGAATTGTAAAATCAATGAAAACGATTTACATTTTAAAACTGGAAAAAAAAAACTAGTCTCCGCTTTCGCCTTTAACAGATTTGAGTTTAAACCCCAGCTAAATTGAGCTTTTTATTGCGTAGTAATTTCTCTTTCTGAGGTCCTATTTCCTGTTTTGTAAAATGGAGTTACAATGTCTATCCTTGGTTGTGAGGTTTAAGAAAAGTCATGTGCTAGACCTGGCACATGGCAGGTGCTTAGCTGATATAACTTTTCCCCAACTCTTTATGTCAAGGAAGTTCCTTTTCTCTCTCCTGTTGAGAATCCCTGAGAAGCTTTTAAACAACACCCTAGTCCAGGATTCCTTAGCTGAAGGGCTACGGACCTTTGGGTTCTGATAAATCTTCGTTATGGGAACTATAGGGTGTTTGACAGCATCTGTGTTCCCTATTCAATAGATGCCAGTGGCAACTCCCGTATCTGTGGCAACTTCCCTATTTTTGGCAACCAAAAATGTTTTCAATCATGGCCAAAATCATCTCCCCGGGGCAAAATCTCCTCTGCATGAGAACCACTGCCCTAGTTCTTAACGAATGCCCAAGAAATCGATATCGCTGGATGGGAAAGACTTCTTTCCAGTGTGCCCATGCTGTACACCACAGACTGCACAGCTGCAAGTCTGGTTGACTTGCAGGCACTGCTACCCTTTCCTGCCTTTGCAGTTATCACCTTGGTTCTGGGAAGTCCTGGACACAGCAGCTCGTGTCTTAGCATCTTTTTTTTCCCCAAACATCTTATGGAGTCTATGACACTCTGTTTTGCCGTAAGTCCATTATCTGATTTGCCTTGAGTGAATGCTTCCCTCACTGTATCACAGCCTCCCTAACTGCATGGCTGCCAGATCTGCTCAAACAGTCTTCTGCCTTGGTCTTGCTTAGTAGTCTGGTTTCCCACCGGCATATTGCCCTCATCCCCAGGTCACTTGGCTGAGGCTGGGGCATCTTTCCTAGTTTGCAGTAATCACCCAGGAACCTGGACCGAAGATCCGTATATCCTCAGTGGCTGACACAGAACACGATCCTTGAGAAAAAGGGTCATGTTTTAATATATCGTGGTGGATATCTCTACAAGACAATGGGAATGAAGTAGAATTGGAATTTAAGTTAAACCTCACTATTTATACTTGTCCTTTTATTTTCTGTCTTGATTATTTTTATCTGCCATTTTATGATTTTACAGAGTATACATGATTGTGGTTTATTTTATCTTCATTTTTGTAGCTGTTTTCATGCATCCTTGGCAGTTCTACCATGTTTTTGACTATAAGAGCTCCTGCTGCATATGAAGGCAAGAGGCTCTGCAAAACTTCTAGTGAATATTCATCTCTTCTTTGCAGTGCTATGATTATCATGCTTGGCTGGACTTTTAGCTAAAAACTGACCTCAAGACTTAACTCATTGGTACCCCAAATTATAAACATCGTCTCAGTACCCACCAATTCTATTGGGGTATCCTAGGGTTTCAAATTCACTGCAATTAGAGCCAAAATGCTTACCCCTCTATCTACTGAACTTCTAGAATGGCCTCCACTCCAGGCAAACTCTAGCCATATCAAATCCCTTTCTCTAGGTTTTTTTCTAGATTCTATCTTTATTTTTTCTCCCATGAGTTCTAGGTCAGAATGTTAGTCAAGATTTCTCAAAAATTAGAATCTTAGGCAATGGCTTGCATCACCTAGTTTATCTGAGGAAGTAATTCCAAAGAAAAGAATGGGAAAATAGGTAAAATGAAACAAGGAAGAAAGCACAGAATATCTTAAAGGTGTTATTGGGATTGTCACTGGCACAGACCTCTTGAGCTAAACCCTACTTGCAAACTTTTGAGCCATGAGTCATGTAGAATGCTCCTTGAACTTTTCCACATGAAGGACAGGAGAGGGCTGGATTTATCCACTGGCTCCAATCTCCCATTGGACAAGAATTGTCCCATAGAGTATTGACATGGTTCGGCTCTGTGTCCCCACCCAAATCTCATGTTGAATTGTGATCCGCAGTGTTGGAGGATGGGCCTGGTGGGAAGTGATTAAGTCACGTGTGCGGCCTCCCTGCTTGCTGTTCTCATGATAGAGTTCTCAGGAGATATGATTGTTTGAAAGTGTGTATCGCCTCCCTCTTCACTCTCTCCCTCCACTGCTGGTCATGTGAAGAAGTGCGTTCCTCTTCATCATCTTCCACCATGATCATAAGTTTCCTGAGGCCTCCCCTGAAGTAGAAGCCTGTATAACCCACAGAACCTGAGCCAATTAAACCTCTTTTCTTTATAAATTACCCAGTTTCAGTTATGTCTTTATAGCAGTGTGGGAATGGACTAATACAAGTATTAACTCCATCATAATTCCATATTTGGCTATATGTCAAAATGGCTTAACTCATTGTCACAAGTGACTCATGTGGCAGCATGAGATGTTTGGTGCAACAGAGGGGTCATACCATAAGATTCTACCTACTTGCAACTGATTGCACTAGCAATGGCTGGAGCAGAAATATGAGTGGAGAGCATACGAGCAGGGCACAACTATCTCATATACCTGGCAGGTCCAAATTTCTTCAGGCCATGAGGTCATGGGCCTGGGTAAGAGCCAGAGTATGTTACCAGCGCCAAAACTCTTGTATTAGTGATACTGGTTGCTAGATTGCTGGGTAACTATAGAGTTGTGGCTTCATCTGATAAGCAGTAACTCAAGAAAATGTATTATCCAGATAAAGTCAAAATTATTGAAGAAAGACGAAGTCTCAAGATGACCTCAAATGTGCCTATTTTTGTTCAAGATTCAGGTTATAATAAGCCCATGTTCCCACATTAGTTTTGCAATCTTTTGTGTTTTATTTAATCTCAGTTCATGTTGAACTGGAAGGTGAAAGGGCCTTCTTCCAGTTAAAAATAGTAAACTCCTATATGGTGGGTGGTAACATTATCAAAAGAGAAAGGTTAAATCATTTTGCTACCATTATCTTCACCTTCTGTCATGGAAATTTATATCATTGCAATCAGTACAGAAGCTGAACTTTTTGGTGGATTCTACTTATATGTCCAGATAAAAAGCAACATTATATAGATCCCACTTATGGTTTTATGAACTATGGAAAGAATTGTGATAAGCGCCTTGAAATAATGATTTGGGGCATCACTGAGGGGTTCTCTTTTATAGACAAGGAAATTCAAAATGTCAACTGAACATTAATTAATATGGAGCATCTACGATTTCAGCTGTTTTCCCCAAATTGCTGAAGCTTCCCAAAATATATCAGCATTTAACATTGTCTGCCAACCCTCCCTGTGAACCTGTGGCAGAACATTGTCTCAAATAATTTTGTAGTGAAGTACCACAAGATGAATGTGTACACATTTTGCGTGTGTGTGTGTGTGTGTGTCGGATAAATGTAGACGTTACATGATGTTATGGGTTAAAGGAGGAAGGATCATCTTAAGTTGTCTTCCTCCATAGCGGAGTAGGAGGCAGATTTAAATGCAAGCAGTATCTTGGGTCATCCCAGGAAACACTGGTAGGGAGCAAGGAAATGAAACAAAGAAGGGAAGGAAGCTATGTTATTCCAGGTCCTCTGAGAAGCAAAACATCAAGGAAGGATTACATGTATAAGGATTTTATTAGGTGGAAATACCTGAATAAAAGAAAACAGGAGGGAGCAGGAGATGCTAGGGGAGCAGTCAGATTGCAGCTGAGGTCTAATCCCTAGTAAAGGGAGAAGGAAAAAGGGACTGTTGGGTGGAAGCATCTTAAATTGCTAAGGAAAGTTTGTTAAAGCCTACAGACCATCCTTGGGCAATGGTAAGCCATCAGAGGAATGCCACCTCTGCCTTAGTATACCTGCTTCTCTCAGTCTTTGACTCGGAGAGGTCCCTGGAAAGTATGGTCTGAGTGCAAATGCAGTGTTGGATTTAAGAACAAAGCATTTTAATGGGCCAGGTGTGGTGGCTCATGCCTGTAATCTCAGCACTTTGGGAGGCTGAGGCAGGTGAATCACGAGGTCAGGAGATCAAGACCATCCTGGCTAACACAGTGAAACCCCATCTCTACTAAAAAAAAAAAAAAAAATACAAAAAATTAGCCAGGCATGGTGGCGGGCACCTGTAGTCCCAGCTACTTGGGAGGCTGAGGCAGGAGAATGTCATGAACCTGGGAGGTGGAGTTGCAGTGAGTGGAGGTCATGCCACTGCACTCCAGCCTGGGTGACAGAGCGAGACTCTGTCTCAAAAAAAAAAAAAAAAAAAAAAAAAAAAAAGAAAAGCCTTTTAACATTAAAATGGCCATATTGCCCAAAGCAAGCTACAGACTCAACACTATTCTTATCAAACGACTAATGTCATTTTTCACAGAATTAGATAAAATTATTGTATACTTTCATATGAAACAAAAAAAGAGCCCAAATAGCCAAAGTAATCCTAAGCAAATGAACAAAGCCAGAGTCATCACATTACCTGACTTCAAACTATACTGTAAGGCTACAGTAACCAAAACAGCATGGTACTGGTACAAAAACAGATACATAGATCAATGAAACAGAATAAAGAATCTGGAATTAAAGCTGCACACCTACAACCATCTGATCATTGACAAAGTCAACAAAAATAAGCAATGGGGAAATGACTCTCTATTCAATAAATGGTTCTGTGATAACTGGCTAGCCATATACAGGAGAATGAAACTGGACCCCTACCTTACACCATGTACAAAAATTATCTCAAGACAGATTAAAGATTTCAATGTAAAAGATTTTAAAGATCTCAAACCATAAAAATCCTAGAAGAGGCCAGGTGTGGTGGCTCATGCCTGTAATCCCAGCACTTTGGGAGGCCAAGGCAGGTGGATCACAAGGTCAAGAGTTCTAAACCAGCCTGACCAACATGGTGAAACCTTGTCTCTACTAAAAATACAAAAATTAGCCGGGTGCGGTGGAGCACACCTGTAATCCAAGCTACTCGGGAGGTTGAGGCAGGAGAATCACTTGAACCTGGGAGGCAAAAGTTGTGGTGAGCTGAGATCATGCCACTGCATTCCAGCCTGGGTGACAGAGCGAGACTCCATCTCAAAAAAAAAAAAAAAGAAAAAAAGAAAAATTCCTAGAGGAAAACTTAGGAAATACCTCTCTCAACATCAGCTTTGGCAAATAATTTATGGCTAAGTCCCCAAAAAGCAATTGTAACAAAAACAAAAATTGACAGGTGGGATCTAATTAGACCAAAGAGCTTCTGCACAGCAATATAAACTATCAACAGAGTAAACAGATAACCTACAGAATGGGAGAAAATATTCTCAAACCTTGTCTCCAACGGAGGTCTAATATCCAGCATCTACAAGAATTTAATAGTATTGTTTGTAACACAAAGGATAAATGCTTGAGGGGATGGATACCTCATTCTTCAGGATATGATTATTTTGCATATATGTTTGTATCAAAATATCTCAAGTGCCTCATAAATATATACAGCTACTATGTACACACAAAAAATAAAGGCAAAAAATTAAAATAAGATATGCAAGCTGCCAACAAACATATGAACAAATGCTCATCATCACTATTTATTAGATAAATGCAAATCAAAACCACAATGAGATACCATCTCACACCAGTCTGAATGGCTATTATTAAAAAGTCAAAAAAAAAAAAAAAAAAAAAACAAACTAAAGCAAATGATGGTGAGGCTATGGAGAACAGGGAATGCTTATGCACTGTTGATGAGGTTGTAAGTCAGTTCAGCCACTGTGGAAAGCAGTGTGGAGAATTCTCAAAACACTTAAAAAAGAACTGCCATTTGACCCAGCAATCCCATTACTGGGCACAGACACAAAGGAAAATAGATCATTACACCAAAAAGACACCTGCACTCATATGTTCATCACAGAACTATTTACAATAACAAAGGCATGTAATCAACCCGGCTGCCAATCAAGGATGGATTGGATAAGGAAAATATGGTACATATGCACCATGGAATAATATGCAGCCATAAAAATGAATGAAATCATGTCTTTTGCAGCAACAAGAATGCAGCTAGAGGTCATGATCCTAAAACAATTAACACAGGAACAGAAAACAAAATACTGCATGGTCTTACGTATAAGCAGGAGTTAAACATTGAATACACATTGACACAAAGGTGGGAACTATAGACACTAGGGACTACTAGAGTGGGGAGAGTGGGAGGCATGGGCTACAATGTTTCCTGTTGGACACTATGCTCAGTACTTTGTGACAGAAGCATTTGTACTCAAAACCTCAGCATTATGCAATATACCCATGAAACAAACCTGCACTTGTACCCCCGATCCAGAATAAAAGTTGAAAAACAAAAATATTAAAATTATTTTAAAAAAAGAGCAGAGCAGCTGGAGCTCTCAGTCAATGTGCAGTCAGAGATCTGGCAGGTGTATTCTCAAAGCCATCACAGATGACAATACAAAGTGCATTTAAGAATGTATTACTGAGGCCAGGAGCGGTGGCTCATGCCTGTAATCCCAGCACTTTGGGAGGCCGAGGCGGATGGATCATAAGGTCAGGAGATAGAGACCATCCTGGCTAACACCGTGAAGCCCCGTCTCTACAAAAAATACAAAAAAAAATTAGCTAGGCGTGGTGGCGGGTGCCTGTAGTCCCAGCTACTTACGAGGCTGAGGCAGGAGAATGGTGCGAAACTGGGAGGCGGAGCTTGTAGTGAGCTGAGATTGCACCACTGCAGTCCAGCCTGGGCGACAGAGCGAGACTCCTCAAAAAAATAAATAAATAAATAAAAGAATGTATTACTGAGATGGGCGCTGGGGCTCAATCTTCTTCAGGACCTGTGGAGGCCATGAAGAACAGACCTTGAAGATTTCCTGCTGCAGGGATCAGGAAACTGAGATGCTTATCCATCACTTGTCATGTGGCATTACCTAAAGACTGCTTTCAGGATCATCCACTACCTTGTATCTCTGGCCTGCCCCATGCTCAGCAGAGAAAATCTGAGCAGAGAATGTCAGGTGCTTTTGGCAGAAGGCATTGGCATACATGGGGTGGTAAGTATAATATCAATGGGATATTGGCAGAGCACAAGAAAAGAGTCCAGTGCAGTGAGGTAAGGAAAAAGAGAAGCAAATTCTTCTTAACACTAATTATTTCTTCTCCAGCCTATCTAAGATTCACAAGATTTGGGAGCAGTCAAGTAGCATTTTCTTTCTGTTTATGATTTCCCTCTGAGACTATCATTGCTTTAGGCAAATGCATTCATGTGAAGAATCATTTTTCTCCATGTCTGAGCCTATAATAAATGTCAACCCTTTTTTGGCAACTGCAACTAATGCTGCAGACCTACCATTACTAAAAATGAAATTACACATGTTAGGACCCCAGATCAATGTATTTCAAGGGACATTTAAGATCACTCTGGACAGGCAATGGAATCTCTCCACCTCTGTAGCTATGAGCCTCCTTCTGGAAAAAAAGATAAAATTTTTACTTGATTTTTTTTCTCTTTCTCTTAGTGCTTGGATCAAGCAAAAAAAATGCAAATGAAATTTCTAGCCTTGTTAATTCCCCTGAAATCTAGCATCCTCTCTAAAATACTTGGTAAAACTAAGCACCCAGGAAACAAAGTTTAAAGTCTTTAAGGTGTGCTCAGTGTAGCCTGTAAGGTGTTTAATAAATAGCCCTTAAATTTGCATAGAAATCATAGGCCATTGGAGCAAAAAGTAAGCTCAGGCAATGTCACAGAAAATGCTTCATTTTACAGGTGAGAGAAATGAATCCCAGAGAGAATTGGTTTGCACAAAACTACACGTCCGTTTAGTGGCACAGCAAAAACCAGAATTAAGGTGGTCTGACACTCATTCCAATAATTTTCATGGTTTTTTATGTTTTAAGCTTTGATAGAAAGACTTTTGTGCATTATCTCATTTAAAGAAACTAATGAGATGGTAAGTCATTTACAAGTCAGTCATCTGGGTAAGAGCAGGGGATCCTCTGGGATCTGAATGCTTGGGTTCAAATTCCAGCTCCAACATGTGTCACCTGCATGACCCTGAACGATCTTTCTGTGCTTCCCTTTTCTCCACGGTAAGCAATGGCATCTATCTCAGTACCCTTAAAACGATTGCATGAAATACTGGTAAGCAATGACAACTATCTCAGTACCCTTGAAATGAGTGCTTGAAATGCTACAAGCAAGTGTCTAGAGAGTGCCTGGACCACAGTTAGTACTCCATAAATCTGAAGCGACATGATGTCATCTTCACAACAGCTCTCAAAGGTAGGTGTTATCATCCTCATTGTACAAATGAAGAAACAGAAATTTACCAATGTGTCTCAGTAGCAAGTGGGAGAGCTGTACCTCAAACTTGGGAGGAAATTCCCTAAAGCTTTAACCACCAGAGACTTACCACTTTTGCTTTTCTTTTTTTAATGTTAATTTTTATTTTAAGTTCTGGGGTACATGTGCAGCATGTGCAGGTTTTTTACAGAGATAAACCTGTGCCATGGTGGTTTGTTGTACCTATCAACCCATCACCTATGTATTAAGCCCAGCATGCACTAGCTATTTTTCCTAATGCTCTCCTTCTCCCCACTGCCCCCCACCCCTGACAGGCCCCAGTATGTGTTGTTTCCTTCCCTGTGTCTACATGTTCTCATTGCTCAGCTCCCACTTATAAGTGAGAACATGCGGTGTTTGGTTTTCTGTTCCTGTGTTAGTTTGCTGAGGATAATGGCTTCCAGCTTCATCCATGTCCCTGCAAGGGACATGGTCTCATTCGTTTTTATGGCTGTGTAGTATTTCATTGTGTAAATGTACCACATTTTCTTCATCCAGTCTATCATTGATGGCCATTTGGGTTGATTCCATGTCTTTGCTATTGTGAATAGCGCTGCAATGAACATTCATGAGCATGTATCTTTGTAGTAGAATGATTTCTATTCCTTTGGATATACACCCAGCAATGGGATTGTTGGGTCCAATGGCATTTCTAGTCCTAGATCTTTGAGTTGCCATACCTTTATTTATTTATTTATCTATCTGAGACAGGGTCTCTCTCTGTCACACAGGTTGGAAGAGTTCTCACTATCTTGCCCAGGCTGAGGAGAGAGGATTGCCTCTCTCCTCAGCCTCCCAAACTCCTGGAATTAGAGGCTTGAGCTACTTCACCTGACCTCTTTTTCTTTTTAATTGCAGATACTCATGCAGTGATGATACGTGTCAATCATTTGACGTCAAATGTATTTTTCATTCCATCTGGCAAATCATATCCCTCTTCTTGAATGGAATTCCTCTGTCACTCTGGGTCTTTCAATTCACCTTGAAGTGTCCAGTGAGTACTGTTCTCATTTCATACCCTTCACTGGTTTGGCATAGCCATGGATCGAGGACAATATTATTCCTTTTCAAAAATATTGCATCTGTAATTCCTCAAATTTCAACATAATGATATGAGTTCTTATTAATGATATTTTAAGACAATTTTTCACCTTTTTCCATGTGCTCTACAAAATGCCTACCACTAGCTGCTCCTTTACATTTTGCCTTATGTAGGGTAGTTAACTTCCCTCTAGGTCTCTACTCAACTGGCCTTAAATTTTGTTCCTGTCATCAAAGAGTTCATAATTTAAGAGAAAACTTTGGGCATATAGAAAAATATCTACAATAAGGCAAATGTCAATGGAGTAAAACATGTTACAGACTTACATATAGATAATAAAATGGGAAATAATAAAATGTAACATACATTTTATTTATATAAGGAGAATTTTAAGATTAAAGCTAGCAATTATAGAGTATCAGTGCTTTTTCTAAACCAAAATATGTAGCTTGGAATAGAGGGAAATTAAGCTGTAAGATAACATATAAAAGACAATGCGAAAAATTGTAAAATGTCCTGAAATGGAGGGTGGTTCCTCTGACAACAAGATGTAAGAGTAACATTTCTGAACATATTAATATACTTACAAAGCAATGTCTCAATCAGAATGAGGTTGGATATGGCAGGTAACACAGAAAGAGAAGAATCAGAAAAATTAATGTTAGCAGTGTCCAATCAATCACTTGCCATTGGCAAGGACTTACTGTAGATATATAGCTCAATTACCATTGATTATGGAATTCTAACTTTTTATGGGGTCCTTGTTCTTTCTGTATTTGCCAAGGGGTATCAGGAAGATATTGCACTAATGACAAAGATTTTAAACGTTGCTATTCCCTGTCATAATGATTTCTCATAGTTTAATTAATAACAGTTCCTAGTTATAATATGGGTTCCCAAGTTCATTGGCCACAGAAGAAGAAAAGATATACAAGAGATCTGAATATCTCTGGCCAACAAGATCGTTACATTTATCATCATAAATTGATACTCTGAGAACATACCAGTTTTGTATTGTGTGTTCAGTGAGTCATTATCTCAGTGCCTTATTGTGCCTAGGTGCTGGTAAAAGTCTAAGCCTTTAAAGTAGAGTCAGACCCAGCAAGACTCTCTCTTAGAAGTCATCGATATCAGGTTCATGTCTGTCTTCTATTGATATCTATACTTTAAAGGCAAAATATTATTTTACTAGCCCTATCAGTGTTCCTTGGAGGAAATCAATTGCCCTTGATGGCCACACTGATGTTGAAATTGAGGGTTGAGAACATGATGTAAAAGAAACAAACTTGGCATGTGAAATCAACATAGATTTAAGACTGATGGGGAGAGAGGCATGACAGAATGCAGGTATAGAAGATTTAAAGGTGCTCATTATCATGGAGGAAATCTGAATCTCTATTGGCATGAATGGCCAATAAAATTTTTTTATTTCAATGATACATTAGAAGCCTTGTTAGTCTTCTAGGCAAATAAAGGCTAATAGAGAGCTATGTTACTGTTATTGTTGTTGCTGGACTTAAGAGAAGGGAGCTACATATCAGATTTGTTTTGACATGAGCCTAAATAGAGACACCAAATGCAAGTGACTCACAAACAAAATTAAATCAGAGGAAACAGAAACTGATCATCTGTAAGTCACCCCCACACCATTCTAGTATTCCTGGAATGCTTGGGGAGGGTGATTTTTCTACTGCTTTTGAATTTGAAACCACAGGATGTTCAGTTGACCTTTGAATTTTATTGGGTAAAAAATACTCTTTTACTTATAATCACAGCAATGCATTAATAATGGAAAGGAGGTATCATATCATATTGGGGAAATCAGAGAACATTTCATGGATGATGCAGCAGCCAAGTGAGGCTTTGAATTATAAGCCATATTTGATAAGCAAAATAGATATGGGTGGTTAAATAGAGGAGGTGGGAAAATAAACTTCATAGAAAGATAGTTCTGAGCATTTGTAAAAATAAAAGAACTGCTTGGTGATTATAGGGAAGACCATTTAGTTGATGGAAGAGCTACTAGCTATGGAGCTGAAACCAAGAGGTCCTAAACCCATATCATATTTGAGAAATCATCATAAGGCAATTAATAGAACCTGTGAGCCACTGAAAAACTGTAAAACAAGAAGCTAGAAATTGTGTGTGAACTCAGGGTCAGGGGGAAAGCAAACATGAACCTCTTGGGCTTTCTCTTGAGTATCAATGGAAGATGGGCCCAAACCACTGAAGATGGGCCCAAACCACTGAAGGCTGCTTCGCTCATGTAAGTGGTATAGCTCAGGAGGGTGGGTGAATAAATGCCTGCAAGGGAATTCTTTACTACTGGAGAATGAGAGCCAGGGAGTGGATGCTCTCCTTTCATCATTCAGAGAGATAATGCTGAAGCTCATCCTGGCAGGTTCCATAGAAAATTCCCAGGAGCACAGAGCCCCAGGCATTCACCATAGGAACCTGGTTTATAATGCATGTTTCCCTTTCCATGTCTCGATCTTCCCATTCCCTCAGCCCTGTTTCCAGAGATCACCTCCCAAATAAGTATGCTCACACATCCTTGTCTAAAGATCTGTTTTATGATATGTATAAATTATGAAAATATTTGAGAGGACTGGGTGCTGTGAGATGCAGACAGGGTAAAGCTGTAATATTCTGTATCCTAATCAGCTAATGGTGCTTAAGGAAAGGGTGGATTCTTGGGGAGCTGGGGAAATAAGTCTGTATGAATAAGCTGGAATCAGAATGCAAAGGGTCTAGATCCCTAGATTAAGACTTTGAAAATTTAAACCATTGAACCTACTAAAATTGGGAGGGAGAGGGCTCAGATCTAACAGGATACCTTTTCATTTTGGGGCGAAGATTCACATGCTTAGAGTTGAGAGATGAATTTAGAAAGACTCAGAGAGCAAAGAGACAAAAGTCTCTTGCCATAGTAATAAAAAATGGATGACATTTTTTCATTATCCCCTCTCAGTTTAAATTCTCTATGGCATTAAGGTATTTACATTTGTAGTCTTAGGCTAAATAATCAATTTTCCTTCAATGAAAAGAAATTCCTTTTCCTTCCTGGGTGTATATATTAAATATGTCTTTGTAATCCTCTTACTGACACAAAAAATTCTTAATATGCCTTTGATTTTGGACTGAAGTTCTAGCAGTTGATTTTGGGAGAAGGCATTTGAAAACCCTCTCAGATTATCCTGGCTCATTAGATTACTTAAATTATACTAGTTAGATTATTTATATACCACTAGTTAGATTATTATACTAGTTATTTGATGAAAGGTGAAGACTAGCCTCTTCTTTGGAGGACTTGCCTCCACAATGGTGAAACACATGAAAATGGGAAATGTTTTAGCTTAGAATCGCTGAACACAGGATCAATATTTATCATGGAGTTTGCTGACATCCCATTAAGAAAGGTTCAGCTGCAATTTGGAGAAATGCATTTGGTAGGGTTGAGAGGGAAATCGGCTTTCCATTGAATGCAGAAGGCAATTCATAATGAAATTCAAAACTGAGTAAAATTGGTCCAATCTAAAAACCCAGGAAAGAAATTTAAGTCTTTTTAGAAGAACTCAGTCAAGTTTCAAATCAATAGGAGCTGATTTATTATTTGAGGCATGTAATAAAAAAACAAATTTCTGCTGGGCTTCAAAGTGCCAGTGCAATTAGAATTTCTGAGCTTTGGCAGAATCTGGAAGCAGAGACAAAGAAATAAATAGAAAGGCAGGAACAAACATCACTAAAAATTAGTTTGAAGAATTTTTAATGTCTTCCAGTTCCTTGCCCTGGAATCCAAAGCCCACAGGTCTGATCCTTAGCACACGTTTTTAACCGTGTGACAGGATTTAAAATAAGACTTTTTTTGGGTCTTCTCTGAGGCATCTAAAAGCCAAGAATACAACAAAGAATGGAAGAGCAGGAGCTCCTGCATTCCACTGTTGGCTTCCTGTCCTTTAGACCTCAAGTTTTGTCTTTGACAGGCCAGGTAGAAGCATTTCCTTAGAGATACTGAGTTCCAGAGTGTTCTCCTTCCTTTCATGGTGGTGACAAAAATTATGCTTTTCCTCTCACTTCAACTCAGATGAGCAGAGATTTAAGGGGACTCCTTGCAGAACTATAAGCTGAGGGCCACAGAGACAGAGTGGAGTGTGAGAGAGACCTGGTTGTAAAAGAAGCTAATTATACCCTCACTCATGGCATGGGGACAGGAAGCACAGGTTTTCCACATGGGTCACTGGGAGAGATGGCAAGCAGAGCCACTCTTGTTTCTACCTTCAGTTTCCTCATCCCGTGTATTCTAACCAGTGACACTGCAACATATATACAATTCTGAGTCAAAAATAGCAAAATATGTGATATGAAAAGTGGATCCTGTAATCAGGGGTCTACACAAAATTACCCTGAGGCCTTGCAAGAAGGGAAGGAAAACCGATAACTAAACCCAGAATACATGTGTATTCATTTGTCTCCTCTTGCCAAGATGAATCGCTGACTTCTAAGAGTGGATGGAATCCAATGTAGATATCTTGCTATCAAGTGGCCACTTGGTATCCTCAAGAAATGGTGACATACGGAGAGTAAGAATTGCACTCTTGATGATAGGTTGAACTCTGGCCACGGCAATAGCTAGACCAGCTTTGGCTAACAGCAGGGCTGGGGGTCCATGCTGTGGGGCCCATGTACATCCTTCCTCTCTGTCACCATGGCCTCTTCATTTATACTCCAATTCTTCCAGAACTGGGGTGGCCAGTATAGAAGCTGGCTTACCCCATGTGGCCAAGGTATTTGTCTCCTTAATTGGTTAGTGCCTCTTTCATGGCAAATGCTCACTGGTGAAAATCAACATATAAAGACTTCCTGCTTGGTGCTCTCCTCCATCTTCTTGTCTGTCCACATCCCTCTACCCTAGACCTACTTGTTACTGAACTTCCAATCTTTTTTCTTCCACACTCCTGCCAGTCAGCCAGGTCATTTGCCACTCTCTAAGTTTCATATATAATCTGACCTCAGGGAACTTCTTTTTTGATATAAAATAGATAACCAAATGCACCACCTGATATGGTTTGGATCTGTGTTCCTGCCCAAATCTCATGTTCAGCTGTAATCCCCAGTGTTGGAGATGGGGCCTGGTGGGAGGTGACTGGATCATGGGGACAGATTTCTCATGAATGGTTAATGCCATTCTTCATGGTACTGTCCTCACAACAGTGAGTGAGTTCTCATGTGAGCTGGTCATTAGTGGCTCACACTTGTAATCTCAGCACTTTGGGAGGCTGAGGCGGGTGGATCACCTGAGGTCAGGAGTTCAAGACCAGCCTGGCCCACATAGTGAAACCCCGTGTCTACAAAAAATACAAAAAAAATAGCCAGGCATGGCATTGTACACCTGTAATCCCAGCTATTTGGGAGGCTGAGGCAGGAGAATTGCTTGAACCCGGGAGGCAGAGGTTGCAGTGAGCCAAGATCGTGCCACTGCACTCCAGCCTGGGTGACAGAGCAAGACTCTGTCTCAAAAAAAAAGAAAAAAAGAAAAAAAGTGTATAGCACCTCTCCACTCGCCCTCTTGCTCCTGCTCTGGCGATGTGATATGCCTGCTTCCCCTTCCCCTTCTGCCTTGATTGTAACTTTCCTGAGGCCTCCCCAGAAATGGAGCAGATGTCAGCATCATGCTTTCCATACAGTCTGCAGAACCGTGAGCCAATTAAACCTCTTTTCTTTATAAATTACACAGTCTCAAGTATTTCTTTCTAGTGACACAAGAATGGCATAAGACACCACCCAAATCTCTGCTCAGTGGGATAAATTTCCCTCACAACTATCTATCAAGACCATCCCTGAATAGGTGTCATTCATTCACATCCCTTATAGGCTTATATTCATACAGTGAAAGCTTACCCACTGTCAACTTATATGCATACTAGAAAACCTCAATTTCCTGATCTGCCAGCTTTATACTCACCTCCCTTCATTCAGTCACCAGATGGAAGCTGCCTTGCAAAGGACATGGCCTTCATGAAACAGAGATCTCCCCAGCAGGGGCAGACTCTGGAGAATATAGCAGCTGGAGACTGTCACTTGACCACACTTCCTAGGGCTAGATAATGCAGCCTTAATGAAGGGGATCTGAGCAGTGCGTCTCCAGGCCCACTGCAGAACTCTACTGTGAACATCCATATTCATCTATCCACGTGCATTCAGGGAACAGTTCCGCCAGAATTCTGGTGGCCTCTCCTATTGAGGGGAAGCTGTAAGATGAAAGTTAGAGGACACACTGGAGCTAGAAGGCTTCAGCTCCAGTGTGTCCTTCAGGGCTGTGATTGATACTGGTCACCTCCCTCCTTCATTGTCCATTCTAGGCTCCTTCTCTCCCCAGCTACCATCACCTCTGGTCATGAGGGCTTACAAACCCAGACCCTCATCCCTGAGAGACCGACCGCCTGAGTATTGTGTGCTTCTCAGTCAGTGGCTGCTCTGCCTATTTTTTTACCCTAATAATTAGAGAAGAGAATATACTAAGAGGTGCTCCAGTGAGTCACGGGGAGTCCTCATGGATTCCTTTCTGCCTGCCTGAGGGCATGGATCAGACCTGCAGCTATATCCTTTACCCAGTGCCGGGCACATACTCAACAAATATCTGTGCAATGAGTAACGATCTTCTTGTATTTACGAGTACTGGTGCCTTCACCTGTAATTCATGCTCACACCAAATTCCTAGTCACTATAACGATTTATTACTTAAATTGCAGCCCAGAAGATCTGTATTATTATTACTAATAAAGAGAAGACACAATATAAACTATGACTCAAAAGAGTTTTCCACTAGTTCCTGAAAGCTACATTCTCTCATCTCCTTTTTGCTCCAGATTAATTTGTACACCTCCATGCAAAGATGTTGCAAAGCAACTATCCTTATTTATATCTCATGGCTTATTAAAATTAATTTCTGCACGTGAAACTATTTGAGACTATTCCATTACAAACTTTTAGAAAGTCTAGCAGGAGCTACAGCTTCATTCAGTTAATACATTAAACACCATATTATCAGTAACTTATTATCTCCTCAGCTGGATTGGGGAATTGGAGGAATAATAAATAAAAAGTGACCTCTTTCTGTAGCATACAGTACCTGCAGAAGGAAACGGTAGGTGCCATTATAGAATGTGCTACAGAAAAAGACTCAAGGAGAGAGTTATCAACTGAGCCAGAAGGAGGTATGGAGCTCAGCACACAGGAAGGGAGGATTCCCAGAGGATGAGTGAGCTGGTCTGGGAATGATGATCAGCTTGAGGAGAAGATTTCAGGCAGAGTGAAAGCACAGAAGCCTTGAGAAAGAGCTAGTACACCATCACCAGGGAACAGTGAGTAGCTTGATACTGTGTGTATAGAGAAGAATACAGACCATGGGGTGCCTTCGGCGACACACTGAAGAATTGTGAATTAGAGCATGAATGATGATAATGTCAGAGACGTTTGAACCAGAGCAACTCCATTGTGAATAGAAGGTGGGTAAAATGAGGCTGAGACCTACTGGGCTGCATTCCCAGGCAGTTAAGGCATTCTGAGTCATAGGATGAGATAAGAAGTCAGCACAAGATACAAGTCATAAACACCTTGCTGATAAAACAGGTTTCAGTAAAGAAGCTGGGTAAAACTCACCAAAACCAAAATGGTCACAAGAGTAACCTCTGGTCATCCTCACTGCTACACTCACTCCCACCAGCACCATGACAGTTTACAAATGCCATGGCAATGTCAGGAAGTTACTCTATATAGTTTTCAAAGGAGAGGCATGAATAATCTACCCCTTTTTTAGCATATCATTAAGAAATAACCATAAAAATGGGCAACCAGCAGCCCTCGGGGCTACTCTGTCTATGGAGTAGCCATTCTTTTGTTCCTTTACTTTCCTAATAAACTTGCTTTCACTTTATGGACTCTCCCTAAATTCTTTATTGTGCAAGATCCAAGAACCCTCTCTTAGGGCCTGGATTGAGACCCCTTTCCTGCAACAATAATACTTAAAGGCTTTAAGCAAAGATGCAATGGAATATAATATATCATTATAGTGAAAATGTAAAAGATGAATGGAATGAAAGCTTGTGCAAGTGATGAGGCACTAGAGGGGAAACAAAGAACAAAAAGAAGAAAGAAAAGAAGGAAAGGAAAGGAAGGAAAGAAAGGAAAGGAAGGAAGGAAAGGAAGGAAAGAAAGAAGGAAAGAAAGAAAGAAAGAAAGAAAGAAAGAAAGAAAGAAAGAAAGAAAGAAAGAAAAGAAAAGAAAAGGAAGGGAAAGAGAAAGAGAAAGAAAAAGAAAGAAAGAAGAGAGGAAAGAGAAAGAAAAAGAAAGAAAGAAAGAAGGAAAGAAAGAAAGAAAGAGAGAGAAGACCCACAGAATTTAATGCTGGATAGTGATAAAAACTAAAACACATCTACTGGAATTTGTGGTGAGATGTTCCCATAATATATGTGAAGTGGTGAATGCAGAATTCACTGCAATGGACTGGAAACAAACTGGGTCCAGTGAGCCTATGCTTGTCTTTTTAGAAACTTCTATTTTCTCCACAAATGCTGAGTGTCCACAATGTATTAGGCATTATGCTTAAGTTAGAGAAATAATGTAATTTTTTCCCAGCAAAAATTCAGGATCCAGTATTCTCTAGGGGAACATTTTAGCTAACTAAACTAAAGTTTCTTAAGTGCTTATTGTTATTACCGAGATCTGTGCTAGACATTTGTTGTATTTTATCCCATTCATTTGAAGTAGGTATTGCTGTCCTAGTCTTACAGATAAGGAAGTGGGGAGTCTGCAAAACTGAGAGAAACTAATAAATTTACCGATGATATTTTAATACTAGTTGTACCTGGTATAACCAGAGTAGGTTACAAATCTGGTGTTTTTCCACTATTCTGTTAGGTGCATACCTTTATTATGTTTCCCTCTAAGCCCTAGATAATTGGGAAGTGAAAAAGGAAAAAAAATGCAGAATAAATATGTGTATGGGCCTCAGGTATATTTTAGCTCTAGGAGATAAAGTCATATATTTCTGTATGGCTCATACCCTCTATCAAAGGCATGGGTGTCCACAAAATGATTAGTGTTCGGCTCAAGTGAATTGTCTGCAAATATTAAAAATTCTAGTTTGGGCTAAGATTTATGTGTAGCTTAACCCAAACTAGAGTTGTTAATACTTTCAGAAAATAAAACCTCCCCAATGTAGACTATTTCTCCAATAGACATTCATTGGGCACTTGCTACGTGACAGCCCTCTCTCCCACCTGTAGGCAATGGAGTTCTCTGTTGCCTCCTGTGCTTGCCTTGATAAATGAGTTCAAACATTTTTCATTGCAGCTTACAAAAATTCAATCCAAACTAACTGAAGTTAAATTTAATTTCAGTTAAAGTGGACTATTTAATTAAAATACAAAGTCAAGAGGCTGACTAAATTTAGGCCTGACCTCACAGAAATGTTCCTGCAGTGTCTTTGAAATTTGATCTCTGTTTTGCTAGCTCAATTCTTCCTTCACGGATATTGATTTCATTCTTAGGTGGACTCTCCGTGTGTGGTCGAAAGATAGCTCCCTGCAGATCTAGGCTTACATTCTACCACCAGACAACTCTAGAGGGAAGAAACTCTCACTTGCCTATTAGTTCCTATCAAAGTCCCAGAAGTAAATTTAAATATCTTGTTCAGCATACGCACATCCTGAGGACAAAGCTTTGGGGTCAGGCTACCTGAACCAGTGGTGCCAAAAGTAGAGAGGAAAGTCTGATTCTTCAAGCAAGTAAGAGAAAAATAATTGAATGCTTCAAAGACAAAGCCATAGCTGTCCATCCTGTTTCACAACATTGATCACACTAATCACGCTGTATTTCTGTTGTCTATCTCCCTCACTCGACCCAAGCCCAGCAGGTTACATTCATACATCTCTTCATCATTTATTTCTCCAATAGACATTTATTGGGCACTTGCTATGTGACAGGAACTCTACTAAATTCTGAGTAGTGATAAATAAGGTGAACAGTTTCTCTGGCCTCACAGAACTTACGGTCTATTGTGGAGGTAGACATTGAAAAAGGTTGACAAGTCTTATGAAAGAAGAACTATGAAGTCCTAGAGTCCTCTAGTAGACTAGAACAGAGAGATTTATATTACTCTAAGAAGTCAGGCAGGCTTTCCCAAGTAAGAAATAGATATAAGTATAATTATAGCTATAGATCTCAATAGATGTTTCCTAAATAAGAAAATAATTGAATATGTGGGTACTGTCTTATTTTTTAAATTTAATTTAAGTTCTGGGATACATGTGCAGGATGTGCAAGTTTGTTACATAGGTAAACATGTGCCATGGTAATTTGCTACACCTGTCAACCCATCACCTAAGTATTAAGCCCCACACATGTTATCTATTTATCCTGCTACTCTCCCCCCACACCCCAGGGCCTAGTGTGTGTTGTTCCCCTCTTTGTGTCCATGTGGTCTCATTGTTCAGTTCCCACTTATAAATGAGAACATACGATGTTTAGTTTTCTGTTCCTGTGTTAGTTTGCTGAGGATAATGGCTTCCAACTCCATGCATGTCCCTTCAAAGGACATGATCTCGTTCCTTTTTATGGCTGCATAGTATACCATGGTGTATATGTACCACATTTTCTTTATCCAGTCTATCATTGATGGGCATTTGGGTTGATTGCATGTCTTGCTATTGTGAATAGTGCTGCAGTAAATATACACGTGCATGTATCTTTAAAATAGAATGATTTATATTCTTTGGGTATATGCCCAGTAATAAGATTGCTGGCTCAAATGGTATTTCTGGTTCTAGGACTTTGAGGAATTGTCACACTGCCTTCCACAATGGTTAAACTAATTTACATTTGGGGCGCTATTTTAAATGGCTATAATAATGTCTCATGTAAGCTATTTCATTTTGCAAAAGACCTAACATTTGCTCATACACTATGCACAATGCATAGGAAATATGCATATATGTGTGTATATTTATCTACTGTTCATTACATATTTGTTTTGAGTAAGTGTAAAAGATCAATGATACAAGCGTGTACACAGTAGGGAGATTGGGTCCTGATGAGGCTGGAGAACTGAACAGGGACCCCATCATAGGATCATGTGACAAAACTAAAGGTTTGCAATACCAGGAGCCCTTGAAAGATTTTAAGTTAGGGAACACCAGATTTGCCTTTTGGAAAGGTCATTTGGCTACAATGTGGAGAGTAAATTGCTAGGGAAGGTTGGGTATTAGGAGTGGAAACGAGATCATTATCCTCCCAATAGACTCCCCCTGAAAAAATGAACGCATGGCTCTTTTGGCCCTACCATTCTGCATGGATTATAAATGGCTGACATGTTATCTTATTTAGGGATTTCATTTTCTATCACACCTTCACCTGTACTTACTCACTTACTTCAGATAGATAATGTTGAGAAAGGGTCTAGCAATTTTTTTTCAAAGCCACAAGACTAGGAATGCCCAGGTGCCTGACATCGTTTACAGTCCGAGGAGACGCGGGCACTAGACCTGAAACTCACAGTCCTCCTATGTGCAGTCAAGGCAGCTTGAGACAGCAGAACTTGAGGCACTCCTTCTGCCATTGTCTTGATTTGTAATCTTTGTAATTCATGCTCCTGAGTTTTTGTGCTCCCTCCCTTCCATAAAAGTGGGGTACGAATACAATTTTCTGTGCTTTCACTCGGCAGGATAATTGTACTCATTAAATGGGAAAAGGTGTGTGCAAGTGCTTTGTGAATTCATTCATTCTTTTAACAATTTATTAAGTGCCTATTATACATCACAAGCTGAACCACATATTTATAATACACATTCAAATAAGAGAACAAAACAGAAATAAAAGCAATAATTAAATTACAGTGTATCAGTTTTTATAAAAAAAATAAGCAGAGAATGCTCTCATAGATACACACCATCAGGAGAAGCCTTTCGTCCATTTCATATGGGTGTGGGGCATGATCGGAGAAGGATGCCTACAGGAAGGCGTACTCAAGCTTAATTTTCAAAACACTGAATGTTTATTGATATTTTCAATTATTTTTTATTCTGAATTAATATTTAAAAGTACTATTTGTCTTATTAGCTGCATGAAAGAGGACTTTAGAAGAGTCTGTTTAGATTCTTTTAGCATGCAGGTACGGGGAGATTTCCTCAGAGTGGGTCTTCCCACTCCTATGCAGATGGTTCCCAGCGAGAGGGCAAATTCCTTTCCAGAGGGAACCTCGGTGCAGCGGCTGGCACTTCTGATGTACTTGCATAACTGTCAATTTTTACCCCAAATTTGTTTCCTCTGTGTACATGCTATAAATCACCTGGATTTTATTAGGGAGGTCTTGTATTTCTTAACAAGGTAACGTCTTTGGGAGGCAAGTCTGTTTGCCTGGGCCGTGAGCAAATAACATTTAAAACAATGTCCTCCGAGCTGGTACTCTGGTGAGATCAAATGGATTGAAATACAGGACGAAGTTTGTTTTATAAACCAAACCTCATCTTTTATGACTCTCATGCTTGCCTCTGGACTCTGAAAGATTCTAAGCTTGAAATAATCGAAGCAATAAGGGGTATTTTCTACTTGCAAAGGAAAGTTTTAGTTTATTTGCTTATTTTTCCCCCTTTTCCTTTCCTTTTTTCCTTTTTTTTTTATGCCAGAGCTTATAAACATGCAGATAAATAATCGAAGCAATAAGGGGCGGGGGGAGGTGGGGGAGACTCAGGCATGGCGGGCTGCAGGTCCCGAGGAGCCCTGCCCTGCAGGGAGGCAGCTAAGGCCCGGGGAGAAATCGAGCACAGCAGCTGCTGGCCCAGGTGCTAAGCCCCTCACTGCCCGGGGCTTGCAGGCCTGCCGGCTGCTCTAAATGCGGCCCGCCGAGCCCTCGCCCACCCGGAACTCTCGCTGGCCCGCAAGCGCCGCGCGCAGCCCCGGTTCCCACCCTCGTCTCTCCCTCCACACCTCCCCGGAAGCTGAGGGAGCCGGCTCCGGCCTTGGCCAGCCCAGAAAGGGGCTCCCACAGTGCAGCGGCGGGCTGAAGGGCTCCTCAAGCGCGGCCAGAGTGGGCGCCAAGGCCGAGGAGGCGCCGAGAGCGAGCAAGGGCTGCGAGCGCTGCCAGCATGCTGTCACCTCTCAACAACACCATTGACATTTTGTGCAGCTGAAGGCAGCAGGCCAGATGGACAATGTGACTAATGTGGAGTCACACTCCAGAAGGAGTCAGATGCATGCATTCTGCTTCCTAGGTCAGTGTTCTTCCCTTTCATATTGCTTTTATTTTCATTTTTGTGACTGAGTGCAAACTGCTAGCTCACTTAAGTGCTTAGTGCATACTGTCTTTTTGGTTATTTTCCTTTGTGGTAATATCTCCTCAGGGATTCATCTGAGTCTTTGAAATCAACCTACCTACATGTTAAAAAAAATGCAGTGAAAAATGCTATATTCTATGCCTATATGCTATTCTAGAGACAATTTTAGAATGAAAGGAAATTATCTCTGTTAGAGCCTTCGGGGAGCTTAGATTTCTGATATAAAAATGGGAACGCAGTTTTCCTCTATCTCCCATTTTAGGACGTCAGCTTCTATTATTTTATTGCTGGCAACCTAGAAAAGGGAAAAAGGAAAATAAAACCATGCCATTCTAGAAATAGTGACCTAATTTCAGCCCTAGAAAAAAGTAAGAGTCAGAGGAAAAAAAAAATCCTCAGGAAGAACAGGAATATCATGATTCAGAATTAAGGTATGTTAACAACATTCTGTATGGCAGAGGCCGAAATGGTAAGACAGAGAAGAGATTATTTGACCTGCGTACAAGCACCTGGCCAGATTTGGGAAGGGGACCTGACAGCACTCAGTTTATTGGACCTGTATCTTGCCTTTAGCCAAACCATGCTAATTAAAAGTTAGCAAATATGCTAATTAAAAGTTAGCAAATGAATGTTGGGAATTCGAGTTCTAAACACAGTTCTAAACTTGGGAATCTCTTAATAAGGACCACTGGCTCTGCCTTTGAGGGCATCAGATCCCAAAAGCAAGCAAGCCCCATGAAGTCTAGAAACCAGAGAAAGAAACTGTTTATCAATCTGTAGTCACAAAAACCTTGAGCAAAGACAGGTGTCTCTTCCTAGGAGAAGCAAACACAGTCACAAGAGAAAAGCAATTGCTGCATTAATAAGTAAAAAGGGAACAGAAGGATTTTTCTTTAGAACGGATGCATGGGATTTTCTTTGGTGATGTAATCTGTATTATATACGGGTTCACGTAAGAATGAACTCCTTGGAGTTTGTGTCTGGATCTCAGGCAAGTTGAAGGGTAAGGTCAGTTCCACAGGCTTAAGGCAAATTTCCTCATCTGTAAAATGGAATAGGAGGATCTTTCTTGCAGAGTTTATGAGGATTGAGTGGGTTACACTAAGGTCCTGGTACAATGCCTAGTACAGATATGACAGTTAACAAGTTACTTCTCTTCCTTCCATTAATGATGGCAAAACATTTAAAGTTTTGCCAGAATGCTGGGCAATTATTAGGGAGATAAAGGTGGATACAAAAAGAAAGATCAGGGGAAAAAAGAACAACCTGAGAAGAATAGAAAACTGGATATAACAAGTTTTATGTTTTTACACTTCTGATAAGAGTGTTCCTTTTATCAGGGCTTTGCAAGTAGGGACCGGGTATTATTTCCCAAAATGGTGAGTAAAGAAGCAACTAGATGCATTTGAGCTTTCAAAAAGGTAGAGACAACTAACCACATGTTAAGGTTTTATTTTTGAAAAGTTTTTAGAAAATTCCTAAAAAGCTTGCCATGCACTGTGGTTGTAATTGCCAAATTTCACGTGTAGTTGCTCTCAACTTCTATATCCCATTCAAATTCTTGATCATTTATTTGACTTTTCTTTCTCCATAACTTTTAATTCATCACTTGCCTGTGTGCTTGGGAAGTTCCTCATTTTGGCCTCTCTCAGGAGACCTCTCTCCATGCTAGGCAGGCGGACATTGTGATGTGTATCTTAGCCCCCCGGTTTTCCTTTTAAGGAACCCCTGAGAATGGTAATATTATTATCCCTATTTTACAGAAGAGTTGGCTTACATTTAAAAGCAGTAGTAGTGAACCCCAGAGGCACCTTGCCTGGCTTTAAATTTTGGTCCCCTATTTACTAGCTGTGTGATTTTGAGCAAGTTGCTTAACCTCTCTGTGTCTCAGATTCCTGATCTGTTAAAAGAGAATAATACTTTTGCATTATGGTTATTGTAAAGCTGATAATGCATGCTATGTGCTTAGCAGAGTACCTTGCACTAAGCGAGTTTAGGATAAATATTAGCCATTATTGTTATGAGAGAGGTTAAATATCCCGCTCCTAGAAATATCAGCAGCCCCTGTAAAAGGCATGTCAGCCTGTTTCTGGAGCCATTGTTCTCCACCACTCTAGGGTGTATGCACCTCATGCGTTGTGTTATTTTATGAATCGAATTGAAGGCCAAGTGCTATAGTCTTTGGAAAAAAATTATTACAGCTTACAAAAGATCAGAAAAATTTATTTTAGAAATTTGAAGGTATCAGAACATTGTAAATATTTGATTCATCCTATAACTGAAATTGAAGGATGGATATATATGATTTGCAAATAAAATAAAAGTACACATAAAGTGATTCAGTTTGAGTATCTCCAGTAATGGAAATGGCAAGAAAGTGGCATTTCTTGCAAGGATAATGAACAATTTACAAGAGAAGTAAATACAATCTGTAGCTCATTAAAGTCTTAGCAATAAGCACCTGTGGTAAAAAGAAACTTATTAGGGCTTGAATGCGGGCTAGACTAGGTGTGGTGACGGATGACACTAAGAGTTTTATGTGGGGGGTGGAAGGGCAATTCAAGAGGGATAAAGTAATATAATGGTAATAGGCTGCCTCTTTCTGTGGTTCTGAACAGAAGAGGAAAGAGCCATTTAGGAGAGGGAACTGGCCAGCTTCCCTTCTCTGAAGGCATATGCCTCAAGGATGCCCTACTTAGCACTGACATTGCGGAATTGTTCTCCTGTTTCTCTGAATTTTTTAGAACAAAAAGATTTAAGATATTTGAGCCCCTAGATGAGGTCCTGCTTATTCGGCAGCTCTTTCTTGACTCTTTCTATCTCACCCTTTCTAAGGAGCTCAGAGTCTGAGCTTGATTTTAAAATCTGTGTAACTGTGTGATATTATAACAATCACTTCTCTGGAAAAATGTTGAGCACAATGGAAGAACAGAGGAAAAGCAGCAACTCTGTCTGGGATTGTGAGAAACAAGATCACTTCCCCAAGTTTCTTGTCATATGCGTAGGAATTTTTTAGGTAGAGGAGAGAAAAGGAACTGCATGTGAAAGGGAATGGTGACAAGTGCATTTGGGGGAGGTGGCCGGGAAAAAACACGTTTATTATCTCCTCTTTGAAATGTGGGGGTCCAAGCCATATGTGCTTGAAAATTTTGAATTTTTCAGATTTTTGAAAGAACTTTGTTCAGTTCCTCCAAGTTTAACTGTTCTTCCCTCATTAAGACTTTTTTTTTTTTTTTTTGTATGAGCACTGGCCCGAATCAGTGCTTCCTCAGGTTATAGCTTTTATGAATCATTACATTTTCCTCGTCTCTGTGGGAATTGGCCTCTCCCCAATTTCCTGCATTGGTCTATAGTTTTCCTTAAGAACTTGAAAAGCAAAAATTAGACTTTGTTGTATAGAATAAGTGGTGAATGAGCACATGCACCAGAAATCAACATAAGAATAAGTCCTTTTGAGTGTTCAAAACTGGTGTATTATTTGTGACTCAGACTCCTTAAATTTCGTTTACATGTAGCAATTTACTTTAGAACTCAGTATTCATATGTTCAAACGATTTTTTGTCCTCTCTGTGTTCTCTCCAACCCCCACTCCCATCCTATTAACAAGCACTTCCCAAAGGTCCGATTTTATTGTACTCATCTAATTGATAAGCGTGCTCAATTTATATCAGTGACAGTTTAGCATATTTTAGAAAATTTTACATTACATGATTTCATGAATTGGAACAAGACAGGGTTCATTCAGCATTGTACAAATGAACAAGGGGTGGGTATATATGTGTGTTGCTCACATTACTAAACTATTACAGTGTTATTCAAACTTGAACATGCATCAAGCTCACCTAGAGGTTCTTATTTCCAGAGTTTATCATGCAGGAGGTCTGGGATAGGGCCTGATAATCTGTATTTCTAATAAGCTTCCAGGCTATGCTGCTGCTGCTGTCCCAGAGACCACACTTTGAGAACCACCAGGCGTTAGCAATCTAGGGGGATAATTCACTAGAGGGAGTGAAGGAGGCTCCACCAGCTGGCTGTTGACATTCACTGAAGGAACGGAGGGATGATAGGTCTGAATGCTCAGCAGATGAAAGAAATAGAAGGATGGTGAACAAATGTGGAATTAAGAAATATGCCTTAGACCCTTCTGAAGCACAAGTCGATGACTTCTTGGGGCTGGGAAGCAGTGCAAGGCAGGAGGCAGAAATGGAGCAACTGAGGTTCAGTTATGACTTCTTGATGAGGACATTATAGGGAAGCAGGAGAAGGAAGGGTACAGAGATCAAACTTCCACACACAACAGCCCTCGTTTCAAATCCAGGGTCTTCCAATTTACCCAGGTGTTTTGATGTTTTTATGAGTTAACCTCCCTGACTCTCAATTGTCTTCTCTGTGAAGTGTGGGCAGTTGTGGTAACCTCATGGAGACTAAAACTGCGTCAGACACTAGCTACAAAATAAAATACTAAAATACTTCTTTTAGTCATAATGAAAGGGTCAGCTAATGACGATCACAATTCTGGACCCATGGATCACATTTAATATGTATTTGTGTCCAAGCAGAACTTATAATGATTGGATTAACATAATAAATTTGAGGCATAGCAGATAATGAAAAACTGCAGAAGAGCCAGGTCCCTCACTCTCTATTACTGGGAATGCAGAAGAGTTATGGTTGAACTAAAGCAAAAAAAAAAAAAAACAATAATAATAAAGACAATAACAGCAATGAATATTTATTGAATTCCTTCTGAATTTCTATGAGCCATGCCACCACAATTTTAAAATGTGTATATATACACACTCGTGTGTGTATGTGTTTGTACAATCCTTCACAGAACTCTATAATAAAATAGGCATTATTAGCAGTCCATCTTACTTTGAGAAAAACTGAGATACAGGCAAGGTATAGACCATATAAGAAATACCCCAGAGGCATAAAATTTAACATTTAGCATTAAATAAGTTCAAAGGTATTGAGCTTTCCTTGATCCGTATGTATCTTGCCCTGTCTTTGTTTGTTCCATAGTATCTCTTTATTGTTCCAAGATCTTAAATATTCCATTAAAAATTTCTATAGCAATCCATTTGCTATGTTCACAATCCCTCACCATGTTTCTGACATTTTCTCTCCGTTCCTGGCATGCTGCTTTTTTCTAAATGTGTGATTAATGGTAACCTCCAAAGACCAAGGTGGTGCAACCAGTTGTGGCTGTGCTTGTTTCCTTTCCATATCCAATCATGAAGGGCAGGGCATAATACAGTATCAGCCATCCTGTGGGAGAGTGGAGGTCAGCACTACCTCCCTGGCTAGTCAGATTGACTTTTTCAGAAAGAGTTACCAACCTGGTTTCCAGCAGTGGACCAGGCTTCAAAGGGAACACTAGCCTGGCCTACTCACAGAGATTGCTCTGCTTTCAGAGAAAGTTGACAACCAAACACCCTTGCTATTAATCACCTCCTAACTCAAACTCTGACTCCTGAGCTGGCTTAGCATCTCATTATCTAGCTATGTCTTCCTGCCTTTCGTTGTTTCTCCTTACCTCCATCCCTAGCTTCAGGAGACTCTCCACCTTTTTCACCTGTGCCCTGTTGAGAATGAGCAATGCCCTAGTCTAGAATACCAGAAAATGTAAGAATTTAGTAAGTAAAACATATTATTCTAAGGGGATCAAGTCAGTATAGTTTGTTGCTTTAAGCTAAAAGGCTATAAGAGATAATTGGCACCCTATATTGAAATAGAAAAGTTGCCACTATTTCTAGAGGTTGTTATGTGGGTGAAATTGCTTAAACTTCAAAATTAAAGTCAGTTTGAAATTTATAATTTTATGGCTTAGGGCTTTTTAGTGATACTGTTGAGCAAACAATAACATTCTCACCTTGCAGGAGCGTTTTTTAAGATATGATAGATATCCTATTTTTTTGGATATGAATATAGAAGAAAGATTCCCCTCATTTAGGGAATCCTTATGTTTTGTTTTCTTTCTTTTTTTGTTTTTTGAGACAAAATCTCGCTCTTGTCCCCCAGGCCGGAGTGTGATGGTGCAATCTCGGCTCAAGCAATTCTCCTGCCTTGGCCTCCCAAGTAGCTGGGATTACAGGCACCTGCCACCATGCCCGGCTAATTTTTGTGTTTTTAGTAGAGACTGGGTTTCACCATGTTGGCCAGGCTGGTCTAGAACTCCTGATCTCAGGTGATCCACCTGCCTCAGCCTCCCAAAGTGCTGGGATTACAGGCGTCAGCCACCGTGCCCGGCCCCCTCTCCTGTTTTCGTAGCTTTTTCAATGCCTATCTTTATTACTGAGTTTATAATAATACACTGAAATAATCTACTTACAGCTACTTCTCACATGGGCCTATGAGTTAGTGGGACCCTGTCTTATTCATAACTGTATCC
This sequence comes from Homo sapiens, assembly GCF_000001405.40. Lineage (NCBI taxonomy): Eukaryota > Metazoa > Chordata > Mammalia > Primates > Hominidae > Homo > Homo sapiens. The sequence continues at coordinate 12,602,884 of NC_000004.12, read as the reverse complement.
TCAGCATCTAACTCAGTGCTTGGGGCATAAAATGTGTCTTAGAGAATGTTTGTCAAGTAGAACTCAATTGAGGTGGGACTAAAGACATTGGTAGGAGGGGTTGTTTTCAGATTAAGGGATATTATGAATGTTTGTGGTATTACAGCTGTGATAGTTAATTTTAATTTTATGTGTCAGTTTGACTAGATCATGGAATGGCTAGATATACAATTAAATAATAATATATCCGTGCAAAAGTATTGTGGTTTTTGCCATTGAAAGCAATGGCAAAAACCACAACTACTTTTGTACTGATTATATGGTTTGGCTGTGTCCCCATCCAAATCTCATCTTGAATTGTAACTCCCACAATATCCATGTGTCATGAGAAGAACCCGGTGGGAGGTAATTGAATTACGGGGGTGGACCTTTCCTGTGCTGTTCTCATGATAGTGAATGAGTCTCATGAGATCTGATGGTTTTAAAAACGGGAGTTTCCCTGCACAAGTTCTCTCTCTTGTCCCTGCCATGTAAGAAGTGCCTTTTGCCTTCCACCATGATTGTGAGGCCTCCCTAGCCACATGGACCTGTAAGTCCACTTTTAAACCTCTTTCTTTTGTAAATTGCCCAGTCTCAGCTATGTCTTTATCAGCAGTATGAAAATGAACTAATACAACTGATCTAATATTTCTGAGTCTCTCTGTGAGGATGTTTCTATAAGACATTAGCTTTTGAATTGATAAGACTGAGTAAAGTGGATTATCTTTTCCAATGTTAGTGGGCATCATCTAATCCATTGAGGGCCTGAATAGAACAATAAGATGAAGGAAGAGAGGATTTGCTGGCTCTCTGCCTGACTGTTTGAGCTGACACATCAATCCTTTCCTGCCCTTGGACTGACACCTAAACCATTGGCTTTCATGCTCTCAGGCCTTTGAATTATGCCACTCTCCTGTGTGTGTCTCTCATTCATGGATGACAGAATTTGGAACTTATTAGCCTCCATAATCTCATGAACCAATACCATATAAATATATGTGTGTGTTTCTGTGTCTGTGTGTGTGTGTGTGAATATATGTGTATATACGTGGTATTTTTAAAAATCCTGTATATGGTATATATCGTACATTTTTAAATATATATATGACATATACATACCAAATATGGTATTTATGGTGTGTGTGTATATATATATATGGTATTTTAAAAAATAAGACATATAGACAGATAAATAGAATCTCCTAATATATGTGTATCCCTATTAGTTATGTTTTATTTTATTTTACTCTATTAAGTTCTGGGGAATATGTGCAGGATGTGCATGTATGTTACATAGGTAAAAGTGTGCCATGGTGGTTTGCTGCACCTATCAACCCATCACCTAGATATTAAGCCCAGCATGTGTTACCAATTTTTCCTAATGCTCTCCCACAACCCCCATCCTCCCTTGACAGGCCCCAGTGTCTGTTGTTCCCCTCCCTGTGTCCATGTGTTCTCATTGTTCAGCTTCCACTTATAAGTGAGAACATGCAGTGTTTGGTTTTCTGTTCCTGTGTTAGTTTGCTGAGAATAACGACTTCCAGCTCCATCCGTGTCCCTGCAAATGAGAGGACATGATCTCATTCCTTTTTATGGCTGCATAGTATACCATGGTGTATATGTAACACATTTTTAAAATCCAGTCTGCTATTAAGGGGCATTTGAGTTGATTGCATGTCTTTGCTATTGTGAATAGTGCTGCAATGAATATACGGGTGCATGTGTCTTTATAATAGAATGATTTATATTCCTTTGGGTATATACCCAGTAATGGGATTGCTGGGTCAAATAGTATTTCTGGTTCTAAATCTTTGAGGAATCACCACACTTTCTTCCACATCGGTTGAACTAATTTACATTCCCACCAACAGTGTAAAAGTGTTCCTATTCCTTTGCAACCTTGCCAGTATCTGTTGTTTCCTGACTTTTTAATAATCATCATTTTGACTGGTGGTGTGAGATGGTATCTCATTGTGATTTTGATTTGCATTTCTCTAAGGATCAGTGATGTTCAGTTTTTTTTCATATGTTTTTTGGCTGCATGTTTGTCTTCTTTTGAGAAGTGTTAGTTCATGTCCTTAGCCCACTTTTTTTTTTCTCAGAAATTTGCTTAAGTTTCTTGTAGATTCTGGATATTAGACCTTTGTTAGATAGATAGATTACAAAAATTTTCTCCCATTCTGTAGGTTGTCTGTTTGCTCTGATGATAGTTTCTTTTGCTGTGCAGAACCTCTTTAGTTTAATTAGATCTCATTTGTCAATTTTTGTTTTTGTTGCAATTGCTTTTGGCAATTTCATCATAAAAATATTTGCCCCTGCCTATGTCCTCAATGGTATTGCCTAGATTTTCTCCTGGAGTTTTTATAGTTTTGGGTTTACATTTAAGTCTTTAATCCATCTTGAGTTAATTTTTGTATAAGGTATAAGTAGGGGTCCAGTTTCAATTTCCTGCATATAGTTAGCCAGTTCTCCCAGCACCATTTGTTAAGTAGGGAATCCTTTTCCCATTGCTTGTTTTCGTCAGTTTGTCAAAGATCAGATGGTTATAGATGTGCAGTTTTATTTCTGAGTTCTCTATTCTGTTCCATTGATCTATGTGCCTGTTTATGTTTTAGTACCATGCTGTTTTGGTTACTGTAGCTTTATAGTATATTTTGAAGTCAGATAGCATGATGCCTCCAGCTTTGTTCTTTTTGCTTAGGATTGTCCTGGGTATACAAGCTCTTTTTTGGTTACATATGAATTTTTTAAAAGTTTTTCTTAATTATGAAAGAATTTAAAAATGTCAATGGTGTTTAATGGGAATAGCATTGAATCTACAAATTGCTTTGGGCAGTATGGCCATTTTCATAATATTGATTCTTTCTATCCATGAGCATGGAATGTTTTTTCATCTGCTTGTGTCCTCTCTGATTTCCTTGAGCAGTGGTTGCTAGTTCTCCTTGAAGAGGCCCTTCACCTTCCTTGTTAGCTGTATTCCTGGGTATTTCATTCTTTTTGTGGCAACTGGGAATGGGAGTTCACTCATGATTTGGCTCTCGGCTTGTCTGTTGTTGGTATATAAGAATGCTTGTGATTTCTCCACATTGATTTTGCATCCCGAGACTATGCTGAAATTGCTTATCTGCTTAAAAAGCTTTTGGTCTGAGTTGATGAGGTTTTCTAGATATAGGATCATGCCATCTGCAAACAGGGACAATTTGACTTCCTCTCTTCCTATTTGAATACCATTTATTTCTTTCTTTTGCCTGATTGCCCTGGCAAGAACTTCCAATACTATGTTGAATAAGAGTGGTGAGAGAGGGCATCCTTGTCTTGTGCCAGTTTTCAAGGGGAATGCTTCCAGCTTTTGCCCATCCAGCATGATATTGGCTGTGGGTTTAATTGCTCTTATTATTTTGAGGTATGTTCCTTCAATATCTAGTTTATTGAGAGTTTTTAATATGAAGGGATGTTGAATTTTATCAAAGACCTTTTCTGTATCTATTGAAATAATCATGTGGTTTTTGTCTTTAGTTGTGTTTATAGGATTAGGATGAATTATGTTTATGGATTTAAATATGTTGAACCAGCCTGGCATCCCAGGGACGAAGCTGACTCAATTGTGGTGGATAAGCTTTTTGATGTGCTGCTGGGTTTGGTTTGCCTGTATTTTATTAAGGATTTTTGCATCAATGTTCATCAGGGATATTTGCCTGAAGTTTTCTTTATTTGCTGTATCTCTGCCAGGTTTTGGTATCAGGATAATGCTAGCCTCATAAAATGAATTTGGGAGGAGTTTCTCCTTTTCAATTGTTTGGAATAGTTTCAGAAGAAAAAATACCAGCTCTTCTTTGTTCCTCTGATAGAATTCAGCTATAAATCTATCTGTTTCTATGCTTTTTTTGATTGGTAGGCTATTTATTACTGCCTTAATTTCAGAACTTGTTATTGGTCTATTCAGGGGTTCAACTTCTTCCTGGTTCAGTCTTGGAAGGGTGTATGTGTGCAGGAATTTATCCATTTCTTCCAGATTTTCCAGTTTATTTGCATAGAGGTGTTTACAGTATTCTCTGATGGTTGTTTGTATTTTTGTGGGGTTGGTGGTATCCCCCTTATTATTTCTGATTATGTTTATTTGAATCTCCTTTCTTTTCTTCATTAGTCTGGCTATCAATCTATTTATTTTATTGATTATTTTCAAAAAAGCCAGCTCCTGGATTCATTGATTTTTTGAAGGGTTTTTCATGTCTGTAGCTTCTCCAGTTTCACTCTGATCTTGTTTATTTCTTGTATTCTGCTAGCTCTGGTGTTTGCTCTTTCTCCTCTAGTTCTTTGAGCTGTGATATGAGAGTGTCAATTTGAGATCTTCCTTGCCTTTTGATGTGGGCATTTAATGCTATAAATTTTCCTCTTAACACTGTTTTAGCTGTGTCCCAGACATTCTGGTACATTGTTTCTTTGTTCTCATTAGTTTCAAAGAACTTCTTGATTTCTGCCTTAATTTCATTACTTACCCAGAAGTTATTCAGGAGCAGGTTGTTCAATTTCCATGTAGTAGAGTTGTTTTGAGTGGGTTTCTTAATCTTGAGTTCTAATTTGATTATGCTGTGGTCTGATAGATTGTTTGTTATGATTTCAGTTATTTTGCGCTTGCTGAGGAGTGTTTTACTTCCAATTATGTGATCAATTTTAGAGTAAGTGCCGTGTGTCGCTGAGAAAAATGTATATTCTCTTGTTTGGGGGTGGAGAGTTCTATAGATATCTATCAGGTCCACTTGATCCAGAGCTGAGTTGAAGTCCTGAAAATCTTTGTTAATTTTCCACTTCAATGATCTGTGTAATACTGACAGCAGGGTATTAAAGTATCTCAGTATAATTGTGTGGGGCTCTAAGTCTCTTTGTAGTCTTTAAGAACTTATTTTATGAATCTGGGTGCCTCTGTATTGGGAGCATAGACATTTGGAATAGTTAGCTCTTCTTGTTGAATTGAAGCCTTTACCATTATGTAATGCCCTTCTTTGTCTTTTTTTACCTTTGTTGGTTTAAAGTCTATTTTGTTAGAAACTACAGTTGCCACCCCTGATTTTTTTCTGCTTTCCATTTGCTTGGTAAACTTTGCTCTTTCCCTTTATTTTGAGCCTTTGTGTGTCTTTGCATGTGAGATTTTTTTTTTTTTAAATACAGCACACCAATGGGTCTTGTCTGTTTATCCAGCTTGCTATTCTGTGTCTTTTAATGGTGAATTTAGCCCATTTACATTTAACGTTAATATTGTTATGTGTGAATTTGATCCTGTCATCGTGATGCTGGTTGGGTAATTCTGTAGACTTGTTAATGTAGTTGCTTCATAGTGTCGTTGATCTGTGTACTTCAGTGTGTTGTTGGAGTGGCTGATATTGGTTGTTCCTTCCCATTTTTAGTGCTTCCTTCAGGAGCTCTTGCAAGGCAGGCCTGGTGGTGACAATATCCTTTGGCATTTGCTTGTGTGAAAAGGATTTTATTTCTCTTTCACTTATGAAGCTTAGTTTGGCTGGTGTTTTAATGTGTTCTCATGCTGGTAATAAGCACAGGTACCCTAAAACTTAAAGTATAATAATAATAAAATAAAAAAAGAAATACCTGGGATTGGGTAATTCATAAAGAAAAAGTGGTTTAACAGACTCACAGTTCCATGTGGCTGGGGAGGCCTCACAATTATGGTGGAAGGCAAAAGGCACGTCCTACATGGTGACAGACAAGCGATAATGAGAGCCAAGTGAAAGGGGAAAGCCCCTTGTAAAACTATCATATCTCATGAAACTTATTCACTGCCACCAAAACAGTAGAGGGGAAACTGCCCCCATGATTCAATTACCTTCCACCGAGTCCCTCCCATGACAAAGGAAAGTTGTGGGAGCTACAATGAAGATGAGATTTGTGTGGGGACACAGCCAAATGATATCAGCCATATATGAAATTCTGGGTTGGAAATTCTTTTCTTTAAGAATGTTGAATATTGGCCCCCAGTCTCTTCTGGCTTGTAGGGTTTCCACTGAGAGATCTGCTGTTAGTCTGATGGCCTTCCCTTTGTAAGTGACCTGGCCTTTCCCTCTGGCTTCCCTTAACAATTTTCCTTCATTTCAACCTCGGAGAATCTGAAGATTATGTGTCTTGGGGTTGATCTTCTCATGGAGTATCTTACTGGGGTTCTCTGGATTTCCTGAATTTGAATGACAGCCTGTCTTGCTACATTGGGAAGGTTCTCCTGGATGATATCCTGAAGTGTGTTTTCCAACTTGGTTCCATTCTCCTCATCTCTTTCAGGTACTCCAATCAGTCATAGATTTGGTCTTTTTACATAGTCCCATAGTTCTCAAAGGTTTTGTTTCTTCTTTTTTATTTTTTTTCTCTAATATTGTCTGCCTGCCTTATTTCGGCAAGGTAGTCTTTAAGCTCAGATATTCTTTCTGCCACTTGGTTGATTCAGCTATTGTTACTTGTGTATGTTTCATAAAGTTCTCATGCTGTGTTCCTCAGCTCCATCAGGCCATTTATGTTCCTCTCTAAACTGGTTATTCTAGTTAATGGTTCCTGTAACCTTTTATCATGATTATTAGCTTCTTTGCATTGGGTTAGAATATAATCCTTCAGGTCAGAGAAATTCACTATTACCCACTTTCTGAAGCCATCCACCTCAGCTTCAGCCCCACTCTGTCCCCCTGCTGGAGAAGTGTTGCAGTCATTTTGAGGAAAAGAGGCATTCTGGGTTTGGGAATTTTCAGTGTTTTTGTGATGGTTTTTCCTCCTCTTCATGGATTTATCTACCTTTGCTTTTTGAGGCTGTTGACCTTTGGATGGGGTTTTTGTGTGGTGTCTCTTTTTGTTGATGCTGTTGTTATTGTTGCTTTCTGTTTGTTTCTTTTTCTTCTAATAGGCCCCTCTTCTTCAGGTCTGCTGCAGTTTGCTGGGGGTCCACTCCAGACCCTGTTCATCAGGATATCACCAGTGGAGGCTGCAGAACAGCAAAGATTGCTGCCTGCCCCTTCCTCGGGGAGTTTCGTCCCAGAGGGACACCAACCTGATGCCAGCCGGAGCTCTCCTGTATGGGGTGTCTGGCTACCCCTGTTGGGAGTTCTCACCCAGTCAGGAGGCATGGGATCAGAGACCTGCTTAAAGAAGCAGTCTGGCTGCCCTTTAGCAGAGTTGGTGTGCTGGGCTGGAGTAATCTCCCTTGTCTGGATCACCCAGACTCTTCAGAGCAAGCAGGCAAGAAAGATTAAGTCCACTGAACCTGAGACTGCAGCTACCCCTCCCCTGAGGTGCTCTGTCCCAGGGAGACGAGAGTTTTGTCTGTATATCCCTGGCTGGAGTTGCTGGAATTCCTGCAGGGAGGCTCTCCCTGGTGAGGGGGGATGGATGGATCCAGGTCCCACCTAAAGAAGCATTCTGGCCATGATCTGTCACAGCCACTGTACTGCGCTGTGGGGAATACTGACCAGTCCAAACCACCCAGCCTCCCGAGCACTGGCAGGGGAAAACCGCCGACTAGAGCCTCAGTAATGGCAGTGATCCCTTCCCCAAGGAACTCAGTCATCCCAGGCAGACTCTAGGCTGTTGTGCTGGCCAGTGGGGATTCCAAGTCAGTGGGTCTTATCTTGTGGGGTTTCATGGGAATGGGACTCGCTGAGGGAGGCTGCTTGGCTCCCTGGCTTCAGCCCCCTTTCCACGTGAATGGACATCTCTCCTGCCTCCGTGGAGTTCCAGGAGCTGCTGGAGTATGTAAAACCTCCTGCAGCTCAGTGCCTGCCTGAATGGCCACCGACCCGAGCAACTGTTGTGGGTCTGCCAGTTTCGTGCTTGGGACCCAAGGCCCTGGTAGTGTAAGCACACGAGGGAATCTTCTGATCTGCAGATTCCAAAAATCCATGGGAAAAGAGTAGAACCCCAGGTGGGTAGCACAGTCCCTCACCACCTCCCTTGCCTTGGGTAGGGAGGTCCCTTTGCCCCGTGCAGCTCCCGGGTGAGCCATCGCCCAAACCTGCTTTTCTTTGCTCTCCATGGGTCACATCAACCGCCTAGTCAGTCTCAATGAGACAATCTGGGTACCTCAGTTGGAAATGCAGAAATCATGCCGCCTTTTGCATATGTCTCAGTGGAAGCTGCAGACCAGAGCTGTTTCTACTAGACCATATTTGCCCCTCCGCCAAGTTTTTTTTTTTTTTAAACCCTAACTAATATGCCAGCTATCACTAAGTCATAAAACCTAGGGTAGATCTGTTAATAGGCATAGTTTTTAGAACTTATGCTTAATGACTGCAATGTCATCTGAGATAAACGCTCAAATTTCAGTCTTCCAGGACCACACTAATAATGGGTCTATAAATTCTCTGTGTTTAACATTGAGATGCCTTTCCCATTCAAGACGGGTCATTATTAAAAACCTCTAATTAATACTATCTCCTACTTCCAACATACAGTTTATCTTACCCTGCTTCATCCATCGCCATATGTTTGTTTAAATCAAGAAACTCCGGCAGGGAGTGATATAAAGAAACATAGACTTTAGGCTTGGCTTTTCAAGATAATTGGGGTTTTAGGGGGATGACGTTGGCATTTTAGCTGGAGTCAGAATGTGGTCAAAGGGAGATATAGAGGCCTTCACTGAGTGGGGTCTCTCCATGTTTTTCCTTCTATAAGCTTTGTGAAGACAGATGACAAGTCTGCCTTTGGAAAGTTCTTAGATGGAAAAGAGAGGATGTCAAGCCAATTAGGCCCACAGCGAGCAGGCATCGGAGAGCTATTAAAATAAGATCAGGCCTAGTCCCCCCTTAGTTATCTCCGCAGCACGCTCTGCCATCATGATTTTTGCTATCCGTGTCCATGATCCCTTTCACTCCTGGATTATCTGAGAGTTGACTTTCACTTTTGCTACAAACTCAAACATTCCTTGATAGGCAAGGTATATTTTCTAATATGCAAGTTAGATACCTTGGAGATCATTTTCTCCTTGACTTTTGAAAAATGCATCTCTTTTCTTTCAAAGACAAAACATTAAGGACACACTCAAAACTGTCAAATCTGATCCAAATTTTTTTCTTGACCCCCTGATGAGACTAAATTCAAAACCAATTAGCTGTTTCATGACTTTCACCTTTGATGAATGGCAATAGTTACTTTTCTCCCCCTAGGAGTAAAAATAAGAATCAGAGAGCTGAAAAGGATAAAACAGCTTTTGAGTCAGAAATCTTCAGGGTTTACTTATTTTAGTGATTACCCAGGGCAAAATTGTAGCATTTTTCTGGTTGATAATGGACACAGAGAGTAAGTAGCCCCAGCATCTATTGTAAAGATAAGAGAGCCGTTTCAGTGTGTTAGAAGACCTGTTCCAGGTGACTGATTCAACTGTGGCTAAAATAGAAATCCCGGGATTCTCTATTCTACACGTTTTTTTTAACAGACTGAGTTTTCTCCAGACCCAGTGCCTCCTTGGTGGGTTGCACACAGAATTTGTTCTTTGGCATGGAGGAAAAGTGTTTGGTATTGAATTTCAAAGTTGTGCATATTTACTCTGAAGCCCTGGTGAGTCATTTTCAGTGCTCACTGTTGTCTCTTTCATTTGCAACTCTCAAATGATGCAGAAGAGACACCTTTCCAACAGGTAATTCTCCCAGAAAGGAGTCACCATAAGCATGTTTACCATAGAAATGTTCTAATCACCCCTCTCTCTGTATTTCTATCAGTCTTTGCTCAAGATAGTTACTCTAAGGCTGCCTGGAATTCTCCTGTTGCTCTCATTCTTTAGAACTAAATCAAATGCCACCTCTTCTATTAAGACTTTCTATTAAGTTACTTTCTGTAACTCTTGAGGCTATGGTTTATTGACATTTGTAGAACACCTCTGCTAACATGATATCTAGGAATGGTTGATTGGTGCTTCAGAGGAAGCCTCAGGCTTAGCAGTGAACTGAGTCACCATACTCCAATGTTGCACGACCGCCTCTTGATCATTTATGAAGTAGAGTGTGCTGCTCTGTCAGGCTCTGTGATGAGCACTTATTGTATGTAATTTATTAGTCTGTTTTCACGCTGCTGCTAAAGACATGCTTTAGACTGGTTAATTTACCAAAAAAAAAAAAAGAAGTTTATTGGACTTACAGTTCCACTTGGCTGGGGAGGCCTCACAATCATGGTGGAAGGTGAAGGGCTTGTCTTACATGGATGGCAGCAGGCAAAGAGAGAGAGAGAGAGAGAGAGATTGTGCAAGGAAATTCCTGTTTTTAAAACTATCAGATCTTGTGAGACTTATTCACTATCACAAGAACAGCATGGGAAAGACCCACTCCCGTGATTAAATTACCTCCCACCGGCTTTCTCCCACGACATGTAGGAATTATGGGAGTTACAATTCAAGATGAGACTTGGGTGAGGACACAGCCAAGCCATATCAATAATTATTTAACACTATAGCAGTCATGCAAATGTGACTTGAAGACCTCCAATAATAGAGTGCTTACTTGACTAGGTCAGACACCTGTTGGCTCTGTAATCTATCATCACATTTGTATGGAGGCCACTCTTCCCATGGGCATGTTCTTAGCCAGTGACTGAGTGTGGCAGGGATACTAAGGCAGGTCCATTCCAGGAAACGTGTATGTTGACTATGGATAACTGTGACTCCAGGAACCCCGGACAGTGGACTTTGATCTTGCTGAACCCTCTTTAGGCTTCATGCTGGTCTGGGATGCTTCCAGGAATGTTTCTTCCCTCTCATCTTCACTAGCATCGGGCTTGTTTCCCAGCCTATCCAGCTTCATATTTTCTTTCTCATGCTTCTCCCCTATTACATATTTGGACATTTATTGCAGTCTTGGCATTTGTATCTTGGAGAACATGAACTAATACAAATGCTTAGAATAAGTCTGTGAGGCAAGTGCTGTTTTCCTTATATTTAGATGAGGAAAAACTAAACCCTAAGAACCTCCTGAGGTCCTACTGGCCTGTTACTAGAGGATAGCAGATCTGTAGTTAAAACCCAGGTCAGGATGACTCCAAACCCCACAGTTTGAATGACCACTCTGTTTTCTTAGCATACCTAGAGGTGAACGGCACTCAAAAACAAGCAGAACAAAACTTCGTAGATGGGCTAAAAGTGGACTAGATAGAGCTGAAGAAAATATTTATAAATTAGATGATAAAACAGGGAAAAATTATCAAGAATGAAGCTTAAAGTGATAGAGATATAATGTAATACTTGACATATAGCTTACTGAAGTTGCAAAGGGAAAGGATAGAAAGAATGGGGGTAAGAAAGAATTTGAGGAAGGAGTGACTACTCTTCTTTTTTTTTTTTTTGAGACAGAGTCTCACTCTGTCACCCAGGCCAGAGTGCAGTGGCACTATGGTGGCTCACTGCAATCTCTGCCTCCCGGGTTCACGCCATTCTCCTGCCTCAGCCTCCCGAGTAGCTGGGACTACAGGCACCTGCCACCATGCCCTGCTAATTTTTTTGTATTTTTAGTAGAGACGGGGTTTCACCATGTTAGCCAGCGTGGTCTCAGTCTCCTGACCTCATGATCTGCCTGCCTCGGCCTCTCAAAGTGCTGGGATTACAGGCGTGAGCCACCATGCCTGGCCAGGAGTGACTACTTTTAAATGAGTTCTTAGAAACTGTGACTAAGAACATTTAAGAATCTAGCTAAGGGAAATAGCTGAGATGCATCTCTGAGTTTTTCTGAGTCTGTAGCCAGGCCCTTTTCCAACACATTTGCAGCCAGTTGGCTCTTCAAGTTATTTTCACAAACTCAGCAATTAAACCTTGTTTTTCATGTTGGATATTTAATCAGTTGACACCTGTTTTCTTTTATTTGTTTGCCTGCTTTCTAATGTTTTCTTATAAAATCCATTTTATAGTTAACCCATTTTTTTAACGTATTGATCTAATTTTTGGATATTAATCTGTTATTAAATATATTTGGACTTATTTCTAGCTTTATAGCATCCTCTAATAGGTTGGGTTAACATTCTGAAACAAGGTCAGTATTTGAAAAGTCACTAAGATTATGCCAATTTTCTATCACTAAGTTTATATTACACAGTTCTACTGTTTACCAAACTGTGCTAATCACTTTGAGATTGTAAAAGATAATTATATGTCATGGTTCCTACCTGAAAAAGTATGTCATGTTGAATCTACAAAATGGCAAAACAATAAGCTAATGCATTGAGAAAATAAATCAATTTGGAAAATACATAAGTCCCACTTTTATATAGGTTAATTAAAAATACTGTTTTTATAAATATTTCATTGATAGAAGACTTAATTATTTTTTCATTTTTTAAAGTCCAATCAAATTACTTTCTTATCTGTTACATTTGATTTTTTTCCACTCATATATCTATATTACTGATACATTTTTAATTTTTAAAAATTAAAATACACTTCATATATCATACATTTACTCGTTTAAAGTGTACAATCCATGATTTTTAGTATATTGACAGTCTTAAAACTATCACCATAACTAATTACAGAACATTTTCATCACTTCAAAAAAAACCTAATTCCTGTTAACATTATGAACCATTCTTCCTCTCTCCCAGCCCTAGAGAACCACTCACTAACTAATTTGTTTTCAAGGTTCACACTAATAAAATTTTAATTGTAAACTTCCCTTTCATCAATCTTTGTCATAGAAAAGTAGACATGTTTCCAACTGTAAACCATATTTCTTATATTATTTACCTTGAATTCAAATCCAAGTAAATAACAAACCAGTGTACAAATTCAAATTAATGGTGGTTACAGTCATCAATCTTTAACTCAGAAAACTAATTTCACCTTTTCCACTTCGGTTCAACTTTTATTGGCTGGCTGGGGAGGAAAGAAGAAAGAATCACTGATGGTAATTACAAAGAGTGAAATATTTGTATAAAATATGATGCTGGTCATATCTTCCATTTTTCTCTAGGCTTCAAGATGTTCAAAATAAAATTTAAATCTATATTTAGCATTCAGTTAAGGCTTTGTAACTGGTACTTTAAAATTCTTTATCTTTCTCAGATTTGGGCTACTTATTATTGTTTTCATTATCATTACCATAATTATTATTATTGCTAAATTATCTATCTTTATTGGCTTTTTTCTATATTTTACATTATAAAAACATTATATAGGTTTTATAAGCTACCTATGATACCCTGAATCCTGAGGTATGCTATACAAACTTTTCAGTAAAAACATTTATTGAGAGGTGAATTTGTACTATAAAAAAGTAATATTCTGTGACTATACGTGTTATGGAAAATTATTTATTTTTAATGATTTTATTTATCTTACCTAAGGTTCTTTTATTGAGTTTTTGGTGAATGTGAATGAAAGATGGGAAATTTAAGAAAATGGACAGAAAAGAGCAATCTATTTGGAGCTGGGACCTCATATTAATCACTTGCTTATTTTCAGGAGCCATTGCCCCAGACCATGGGAAAGGATCAGTCAATATTTATAGGAGATAGAATATCAGGTTTCAGTTTGGGGTCTGAATTGAGACTGTATAGATTGCAGAGAAGGTTTTTATTTTCTTATTTATTTTCTTCTTCTTTTTGATGGCCCTGTTAGATTTTTCTACCTCTAAACTTGGTTATCATCTTTGCTGACTATATTTTCTTTCAAGGTTAGTTGAGTATTGGCTGTGCTAACAGCTTCAAGCGGCTCGTAACTTGGGGTCATTTTCTCCCAGGGCACACTTGCCGATGTCTGGAGACAATTTGGTTGTCACAATTGGAGAGCAGAGAGTGCTACTGGCATCTCATGGGTAGAAGCCAGGAATAATGCTAAATACTCTATAATGCATTGGATGGTTCCCCACAACAAATAATTGTTCTGGCCCAACATGTCAATAATGCCAAGACAGAGACACTCTAGTTAAATCCTGATTATACTGATTATATGAATAATTTGAAAGAAACAATCTTTACAATAGTCTGTCTTACTTTCTCTTGCATCATTTGCTTTGGAGAAATCCATGTTATAAGGGCATTAAAACAGTCCTGTGGAATGGCTCACATTGGAAGTCCTACCAACAACTGGCCAGTAGTGCCTGTCCCTGTGGTTGAGTCATCATGGAAGTGCATTCTTTCTCTTCATCAAGGCAAGCCTTTAGCTGACTCAAGTCTGGCCAGTATCTTGACTTCAAGCTCATGAAAAGCCCTGAGACAGAAATGCTCAGCTGAGGAACTCCCAATGCCTGACCCATAGACTCTACTTGTGATAATGAAACATATTTGGCTTCAATCCTCCATGTTTTGAAGTACATTTTTATGCAACACTTGGTAGTTAATATATTGCTGCTGACCTGCCATGTTTTCAACACCCGCTCAATTTCGTTTACTATCTCTGGGAGGCAGTGATTGTTTAAGATTTCTTCTGAAGTGTGACATTCGGAATCTATGCAACAAACTCTCTACAACCAGAGGGAGTTAAAAGGGGGATGGAAAGAGTGGAGTTTACTCCAAGGATAATAATTTAATCAGTTCAGAGAACTGAGTCCATTGTTTTTCTCAAAAACATCTAATATGGTGGACTATTGGATTATTAGCTAACTCTTTTTAGTCTACAGGCCCAATCAACCTATGTCATGGAAAAATCCTGTTTTATAGAAAACATCAAATTCTGTTACACCAGTAAAGATTAGCTCTTTACCTTTTCCCTAGTGGATTTGTATGGTTTGAACAGAATACCAAACTCATAGATATTTCATTATTTCTGAAATGGTGTTACTGCAAAGGCACTTTTTGTTCTCACAGAACTTCATCTGTCTAGAAAAAGTGTTTCTATTTCTCTTCCTAATCTCAACCAGAGAGTACATTAATTCAGATGACTAGTTCTTATTTTAATCACATTCAAATGAGCCCTTCTGGGATGTGACACACTGTTAACATTTATAGTATAAATTATTATTTAACAACCAACAACTTGGTAATAACTGAAATGTGTTGGTGTTAAGATGATAATAGTGATTTGATGAACACTGTGATAATAAGCTGAGGGTTTTTTTTAAAGCTAACAGATCAGTTTGGAAAACAATAAATATAGAGATAAGGAAATGATTGTCTTGTATGAGCTACAAAGGACAGCTGTCTGACAATAAAATCAAGTGTGTTTACCATAAAACACAACTAAAGAATTTTGGCAGGAAGGTAAATTTTTTAGAATTCCTTTGGACATTCTACAGTGAAAATAATTTCATTCAAAATTCTCTGAATTGGAATATAGAAAGCCCTGCAATTGAATTGCTGGTAAAATATTAAGACTGTCAGATTCCGGGTCCATGTTAGGATCACCAGCCTGGACATTTTGTATTAAGGTTAATCTAACTCCTTGTTCAAGTATGTCCATCTTACAGTTAACTCTGGGTCCCTGAATGACACGCAGAATGCATTATTCATCTTCTGTTTATGCTACATTGTTGACCAAACAGAAGGCACTCAACCAATGTTAGTTAAAGTTAGAAATAAGGGCGGGAAGAGGGAGAAAGAGAATGTCATAAAATAAAACATAAAATGGTCCACTCAGTGATGGATCTTGAGAATGTTCTGTCATTGATGTATAAATATTCACTGAACATTTACAGTTTCAGAACCTAGGTAACAAAGAGAACATTCCCTAGTCCCAGCCTTAAGTAGTTTATAGGCAGAGGTAACTGAAAATAAATACATCACAAGCGTATAGTTAATATTATGATAGGGCCTTAGGGAATACAATTATGGAAAGACAAAAAAGGTACTAAATACTTTCATCAGGGAAATGAATCTTCCTAAAAGTTGTCAGGTAGCAAAGGGCAGAAGGCTATTAGAAAGAGGAATAGTGTCTGCAAGGCCGAGAAGTATGTAAAAGACTGATTCTTTTGGACTTTTGGAGACAATAGCACATTTGCGGCATTTTTTGTTTGTTTTCCTTACTTGTTTCTCTCCTTTCTGTGAGATAATTTGCAATTCCAAGTGTTTTTATGTGACTTATGGTGCCTCAGTCTAGTAGATGTAGACAGCTGCACACCTTTGATGTCAAGGTTGGCCCTGTGACTTGTGTTCAGTGGAGAGGCAATGGAAGTGACCTTGTCATATCCAAACAGAAGCTTTCAGAACCCTCGCCTGGTGTGGATATTGTTTTCTTTTCCTTGTACCATGAGACTCACTCAAAGGTTGGTTTTTAAAGCTTGATTGCAGAGTGGAAAGAGACTGGGAAGAACACAGCAAACTACGGCTCCTAAGATGTAATACAGGAAAGAAACTTTTGTTGCTGGAAGCCACTGAAATAGAGGAGTGGTTGTTTATTATCATAGCATAATCTAATGAAAGCTTACTAAAGCAGTGATCAACATTATAAACCTTACACATTGCCAACGGCTATGGCCATTCTAAGTGTATAATTATGCTGCCTGTGGTCATCATTGTGAGAGTATAAGCACACACACACACACACACAACATTCAAATCGATGTGCAATTAAAGTGCAAACCAAATGTCTTGAATAATTCATGCACATATCTCACTGGAATCTCACATTTACATGTCTTTGCCAGTTATGGCCTGTATCTGTAAATCTCACAGAAATTGTTTCTGTTATTTATTAATAAAAATCACAGACAATCGTGAATATACTGATTTTAAATTTAATTTCAATCAGCTATCCTGAATTATAATATAATTATGAGTTAGAATATAATGATATTTATTTTAGGTTTAAGATTGTAGATTAGAAGATAACTAGAGTGCATAAAAGAACAGCTGGGGTGTATTGTATCATTTAGTTAAGAAGGAGCTGGGATGCATCCAGGATTGACTATAATGGCTTGTGATGGTCATCCAGGTTCATGGAACACAATAGGGTTAAAGCATAAGGCCAAGCTGACTCCATCAAGAAAGATCTCACCCACTTATATTCATGCTTTGAACAATTGAAAGTTTCTCAATATTTGTAATTGAAATACCTTTTCTCTAGACAACTCATTGTGTACCCAGTAATGTGTATCTACATTGTGCATCCTATAAGCAAATGACATGCACCTTCATGAAAGTCTGTTGAAAGCCCAAAGCTGAGTAAAGCAAGAAGAGGAGAGGACATCTAGTTACAGCATCATATAGCAGGCTTCATGGTGGTATCCATGGCATTTTTAGAATACTTTAAACATAAAGCAGATCCCCTTTTCCTTTTAATTTTAATTCACATATAAAACAACTCTACTTTTTAAAGGGGACAACTCAGTGGCTCTTAGAATGTTCACAAAGTTTTGCAGTCATCACGATAATCTAATTCCAGAACATTTTCAGTGTCCCAGAAAGAAATGCTGTACTCAGGCCTGGCTCAGTGGCTCACAACCTGTAATCCCAGCACTTTGGGAGACCAAGGTGGGTGGATCACCTGAGGTCAGGAGTTCAAGACCAGCCTAACCAACATGGCGAAACCCCGTCTCTACTAAAAATACAAAATTTAGCCGGGCATGCTGGCACACTCCTATAGTCCCAGCTACTCAGGAGGCTGAGACACAAGAATCACTTGAACCTGGAGGGCCGAGGTTGCAGTGAGCTGAATTGCACCACTACACTCTAGCCTGGGGGGCAGAGTGAAACTCCATCTCAAAAAAGAAAAAAAGAAAAAAAAGCTGTCCTCATTAATGTCACACTCCATTACTTCCTCTCCCAGCCTCTGCAAAACCACTAATCTACTTTCTGTCACAAAGGATTTACCTATTCAGAAGAGTTTATATGAACGGAATCATACAATATGTGACCTTTCATGTCTGGTTTTTTCATTTATAATAATGGTTTCATGGTTCATACATGTTATAGCATTCATCAGTACTTCATTATTTTTAAGGCTGAATAATATTCTATTTTATGGATGTTTGTTTACGCATTCATCCTTTGATAAACATGACTTCAGCTTGTTTCTGTTTTTAGCCATTATGAATAATACTGATCTGAATATTTGTGTATGAGATTTTTATGGATGAATGCTTTAACTTCTTTTGTGTATACATGAACAATTGCAATTTCTGGGTCATGTAGTAACTCTATGGATAATATTTTGAGGAACTTTTGAACTGTTTCCCAAAGTGACTGCACGTTTTTTTTTTATTTCAACCAGGAATGTATGCGGGCTCCAAATTCTCTACATCCTGTCTATAATAACACATGTCATTGTCCACCTTTTTGATTATGGTCATCCTACTATGTGTGAAATGGTATCTCATTTCAGCTTTGATCTGCATTTCCATGATGACTACTGATATTAAGCTTCCTTACCTGTGCTTCTTGGCCGTTAGTATATTTTCTTTGGAGAAATGTCTATCTAAACATTCACATTTTTTAAAAAAACTGGGTAATTTGTCTCTTTATTTTTTTAAATTCCATTTTTAAAGATTTTATTTTTTAATATAAGCCTCTGGGTCACAGCAAAATTGAGAGGAAGGTACAGAGATTTCCTGTATATCCTGTTCCCACACATGGATTGTCTCCCCTGTTAGCAACACCCCAAAAGGCATATAATGTTTATTCCAACTGACAAACCTGCATTGACACATGGTTGTCAGCCAAAGTCCACAGTTCACATTACAGTTCACTCTTGGTGTTGTACATTCTATGGTTTTGGACAAATGTATAATGACAGATACTCACCCTTATAGTATTCAGAATATTTTTACTTCCATAAAAATTCTGCAAGCTCCGCTAATTCATTCCTCACTCCCCACTAGCCCCTGGCAACTACTGTTCTTTGTACTAGCTCTACTAGTTTTGCCTTTTTCACAAAGTGATATAGTTGTAATATCTTTTATTCTCATGTTGTAAAGGTTCTTTAAATATTCTGGACACTAGACCCTTATTAAATATATGATTTGCAAATGCAGTCTTCAATTTTATGAATTATATTTTTACTTTCTTGATGTCATCCTTTGAAGCAAATTTTTTTTTAAACTTGGTTTCTATTTCTTTTTTCCCATTTTTGCTGTTGACTTCGGTGTCATAACCAAAATTCAGTTTGTAATCCAAGGTCACATACGCTTATTCACCTTTATTTTAAAAAAATTAATTGTGTAGTTTTGGTTCCTACATTGCTTTTGATTAAGCTTTTGTGTATAGTACGAGGGGGAGGTCCGACTTCATTTCTCTGCACATGAATATTCAGTTGTGCCTGCACCATTTGTTAAAAAGACTTTTCTTTCTCCCATTGAATTGTCTTAAAACCTTTATCAAAAATCAATTCACCCTAAATATATCAGCTTAATATGGACTCTCAATTCTATTACATCAGTCATGCAAACATTATTTTTGGAAGGAGGGATGGGAAAGAGCCACTGTTTCTCACTGAAGTGGTTTCATGACAGTAGAAAGAGGGAGGATATGAGTAGTTGCTGTAATCAAGTATTGGTGGCCAGCACACAGGGGCGATTTCCTCTCATCCTTTACTTTAGTTATTCCCACAGGGTGAGTTCATCACTGAAAGGCATTTCTTAAAGTGTGAGCACATATTTTCTGAAAAAATGTAGCAGACACATAAAATGTTCATAACTGTTTTGGCAGTGGGCAGAGCACCACACAAAAGACACAGGAAGATTATTCAAACAGAATATTACCTGGGACACAGCTTGAATTATTTGTGATGACGTAAATAGCTTTGTAGACAAAAGATAAAAAGTAACACATTTTGTACCCATGATAATATAGTTTATTTTTATAGTGTTGTTATGTTAAAATACAGTAAGACTATATTCAGATTACAAAAATTTATAAAATACCATAAAAGTAAATATGAAAATTTAAATATATGCATAATTTAACTGTCAATGTGCTGTTGTCTTTCATTTTATCCCGTGTTCTCTTATGTTACCTTATAACCAGGCATTATATGCATATTTTTACTTTTATTTATATGTGCATTTATAATTTAATAAAATTGACATCATATTATTTATATATTATTTTCTATCTCTTTAGTACATTATTTGAATATGTCTAGATCACTTAATATTCTTGAAAAATATTATTCTATAGTTATCTTTAGCTTACTAAATTATTGCTTGTTCAGTCTTTCCCTCTTTGAGGGATTATGAATTGTTTTCTTTTTTTAATTTTGCTAATATAATAAAAGCAGAAATATTTATCACTTTAAGATTAGTTAGCCAAATTTTGAATTTTTAATGGCATATTCTTTAAAGTGGTTTTTATCTTTTGGATGTTATTTAAAATATTTTATTAATCTGGGGAACTAGTCCCATTGCTGGCAAAACTTTTATCAATCACACTGGAAATTATATTCTATTTACACTTTAGCTTTTATGTCATCATTATTTTTCTCCTAGTGTCACTGTACACTGTGCATTTTCAGTATTTTTTTCAGATCTTTAAATATTAAAATGTTCTAAGTCTTAGTTCATAAACTGTTCTTTGTCAGGTTTTACTCCAGGTCATCTGAATGTGCTTATGTGCTGCTTTAACCCTGATGACTCCAAAATGTGTATCTTAAGTCCTGATTGTTCTCATGAACTGACACTCATGTATCTAGTGGTCTCTGATAATCTATCCAATGTCTAATACACATCTCAAACTTCGCATCCAAACTTCAAGTCTTCTTTTCTACCTGCACTCAAATCTACTCCTATCTCAGTTATCTCCATCTGAGTAAATGGCGAGTCCTAACTTTTGGTTTACAAGGCAAAAACTTAAAATCATTTCGGTCTAATTTCCCTCCAAATATTTACAGACAATTCATCACACAGTGAATGCTTTTAGCTTTACCCTCAGTTGTCTCCTCGCTGATCAATTTCCATAATCTTCACTGTCACCTCCTAAGAAAAAACAGCACCACTGCTTAAGTGTATTCTGCTGCAATCGCAAGCTAGCTGTTGCTTTGCTTCAGTCCTGATTGCCCCTCTCACAACATAACTCACAAACTATTTTCCACATAGCCACATGACTGAGCTTTTTAAAAACAATCACATCTGCAGCAATCATCCAATGTTATCTTTTCTCACTAAGAGGAAAGTCAAAGTTCTTACAATGTTCTACAAGGTCCCAAGTTTTGGGAGCTACCCTTTGTTCTCTCTACCCCCACTAAAATAATCTTCTTGCTACCTCACATACTTCCTCAGCCTATTTCAGTGTTTCAGAAAGTAATAGTATGGGATCTCAGTGGCTGCAGAGATTAATTTGTAGAGTTTTAGCATCTTTACATTATTGAACTTTCCCCTTCAATGAATGAGTTATATATTTTTCTCTCTTTTTTCTAAACACATCCTATAATGATGTTTTATTAAGTGTTCAATAAAGAGCCTGCCCATTTTTATTGTATTTGTCTTTATGTACTTTATAGCTTTTGTTGTTATTGTTAATGGGTACCCATTTTTTTCCAATTATATTTTTTAATTACTATCTGTCTATATCAGGGTTTTCCAACTTTGACACAAGTGACATTTTGAGCCAGGTAATTAATTGTTGTGAGGGGCTCTCCTGTGCATTGTAGGATGTTTAAAAGCATCCCTGGCCTCTACATGCTAGATACCAATAGCATTACTGCAGTTGCAATAACTTCAAAAACCAAAATGTCCACAAATATGGCCAAATATCCTGTGAAGCATAAAATTGTCCCTGGTTGAGAAGAATTCATCTTTATGAAAGTACTGATAGTTTTTTAAAAGCCACAAAAAGCCTATTCTTGTTTGTTCTAAATATTTCCCATGTTCACTTTCATCTTAATCAGGTCTTAATTGAAAATCTTATGGTAGCTGACATATTGTCTGTAATAGAGGGACATGCCAAGTGATTTCCTCAGGGTCTCACGTAGATTAAGTCTATGATTCCCGGTAATCATAAACTCACTAGTTTATGTGATGTAGGAAGCACTACGTAATAGGAAGTACATACACATTGGGGACAAATAGCCTGGGTGTGGCTCTCAACTCATTTATTGCAGGTATACAGTTTCACAAACATAATTTAACCTTTTTACGTCTTGGTTTTCCGATCTATAAAAAGCAAGTGGAGGCAGCTACTTTACATTGATATTGTGAAGTTTAATATTGATGTGTATGGTCAGTAGTACACATTAGAAAATATGTGATTTTGGCTCTTATTAGTTCCCTAAAATCAACCAACTAGCAATTGGGAGCTCTTCATAAGACCTGAAGGAGGGGCTGCACGGGTGGAAAATACATGGTATTTGATCAAGCTTCACTGGACAACACATTTCTTGCCAGGAACATTTATTGAGTGCTCTGTCTAGGGATTATGCAAGAAACTATCTTCAAATGTGTGAGATCAAAACTCCGTCTTAAGAACTTCGCTAACAAAAAACAAGCAAACTGAAACCAAAAAGAAATAATAATGACAATACAAGGTGTCATGTTACCATAAATTACTGAATTTGACCAGCACAAGGAACAGAATCAGAGGAGCAATATTTCTGAAAGGCTTCATCTTAAGTTCAGAACTGATGTGATTAATTAATTAATTAAAAGGAATTAACCCATGTATCATATTTATATGAAACTATTAATTTGATAAAATAATGATTAGTTTATAATTCCAAACTTTCTGTCAATAGATTAAGTCTCCAGAAATTTGCTTATGGGGTTGGCTACTTGAGCTATTTAATAGGTCCTCTCACCCAAACTCCAGAAATACCTTGGAGGGAATCATACAAGAGTTTTTTTCTTAGGCTACAAAATTGTACAAAGTAATTAATTAGAGAGTTAGGAGATATTTGTGGCCATTTGGCGAAGTTAGAATTAGCAGGAGATAAAATGAAAATAAATAATAGCCTGCTGAATGTTGAAGTCTGGTCTTGATAAGGAGAAAGATCTGTAATATACAGCTGAGAACAGGGATAGATTTATCCTCCCAATAATCAATATTTTAATCATTAGAAACACTTCAAAATGCTTCATATAATACTTTTTGTTGATATTTTATTAAAAGGAAGCCTCTCTATGCTAATTCTCAAATTTAAAAAATCAGAGTCCAGGAAAAGGAAAAATAGTAACACCACGTAAATACATCACCTGTTCCAAGTTCCCAATTTTTAAGAGAGACCAGGTGATAAAGTGACTTGCTCAAGGTCACACAGATATCTTTATTCAAAGCTAAAGTGAGAATATATTTCTCCCCAAACTTAGCCCATGATTTTTTTCACTATACTTTGCTCCCTCTCCACGTACTTTGCTCTGTCATCTTTTTCAAATGAATGTGCTCGGATAAGTTTCAAAGACAAACACACCTTCAGCTTCATTTCAAGAGTTTGTCCTATAATTGTCACACCTGATCTCTATCCCCGTGCCTGAACCCAATCACAAGGGATAATTTGAATTGACTGAAATGCCTGGAGTCTGTGTGCGCTGCCATTGACTCTCCTCAGTCAAACTATGCCATTGTGATAGCCAAGGTTGGTCACTGCCACTTTAAATTAGTGGTTTATCTTGAGTCCTGGAGAATGGAAGTCGTTTCAGGGGGAAAGGATGATGAATCACACGGCAGGGAACAAATGTAACTGTGATTAATGGGACATTACACAACAACAAAAAATTGAGCCAACTGTGTGCAGAGATAACTGGAACCACGAAGACCAACTTATTGTCTAAGGTAATGTAATTAACTTCCAGCCCCTCCATAGCTTGGATGGCTGATTCTAGCGTGCCTGGTTCCATTGTACTAATAATAATGACAAGGTCGTGGCTTCTTATTTTAAATACTACCCTATTAAGGAGCATTTTTCTCCAATGCATGACAATGATAAAATGTCAAAGACTAAGATTTGGCAATTTGAAGTAGCACAATTGTAAGCAACTGCTCAGATTCATTCAACTTTCTCTTTTTCCCAAGGAAGACAATGGAAGAAAAGACCAAACGTTAGACTTATGATATATGAGCTTCTTCAAATGTGTAAGAAGGGCTCAATGATTATCATTTTTCGGTGGTTCTTGGGTTAAAAAATAGTTTTCAGAAAATGTATTATTACAGTAACTATGATAAAAAAAGATTTATTTTTGCCTGTCTCTTGTCAGCACCCGGTAGGACAACCTGTCTAATTCATGAAGGTACATTTCTCTCATTCTTAAGAAATAAGTAATTGCTTTGTCGATTAGAAGGAATAGTTCATTTGGGTACTTATGACAGTCTTACGAGTTCAGAAATTATTCTGCACATTTTAAGTAAAGAAAATCATTATTGTTAGCATTTTCATCAATTGGAAACTTGTCCACCTTCTTCAGGTGGCAAAGTTGGATAGAGAGTCCACATTTAAAAAGCTTGCCAACTCCTTTTGTAAAATGTGGAGGCTTTTCAAATATTTGATGCCTGCTTCAAATGTTTTTGGAATTGTTTGGATACTTTCACAAGCAAACATAATAGCAAAACATTCCTTTAAAGTTATGAGTAATGATATATTTGGAATCCCAAATTGCTTCCCAACTGTCAGGTTTGCTTTTCTCTTCCTGACTTTGAAATAATATTAACATCTTCTATTTTGTAGCGTGTTTATTTTTTGTAAATAAACTAACCCATTTGGTACTACCGGGATGGCTTTTAGAGAGTAGAGATGTGCTGTAAGTGAAACAGCAGAAACTTTGGGGTCACCTATAACGGTGTGACTTTCAGCTTATTTAATTATTTATGAGTATTAGGTGATATATTTGCTCTCTCTGGATCTCATTTTTTTCATTCATTAAAACAGGATAAAAATATTTACTTCATAGAAGTGTGTAAAGACTGAAAATGACATGCATGCGTGGTATGCTATGAAAGCACTCAATAACTATTCCTTTCCTCTACTGTCACCCCTTTCATATAAGCTACTGGGAGAAAGCGTTATGTTTATTACCATTGTACTTCCCAAGAAGGAAATGTATATATAGTTTTTATCAAGAACCTACCACGATTCAACCTCTGTTGTAGCTCATTTTATATACATTAGATTATTCAAAAGATATTGCCTCATTTTTTTCAAATAAGAATACCAATGTTTCGGACATGTAATAAGTGGTCTAAGATAATAAGGTGCCCAGGCCAGTGCCTCACATTTTTTAAAATACTTTTTGAAATAAAACACGAAATGCAAGTGTGACATCCGAGACACTATGGGTAAAATTCTCCAATCTGTGTCTGTATCAGGTGCTGTGCTGACCCTCCAAACAGGCATCAAGCTCTGCCTAAAGAGGCTGCTCTAGCACATAGGTAGAGTTCCAGCCTTAGCTCTACCTGAATTCTATCTACCCACCACTCTTTTTTTTTCCGTGAATCCAATTCCACTCTGCTACTGTTCCCAGTGCCATCAGTCTTGTTCCTCATTCTTCAGTTTCCACACTTGCTGGGCCATTTGCTCTTAGTAATGATGAGAGTTCCCCAAGCAATAACTTTTATTCCTATTATATTCCTTTTATTCCTTCACCAAACTCCCTGTATCAATGACTACTGTGGACAAACACCTTTCCAGATTTGACTTGCTTTGATAATCATCTTTGTCATTACTTACCACTTTGATAAAACTCACAGCTTTATCTTGGTCATGTAAAAGGGCACTAGACAGATGAAGAAATGGAGTGTAACAAAACTGGGTTTGTCTCAGGTCACCCCATTCATTGTGATGGAGCTAGATCTGTTACCTGCTGCAGCCTGATCTATTCTATTTCCACTAGATCAATGGTTTTTTTTTTTTTTTTTTTGACAGGATCTCACTCTGTCCCCCAGGCTGAAGTGCAGGGGAACAATCTCAGTGCACTGCAGCCTTGCACTCCTGGGCTCAAGTGATCCTCCTGCCTCAGGCTCTCGAGTAGCTGAGAACACAGGCACATGCCCCCACACCTGGCTTTTTTGTCTTTTTTTTTAAGATAGGGGTCTCACTATGTTGCCGAGGCTGGTCTCGAACTCCTGGGTTCGAACGATCCTCCTGCCTTGGCCTCCCAAAGTGCTAGGATTACAGGCATGGACCACTACACTCAGCCCCAGTGTTTCTTAATTGGGAATGATTTTTGTCCCCCAGAGGACATCTGGCAATATTTGCAGACATTTTTTAGTTGTAATGTTACTAGGATCTAGTGGATAGAGATCAGAAATGTCGTTAAACATTCTGCAATGCATAGAACCCTTCCCCTTTCAACAAAGAACGATCTGGACCCCTATGTTAACAGTGCCACAGTTGAGAAATCCTACACTAAATTAAGGTGCTGCATCATGAGGAAGCAGGAAGAAGTCTCCTTCAAGTGATTTTATTGTCTTTTATGCATGTGAGAACAACTGTGCAGAGCCATGATTAAAAATGCAAGTCAGGAATCTTGAGTTCTATTTATGTGTTTCCCGTTGATTTACTTTGTGCCTTCGTGTTATCACTTCACTTCCAACAACAAACATTTGCTGAGAGGTTTATTTGTGTAACTATAAAGATGGCATCAGGAAGCAGGGTTTTCCTATCAGCACTGACCAGTTGTAAACTTGCAAACATTACCCACCTCACTGTTTATCTGCCCTTTTAGATATAAGAAAAAAATATAAATTCTCTAATTTCCCACTAATATTATAGCTGTAAGAGTCACAAAGGCAGCACCTAAGTACTGTATGTGCTGTTGGCCAAGTATTTCATAATGCAGTGTAAATTAACAATGTATTATAATGAAATATTCTTGATCAACATTATATTTATACTCCTTTATTAAGCTTTTTTGCTTGCCTGCTTTATTTTTTTCTTTCTCTACCCTCCTGGCCCAAGTGTCCTACTAATTACTTGCCAAATTTTAGTTAATATCTATCACTTCTTTCTAGCTTGTGTTTCTTCTCTTCTCTTAGTCCTGGTTTTTCTTTTTTCTAAAGTTGATTTTTGTTTTGTTGTGTCTTTCATCTCTTCTTTACTTAGCCCCTTTTCTCTCCTTTTCCACTAAATATTTTCTGCTTTCTTAAATGTGTTTTTTTATCCAAGAGAAGTTATAAAATAAAAGAGGGACCTGTTAAAAGGGAAGATGACTATCAATCTTACAGCTACTTTCTTTAGTTCTCATCCTCAAAATTGCCGATCATATTTTTAGGAACTAGATAAGTGTGACAACCTGGCAGCCCATACCAGAGAGAGTAAGAGAAACTTACACAAGCTCTATTTCCTCAGAACATGGAGAATAAGCCTGTCAGGCTGTTAGATAGCAAATGTCTTTGAGATCAATTCCACATTTACACGGGAACATGTAAATATGGAAGCTAATTTTGCCACTGCTGGGCTACTTGCTGCCTGAAGAATAAGGCCATTTAAAGTTTGATTTTTACCTCTTTATTATCATCATCTACGTCTCGGAACCAAATACTCCTCTCTGCAGCTGGCCTGAGACCCACGACGTTCCCTGATTATACCATGCGGGTTTCATGTCTTTATGTCTTTACACCTAATGTTTTCCTTTGCTAGGACTCCCTTTTCCTGGTTCTCTGCCTAGAACATCTCTGCTCATCCTACAGTTTTAATTTGGTCCAAGTGTTCTTTGGATATGGCTGACTCTTTTATGCCATGTCTTATTTGGGATATTATCTGATGTATTTCTGTCATTTCTTTTAATTCCAGTTTTCTTGGTCTACGTAATGACTCATCATTTCCGCCACTTACAACTTAACTCTAAGGCCCTTTCTTGCCATCATCCCTTCCATTGGTTGGGGTCACCTTATTCCTCCAGGCTGCCCTTTTTGGTGGGCTCAAGACTGCCCTTTCTACCTCCTTTCTGCAGGGTCCATATTTGATCTGACTGGAAATGCTTTGCCAGACTCTGTTATTACATGATATTCTCAATGAAGACTGTCTCCTCTATGCTGCTGATAGTGAGGAATTCTCAAAGCAGGTGTCAAATGCTGTTTTCTATATTCCTCACCCTCTTGGAAATACACATCAAGGTCTCTAAATGGTCACTGGGCCTGAATAAGGTAAGCATCTCTCATCTGATTATTCACTTTTTTATTGACTGATGAATCACAGCACTCTAGCAATGAACCTCAATGAAATCTTGTCATAAGTTACTGTGGTTTTTTTCCCTTCAGTGAAATGGATGTTTTCTTATTAATGATTTTACTTCTTAATTCTACGCTGGGATGACCTGGTTGAAACAAATCATTCTATGCTTGTGACCAGAGAGGAGAATATTTTGTATTTTTAGTAGCACTAACATAGGATTTCAGCCTAAGCTGCTACTGACATCTTAGAAGGGCAATGCCCCTCTTTTTAGGTTTTAGCTGGATAGAGCCTGATAGAGTTTGGATGTTTGTCCTCTCCAAATCTCATTTTGAAAGTCGATTCTCAATGTTGCAGTAGGGCCTAATGGAAGGTGTTTGCACTGTGAGGGCAGGTGCCTCATGAATAGCTTGGGGCCCTCACCGGGTAGGGTGATTTGTCATCTTAGCTCCTGAAAGAACTGGCTGTTAAAGAGAGTCTGGCACCTCCCTCCTCACTCTCTTCTTCCTTGCTCTTGCCATGTGATGTCTTATTTCCTTCCCCTTCCACCATAAGTGAAAGCTTCCTGAGGCCCTCGCTAGAAGCAGATGCTGTCTCCATGTTTCTCATACATTCTGCAGAATTGTGAACAAAATAAACCTCTTTTCTTTATAAATTACCCAGCCTCAGGTATTCCTTTACAGCAATGCAAATGAGGACTGAGATAGAGCCTCATGAATCAGAAAGGTGATCAATGATCCATGGCAAACAGTAACTTTTTACAAAATTAGTGATGAAAAAGACCGAGTGTATGTTAGTTTTTGCTACATAACAAACTCCCTCAAAAGTTACAGTTGAACAAAATAACCACTTATTGGGCTTATGATTCTTCACATTGGCAATTTGGACTGGGCATGACTGGGTGGTCCATCTCACCTCTGTTGGATTCACTTATGTAACTGTGAATAGTTACCAGTTTTGCTAGAGCATTGCTGGTGGGGGATGACTTATCTCTGCTCCACTGACCTTGCATTCTTTAGCTCACTAGACTCAAATTTCTCACATGGTAGTGACATGCATCAAAGAGAAAGAGGAAAGAAAGTAGTGCACATTCCTAGAAGCAAGATTCAAAGCTGGCATATTGCATTCTCTTGCCAAAGCAAGTGGCAAGATTGACTTGGGATTTAGGAGTATGGAAATAGATTTCCCTTTGTGAAAGGACAGGAATATGGGAAGGGAAATGATTGCAGCCAACTGTAAGCAATCGATTAGACTGTCACAGACTGTCCAAGATACCTTTTCTTATCCTGTCTTGATTTCCAAACTTCTCTTTATCACTGAATGTGAGATCTACTAGCCAGAAATTATAAATGGATGAGTAATGTTTTCACATATGAGATGTAAAATTTACTCAGATTATTTTGGAACCAGGTAAACAAAATAGGGAGGTAAAAGCCAACAGTCTCTGATGTTCTGTGGCTGTGCTTTATGTGAGTTCGGTTTTGAAACAATTAATTTTTGAATTTTATTTTATGGTTATTATAGATTGGTCTCTTTTCATCTCTCTGTCTAAAATTGGAGAATTTCCCTATAATTCTCAAATTATGAGAATTGGTTTTATAAGCCCTGCTCTGAGAAAATGTTCAACATATTGTGACTAATGAATAAGAGGTATAAACCTATCTGTGGAGTTTAGCAACTGAAATGTGATTTTCCTGGAGACTAACTGTTTGTTGGTCTTTATACTTTAGACTGGAAAATCCCAAAAGACATGATCTTATACTCATTTTGCCCTGATTTCCCTTTTGATCAGGAAGTTTAGTATATGCATTTTACATATCCTGAATTCTTCTACAATAATCCGTTACCAATAAGCCACTTACTACCAATATTACTGTGGTTTAGTTATTGCAGGTTTAATTGTCAGATTGTGAATATGACTTATGAATTATTTACAAAGTATGCCTATGTGAAGGAAGAAATCTAAATGCAGGCAATACAAAACTATGTATGAGTTTCATATAATGCAGTTCAATATTTGTGGAGCCTCTCTTTTAAATATACGACAGTTAACATGACTTTTTACTGTATCACATATCTGGCATTTTCCTTATATTACAAAAAGTGTCTTTAGAATTCAAATTGTGATAAAATATTGACAAGTAATATAGAACTTGTAAGTACATTGAGTATTATTTTTCCTATTGAATTAGCAAACCTTTTCAAAGTGAGGTAGCTTAAAAGAAATAGTGCTATACTTTAAGAGGAAGAGGAATACGTTGTCAGAATATGGAAATATGGATCAAATGCCTAAGAAAGCCGCTGATATTTTGTTTGAATTGAGGGTTCACAAATAAAGAGCACCCATCTTTTCTATCAGGGTTATGAATAAACTGAGAAATAAGGTAAATGATTCAACAGAGAGAGGAAGGTATATGCCTTTACTGCTACCAAAGGCTAGAATGAAAATATATCTTTATATTTCTAGGCAATTAGGCCTGCTAAGATTGAAGTCCAAAATTAGACACTCTTATCAAACCCATCATAGGCATAGCCAGAGCTTTTTTTATGTAAGATTGGAGGAAAAGGCAAGAATTTATAACAACTCAGGGCACCATCACATCAAGGTTAACTCAGCTATGAAGCATGGTCAAGCAGTGCAAAGGATGGACACTTAGCTCACACCTGCAGCTCTGCTTTGAATCAAGCTATAATAGGATGAGATGTGCCCATAGCAGAAGCTAGGAAAGGAGAAGGCTGCATGGGTGAAATACCAGATAATTACATCTACACTCTTGCACTCTTGCAGAATAGACTGTAGTGTAAATGCAAGCAAAGCCAACAGGGACAGGTAGCTGCATGCAAAATCATGGGGAGAGAGTAACTCTTTGAGAGGCTACACATTTTCTAAGAGTATGAACATAAAATATATAGGACATGTTCACATGATCCAATTGCCTTGTACTTAATAATATATTGAATAATTATTTTTAACCCCTCCAAGATGCAGGTGAGCAGCTTGGAATGAAAAAAAGTGGAGAGGTAAAATAAACAAAACAATCCACATTTGTAAGAACAACAAATTTGAAATATGAGTTAAAGTTTTTAACTGCATTATGTTAAGTTTGTGGAAATAGAGTTAGGTTAGAAACCAGGAGTCTTGTGTTTAAAATTTGATGTATCTACCAAGTAGTTGTGTGATCTTGAGAAATAATCTCAGCCATTCATTCTGAAGTTTGTTCCTCTCTTTTTTATTAAATTAAGGGGTTGTCCAAAATGACCTTTAAGGATGTATTCTAGCCTATGATCCTAGATATTATTTTTAATACATCTCTAATGTGAACTAATGCCATAATAATAAACATTAGCACATTTCTATTCACATAAATGCCTCTGTTTATTAACTTTGACCTCTCTTTGTATCTAATTCACAGTGGCTCATTTTCAAATGAATGTCATTTTCTAAATAGGTGACAGATATGTATTTCTGCAATGTATTTCATCTTGGAAAGATCTCTTTAAAATGGTGAAAGAAAGCATGCCAAAATATAAACCAAAAGAACTTGTTCTTATTTTTCACAAAATTACTTTTATTCAATCACTCATAAATTAACTTGTGCTTCTAGTCATGCTTACACTCTAATCATACTCATACTATCCTGTCCAATGTGCATGCACTTAGGAGGACCAAATCACCAAAAAACATCTCTTAGGAAGCAGAAAAGAGGACAGAAAGAGTACCAGCTATAAAGGTAAAGCTCATTTGGATGCTATTGATTTGTGTTTGGTGTTTCTTTGATAATTTTAGTATTCTTTATTACTTTCTGCCTCAACTTCAAACAACTGTTTCAAATCTCAAACATTTCCTGACCACTAAGGTTTAGAACATTGCCTTCATGCATAAGTGCTGATTAGCTCTTCAAGGGTTCTGAAGGTCTTAGTACCATTTGTTGCATGATGCTGTTGGAATCTAGGTGGCTGTCAAGAAATAATGCCCCCATCTTCTTCTCCCAGATTCAATCCAGTTGAGCAGTTGTCTGAAGGTAGAATTCTTCACAGGTCCTGGAACTCAGAAATGTCATCAATTAGCGGTGAAAGAGGAAGATAATACACAAAGGTCTTTCTTGTAATCCCTACCAGGTCTATAAATAAACCATTTCATTCAACAATTTCATCAAGAGGATGGAGTATTCCCAGCCATTTTTACAAATCTTACCGTAATGGAAACAAACTTTTTGCTTTCAATGAATATATGGCTTTCTTTTGCCTTGCTTAGGATACCAAAGAATACATTATTCCATAATCCATTCATACACACATACACACACACAAATAATAATAATAATAAATAAGATTGCGAAACAAATGATTTTGAACAAGGGGTTTGCAAGTCAATTTTCCTACTTTAATATTTATGTGGAAAAGTGTCAGCAACTCTGTCATTTATTCCTAAACACTGGACTTCAAAATGTATATGTCTTATTTGGTATTGGGAAAGGGCACAATCATTACATGGTGAGAGGTATGAGGTTTCATTCGAGTACTTTTCCAGAGATTACTCTGTAATATAATATTAAGATAGAATTTCTTTCCACACAGACGTTGCTTCTTATTCATGTACAATGTGCGGTATTTTCCCCTTTAGATACTTTGAGGCATTAATGTGATAACTCAAGCAATGTGGTTGTGCTTTTGATAGCCCCTCTTTAATTCTGGTTTTGGAGGAAACTTTGACTTCATCACAGAGAAATCCAATAAAACTTAGATACAATTAGGACTATTAGCACTAAAAAGGTCCACAGAATTCTCAGCATTCTATTAATCCAACAATAACAACAACAAAACCCTTACAAGTCTACATGGGCATTTTTCTCTAAATGCATTAGATAATTAGGTTGCATCATTTAGATAAAGGAATCATTTAATTATAATTATGCATAAGGACATTTACTAAGTTATTGCAACTATCAGTATAGACACATTGATGAGATAAGACATTTGCTATCCAGGAGTTCACGGAGAAATTAAGAAAAAAAATCCTTATATATGTATTGTTCATTGTAAGTAACTAGAGATATGATTCTTAATTAAATAAAACCTCTCTTTTCAACTATAATAGTCTGACTATTTTTTGATGACAACTTTTACATCTAACTCCCTCTTTTCCCCTGTCCCTCATATCTGGGCTAGCTGAGATTAAAGCCTAGGTGGTACCTTATTTGGTGCCCATGAAAGATTAAAACCCATGCAAGCTTTTGCCTACATGTAAGGACCCTCACCCTAGCCCCACCCTGAAATCACAGTAAAACCCAGAGTCAGTCTCCTTTTCTGTTTCTCTCAAGGCATAACAAGATTTGAGAGGCTTGCCCAGCCCTTCCCAGGACCTCAAAAAAGTAAATAATAAACATTTTCATAACTCTTCTGGTGTGTGTCACATCATCAGTCTCAACATTCAAACCAAACTTTGAGTGCAGGTCTATCCTGCCTTTGGGAGGGAAACACATCTACTCAGGTTTGAAACCAGTTGAAATGTCACAGGAGTCAGACTCATGGAAATCCAAATAACAGCTGTTCTACAGATAAAATGATGAGATGAAGGACATTTTTAGACATGACTATATGAAGTAATTCCTCATCCTCTATCCCATACATCAATCAAAATAGTCTAGGTTACACTAGGGTAACAAATATTTCTAAAATATATACCTGGCAGTTAATTCGCCCTAATTACAAGTACTGCTGGAAAATCACAGGTTTCTGTCATAGCAGTATCCTCACCTAATAAAGAGCAGAACAGAATATGGGTGTTGGGGCGGGGGAGAGAGAGAGAGAGAAAGAGAAAGAGGGAGAGAAAGAGAGAAAGGGAGGTAAGAGAGAAGAAGAGTTACATAAAAGAGAAGACTTATCTCTTCTAAACCTACCAATCCTAGCTTGGTGCAGTGGTGCCACCTGTAGACCCAGCTACTCAGAAGGCTGAGATGGAAGGATTTTTTGAGCCCAAGAGTTCAAGTCTGCAGTTATCTGTGATCACGTCACCACACTCCAGCCTGGGCAACAGAGCAAGACCCCATTTTAAAACCTACCAATTACCCTGTAGGGAGGATTAGGAGAACTGAGTGGTATGAGAGTAAAAGTGTCACCAGTAGAAATGTCAGCAAACCCTCGACCAAATCCAGCTGCAATCTGCTTTTGTAAATAAAGTTTTATTCAAATGCAGTCATGCCCAATCATTTATAAATCATCGCTGCTTTCATGCAACAACAGCACAATTTAGTAGTCCTGAGAGAGACCCTAGGCCTGCAAAGCCAACAATATTTAACCTCTGACCCTTTAAAGGAAAAGTTTACTGACCCCTTTAGATGTCAATCTATAAGGACATTCAAGGACAAATAATTGAAGACAAGCAGTAAAATCAAAATATGAGAAAGAAAACAGGAAAATGGTATTTCTCTTATTATTATAATCTGAGTAAAACTTTGGCCAGGATGAGTCAGGGAAGGATATTATGGGCAAATCATGAACCTCCAGCTTGAACAAGAGACAAGAGGAGAGAAGGATCAGCCTTCTAGTAGGAACCCCGATTATCACAGTCTGGCAAAGGAAAAGCATAAAGGAAGCAAAGGTGGGAAGCTAGAAATACAAGTCAAAGAGAGTAGCAGCTGTGGTACAGAACTTGAAACCATGTCACCAAAGTTGCTAATGAAAATACGGGGCATCTCTGCCCTGGAGGAAAGACTAAGGGGAAATGACCTAATGACATTTTTTTTTTTCAAATTGAATTTGAAAAGCAGATAAAGAGAAGTATGATATCCTTAAACTGTTTAACTTAAGTGGCTCCTGGGTTTTGGAATTTGTGAATCATTAATGAGAAATGAAATGGGAGACTGGAAAATTGTTGCCAGCATTAACTTTTGCCAAGCAATTACATATATAGTCATATATATGTGTGTGCATATATATAAACATATATATACATATATAAAAATATATATACACATATATATCTGATAATCTGGCATTATGTTATAAATTATAAGTCATTTTAATATGAATGGATAACAATTACATAACCTTGGAATAAAAGAAAGCCTTTTTAATTGAACATGCTTTTATTTATTAGAAAATAAATAATTTTTATTTCCATTCTTTTAATGACTAATGACAGTTTTATCACAGACCTGCACCAAACTCCTAATGACAATTGAAGACACATTTATAAGTACAGAAGACAATCATGGAACCAGGTGAAAGGAAGATAAACGAAGGCTAACTTTGATTATATAAAAGAAATTGATTATTTCTTAAATAAGAATGAACCCTCCTCTTTGAAAAAAAGACCAGATTATTAAAAAGTGCTGCCTTATCTTAGGGTAGTCTCCCTAACACAGGACAATTCGATAAAAGGCTGTATAATGAACTCTGAAATACCTAGGGGAGTGTGAGAGAATAGCAGCATTCAGTAGATGCCTTTCAGGTATCAGACACAGTACTAGATCCTACATATTTATAATCTCCATTAGTGCTAAGAGAAGCTGATGAATTTGCCCAAGGTCATACAGCATGTAAATGGAAGACATGAAATTAAAATCTGGGCCTAACTGCATCTTACCATTTCTTCATTTTCCTTCATGTGTTGAACCCAGGTATGACTGGGAAATCAGACAGAATCCTCACAAATATCTCTACCAGTGTGAAAATTCTAGATGTTGCCAACCCACACTGTGCCAATCATAGAGAAGAGAGTGAATATATCAAAAGACAACTGAGCCAAACCCACTCTAACCAGAGAATATGTGACAGAGGTCCACCTAACACATATTTAATATTGTATAGCTAACTGAAGACATCTATGAATCCAAGTCATTGCATAATCCAGGGTGGCAATGAGAGAACTGCATAGTATAACAGTCAGGTCAGCTAGGAAGGCAGCCAGAAGACGGACTGGAAGTATTATGGAACGATCCCTGTAAGAGACACAGCAGGGTTCATGAAGTATAGGAACAATTCGGTCAATAGGTGATGAACCTGGAAGGAATTACATTTTCTTCTCTCCAGTCCCTGTTCACATTACAACACAGCTCACATGTAGCTTTCCTCTTGAAACATGTCTCCAATCTCATTCTTTCTCTTTCAGAATTACATGTCTTCCACTTTGCAAGTGCTATGGTTGCTACTTGTGGACACCTATGTCTTAGCTATCATCTATTATTTTTCTGTCTTCCACTATAGTCATAATTGTTACTTCCTTAAGGAAAATGATCACATCAATTACAGAAATGTGTTTGTATAGGTGTATGTGTACTTCCATTTGCAATAAATAGCAGAGTACTCGACTTGTGATGGCAGTTTAACACAGTTTTCATGCCTTGAACAAAGGAAAACCTTTCACAGGATGAAAAGAAATAAAATCTTTCACAGGATGAAAAGAAAGCATTTGTTGAACATAGGATTGGACCAAATACTGAGTTAGGCAATTCCACACCTAAGAGGTTGCAGTCTCCACTCAATCCTTTTACAGATGAGAAAATCAAGACCCATAGAGTGTAAGTTGCCTGCCCAAGTTAGGACAACTGGTAAACAGCAAGACAAATAATTTCATTTAGGTTTGCGAATCTCAGGTCCTTTCAGTTGTATCACCCTGCGGGTCTGCTGACTGCATGGTTGGTCTGTGGAACAGAAGAAAGTAGTTTAACTGTGGTATTTGAGCCCATCTTGGAGTTGCCCTGCTCCTCCCTTAAATCATCTTGATCCTTTTCTTTCTCAGTGGAATTGGGGTCAGCAGGTACTTTTTGTCTGTGTTCAAGGTTCCGCCACCCCACCAATCTTCCTGCTGCTTTTCTCGTGGCAAAGCTCCTCTTTTCTCTATTCATAGCTAATGCCCCTGGAGTCATGCTGTAGATTACCCATGGAGCTGAAATGCAATCATTCTATGTCCTTAAGGGCTCTTAACTTTACACTCTTCATTCATATTCTTCCAAGTCACAGCCTTGGTTTTTGTGGAATGAAATTTTCAGGCTACTTTACAAATGTCAGTCCCATTCCATTTTCTTATCAGTTTAGTACGAAGACAGCAGAACCAGAATCTGCCACTCAGATTGCATTTTGTTTCTACTGAGGGCACAGATTTGAAATAAGCAAAATAAAATTTTCTTTCTCATTTAAAAAGAAAACTTGGGGAATAAAATAGAATGAGGAAACAAAGAATTATTTTTAGTGACTATTGTGTCCTACAAATTCTTTCGAAAATCAAAAGAAAAAGAAGCAAATCCTAAAAATTACTCATATATCGAAAATGTAATTAAAAATAAAAACAAGTATAATCAGGAATATAGATATATTATGTATATATTTTACAGACATGATGTATACAGCATATATTTTATATATTGTATGACTTTCTGATTATGCAGGTTGTACATATATATATTTATGTATGTTTTTATATATATTTGCGTCTATAATCCTACTAACTAGATCAGCTTCCCAAGAGTGGGCTCCAGATCACCTGCATCTGAAGCCCCTGAGAGACTTGTTTAAAAATGTAGATTGTTCCTGAGCCCCTCTCCAGATTCACCGAATCAGAGATTTTAGGCCTCTAGACCAGAAATCTACATTCAGACAACCTCCTTAGCTGCACCCAAGTTTAAGAATGCAAAACGTAAAAATATCCATTTAAAAATGTATTTTGGAACGTTTCTGTCTGAGCTCTTTTATGCATGCTTTTTCAGCTAGATCCTGTGTGTATCACCTAACATTGCATAAAAATTATTATCACACAACTTTGGCACATATTTGTAAACATCATTTTTAATGGCTGTATAATATAACCTGTAAAGATACTCTAATTTACTTGTCATGTTTTTCAACATTTAGATTACTTCTATGTTTTTGCTTTATAAAAAATATTGGTATGAATCTCTTCAGACATACAATTTTCCCCCATGTGTATCTATTCATCTCTGTGACTACTGTACTGTACATACTTTCCAGCACTGAGTTATCACAATTTCTCTAATAATTTAAACTTGAGAGTCAAATTTATATGATTTTTGACTTGACATCTTTAAATGATTGCACAGTGCTGAATATTATTATAACCATTATTTCCTATTTCATGAAGTATCTGTGAACCTTACCATTAGTATTTCCTGTTTATTTTTCCCACTGAACAACTTATCTAAAGAGCTATTTATTAAGAATATTATGTCTTTAATGCAGCTGTTGCACACTTATTTGCTATTTTTTGCCTTTGAATTTTACTCATTATAGCTCTTGCAAAACACATTCACTTTAGTTCTTTTGAACTTAACATTTTAGAACATTTCTCTGTTTATTTCTTTTTAAAAATGTATTTTGATGGTGCATATTAGAGGTATAAAGCATAATTTTTTTTACATTTATTCTTAACTCCTGATTAGATCCAAGATTTGACAATTAGTAATTTACTTAATCTTCTAGACATTTTGTGTGTGATTTTTATGTTTTGTTGTATTCTTTGGGATTTATTTTTATGCATATTTGGGGGAGATGACTAGCTCATCAGCCCTATTGTGATGGACTTGGGATTCCATGGGAAAAATATTGATTTGATTGTTACTGAGAACAACCTTTAACAAGCCACCTCCTAGAACCAGGGCCCCCACCTCTGGGCCAGGCCGATCTCAAAGGCGCAAGTACTGGAGCTCCTACACGTGTATTAGCCAGACACATGGAAAAGGTAAAGGGTCAGAGAGCTCTCCTGAGAGAAGAAACCCCACATGGGAGTTTAGATTCAAGGGAGGCATGCTACTGTCTACCCCAGAAGGTCCCAGCCTTTGGAAAGACTCAAACAAATTTTTGAGGAAGGGCCTGCAGGTACAGCCTTGCTTTGTTTGAAGATAGAACTGCAGAGGTGGAGAATCAGGCACAAGAGCAATGATCAGTGGTGAGGCGCTTTACTGGTGTGCTTTTTATTAGGTTTGTTTTAGTAGAAAATCATATCCTAAAAGAGTGTCTCTGGCTTCCTTGAATCAAATTCATTGGGCATCAGCAGGAACCTCACTTTTATCAACTGGGATATTTTCATAAAGAAGATATTTATCAATAATATGCATCATTCAAGGTATGATTGAAAGGGACTAAAGAAGGTTAACAGTAGATATCTTTCCAGCAGTATGTAAAATTATGCATGCAAGCATATCTTCTCAAACATTTATCTTAGCCCAATTTTTGGTTCATGATAAGCACCTCAAATTATTTAACTTCCTCCCAGCCCCATTGGGCATACCACCCAACATCCATCCTAATGGAATGCCAGTTGGTACTCATTTTCCCACCCACTGCATAGTAAACACCATTTCTTTTCACCAAGGATAAAATATTGAGTCTGTTGTAAGTAAGTTAATCTGTGTAGAACAGGATAAATAATGTATTTCATTATTTAACTGAACTTTCTGAATTATGACGTATACAAATATTTCATGACCATTTTAAAGAGTGTTAAAAGATGTATATTTTCATACATAAAGAAAAATGGACGTCAAAGTAACTATCTTTGGGTGAGGAGAATATGGGTAATTACTTTCTTCCTTATTTTCCCAATAATTTGATACCATTTATGACACTTTATCAAATGGAAAAGTTAAAAAAATGAAAATGTAAACATCTTACAAAGATATTTCAGTGGTATCACCTTTTGCAAAAGTGAAAGAGGATTTTCTGTCTCTAATTTAGTGAAATTCATAGCCAACTATCCCAGCAATTCTACCCTTTCTTTTTGTGAATTTCCTTGTTCCCATAATCTTCTGCACCAACAGTAGATCTCCTCTTCTTTTTTTTTTTTTTTATAACAACAGAAGTTCTTTTTTTTTTTTTTTTTTCTGGAGTGAGCTGATAAAAAGACCATTTTGTACTTTAAATTTTATCTCTATTTTCTCATTTTAATAGTTTCCTTTCCCATCACTCATGAAGGTTTCTAAGTTAATGTCTGCTGCTGGATTTTAAAATGACTACAGTTTGCCAGACTTTTGAAAGGGAGTCACATGCAGGATTTATAATTAAGTGATGGCAGAGAGGTCCTCCCTCAGAAGGAATAAAAGCAAGTCTCAGCATGAAGCTGTGCAGTTGGGGAGAATAAAAGATTGATACTGCCAAGAGTAAAGGGTGTGAAATTAGGGACTCTCAAAATTCATTCTGTAAACCCTCTGGAGCAATCTCCAGAGATTACTGAAGTTACAAGGTACTGGGTCACTCAGACCTTCATTCTCATCTGTGAAATGGCAAATGTTTCTTTGTTCTGTCTAACCCACATGACTGTTGTGAGAGGCGAAGATAAAACATTTAAAATAGCACTGAGATCGCTTAAGGGTTTCAAAATGAAGGGCATAGATTTTTTCATTCTATCAACCCACAAAGAGTATAGCCAGCATACTGAAATGCACATTGGTTGAAGGTTAAGGACTTCTACAACTATCTCTGCTCAGCTGAAAGCGGATAATGAACAAGAACATCAATTTGTGCAATAAGCTTTTGACTAGGAGATAAAGTCTTGGAATCAGCTTTGTGGGGGCAGGTGAGCCAGCTAATGCTGCTACCAAATCTAATTAATTATAGTGTTGATTTCTTT
Organism: Homo sapiens; assembly: GCF_000001405.40. Taxonomy (NCBI): domain Eukaryota; kingdom Metazoa; phylum Chordata; class Mammalia; order Primates; family Hominidae; genus Homo; species Homo sapiens. Next base: position 12,562,364 of record NC_000004.12, on the reverse strand, counting down.
ACCAACAAATAGGAAATGACATCTTGAAGCCCAGCTTTATGTCCCTAAGAAATATGTCTGTTTTACAATGTGTAAATGCCATAGAATACTTACTTTGTCTAAGCCAAGCAGTGCCAAAATCAGCCTTTAAAAAATGTTATTGTTGTTGGCAAAATTATAGTTGTTGATGTTGGCAAAATTACAGCTATGTGAGCAAAATTGTCTGCTATAGAGACCTTGGGAAATTGTAAAATCCCAGTTTTCTTTCTGTGTATTTAAAATATCTAGCAATCCTGTTGTTTTTCATATGTAAACAAAAGTATTAGTTTCAATGAAGAAATCAAATATACTGTGCTAGTAGTCAGTATGTTTTGATTAATTGTTGCTTGATAAATTAAATGGCATCAATAGTTATTAGCTTCATAAAGCTGTCATACAATAGCCAGAGCTATTCCTCCATCTAAAGTCTTGTATAGAATTTTTGAAAAATAAAATTGACCCAGGCATATAATTTGAAAATTAAATGGTCAGAAGTTACTGGCATGTTTGTCCTATACTAACATGGCCTTATGATAGATGTGAGGTGGGGTGGGGTGAGGGGAATGGGTGTATTCTTTCTTCATCCAACACCTATTAGGAACCTTGGTTCTATCAGGCATTGAGACCTGTTCTGGAATATTTGATAGGGGCTTGTTATTTTACTACATCTCAGAATTGCATTTTACACCATTCATTCAGTTGCCATTTAAAAACTCTTATTGAATACACTACGTTTATATACTTATTAGAAGTAGAAGTTTTGGGTAGGGGAGGCATTTATTTTGTCAGTTTTTTGAAGACAGAACTGTGATTGTTCCCCTTGCAACTTCTGCAGCAAACAGCAAAAATCCTTTGTACATAATAGGCATTTAGTGTTTATTAGTTTAATTAAATTAACAGAAAGAGTTTGATTAGACTTAGATGTTAGACAGGTTCTTTTTGTAAGAAATATTGTGATTTCTTAGGACAAGGACAGTTGCAATCTGTCGTCCATCAAAAAGTATGCCCATAGAAAAATATAATGTCTTAACTCTAAAAGGCAATAAGGGGTGGAGTACAGTGTATGGAACTAGAGGTAGAGCAGAAGGAAGAATAACTGACATTTGTTGAGTGCCTCCTACATTATGGACCCTGGATGGCATTGAGATTAGTATCCATGTTTCTAGCCCTTGGCTGGTACATTCTTTGGTCACACCAACCCCTCACTTTGGAAACTTTATGTAGCACATGTTTATATAAACTGCTTGGTTTCATCATGTCACATGCTCTGTGTGACCTGACCCTTCATTATTTCTCTATCTTTATTCTCTATCATGTTGTGCCTATTTGACATAATTAGAATATTTGTCCCCACCCAAACCTCATGTTGGATAGAAATCTCCCAATGTTGGAGGTTAGGCTTGGTGGAAGGTGTTCGGATCGTGTAGGCAGAGTCTTCATGAATGGCTTGGGCCAACCCCTTGTGATAAGTGAGCTCTTAACTCTGAGTTCACTTGAGGTCTGGTTGTGTAAAAGTGTGTGGCACCTGACTCCCACTTTCTCCCACTCTCACTGTGTGAGATGCCTGCCCCAGTTCACCTTCTGCTATGATTGTAAGCTCTCTAAGGCCTCCCAGAAGCAGATGCTAGAGCTATGCTTCCTGTACAGCCTGCAGAACTGTAAGACATTTAACCTCTTTTCTTATAAATTACCCAGTCTCAGGTATTTATTTATAGCAATGCAAGAGCAGCCTAATATACCATCTCAACTTAATTGGCCAAGCCCATCATTTTGGCCACTTTCTCAAATATGCCAGGTTGTTCTTCATGCTAGGACATTGAACATGCTATTTCCTTTTATTGGAACATAAATACACAGCTCTTTGAGTAGCTGCTTTCTAATGTTTAGATTTCAACTAAAATGTAATTTTCCATCAAAGTGATCTTTCATTACTATCGTAAATAATTCCCCATTATTCTTTATCTCAGTCACTAATTTCATGCCTTCATCAAACTTACTGAGCAAAAATGTTTATCGTGTCTGTCAGTTTAATTGTTTTTGACTGATATCCACTTGGACCACACTCATCCCTCAGAATGCAGGCACCAGAAGTATAGAAGATACAGAAGACTTGATGGCACATGTATTTCAGGGGAAAACCTGGCATATAATGGGTAATTTATAAAGGAAATAGGTTTAATTGACTCACAGTTCTGCATGGCTAGCAAGGCCTCCAGAAACTTACAATTATGGCGGAAGGGGAAGCAAACACATCGTTCTTCACGTGGTGGCAGCAATAAGAAATGCCAAACAAAAGAGGGAAAAGCCCCTTAAAAGTATCATATCTTGTGAGAACTCACTCACTATCACAAGAACAGCATGAGGGTAACTGCCCCTTGATTAAACTACCTCCCACAGGTTCCCTCCCATGACATGTGGGGATTATGGGAATTACAATTCAAGATAAGATTTGGGTGGGGACACGACAAAACCGTATCAACCTTCTTCACAACCTTCTTCACAGGATGAAGCATGTTATGAGATAATATATGTAACAAGCAGATAGTATGTGCTCAAGAATTTTGTTATTCATAATGTATAATGTACAAGCAGACTATTGCTTATAGTCTTTTAAACAATTGAATCTTAATGAATGTTCTTTTGCCTTTCATTTTATTTGTGGATTAATAACTTCTTAACCTATATCTAAAGTGGGTGTATAGTATGATGCTATTTGACCATTTTATAAAATCAGGTTACATTCATTCTCAAGCATAAACATCTCAATACTAGAGTGGGCTTCCACTGGATGAGGCACAGTTAACATGCAGTTACGGCCTTTCTCCTGGTTTTCTTGAAAGATTGTCATAGTCAAGGCTTTTGTGTAAAACATTTGCTGAAAATTAAGAATTGGGCAAGACCTTGAATAGAATCCATCAGAATATTAGGATTCACATTATGTTAGGGATTTCCACAGCTCTTTCTTTATTAGTAGGAAACATGCACCCTCCTTCCTCATCTCTCAGTTAATTGTTTTTTATTCTCTAGGGTTTGGTTAAAATGCTATGGTTTTTCTGAAATTTCTCCTGACCTCCTTAACAATGGTCAGTCAGGTCGAGTTAATGGCTCATGCCTCACAATCTCACTCTACATTTAATTGAATGACTGATTTCACACTTATGAACTAGGCTGCAGGTTCCTTGAGAGTAAGTTATTCTATTTTTTTCTCTATATGTATACATGTGCTAATGAATATGTGTTATGTATGTCTACAAATAAAAGGTCAATGTGGTTGTTTAGTGAATGACAGAAAATGTGGGAAGAGGTCAGAAGACAGGTTGTGGTGCACATGTTGGCCAGATTAAACAGGGTTAAAGCCCTTAAAGTTTTTTAAACAGTGGAGTAGAGCAAGGAGAAGGGTTATTTGGACCTCTGGAGTGGGTTGAAGGGTGTCTGCCAAAGATATGTCCACATCAAATCCCTGATGCCTCCACATATTACCGTCATGTGTCGCTTAACGATGGAGATACATAAAGCTCAAAAAACTGGACTGAGTGATTTAGGTCAGTGAGTTCATAAGAGAGTTCTTCAGTGCCTCTAGTCATGTGGCATTTCCATCTGTATGTACCCGCAAGGTTCAACTCGATGTTGTGAATTTAGTACGTGCTCAATAAATGCTTACGAAATTCAACTGATTTTAAACTGTGCTGATCCTCCCAACCCAGGTATTTTGATGTCATTTACATTCATATTTATTTATATATTCTGATGATTGCTCAAAAGTGCTTTGAGTCTTACCACATCCATGCAAATTTATTAAAAATAGGGACTCTCAGTCAATCTCCAGATCTCCAGTCACAGTTGACATTTACATTGTCACAATATTTTTCTTATTCCTTTAGGTTGTAATAGATATTTCATCTTTTTAAAAAAATTTAAAAATAAACCCAATAACATACAATCAAGATATAATCTGTCTATTTGAAAACAAGGTCTTATAGTTGTAAAGTGTGCCGTTTTTGGCCACTTATTCTCATTTTTGAAGTTATACCATTAAATTTCAGAGTCCTGAACAAAAGATTAAGGAATAGAAAAAAAAAAAGCCTTAAAGTTACAGCATGTTACAGAGAGTACTTTTATAAATGACAAATTAGAAATTTGGTAGAGGAAAACAAAGGCCAAGATGGAGATTCTACCTATAATAAGAGTTGCAGAGAAATTAAGAAAAAAAACTTTAAATCTCAAAGATTGAGATTCCATCTGTAATCAGAGTTGTGGAGAAATTAAGAAAAAAAGTTTAAAAAGCACCTTTGCAAATCAATGTACTAACTCATGAATTAATAATAACACAGTATTCTTTACTCACAACAACTGTAAATAGCTAAATGTTTGTAATTGTATTTGAATAACAAGAAGGATTAATGAATTTAAGTAACATTCAAGGCATACAACTATTCATCATTCATTCCTTTATTTTTCATTCTTCAACAAATTATTGAATATCTACCATATACTAGACATTATTAATTTATGCAAGGATAATTTTGTTTTCTTGCTGTTGTTGTTTAGAGAATGTTGTTGTTTAGAAAATGGGTACCTATGCTATAAGTGGAATTTAATACAGAGATCGACACTGGAAATTGTGTTGAGTGTGCCAGTTTGATTAGGGACTTGAGATGGATGGATCACTGGTCCCAGTTCTTCACTCTTCCCTGCATCACTCCATTGCTGTGGCCTCATCCTGGGTGTAGAGTATTCCTACCTCTTGACTCTGGACGTGGCCAAGTGACTTCCTTTGTTAAATAGCACAGGGGTGGATGTGACAGTGTGCCAGGTAGGAATCTAGGTCTCAAGCGGCCTTGTGTGTTTTCATCCTCTCTCTCCCTTGTGCTTCTGCTATTGCCTTGAAAAGAGTTTTCTCTGTCATTTCTGTCCCTTCAGCCTGGGCCCCAGGATAAGCCTACATGGAGTAGAGTCACCTCATTCAGGCATAGCCAAACCTGCAGGTTGAGGCAAAGTAACTCAGTTGAGGTCAGCCTAGATCATCCAATACTCATCTGAGATTCAGATGCATGTGAATAAGTGATTGCTATTTTTGGCCACTGAGTTTGCATGAGTTTTGTTTGATTCAGTGTTTCAGTGGCCATCTCTTAGCCTAATACTTTTGACCTCTTCTCATCCTATCACTTCCTCCTCCCTGTTAGTGAGGAACTTCCTGATTGGTGAGTTTGGAAGAAGAAATCGGAGATGCATAGTCAAGCCATTCCTTCTTCCATTATGCTTGGATATAAGATCCCTTCAGGACTATATGTTCTGCTCTACTTCTTGTTGTCATAAGTTCTACAGGATGAAACACACACATACATACATGTACACACATGAAACGTGTAGAGAGACCTGTTCCAGGTAGGGGTAGTCACATTGAGTGGGTAAATTCCTTAAATTTAAGCATCAGTATTACAAAGCCTAGAGGAACACAAATATAAGCCACCTTCACTAACATCAGCTTTCTCAGTAATAAAGTCGGTATTTTAGTCTCATCTGCCTTACTTATCTTATTTCTTATCTTATTTCTCTGTTCAGAACTAAGAGAAGTGAGAGGGATGACAAATCATTGAGCCTCTTCATACCCCAACTTAAGGAGTATGGGCCAGAAGGATTGGGGCAGATGGTGCCATGCAATAAGCTGTAAAAGTAAAGCTGAAGGAGTAAAGGCTCTTTCTCTAAGATATTGGTGATGGCAGTGAAGGATCTGAAGTCTGAGCGGTGACCTCGTTTCATTGGGTGAATTCATCTGGCAACTTTGAGAAATAGACTATGATTAATTAATTAATGTATCTATGTACGCATACATGTATGTATGTGTGTGTGTAATATACTTAACGAATACTCATAAAGAACTATGTGAATTACATAAATGAACTTGTTTAATCTTCATAACAGTGCTATATCATAATGCTTATCATAGTCTATTCAGGCTACTATAACAAATTACCATAGACTGGGTAGCTTATAAACAACAGAAATGGATTTTACGTGTGGAGGCTGGTAAGCTCAAGATCATTGCACTAGCAGATTTGGGATACAGTAAGAGCCTGCTTCCTATTTTCCTAGATGGCTGTCTTCTTGCTATGTCTTCACGTGGTAGAAGGGGGAACTGTGGTCTCTTCAGTCCCTTGTGAGAGTAGCAATACACAAAAAATCTACTGTCATGACCTAATCACCTCTCTAAGACCTTACTTCCTAATACCAACTCATGGAGATTATGTTTCATCATATTAATTTTGTGGAGACACCATCATTCATTCTATAGCAATGTTATCATACAATATAATGTTACTGTATTAGAGTGTTATCCTTATTACAGTGAAGAGGATTTTTAAGTGCAGATAAAGGAGGCAAGTTGCCTAATGTCACATACCTAGTAAATGGCAGAGCAAGGATTCCAACCCTGGCATTATGTCTACAATATTAATATCCTTAACATTAATCTTTTTTGGGGGTCAGCATATCTTATGTTGGTCCTATTGTGTGGGTATGGCATTTTAAGCCTCATGATTCACACAGGTTCATGCTGAAATACAAGGCTACTTTTTTTCCACTGGATTTTATCTACTGCTTTGTGAGCACTCGGCTTAGACCTCAGAGCACACGACACGTAGAACTTAATTGATTTCTGTAATTTAGGGCAATTTTGTGCAAAGACAAGATGTTTGTTTTGTAGAAGCAACAGCGTATATACAAGCCCTTATGCAATAGGATCCTGGACTTTATTTCTTTTAAGAAAGGGGAAACCTTAGGAGAGGCATGGGCCTCAGGACTCAGGAAAAGGATAGACGTTGGAATCAGTAGTGGAATAGAAGTCCTGGGATGGAACAAAATCATGGAGGATATGGTCTGAGATGAAAATATTGGGCATGTTAGCCTCAGCAAAAATGAAGACTTCAGTAAAGCTGAGGACTGCCTGCTCAATTTGTGGGAAGCACCCAGTAGCTCTTAGACTTTGATAACAAATTCCAAAAGCTTTGCACTTAGTACCCTGCCGACGACATTGGCCACAGCAGTTGCTTGCTCCATAAAGCCTAACCACGAACACAGACTAGACTACAACTGGCCTCAGCAGACGGTGGGCCAAGCTGCTACATCTTGATCTTGAGCTATGACTCAGCTTTACCCAAATAGCTTTAGCCCAGGCAAACATTTCACAATAAGATGAAAAGTCTTCTAGGCCTTTTAGTCATTCAGGGATAGAGTAATATTCTCTGCCTTCCAATTTTAGATGCATGAGTTGTCCATGAACTGCACTGAAATACTGGGGCCTTGGCTTCAAATTATTATTTCAAAAGTAGGCAGGTAGGGTTAAGTCAGGTGCTTCAGATGCCAATCTTCTTTCAGGGACAGGAACCAGCCTTGGATTCACAGACACACTTCTGAAGATATGTGCTGAAGCTAAGAAACACAAACTCCTTTCCAGGCCTCTCTGAGAGTTTTCAGTGATGTATTCATAAGGTCATATATTTTGTAAAATTGGCAAAAGTAAGACATTGTATCCACAATTGGTTGTGACGACTGCTTATTTGGACTCCATCTTCCCCTTCATCTCTCTTCCTCAGGAGAAGGTTGGGAAGGGAACAGACATGGACATTTCTGGGATCCGACTAACGGGAAATTAAACCAGACACAGTTTTAGTTTGAGTTGAGTGGGATATATCTTTGTGGCTTGTGATCACTTTCACGAGGGTCATGTGTTGTTAGACATTCTGGTGTAGGCATGGCTTCTAAGAATACCGCTTCCATTCTCTGTGCTGACCCACCCAAAGGCATTATACAAAGGAGCGGGACAATGTTCATAGCTGATTTTGTTATCATTTTATATTGTTTGATGTGTGTGTGGCAGAGGATGCTTCAAATGGTGGAAACTTCATCCCCCATCCCCCATGGGCCCTGAACTTGACCCTATCCATAAGCTTATCCCTGCCAGATGGCTTTGGATTAAATAATTTTTCATAGGGAAAAAAAAGTTGGTCTAGGAGATAATTCCACAGTAAAGAGCAGTAGAAAGGCAGGGCGCGGTGGCTCACACCTATAATCCCAACACTTTAGGAGGCCCAGGTGTGCGGATCACGAGATCAGATGGAAACCATCCTGGCTAACACGGTGAAACCCCATCTCTATTAAAAATACAAAAATTAGCTGGGCATGGTATTGTGCACCTGGAGTCCCAGCTACTCGGGAGGCTGACACAGGAGAATCACTTGAACCCGGGAGGCGCAGGTTACAGTGAGCTGAGATTGAGCCACTGCACTCCAGCCTGGCGACAGAGTGAGACTCCGTCAAAAAAAAAAAAAAAAAAAAAAAAAAGCAGTAAAAGGAGGCATTGAGCCAAAGGACTTAAAAAGTCTGAACAGGAAAGACTGGGCATTATGTCTCTGGAAAATATCTGCATGTTGGCAATTGTTTTCAAGGATAAAAGAAAAATGACAGATGGATATAGACACAGGTATAAGTATGGAAGAATATATGTTCATACATGTGTGAGTGTGTGCACATATAATACAGGAAGAAAAATTATTTAAATATTTAACATGATCTGTCCTGCCAATGTTGCACATTTCTAAACTTTGTGAGAACGTGGAAATATCTCAAGTGACACTCTCTGTCAGACGGCACTATACAATATTGTAAATTCTATTTGGACTCTTTAAGAAATAAGACATTTTTCATGGATCTAAAACAAAGAGTTAGAAAAAGAGGGAAGGAAAGAAAGAGAGAGAGAGAGAGAGAGAGGAATCCCGAGGAAACTGAGCCCATATAGGAAGTTGAAAGAGTGAATTTTAGACTTGAATTTTCTTAAACTTTAATAAACAAAAAAGAAAAATTTTATTTTAAGCATTAATTCCTTTGCTTAACTTTCTAAGTTAAGTTTCATAACTTGTGAAGTTATTATTTTAATTTTTGGACTTTAATTTCTTCCAGAAATTTTGGGATACAGTTTAGTTTGAATTTAAGAACATCTTTACATCATTTGCATTTTGGTCATTCTATAGCATTTAGTCTTACTGTAGAATCACTAATAAGATGTATACAACATGGCTGGACATAATTTGAAATGAAAAACTAGCAAACAATATGAATTTTTAATTTCAGGTTCTGATCATGATGGAATGAAATAGTCCAAAAATGCTCTCTTGCAATGTTAAACTAAATAGACATGGACAGAATGTAGAAAATAACTATTTTAAAACATTGGACAACATGCAGCAAAAAAAGTGACCCCTGAAAAAAGGAAAGAAAACAACGTGAGTCTCAGGATTGCTGTAGCTTTTGACTGGAGGAAATTACTGAATGAGGGGGAGGCAGCAGAAACCAACCAGATACCAGCAATCTTGCTGAATAAAGGAGGCCTGGGTCAGAGTTAAAGGAGGAAAAAGCAGCTAGACTGTGTTGGAGGGAGTGCCCCAAACAAGGGAGATGTGTAGAAACGGAGTTCCAGATATTTTCACATAGGTCCTCGTGAAACTTTATTTGAATATAACCTGTTCATGTATTACTAGATCATTTTGGCTGGCCTAGTTTAGTGGATCTTCAGTGTATGCTATCTGGTGTTCTGTTTAGGTATAGAATTAAAACCCACAAGGTCAAACAAGGAAAGTTCCCAAGAAAAGAAACTTTATAATCCAAAAGATTATTACAGATAGCATTATATTGTATATCATTAGGTGTCCAGCAGAGACCTTGTGGAATAAGCAGTGCCATCAGTAGTGACAATAGGGGAGCCACGTGCTTAGTGTTCTTAGGGGGGTTAATATTTTTTAGAATAAACACTATTCTAACTTCACCTGTTCACCACCACCCCAAAATACTCTTAAAAAACAACTGTCAAAATTATTAATGTAACACAAAAATAACTAAATTACCTGCCAGATAAAGCCCAATACTTTTTAACAGAATGAAATAAAACCTAGCAATAAGGAACTTAAAATTCATAAAGTATAGCATTGAGTTAAAGAATATTAGTCTATGAAAAATTATGAAAATTAGTCTATGAAAAAATATTAAAAATGTAACGCATTGGAGAAAAATTTTCCTGTAAAAACCCAATCTTAAAATGACAGAGATCATCACTAGCAGTAGATGACCAACAGTAGTTTAGACACTTATAAAGAAAAGATTAACAACATGAAGACAGTGCCAGAGAAATTATCTAAAATGAACCACGAAGAAAATGAATACTATATGATAGAGATAGAGGGATACAGATATAGATAGATACAGGTAATTTCAAAATAAAATTATATTCACTTAATAATGTGATTTTTAATGTACTTACTGATTTTTGAAAATTATATATATAATTTGTATTTTATATTATAATTTACTCAAATAAATTATAAAATAAAATGAATTATGATTAAAATAAACAGTATAATTATATATGAATTATATATTTAATTAATAGCTATAATTAAAAGTATTTACAATATAATACATATTTATATACATATATACTATATAGCAAATATATATTTATGATATTTTACATGTAATAAAATTATCTTTATACACTTAATAGTCATATACTATCTATCTATAATCAGTGGGACAACATTAAGTGATGTAGCATGCATATAATTGGAGTGTCAGGAAAGAAGAGAGAAGGGAAAAAATTGAAATAAATTAGTGGCAAAATAAGTGATAAAGAATAATCTTTAGGCATCCAGAGAAATAACATACATTTAATACAGAGAAACAAAGAAAAATGTAGAGCCAACTTCCTACTTCTTTGTCTTATATCTCATTCTGCTTCAGAATGCAGCTAGAGAACCAGACTCTATTAAATTTTCTTAAATCTGGCCAAGTTAAATGTCAAACACCAGAGGCATATTAGTAAAACAATAAAACTTCAAAAGTAGAGAATTTGATCTCCTCCCTTGTTTATTTTCATTTTTCTTATTGTGACATCAGGTACTTTAGGCTGGCATAGTTCATGGATTTTCAGTGTATATTATCTAGTTTATGTGAACTAATTGGCACATGATAACAAAAAATGGCTTAGAAATCCCAGCCAAGAATCTAGCAGAGTTCGTGTTTGTCCTCCTGCAAATACAAGTTCATCTTTAGCAACAATATATCTGTAAAATAATGATGATATTATCTGATGTAAGAAGCTACCAAGTAATTTTAAAAATGTCCAGAAAAAATTATTTGAAATAGAGATTTATATACTTCTTTCTAACAAGCTGGCTGCTATGATACAATACTGGGTGCCTTAAGCAACAGACATTGATTTATTACAATTCTGGAAGTTGGAAGTCCAGGATTAGGACGCCAGAATATGAAGTTCTGGAGAGGATTCTTTCTGGCTTGTAGATATCTGTGTTCTTGCCTCATATGGTGGAGAAAGAGAGAGTAAGCTCTGTGGTGTCTCTTCTTATAAGGGCACTAATCCCACCATAAGGGCCCCAGCCTCATAACTTCTCTAACCTTAATCACCTCCCAAAGGTTCTCTTCTAAACACCATCGTGATGAGCTTTAGGGTTTCAACACGTGAATTTTGAGGGTACACAAACATTCAGTCCATAACACTAGGGATTGTACCCACTGTCTTAATTATGTTTAGAGTTTATTGATGATTACGAGTTTTCATGGGATTTATGTATGCATATTTTATGCACACACTCATATGGGTTGAGTAAAATAAATAAATAAATTTGGAACCCAGTGATTTTTATGTCTTGTTTGAAATCAGATATTACTGTGTTCAAATCCTGGTAGAGACACATACTAACTGAGTTATGTTGTGCAAATTCCTTAATCTTGTATTCCTATATTCCTATTTGTAGATTAGGAATAAGAAAACATCACTCAGAGTTAATTAACACATGTATATATACAATTATACACATATATGCACACACATGTATGTGTTTAGTACTAGTGCAATATCTGGCACACAGTGCTCAGATATCTTTTATTGCGAATAGTAATAGCATATCATTTTAAAATAACAAACTGCATTTTTTATACTGTTCTTTTTTACTTAATACATAAGGGATTTTTCTAAGTTAATAAATACATTTACCAGTCACATTTTTATGTAGACTAAGGTAATTTCATTGTTTGGATTTACCATAAATTAACTAATCCCCTATTTTTAATTACCTTTAGGTATTTCCCAAGATTTCAAAAAATATAAATGATGTTTCACATTTCATTTCTATATCCTGATATTTCTATCTGTCTCTTTGGGATAAATAAATATTCCATGTTTTAATAGTAGAATATATAAGAAAATATTAGAAACCTACCCTATGGCAAAAGTGTGCTGACTGCTATACTTGCTTATAAAAGTACTTGTTCCTCTATTGTTAAATATCGTTTACTCTCCTTTATTCACACACTAGAATAACATAATATTATTTTTTACTTTTGAAAATTTTTACTGACAATTCAATAAAATATTTATTACCTATTTATGTTACTCCATTTACTTATTTAATAATATACTTTACCTATTATGTATTGATGTTTTTAAATTTTTTTATCCATCTTAGATTTTAATCTCTCCTACATTTTAGCTAGCAAATCTTCCCTATCATGTGTGAAAAGTATTTTTTAAATTCTATGTACTACATTTTTATTTTATGATAACCTATTAATTATCGACATTTTTAAAAGTGAGAAGATCAGTCCCAGAGAACGGCCTCTAAGACTCAGATTTAAATCTTATCATCAAGTGGTAAAGATGGAGTTTGAATATAGGTGTTCCAATTATAAAATTTTTGCTCTTAGTTTCCATAATACTCAATGGTTCTACACAACTCAATTAGTTTCTCTGAATTTCTTCATGTGAGGTAAAGATACCAATATGTCTCTTCTAGGGATTGTGAGATGTAACAAATATAAAATATAAAGCACTGAACACATGGTAAGTGCTGAACAAATGTAAGTATTCTATAGTCAACAATAATACATTAACACTCCAAAACAGCTAGAAGAGAGAATTTTAAATGTTCTTACAAAAAACGATATGTTTGAGATAACAGATATGCTAATCACTTTGATTTGATCATTCTACAATGCACATATGCATCAAAACATCACACTCTACCCCATAAATATGTACAATTATTTGAACTAAAAGCAACATAAAACATATAAAAATATGTTAAAATTAACATATATTTTTGGAAAACTCAAATTAACTCTGTAATCATAAAAAGCATACTGTTACCCAGTAAATCTTCCAATTTATATAACTTAAAATTTCAGTTAGGATGACCTCATGCTTATTTTTTCCTCCCTCAATATCTTAAGGGCCTGATCATAAATATAACAGGAATCAGAAGTGGAACTGTTTTTAAACGTCTCTGAGAGCTGTGAAAGAGAGATTCTCCATTTGGTGAAGGAAAAATCTTCCATTAGAGGCAGATAATGGCGTTCTTTATAAAGCATTTCACATTAACCAGCTCTACAAAACAAGCTCCTGTGGATGCAGTCACATTATCTGAGCCACTAAGTCTCCTGTGAAGCTGGTTTTATATACTCGGGGAAGCACCAAGCCCAAGCAGTTTTGAATACCAGTGGAAAAACAAGACTCTCAGCAGTTCCAGGAAAAATAAATTATTAAAGCCGAAAGAGATGGTGGAACAATTCATCCCCCAAATGTACAAAGGATTCTTGGGAAGGAGGAAGGCAAAATGCTTTTTTTCTTTCAACCAATGCCATTAAAAATAAAATTTACATTTTACTTTAGAAAACTGGCTTTCCAAGTTGAAGGTTGTGACATTTGGCCACACACCTTTACTTATACAAATAAACACATTAATCTCAATGGAACTATGAATTTGCTTCTTTTGTATTAGTGCCAACCTCAGAATGTGCCCTCAATGCCTGATTTTAAGGAATACAGGATGTTAAAAGTGGGTGAGATGAAGCTTGCATGTTAATGTAATTATTTGGAGTCAGTGTTAGAAAATCACTCTTCTATTTAAGGTGGTACCTGATATGAGAGTTTTACATAGTTTTTCAGAAGACTGTTTTATAAGTTTAGGTTGCCAAGAGTTTCCGTCTTTAGGAGTTTCCCTCCCTGATACTCTTTGAGGGAATAGTCACTGCTTCTATCTGATTCCTGTTATAAATTTCATGAATACTCTATTGTATGCTACCGGGCTTTCAGGAGAGAAGATGCCATTTTACTTGAGGTTAGGGACAGATCTCCGAAGAAGGGTCCGTCGTTAGTGATGCCAGTTTGTTGGGGAGATTCTTGCTTCTCACACTAGAAAGCAAAACTAAGAAATACTTCTGCATAGGAGTGACATTCTTGGTCTTGATGAGGAAGGGGACAAGATGATCAGAAGGGTAATAAAGACAGGCTTTAGGTGCTACTTATAGTTTGGGAGGCTGCACTCAAATATGTGTGCCTACCAAGGTTCATGTTTCTTTTGATGTCTCCATCCATGTGCAGAGGACAAAAAACAAATTCTGGGAAGTTCCAAAGGTTATACTTTTCAATTAGGTTGTTTATATTCCATAATAGAGACAACAAAGTGACATATTCAAGGCCACAGAGCTTAGAGAAAATAGCCAGTGAATCCATGAATCGTAGTTCCTTGGCTTAGCATTGTTCCTCATAGACCATGTTGCCTTTTCTACTATTTCTTTGGCCCCACTTGGTCAAATTTAAATTTTCCAGCTTGTTGCTTTTTTTCTCTTCTCAGCAAGAAGGAATTACATGTATAATTAGTATTCAATGAGTAATCCCTTCGTTCTCAATCTACTCCCTTGTTTTTCAGAAGTTCACAAGGAAAGCTTCTAGCATTAACAAATTGAGGTTGACATTAAAATAAAATTCGCATGTCAGGCTTTCAATGTAGGCAGAAGAACAAAGAAAGGGCAAATAGGTAGACTTAGCAAAAATCCTTGGGGGCACTGGAGCAGGTAAATGTACTTGAGAAACAGAAAACATGCGCTATCTCTGAGGGTCCCCACCGAAGTTTGGAGCTGAATAAGGGCAAATAAAACCAACATATCTTCCACTAGCGGTTCCTTTGGTGAAAAAGGGATATAGATGGTAGAAATACAGATTCATTTGTCACAGCTGAGTGAAAAATTCAATGTATAATAAAGAATGTAGGCATTGGAATTATATTGATATGTATTAGAACACTGCCCCCCTCTATATCTCAGCTTAGCCCTAATTTAGCTCCAGTCCCCTAATCAATATATTGGGGTTAAAAATAATACCATAGAGCTGGGAAGGCTATCAGCTAAACCAAACCAGAGGCCATCAAATTACAGCCCATGGCCAAATCTAGAGACTGCCTTTTCTTATTTTTGTAAATAAAGTTTTATCAAAACATAGTATGCCAACTTGTTTGCGTGTCATCTGTGGCTGTGTTTCTGCTGTAATAGCAGAGTCAGGTAGTTGTGACAGAGATCCTATGTCCTGAATTTCAAAATGTTTACCACCTGGCTCTTTACAGAAAAATGTTGCCAACTCTTGGATTGAACTATTTAAAACTTTCATTAAAAGTACCTGGCACATAAAGTGCTGCTCACTCTTGGGTAGCAATTGCTGACTTGTTCATGATCATTATTATCTCTGGATAGAGACTCTGTTTTGTATTAGCCAGCTGATGAAAGCAAATGTTATTGTGTTAATCATGACTTAAATCCTAAATCCTAAATCACAGAGAGCTTCATTAGCTTTCTGTCCTTTTTGCTAAGTCCATAAGCCACTTAGACATGTGGACCAATCATACTATTTATTACAATTTACTATGCAGTTCCTAGTTCCTATTCGTTTCCCATCCTGTGAAACAATTCCAGACCATATACTGGCATTGAGAATATGATTTCTTCCTTCAACAAAATGTTGAGATTTCAGGTCAATCTGAAAGCCCTTTTTCTCTATTTTCTACCTGTTTCTTTGGAACTTTTCTCTCCAACTGCGAGAAAATTTTCCCTCCAATCAATGAGAGCAGGAATCCCTTTAAGCACTCCCCAAATCCCCAGACACTCACTCTGGTCCTGCTCAGGCATTGCAAACAGTAGAGAAGTACCTAGAGTTCGTTTGGATCTTAGTTTTAGCCAGGGTTATCCAGAGGGAAACATGTACATTGAGAGAGAGAGAGAAGTGAGAGATGGGATTTATTAGGGGAATTGACTTACTCACTTATGATGGCAGGAAAGTCCCAGGATAGGTTGTCAGCAAACTGGAGAATCAGAGAAGCCAATCCATGTTTGAAAGCCTTAAAACCAGGAAAGCTGATGACGTAACTCAATTCAAAACCTAAGGTCTGAGAAACTGTTGGCCACTGGTGAGAATCCTGGAGTTCAAGAGCTGAAGACTCTGGAGTGTTTGAGGAACAGTTATGAGGTCATTGTGGTTGGGTTACAGTGGATAAGAGAGTAGCTCAATAAGAGATGAGAGGGAGGAGGGGCAAGCATGCACTGTCTTATAATTCACTGTTAGTTGGATTTTATTTTGAGTAAAATGGAAGTCATTACAGATTTTGCAAAAGTGTTAAGTGATCTGACTCAACTTGGCTACTATTTGCAAATAGATTGAAAGGGTCAAATGCAGAGCATGTCATTCCCCTATGGGAAAATGAAACATAAATCAAAACTCCAGCTGGCTTAAAAGACTGTCCCATATGGCCCCAAAATACCTTTCCAGCTTCATCTCTTCGCAGTCCCTCTATGGGACCTTTACTACAGCCACATCATCTTCAGACTTCCCTAAAGGATCCCGGACAAAATGCTTCTCCCTCCATGTGAATTTCCTTCTCCATCTTCTCAGAAAAAAACAACGTCTACATAGCTTTTCAAACCCAGCCCAGTGAATCTGGACTGTTCTGCCGGAAGCCCTTTTCAGCTCTCTTACATATGGTGACTTTTCTGTAGGATCTCCTGCATCACTTTGGGCATGCTTCAACTCCTAAGCTGGCTCAGTGAATTAATTATCATTTATTCAAGTGGACACTTGTGCAGCCAGACTCCGACCATATAGGCAACCAGTCCCTGGGTGGGAGTCAGTGCTCAGTGTATGTAAATGAATGAATAAATAATTAAAAAGAATTAATGATGTCAAAGTACATCCTTTTCAACCATCATGTTCCCTATCCCCATGATAGTGATGTTCTTAAACTCCAACATGGCAATGGTTACTCCAGGGTCCCATTTTTTTTCTTTCACCCACCTCCACTCCTAATGGCCTTGACTGGGGAGCCTCAGCCAATAAGCCTTTGCCAAAATGTTTTTCAAAAATATGAAGGACACAGATTCCATGTGAAAGAACTGTTTGCATTACCAATATGTAATGTGCCTTTTCTTGAAGAAATTTGAACACCTCTAATAAAGTCAATATGTTTTTTGTCACTTGAGAGTCTTTTATTTTAAATACATTTCTGAGGTGTCATATTTACTTCCCTCAAAGGAAGACAGCAACCTCCCACAAAGAGGGAAAAGAGAAAAATGAAAAAAAAAAATCAAAATGCATTAGCTAATAGCTTATATAGGTCCTCTGCCCTGGGCCATTAATTACAACCTGTGGAAATGTCCCTTTTTCCCTCTGTTTCAATCAAGTCATCTTTACTCCAAGCTACCTAATACAGTTTTTGTGTGATTTTTCTAAGTACGTGGAAATGTCCCTTTTCCCCTCTGTTTCAATCAAGTCATCTTTACTCCAAGCTACCTAATACAGTTTTTGTGTGATTTTTCTAAGTACCATGAGATCATGAGACCATAGAGGAGCAGAAGTAAAATTACATGAAGAGTGGAGGGGGAAAAAAAGACATGAAAGGTTATTTTGTTTGATAAAGGTCAGTCTAGCTGGGCCCCCACACATTGATTTTCTTAGCTGCTACAGTTAAACAAGTCTCAAAAATAAATGTATTATAGGTAATGGTATGTTTGCAGCCATCAAGTTGAGCTTTAATTCCAGAATGTAATCAATATGCCTTTGTGTTTCCATAACAGAACATGAGCAAAAAACCTGTGATTGGGGCATATGTGTTTGTATAGTTGCTGGTATTTCAGGCCAATGACTGCTTTGACAAATGATACCTTGCTTTCAATCAATAACTCATAAGCCACAATTTACTTTTTCCTTACCTTAAACTATAGCTAAAAGAGGCACACGTCATTATAATTTCCACTTAAAACATGGGTAATAGGGTAAGAGTTGATTGTGGATATGTGCATATATGTGTGCACGTCTATGGCTCAAAGGGCAAAACAACCACCAAGAGCAGTGGATTCTGCTGTTAGGAACAGTTTGAAGGCTCATATAATTGGGGAAGAAATACTGCCAGAGAAATTTGGCAATATATATTAATATTCTTCAGTACCTCATGTCCTTTGACTCAGAATCCCATTTTGTCTGAATGTGTCCAGTGGAAATAATCCACTCCCTGGGATAAGGGAAGATTATATACAAAGATGTTTATTGTGGCATTAATTATAATTGGAAAAAATAGAAGCAAGACAATTTTACAACAATAGTCATGGTGAGTGTCCCTGGTTGGGTAGTAGACAGCCATCACTAATGAAATGGGAAAATGTTAAGGGAAAAAAGTGAAAGAGAAAATTGTAAACTTGGCATTATTAAAAATATGCAGAAAAATATACATATTAAAATGTGGGGGAGAAATATGCTGAAACATGTTTATTGATGATTTTAAGGTTTGAAGAATAGGAAATTTCAAATTTTGTTCCCCATCACTATCAATTTTCTATATGTATTATGAGTAGAATTTTTCTTAAAGTAAAATTTTTTACTGAATAACTTGGTATCTTAAATTAGTGTACTGACATCAAAGGAAGACACAGAATAAAAGGATAATAAACTTACTTTCTAAACATTGAATAAGGACAATTTCCTGTGCCCCAAAATGCTATAAATAAAACTACAAGTCAAATGGCACACTGTAGGTGGGAAATGGAATAAATGTTAATTTTATTTATATTTGTTAATATTCTTAAAAGCAAATATTCTTAATGTATAAAAAGCAGTAAAACAATAGACATATCAGTGAAAGAATTAATCATAAGCTTTCCAAAACGTGAAATACATACATATATATACATATATTTACATATACATACATAAACATACATATTCAGAACATTTAAATTTTCAAATTTTAAATAAATTTTCAAGATTATTAAAAGGTAAAAAAAAATTAAATAAAAATAGCTACTATGATTTGCCTAAAATAGTAGCAACTATATTTTTAATTGCAATACTCAGGATTGAAAGAGTAGTGTATGCTAGGGTCTGATAGTCTCACTGGCCAAAGTCCTCTATCACGTGTTCTTCTGTGGTCAGGTGTTATGTCTCTTAAGGCCTAGCAGGACACCAGTGGCTGTTTTTTGAATGGTGGATAACTCTGATGCAAATGGCATGGCCTTGCCTTGGAACCCTAGAGGGATCCATTATAATTCTCTTATTGTGGTTTGTTATAAATGTTACACAACATCTTTTCTGACTACAAATGCATTTAGTCCTACTGTGTCTGCTGGGTCCTATGGCTCAAGTGGCAGAGCTGCTTGTGCTGCAGTCTGGACCTGCTGCAAGAGCCTTTTCCTGCTCTGGGGCCCATTCAGAACTGGCAGACCTCCATGTCACAGGGAAAATGGGTGTAGCAGCATTGCCAAGTGTTAGAATGATGCCTCAAGAACCCAAAGAATCTTACAGGCACTGTGTTTCTTTCCTGATAATGGGAGGTATAAGATGCAACAATTTGTTCTTTATTTTATAGTGGATGCTCCAGTCTTCCCAGCCCAGTATATCCCTAAAGTATTTACTGACATGTCAGGACCCTGAATCTTTGAGTTTATTGCCTACCATATGGAGTACATAAATGTTAGGAAGGCCTCCAACACACTTGTCATTTGTTGCTCATCCAGTTCACTTAATGTGATGTCATTGATTCAGTGGAACAATATCTTATTTTTCAGAATGTTAGTCTCTCCAGGAGCTTTCAGCTATATTATAATAAAGGTGGAGGAATTAACATTGTGGGGTAAGAGCATATCTGTGTATTCTTTTCCATCACATGAACATGTGATATAGTTCTAAGTCTCCTTCTTGTAAGAAATGGAATAAAACACACTCATTTGCCTAGTCATCTGAGGCTAATCTGCTTTAGTGATTCTGGAGAAATTATCTTACAGAGCTGGTTAAATCTAATGCATCTTGTTGAGTATATTAATAAAATAAAAGCTTGAGTATTATTAATAATTGCCAAATTGAAACAAAATGTAAAAGTAGGGAGCCTCTTTGGTGGCATGTTAATATATACCCATTTCATACAGCCAAAAGGTAGATATAGCAGAGCGTCAGGCCAAGGAATTAGTTATAAGAATAAAAGAACTCCTGACAAGATTACATTCTCAACCTCAGGAAGTCGGATAGACAAAGATCAGGAACAGAGGGATATCCAGAGTAAGGATCTCTGAGACAATGCATTTAAGAACCTTAAAATCCAATATTCTCCTGAACCCTCTGGGCTTGCAGAAGTGGTCCACTTCTTCCTATTCATGTCTGACACTTTCCATTTCTTTAAAGACAATGGAGAGGTATTTGCCTTAGAAAGCAGCGTACACCTCCCTGAGGATTTATCCCTAACTCCTCACCTGGCCATCAGACTAATAATGCGTAGATAACATGGCTTGAGAAATGATGAACCTGCTAAGTAAAGAAAGGGATTCATAGACTTTTACAGTTAAAGAAACATACATATAGGCACTGATTTTCACACTCAGAATTGTTACAACATAATTTTATATGGTGAAAGAGATACAAATCTTGTTTTTTACATTAAATTCTAAATTGCTGAGCTAATAGTATAGCTACTTCAATTTATAGGAGAAAGACACATACCACTCTTGAAAGTATCAACAGAATAATTTGAAGTTTTATGTTCTCTTTTTTAAGTTTCTTGTTATGAACTGTTATGGAATACACCCAGATTTTTATTTATGGCATTTCTATGCCATAAATAATTAGGTGTTGAATTTCTAAGGGGATTCAAGACAATGATGTTAAACTTTCAACAGACAATTGCAATTCTGGAATCCAATCATGTATTATTTTTTTCTCTAAACATAAAGAGGTTACTGTAAATCCTAAAACAATATAAAACAGGTGGGAAGGGAAATTTCATCAGTATTCATAAAGAATCATATTTATTGTACCTTAAATTATTTTTCATTTTACTGTGATTGTTTTTCCTATGAGCTGGGTGGCTCATACGTCCTTCATGTTTCTGAATAAATTCTGTCACCTAGCATAGCACTTTTAATATGAAAGAGCTTCTATTGATTTTTGTCCTTTGGGCCAGATTAGTGACTTGAAGTTCAAGGTACATTTTTTTTTTTGACATAGTCTCGCTCTGTTGCCCAGGCTAGAGTGTAGTGGTGCTATCTCTGCTCACTGCAACCTCTGCCTTTCGGGTTCAAGAATTCTCCTGCTTCAGCCTCCCGAGTAGCTTGGACTACAGGCATGCGCCACCACGCCTGGTTAATTTTTGTATTTTTAGTAGAGACGGGGTTTCATTATATTGGCCAAGCTGGTCTCGAACTCCTGACCTCAAGTGAGCCACTTGTCTTGGCCTCCCAAAGTACTAGGATTACAGGCGTGAGCCACCATGCCCAGCTTCAAGGTACATTAAAAGTCATTCAATGGGCCGGGCACGGTGGCTCACACCTGTAATCCCGGCACTTTGAGAGGCCAAGTCAGACAGATCATGAGGTCAGGGGATCGAGACCATCCTGGTTAACAGGGTGAAACTCCGTCTCTACTAAAAATACAAAAAATTAGCCGGGCGTGGTGGCGGGCTCCTTTGGTTCCAGCTATCCCGGAGGCTGAGGCAGGAGAATGGCGTGAACCCGGGAGGCGGAACTTGCAGAGAGCCGAGATTGTGCCACTGCACTCCAGCCTGGGCAGCAGAGCAAGACTCCGTCTTAAAAAAAAAAAAAAAAAAAAAAAAAGAAGTCATTCAATGTACATTGTGGAGTGCAAGCTCTGAGAGCTTCATTTATTATGCGAGATGTACTGAGGTCCTGCTATATGCCAAGCAACCTGCTGGCCACTCCACAAGCTGGGTTGATTAAAGCAAGATCTCTGCTGTCGAGGAACTCACCTCTTGTAGGTAAAATATACTTTAATCCCTTGAAATTGATGCATGCAACAACAAACATACTTTATGGAAAAGATCCTCTATGAGGACTGACTCTTGGTGAGTAATGGTAATTTTTAGCTTCCCAGATAAAATCAGTGGTCTGGTGTTACAATTAGAATTCGATTTCATCGAATCAGATTTCGTCACAATTCATTATGACATTCTTAATGCAAACAATTCCAAAAAATACTATTATATCTCAGGGTAACTTATAAAGGAAAGAGGTTTAATTGACTCACAGTTCAGCATGGCTGGGAAGGCCTGTTGAGCCCTACTATTTTTTGTTCTTATTGCCATGGATGTTTCCCGGATACAGCGCAGAGATTCAAGGCCCTGGAGGAGACTTGTAGCCTCTGTAAATTGAGGAGATAGAATCGAGAATCTGGGGAGTCTAAGATAGCTAGTTTACATTATGGAATACTGGGAGGAGAAAGTTGCACACAGAGAAAGAGAGAGCTTTGGACGATGGAACACAGTTCTGCTTGAGTTTTCAGCAGATGAGCACATGAATGTGAGCAAATGACCTGAGGCTGTGGCGGAAAAAAAGAGACCTGAAAAGACTAGAGAGCCAGGAACAGTGCCTGTTGCCACCAATGAGACAAGAGAAAGGTTGTGATTCCTGGGGCACTGTGTCTTGTTTTAAAGAAGGGCCTCTCGCCAAAGGGTCTTGCATCAATGATGGGTAATAATTAATCCGCGACTGAGAACTGTTCAGGTACTACCTAACGAATTTTAAAACAACTGCAAAGGATCAAACTGTTTCCAAGATACTATGCCGTGTACAAAAATAACACTAAAATGCATTCATACAAGCAAAAATATTCAGTGCCATAGCAAGGTACAATTTACAATGTTTGGCATCTATTAAAATATCGCCAGAAATAAAAACCGGTAGAAAAATTATGAACCATAATTAGGAAAATAAATTAAAAATTGATCTTGATATGACTCAGATGCACATAAGAAATTGGCAGATAAGCATATAGAAATATTTATTTTAAATGTATTCTGTATGTTTAAAAGATAAGTGGAGACATATTAGATATAAAAAAACTCAGATTGAACTTCTAGAGATAAAATTTACAATGTGTAATTTAAAAATACATTGGATAAAATTATTGACAGAATAAACATTGCGGATAAAAACTTAGTGAACTCAAAGACAGAGTGGTAGAAGTTCTCTAAGATGGAATTGGGAGAAAAAAGAGAAAACAAAAACAAAAACAAAATCAACTGAATACAAGTGAGCTGTGGACAAATGAAGCAACCTAAAATATATATAATTGCAGTCAAATGAGGCAACCTAAAATACATATAATTGCAGTCCTAAAGAAGAAAAAAATAAAAATATATATATTTTTAAAATTCGTGAGCCATTCTCAAGTCGATAAAAATATTAACTTAAACACCCAAGAAACTTAACCCACCCATGTGCACACACACAAACATACACACAAATCATTAAGAGCGCTAGTATATGTACACCATAATCAAATTGCCCAAAATCAATGCTAAATGAAACTCTTAAACCAATTATTGAAAATAGACAAGTCACAGACAGGAAAAAGTATAAAGGTGGTATTATATTCCTTATTCAAAACAATGCAAACTAGAAGACAGTGGTCCTATATCTTTTATTATTATTATTATTAATTTGTTGGTTGTTGCACCTACTTTAATAAGAACTTCAAAAGAGAAGCATCTATCTGGTTCTAAATGTCTTTATAAACACAAAGGCTGAAGTCCTTGGCGGGTTTCTGAGGCAGCCCTGAGCATCCCGCAGGCGACCGGCCGCACTGGGACAACACCACGCTGTTTGCTTAAAGTTAAAACAGTCCTAAGGAGAAAGAAAGAACTGGCGAGCCAGCAGGTCAAGCGTGTTGACAAAGCTTCCAGTCAGTAAGCACGCAGTTTGTACGGTTGCAGGGAGGTGCGTGATATCCGTGCGGAAATCCTCCAGGGCATGTTTAACGCCAGAAGCTCGGGCACGTTTAACGCCAGACTTGGACAGAGCCCCACATCTACGTGGGAGCTGTAGGAAGCAAGGCAGGCGTCAGCTGCCTCATGAGGATCTGACATGGTTCCTTTATAAAAGTGCCTTCTCCAAAAAGCAAACTACCCCTTTGCCTTTGAAAGATAAATACAATACAAACTTAGAATACATATAGTTGTCGACATTGTGTGCAAAGAACTGTCAAGGTGACTTTCTGTAAACCTTCTTGGGTTTGGAAAGATACTTCAAGTATTAACTGGATTAATTTTAGAAAAAGTGTGACTTTAGGTCAAACACACCTTTACAAAAGAACAGCGATTCACTCGGGAGCTGTAGACGCAGTCTGATCTTAGTGAACTAGTCTCCTGGCTGCTTTTGAATGATCTTTAAAAAAATTGATTAAGTTTTAAAATACAAAATCTGACACCAAATGTAAATATATTTGCGACCGCAGGCATTCGAGATACTGGGTACCTCCCTGTATTCAGCAGCCTACACAAGTCAAGCAAATGGTGTGGTGGTCTTGGAGGTCTCCTCCTCATGGAGACGTACATGGGACTGATGGCTTTCACTGACAAGAGGCTAAACTGGGCTATTCCATGACCAGGGACAAAATAGGCTTTTAGCCTCTAAGAAGGACAAGGAATGTGGGGGCCGGGGGTCTGTCAGTCTTCATGCAGCCCTGCTGCTGTCTGGAAGGATGGGGGTCGTTTACCTTTGGGATCTCAGTACAATTAGAACAGTAAAGTAAACTGTATATTTAATTGAATATTAGACTCTGCTGATACAAACTGGAGACAAAAGCAAAAATAATCTAGCTGCCATTGTGCTGCTGTAATTCATTTTCTGTAACTTCAGTTCTGGGGTTTTTCCTCTAGTGGATTTACTTGGCTTCTCATGGTTCTTCTCACCCCAACCACTCCAGCATGCTAAGACACTGCAGCACACGCCCGGACCTATATCTTTTAAATCCTGGTAAAAGAAAAATTCAACCTAGAATTCTATACCAGAGAAGATATCTTTACAAAATAAAAGTTAAAAGGCATTGTAGACAAACAAAAGCTGAAGAAAGTTCAACACCCGGAGACCCACGCTATATGAAATATTAAAGGAAACTCTTTATGAGGGAGAAAAAATGATACTGGATGGGAGCATGGATGCACAAAGGAATAGAGAGCAAAGACAGCATACCTACACAGTTAAATGTATTGGATACTTTTATTTTTATTTAAGTCACTTCAATGGTAATTGAGTGTTTACAAATACTGATCTGTAGAATTTCTACCACATGTAAAAATATACTGTATGACAGCAATGACACTAATATTGAGAATAATAAGTACCAAATAGAATAACATAGTATTGATGCTATCATTATTTTATGTAAAGTAGAATATCTCTTTAATGTAGAGAACAATAAGGTAAAGATGTAAAGCTTAATAAACCAGTAAAATAACAAAACAAAATGTTACAGTCTACTCAAGCCAACATAGCTACAATGTAATAATGAAAAATTTTGGATTAAAAAGAAGGAAGGAAGGACAAAGTGAACAGACAGAAAATAGGATATACTTAAAACAAATGCTATAGTATACTATCCAAATACTACAAGTTACTATATTTAAAGCTAACATGATTAATTATCACATTAAAAGTACATAGTCTTTATAACACAATTAATAAATAGGTTGTCAGGTTGGATTAAAAAGGACAGCCCAACAACATGATGCCTACAAATAAACACACTTTAAAAATAAAAGAAAAGATAAGTAAAAATAAGAATAAAAGGATGAAAAATAATATGTCTGGCTAACACTAAACAAGAAACACTAAAGAAGCTAAGTTAATATGGGAAAGAGAATTTCAGAGCAAAGAATAATGCCAGGTTAAACAAGGTCATTTCATAATAATGAGGTCCATTCAAGAAGAGAATATATTCCTAAATATTTATACCCCTAATAACAAAGCCATAATGTATATAATACTAAGTAATAGAATTAAAGGAGAAATAATTAACTCTATACTCACAGTGGGAGATTTCACACCTCTCTCTCAATAATTGGTGAAATAAATATAAAATTAATGATTATATCAATGATATGAAGAGCATGATCAACAAACTTGACTTGTAGAAAACACCTTAAATTATAAAAAATTATACCCTGCTCATTGGTTCATTGGTAGAAAGATTCAATATTCTTTTTTTTTTTTTTGAGACATAGTCTTGATGTGTCACCCAGGCTGGAGTGCAATGGTGCTATCTCGGCTCACTGCAAGCTCCACCTCCCAGGTTCACACCATTCTCCTGCCTCAGCCTCCCAAGTCCCTGGGATTACAGGTGCCCGCCACCACGCCCAGCTAATTTTTTTGTATTTTTAGTAGAGACTGGGTTTCACTGTGTTAACCAGGATGGTCTCTATCTCCTGACCTCGTGATCTGCCTCCCTCGGCCACCGAAAGTGCTGGGATTACATGCATGAGCCACCATGCCCAGCCAGAAAGATTCAATATTCTTAAGCTATCAGATCTCCCCTAATTGATCTGTGGTTTCAACACAATCATAATCAAAACCCCAACAGACTTTTTGTACAAATTGGTAAGATAATGCTAAAATATATATGGAAATGCTAAAGACCCAAAATAATCAAAACAACTGAGAAAAAAATGGCAAAGTTATAAGTCTCTATTTCAAATGTTATAAAGTTATAGCAATGGAGACAATGTGATATCATCAACATGGTATTGGTTAGTAGAACAGATTAGAGAATCTATAAATAGAATTAAATATACATGAACTACAGATTTTTGACAAAGGTGCAAAAGTAATTCAGTGGACAAAGTATAGTTTTTCAACAAATAATCCTGGAATAGTTGTATACTCATATGTAAAAATGAACTTTAGTATGTACTTATAGGCCATATACAAAAATTAAATACAGTGTATCGTGTACCTACATGAAAACCTAAGATACAAATCTTTTAGCAAAAAATCATTGTAACTTTGGTTTAGGCAAACATTGCTTAACTTAAACATCAAAAGCATTATTCCTAAACAATCAAATTGAAAAATTAGACATCATCAAAATAAAAAAACTGCTATTTAAAACACAATGTTAAAAGAATAAAAAGGCAAGTCACAGACTGAGAGAAAATATTTGTTAACCATGTCTGTTAAAGTGTTTGTATCAGAATAGATGAATGATCAAAACTCAATAAAAAATCCACTAAATAGACCATTAAAAATGGAGAATAGATTTTAGCATACTATTCTTCACTAAAAAGATACATGGTCAGCAAATCTGCACATGAAAATATGCAAGTATGATCAGTCCTTAGGAAATGCAAATTAAATACGTAATGAAATACCACTACACACATATTAGAATGACAAAAATTAAGAAGGCTAAGCATTTGTATGTAAATGCTCATAGCAACCTTATGATAGCCCTTAACTGGAAACAACCCAAATATTAATAAACAAATGAGTGGGCAAACAGTATTCCTCAGAATTAAAATGATTGGAAATCATTCAGTAATACAAAGGTGTGATTTACTGATCCATACTACAACATGGATGAATCTCAAAATAATTTGAAATAATAGAAGCCACACAAAGAAAAATATCATACCCTATGGTTCAAATTATATAATTTCAAGAAAATATGAAGCAATCTACAGTGACAGAAGGCAGAGCAGTGGCTCCCTGGGCAAGTGTGGAGGCGTGGCCAAAGGGATTAGTGAGAGGAGTGCATAGTACATAATGAAACTTTTGGGGGTGATTAATACATTTATTACCTTGATTGTGTTCAAGGTTTCCCGGATGTTTAAATATGCCAAAACATATCAAATTATACACTTCAGATATGTACAATTTCTTGTATATTAGTTTACTGGAATAACATTGTTAAAAATAAAAGGAAAATGTAGTAAAGAACCAATATCGGTTTTAGAATGGGTGAATAGAAAGGTTTCTGAAGGGTTCCTCTGGGCTCTTTCATTTATTTAATTATGTAATAATTTAAAGTACAATAAAAAACTTCAGAAGAAAATATGAATTATTGTATTAAAAATGTGAAACCTGGCTATATAAAAATGAAACTGAAAATTAACAAAACAAATGAAACTTAAAATACAACAAAATAAATTACAGATAGAGTACAGGTAATATGTTATAATAAAATATAGGTAAATAAATAAATATTCCATAAGGTAACAATTGCTTTCTAAGATTAAAAGCAAACAATGGAAAATAATGAAGATTTTAACAGAGAAGAATTAAAAACATTTGCAAGTCATAATCATCATAATCAAAACTATATGCCAAATAATGTTGGAATAATGTTGGACTACTAGGAACAATTATTCACAAAATTAATGTATTTTATATAGAAATAGCAATACAGGTAGGTTTATAAGAAATATAATGACATAAATTTTAAAATGAATAAATTAGATCAGTTTTGTTTTAGAAAATTAACAAAATGAAATGGCTAGTTAATTAACTCAAAATGTTCAGCCTTAGCACTAATAAAGGAAATAAAAAATCGAGTATTTCATTCTTTGAAAAATAGTATTCACTAATCAATTGATCAAATATTAACAATAATGATAATGATAACAAAAATATGAGAGATGGCCATTCATATAATTAGCAATGGAAATGCAAACTGATGTATCCTATCTGAAAAACAATTTGTCAATCTGCATAAAAAGTCCCAAGTTTTTTTCAAATCAATGCCAAAGTGCTAATCTCAAATTTAGATGAATATTAATGCAAGTATCTTCTTAATTTTTATAATAGCAGTTTTTTTTTTTTTGGAGATGGAGTTTTTCTCGTTGCCTAGGCTGGAGTGCAATGGTGCGATCTCAGCTCACTGCAACCTCCACCTCCCGGGTTCAAATGGTTCTCCTGCCTCAACCTCCCAAGTAGCTGGGATTACAGGAGACTGCCACCACGCCATTTTTTGAATTTTTAGTAGAGATGGGGGTCTCACCATGTTGGCCATGCTAGTCTCAAACTCTGACCTCAGGTGATCCACCGGCTTTGGCCTCCGAAAGTGCTGGAATTACAGATGTGAGCCACCGCACCCAGCTGCAAAATTTTTAAAACAATATAATGTCCAAAAATAGGTATAATATATGGCAAATATCTTAATATTTTTGAAGAATATTAAATAATATGAGAAATGCCTATGGTTATGTTCCATAGAATAAAATGAATAAATGTAAATGTATTAATTGCTTGTGGTATGAAATGTATATATTTAAGAAACAAAGGATAACATGGTAGAATAAAAGTGTTAATTAGGTATGTTGATTTGCATATTATCTATTATATAGATACATTTATTAATGTATAACAAAGGGGACTGAAAGAATGAATGACAAACTTGCATAATTCCCTAAAATGAAGGAAAGGTATTGATCATTGGGAAGAATGGGAGAGGCCATTTACAAGACGGACTTTGATATTTTACAATGTATAAGTCTGTAAAGTTTAGCTTTTTAGCAATATGAATGCATTTGCACATTACCTCCATAACATGCAAATACTTCTGTATATGCTGGACTGCCACATCAGTTTGTGTAACCTTGACCTGTTTCTTAGCTCCAAATTTATTTATAGTTCATGAAGAGACATGAGTAATCACTATACAATATATATTTTCAATACTTTACAGAGAAATTGTCATTGTGATGCACACACACACTGTGTAGACACACATACACTTGCAGAATGGTCTAGGAACAAACCCATTAGAATAAATTTATTTTGCAAGTAACCTAACATGGTACATTTTGCATATTGTTTACTATATCAGTATGTTTCCCTTTATTTACACTGTCTGGGAACTCCCTGGGCTTTTAATGTCAAAAAAAAAAAATGGTGCTGAGCACTTCACTGTTAATGGAAAGGGGTAAAATGACAAGGGAGCCTCAATAATTTTGCACTTTAGTTGGAGTCAAAGATAATGTAAAAATGCTTAAAAGCAAGTTCTCTTTGGACAATATTGAGAATATCTTGCTTGAGTTTTTGCTGTTAAGGAGACGTAGTATTACTGATAAAAATCAAAACAAAGCCATTGATGATTAATTGGTATGAAATATTTGGCATGGGAATTTTACCTAATTTAAGATTTCAATGGATATTTTGCAAAATCTTTTTATCACTATTATTAGTAAGCCTCCAATCATTCTATTGACATTTATTGAGGGTTGGCACTTGAGCTGTTGGAATTACACCTGCTCTTAGAAAATTTTATTTTTCAAAACATTTATAGCTCTGCATTGTATAAATAAGCTTCAAGTACTTAAAGAACACATAAAACCCAGATATTCTGTGAGTAAAGGGTTATTATTGCCATGTAATAATGTATAACATGTTTCATATTAATATCTGTGGTTTTCTTCCTTAACATTTATTTACTCTATACGCTTACGGTTTTACCCTCTCAAAAAAAATTCAGTGCCAGGGAATCACATTACCATTCACTTGTCAGTCTTGAGCCTGGGGCCTCTGAAAGTAGGCAGATCTTGTTCGAGGCTGGGAGCCCAGTGGGACCTGGTAGGAGAAAAGTGAGAGTCACTAACTTTGAGATGTCCTAAGGCTCTTCAGGAATGACTCTGCTATGGGACACAAAGCTACCTAGCCACCAGGAAAAGGCCAAGGGACATATGGGGCCAGTCCCTTGTGCTTAGCTTAACCTAGATTCTGTGCCTAATGGGTGTACTAAGGGACTTGGTGGGGAGATCATGATTATCTTGGTAATAATCCCCCCTGAATTATATGTGAGTGAGAAATAAACTCCATCAAAGCCCAGAAGTACTTCAGAGTTGCTAAGTGTGTGACTTTGGGCAGGATGCTCAGCCCTCCGAGAATCTGCCCTCACCTGCCAAAGGAAGCTAATGATACCTGCCCTACCCTCTTCTCTGATGTGCAGCAGTTCTCTAACTCATTAATTAAGCAGATATGAATTACGACTTAGTATGTTCCTTGATTCCGTGAAAGGCAGCAAGGTCACAAACATGAATAAAACATCCCCACTCAACAGTGGCTCACAGTCCATCAGGGAGACAAATAGGTAAGTAACTCATAGTGCCAGAGCATGGGGGTGCCGTGATGAAACCACAGGCTGTATGTGATGTGAGGCTTAAATGAAGAAATAATGTGGTTGTGAGAGGGAGGAGTATATGCAAAGGCTTTATAGAAAGGATGATTTTTTTAGAGTCATGATGAGAAATGAGTAGGAGTTTGCCATTGAGAAGCGTTGAAAGACATTGCACAAGGTGAAGAACATCAGAAAAGATGAAGTGATGTAAAGAAGGAGGCACATGGAGAAAATGTACTTTTCTTGATCTTTTTACAGGTTCCTTGTTATCTGCAAAGTGGTTTACATGTGCAAGGTGACATCATTATCAATACAACATTGAAATTATTAGAGAGCAGAATTCATCTCTGTACCTTTCTATACCTTCGATGCAACTACTGGTCTGGTCTTCGTGGCTTCTTTTCCCATGTTATTTCACTAAATTGTATTCTTATCAAAGTTAACATATGCACCTAGTTTTAAAAAGTCAAGTAGCACTGTAAGTCTTAAAACACCCTACTCCCGGCTCTCATTCTCCAAAGGTGACTACTTCTAATTATTATAGCTATTCTTTCTGGTATTTCTAAATAATGCATCGATACTGTTTCTTTTCACTTTGACACATTATATCTATTAACTTCTCAATATGAAAAATACAACTTTAGCCTTGTTTCCTCATCACTCACCATTTACATTTGCTAACCCTATGCATCCAAGATAAATTTTTGTATCTCATATGTGACAATTATTCCGTAAGTAATTATTTATACATACAAATTATGTATAAATTAATATTATTCAATACTAAGCCTTGTGTGCTGCTGTGTGCTATGATGAATCATTTCCTTGTTGTGTGATGCTACTTATTTTCTCATTTCCAAATTGTCTTGATTATTTTGGCTTAGTTTGGCTTAGTTTTTTTATGTATTTATCCTTAATTATTCCTGACACAAATATTTAATGAAAGTGTGAAACTCCTTTCAATAGGGAAAAACACATAAAGTAAACATTCAGTCTTTTTTTTTCACCTTTTTTTTTATTGGGGAAGACACAAATCTTCCTATTTCAATTTGTACTGATTACTCATTACTCCTTCTTAACCCCTGTTTAAATAAAAATGTACTTCAGTATTTTCTTATTTTTTTGTAATTTATTTTAAGTTCAGGGGTACATGGGCAGGTTTTCTATACAGGTAAACTTGTGTCACGGGGTTTGTCATACAGATTATTTCATCACCCAGGTATCAAACCTAGTACTCACTAGCTATTTTTCTTGATCCTCTCTCTCCT
Organism: Homo sapiens; assembly: GCF_000001405.40. Lineage (NCBI taxonomy): Eukaryota > Metazoa > Chordata > Mammalia > Primates > Hominidae > Homo > Homo sapiens. The sequence goes on along the minus strand of NC_000004.12, from coordinate 12,529,808 downwards.
CCCATTCTGCACCCTCCAATAGGTCACAGTGTCTATAGTTCCTTTCTATGTGTCCATGTGTTCTCATCATTTATAAGTTCCCACTTATAAGTGAGAATATGTGATATTTGCTTTTCTGTCTCTGCATTAGTTTGCTAAAAATAATGGCCCCCATCTCTATCCATGTTCCTGCAAAGAACAGGATTTCATTCTTATTTATATCTGCATAGTGTTTGAAGGTGTGTGTGTACCACATTTTCTTTATCCAGTCTTTTATTGATGGGCATTTACGTTGATTTCATTTATTTTTGCTATTGTCAATAGTGCTGCAATGAACATACATGTGCATGTGTCTTTATAATAGAAGGATTTGTATTCCTTTGGATACATACCAAATACCCATTTGTTTAAATTCCTTAAACAAACGCTGGATGTTAGACCTTTGTCAGATGCATAGTTTGCAAAAATTTTCTTATTCTGCAGTTTGTCCGTTCACTCTGTTAATAGTTCATTTTGCTATGCGGAAGCTCTTTAGTTTAATTAAATCTCATTAGTCAATTATTGCTTTTGTTAAAATTGCTTTTTGTGATTTTGTCATGAAATATTTTCCTGTTCCTAGGTTCACAATGGTATTGCCTAGGTTGTCTTTCAAAAATTTTACAATTTTGGGTTTTATATGTAAAACTATCTTGAGATTATTTCTTGTATGATACAGGAAAGGGATCCAGTTTCGATCTTCTGAATATGAATAGCCAGTTATCCTGGCACCATTTATTGAATAGGAAATCTGTTCCCCATTTTTTTTTGTCAGGTTTGTTGAAGATCAGATGACTGTAAGTATGCAGTCTTATTTCTGGGTTCTCTATTCTGTTCCATTTGTCTATATGTCTGTTTTTGTGCTAGTACCATGCTATTTTGTTACTGTAGCCCTGTGGTATAGTTTGAAGTGAGGTAACATGATGCCACTAGCTTTGTTCTTTCTGTTCAGGATTGTCTTGGGTATTCGGACTCTTTTTTGGTTCTATAGGAATTTAAAAATAGTTTTTTCTAGTTCTGTGAAAAATGTCAATGGTAGTTCAGTAGGAATAGGATTGAATCTGTAAATTGCTTTGGGCAGTGTGGCCATTTTAAGGATGTTGATTTTTGCTATCCATAAGCGTGGAAAGTTTTTCCATTTGTTTGTGTCATATCTGATTTATTTGAGCCATGTTTTGTAGTAGTTCTCCCTGTAGAGATCCTTCACTTCCCCAGTTAGCTGTATTTCTAGGTGTTTATTCTTTTTTGGTAATTGTAAATGGGATTGTGCTCCTGATTTGGCTCTTGACTTGACTATTGTTGGTCTATAGTAATGTTCGTTATTTTTGCAAATTGATCTTGTATCCTGGGACTTTGTGAAAGATGCTTATCAGCTTAAGGTGCTTTTTGGCTGAGACTATGGGGTTTCCTGATATTGGATTGTGTCCTCTGCAGACAGGGATACTTTGACTTTCTCTATTTATATTTGGATGCCCTTTGTTTCTTTTTCTTGTCTTATTTCCCTAGACAAGACTTCAAATAATATATTGAATAGAAGTGGTGAGAGAGGGCATCCTTATCTTATGCCAGTTTGCAAGGGGAATGCTTCCAGCTTTTGCCCATTCAGTATGATGCTGGCTGTGGGTTTGCGAGAGACAGCTCTTATTTTGAGGCATGTTCCTTCAATACCTAGTTTATTGAGAGATTTTAGCATGAAGGGGTGTTGAATTTTATTGAAAGCCTCTCTACATCTATTGAGATAATTACGTGTTTTCTTGTCTTAAGTTCTGTTTATGTGATGAATCACATTTATTGATTTGTGTGCATTGTACCAACCTTGCATCCTAGTGATGAAGCCCAGTTGATCATGTTGGATAAGCTTTTTGATGTGCTATTGGATCTGGTTCGCCAGTATTTTGTTGCATCAATGTTCTTCAAGGATATTAGCCTGAAGTTTTCTTTTTTATTGTTGTTGTGTCTCTGCTAGGTTTTAGTATCAGGATGATGCTGGCCTCATAGGATAAGTTAGAAAGGAGTCCCTCTTCTCAATTTTTTTGAATAGTTTAAGCAGAAAGCAGAAATTCTGCCAGCACTTTGTACGTCTGGTAGAATTCAGCTGTGAATCTGTATGGTCCTGGGCTTTCTTTTGCTTGGTAGGCTATTCATTACTGACCCGATTTCAGAGCTCATTACTGGTCTGTTCAGGGATTCAATTTCTTCCCAGTTACATCTTGAGAGGGTGATGGATCCAGGAATTTATTCATTTTTTTCTAGATTTTCTAGTTTATGTGCATAGAGGTATTCATAATATTTTTCAATGATTGTTTGTATGTCTGTGGCATTAGTGGTAGTATCCCCCTTGTTGTGCCTGATTGTGTTTATTTGACTCTTCTCTCTTTTCTTTTTTATTAATCTAGCTAGTGGTCTATTTTATTAATCTTTTCACAAACCAGTTCCTGGACTTGTTGATCTTTAAATGGTTTTTGTGGCTTAATCTCCTTAAGTTCAGCTCTTTTGGCTATTTCTTGTCTTCTACTAGCTTGCTATTTGTTTGCTCTTGGTTCTCTAGTTCTTTTAGTAATAATGTTAGGTTTTTAATCTGAGATTTTTTTTCTTTTTATTTTTTGTGATGTGGGCATTTAGTGCTATAAATTTCCCGCTTAACACTGTCTTACCTGTGTCCCAGAGATTCTGGTATGTTGTATCTTTGTTCTCATTAACTTCAAAGAACTTCTTGATTTCTGCCTTAATTTCATTAATCACCCAAAAGTCATTCAGGGGCAGGTTATTCAATTCTCATGCAATTGTATGGTTTTGAGTTAATCTCTTAGTCTTGATTTCTAATATGATTGTGCTGTAGTCCAAGATCATTTGTTATAATTTCAGTCCTTTTGCATTTGCTGAGGAGTGTTTTACTTCCAATTATGTGGTTTATTTTAGAGTATGTGCCATGTGATGATGAGAAGAATGTATATTTTGGGGTTTTTTTTGGCGGGGGAGGCAGCAGTGATGATTTCTGTAGATATCTATAAGGTCCATTTGATCCAGTGTGGAGTTCGGGTCCTGAATATCTTTGTTAATTTTCTGTCTCAGTGATCTGTCTAATATTGTCGGAGGGATGTTACAGTCTCCCACTATTATTGTGCTGGAGTCTAAGTCTCTTTGAAGGTCCCTAAGAACATGCTTTATGAATCCAGGTCCTCCTGTGTTGGATGCATATATGTTTAGTATAGTTATATCTTCTCATTGAATTGAGCATGTTACCATTATGTAATGCCCTTCTTTGTCTTTTATGGTTTTTATTGGTTTAAAGCCTGTTTTACCTGGAACTACTATAGCAACTCCTGCTTTTTTCTGTTTTCCATTTGCTTGGTAGATTTTTCTTCATCCTTACATTTTCAGTCTATGTGCATCATTGCATGTAAGATGGGTCTCTTGAAGGCAGCATACAAATGGGTCTTAGTTCTTTATCCAGTTTGCCACTGTGTCTTTTAATTGAAGCATTTAGCCCATTTACATTCTAGGTTAATATTGATATATGTGGATTAGATCCTGCCATCATGATGTTGACTGGTTATTTTGCAGGTTTTTTATTTGGTTGCTTTATAGCATCACTGCTCTGTGTACTGCAGAGTGTTTTTGTAGTGGCTGGTAAAAATCTTTGCTTTCTGTATTTAGTGCTTCTTTCAGGATATCTTGTAAGGCAGGTCTGGTGGTAACAAATTCCCTCAGCATTTGCTTTTCTGAAAAGGATCTTATTTCTCCTTCACTTATAATGCTTAGTTTGGCCAAATATGGAATTCTGGGTTGAAATTTTTTTCTTTAAGAATGTTGAATATTGGCCCCCAATCTTTTCTGCCATGTGGAGTTTCTTCTGACAGGTCCACTTTTAGTCTGTTGCATTTCCCTATGTAGGTGACCTGACCTGTCTCTCCAGCTACCTTTACCAATTTTTTTTTTATTTTGACCTTGGAAAATCTGATAACTGTGGGTCTTCAGGATGATCTCCTCGTGAAGTATCTTACTAGGTTTTCTGCATTTCCTGAGTTTGACTGTTGGCCTCTCTAGGCAAGTTCAGGAAGTTCTCATGGATGATATCCTGAAATGTGTTTTCCAAGTTGGTCCCATTCTTCCCATCTGTTTCAGTGACACAAATGAGTTGTAGATTTGTTCTCTTTACATAATCAAATATTTCTTGGAACTTTTATTCATTTTTTTCATTGTTTTTCCTCTATTATTGTCTGTCTTATTTCAGAAAGTTAGTCTTTAAGCTCTGAGATTCTTTTTTCTGCTTGTCTATTCTGCTATTAATACTTGTGTTTGCATTATTATATTCTATTAGTGTGTTTTTCAGCTCTGTCAGATCAGTTATGTTATTTTCTATACTGGCTATTTTGTCTGTCAGCTGTTGAATTGTTTTATCATGATTATTAGCTTTCTTAGATTGGATTTCAACATAGTCCTCTAGCTCAATGATCTTTGTATCTATACATATTCTGAATCCTATTTCTGTCATTTTAGCCATCTCAGCCCTGTTCAGAACCCTTGCTGAATAGGTAAAATGGTCATTTGGAGGAAAGAAGGCACACTGTTTTTTTGAGTTTTCAGGTTTCTTGCACTGATTCTTTCTCATCTTTGTGGGCTTATCTACCTTCAACCTTTGACGTTGTTGATCTTTGTTTTTTTCTTTTATCCTATTTGATGACCTGAGGGTTTGATTTTGATGTACAGTAGATTCAGCTAAATGGCTTCATTTCTGGAAGATTTTACAGGGCAAACACAAAGTTCCCAACTCCTGGACTGTGTGCTCAAACTCTAGGGGACTTGTATTGGGCCCCAATTTTGTTCTCTGTCCTTCAAGGCTAAGAGTCCACTTCACTGGAATGGCCAAGGTGTAGCAGCTATGGCAGAGTGCTGGTGGGGACTGGGTGCCTGACTCCCTGGGGGCATTCACCATGGTGGTGGAGGCAATGCAGCTTGACAGTGAATGGGCCTAGCTGCTGAGGATTGTCTGTACAGTCATGCTGGAGGTAGTGTTGGCTTGTAGTGGGGAACTTGTGGACACAGGACTATGTGCCTTCTGTGTTTCCCACAAGAAAGAGTGATTGCTCAGGGTAGGGGAGGATCTGCTGTTCTCTGTAGTGATAGGATAAGGGCTGGGCACTGTTGCAGGCAGGGCTGGATGGCTCTGTGCCTGCCAAGGCTCTGTCTGAAATGGTGGTTGGCAGGGGGAGGGAAGGCAGACTGCACTCCTGCATCCTGGTGGGGCAAGAAAGGCAAAACTCACCCATGCAGACACACATCAGCAAGAGTGAGTTGGGTAGTTTCTTTGGGCCTGAGGGAAGCTGCAATATGGGTAGCAAGTGGGTGGGCTGGTGTATGGCCATAGGAGCCACATGGTCCTGGTCAGGCACAATCCACTAGCACAAGTTATGGTGCAGGTCCCTAGGGCACCCAAGACTGCCCTGCAAACAGGTGTGGCCAGGCTGGGGCCCCAGGAGAGGCCAGCAGACCAAGGTCTGCTCAGGTCAACCTAGCCCTGTCTGATGGGCAAGACTGCCCTGCAGAGATCAGGTCTGACAGTTGCCCTAAGGATAAAATCTCCAATGGGAGTGAGTGAAGCCTAAGAGGATGGCTGTCCCTAGGCATGCTCTGCTACAGACACTCCCACGCCAAACCCTCTGGGGTCCAAATCAGCTGGCTTGCTGCCCCTACCACTTCTCTAAGGAGCTCTCTCTGCCAATATGGGTGTTCATGGTGGTCAAGAGGCATCCTCCTGCTGGGGTTCTGGAGGCCTGTGGTGAGAGTCAGTTATTACTCATTAGTTCAACTCACCTGTTCTCCCACAGCCAGGAATGAGTCCAGTGTGCCGTAGGCCCATACAAGGTTCCCAGATTTCTTTGCCTTCAGTCCAGATTCTGTGTCCTCCCTCCAACCACTCTCAGTGTTTTCCTTCTAAAGATCTGTTAAGAGCATGCCAGTTGTCTCAGCACCTCGGTAGGAGCTGTTGCACCTGGCTGCATCAGTTGGCCATGTTGTCCTTCCCTATTTCAGCATTTTTCTTATATCAAATGCCTCATTTCCTGGATCCTATAACTTCCTATTTCTTTGTTGACTCCTGTTAATTTTAGTTGTCAACTTGACTGGATTAAAGAATACCGGAGAACTCATAAAGCATTACTTCTGGCTATGTCTGTGAGGTTGTTTTCAGAGGAGATTGGTGTATGAATCACGGACTGAGCAAGGAAGATCTGCCCTCATTGTGACTGGGCATTATCTAATCAACTGGGGTCTGGAATGAAACAAAAAAAGCAAAGAAATAAAAGGTGTTTTTCCCTCTCTCTTCTGAAGCTATAACACTCTTTTCCTATCCTTAGTCAACAGAACTTCAGGCTTTCTCACCTTTAGATTTCAATACTTACACCAGTGGTCCCTTGGGCTCTCAGGCTTGTGGTCTAAGAATTATACCATTGGTTTCTATGGTTCAGGGGCTTTGGGACTTGAACTGAGCCACAAATGGTTTGGACTGGGACACTACCAGCATCCCAGGTTCTCAAGCTTGTAGGCAGTCTTTTATGGGATTTCTCAGGGTTCATAACTAAATAAATCAATTTTCATATCAATTTGTCTCTCATATATCCACATACCTATATGTCTATATTTATCTTATTTGTTCTGTCTTTCTGGAGAACCTTACATAATACAGCTGTGTTGTATAAGAAAACTAATACTATGTACAACAATAGACAGAGATATTAGAGAGAGAGATTCAATAGAGAGAGAGAGTCAGTGAATTAGTTTTGGTGGATCCAATTGTTTCTCAAGCCTAGCTATGTGTATGTCCTTTACATTATTCATTTATTTTCCTTCGTAAGTCATCTACTTCTTATTTAATTAAATAAGCCATAAAATGTTATGTTTACTTAAATTATTTGAGTTTTGTTTCTAACATTTGGTAAAGAAGGATTCCTCACATATATTCCCTGGGACTATTATCTACTTTGTAAAATGTGATGCCAGTAACACAATTATTATGATAAATGAATTAATAAAATACCTTATGTGAAGCACATAGCATAGTACCTAATGCTCACCAGCTTCTAATTTCCTTTATTACTTTCTACTTCAAAAATTTATACAATAAAATATAACCTCAAATTAATATGCTTATTATTAATTTCAGCAGAATAGTGTCGAGTCATGAATAAGAAAATATACATAGCATTTTTTTATAGCAGAAATAAAAGATTTTAAAGAAAAAAAAAGATTTTAAAGAAGTGATGTATTAACCTAAGTCCATAACGTTCTAAATGTGTGATGTGGAGCAATTTGCTTAACAGTTCTGTGTCTCAGTTCCCTTATGCATAAAGAAGAAATGCTAGTTCTCATTTCAAATAACTGATGTGAAATGCAAATGAGAGGGCAAATGTAGGAAGTACTTAAATGATTTTACTTTCCTATTCTCCCTGAAACTTCACATCTATTCATACATAGGATATAATTCCAGCTGTGATTTGAAGCCCATGAATGTAATTTGATAGAGTGATTCATGGTGCCTGACATGAAGTTGATATAACATGTCTTCAGATGAAACAACCAATCATCATCATCAGAAAGAAACTTAGAAGATATGATATAATCCACCTCTATTCTATTTTAATAATAGAAAAAGAATAATTCAATGCTTTATTGTGTGGCATGGTTGCAGCTTCCACCTGAAAAGAATGAGCACATTATTATCTGTTTCCACTCCTTTCTATTTTCTCTTTAAGTCATGAAGTTGAATTGGTTAAGGATATAGATGTGGGAGGTAAGAAGAAGTTTCAGGTCTAGATAGAATGGTATCTTTTACTAAAGTTGATAACTAAGAGAAGTTTATTTGATTAAGGCAGAGCATTGAGGGGAATGGGATTTTCAGTTTTGAAGAATGTAGTTTGATGTGCCCCTGTGAGAATGAGAAGCCCAAGTAGACATGATTGGAACTTGAGGCCCAGGGTTGAGCTGGTGACATGGACTTTGAAGTTGGTGATACTCCTTGAGAAGAATACATGGGGTCTGAGAGCAGAAGGCCTAAAACAGACCCTGAGGGACACTGAGTCTAGAAACAGGGAAAAGAAGGAAGGCTTTCCAGGGTGTCTGAAAAAAAAGAGAGAAAAACAAAGAACAAGTAGAGCTTGGGATAACCTGAAGATGTATAAATCAAAAGATTGATGACTCTTGAAAATAAGGATGAAATCCACCATAGAATGGAACTATTAGCATTGAATCATCTCTTTTTTATCACAAGAGAGAAAGATACACATATGATTGCAAATAAATACAAGTTTATATGTTTGTGACATCTTAAAACTAAGATATATAAAACAGCACTACTGATGCTTTCTTCCAAACCAGCTTCCTTCTATAGTCTTTCCATCTCATTTAGGAAAAACTCCATTCTTCCAGTTTTTAAGACTGAACACATTGGTGTCTGATATGGTTTGGCTGTGTCCCCACCCAAATCTCATCTTGAATTGTAGCTCCCATAATTCCTAAGTGTTGTGGGAGGGACCTGGTGGGAGATAATTGAATCATGAGGCAGTTACCCCCATATTGTTCTTGTGGTAGTGAATAAGTCTCACAAGATCTGATGGTTTTATAAGGGAAAACCCCTTTCAATTCGTTCTAATTCTATCTTGCCTGCCACCATGTAAGACAGCACCTTCCACTATGATTGTGAGGCCTCCCCAGCCACGTGGAGTTGTGAGTCCATTAAACCTCTTTTTCTTTATAAATTACTCAGTCTCAAATATGTCTTTGTCAGCAGCGTGAAAACAAATACAGTGTCTCATTAAAAATATACATATTTTTATTGAGACAAAGTCCAACTCTGTTGCCCAGATTTGAGCAGAGGCTACAATTGCTACAAGATATGCTGTTTCTAATTTTAATTGTTCTCTTTATATGGTTTTCTTTACTGTCACTGCAGACCAACTATCCTTATAAATGGTAAGAATCATGGCTAACTGCTGCTTTCAAATATCACACAATAATTTTTTACATAAATTGAAACAAAATGACTTACAGAGGGCAAAAAGTCATAGTACTAGAGAAATTGAATGTTGGTAGAATTTAATCATAATTTGGCTATAGTTGTGTCATAAACACATTGAATATGTGATGACAGAAGGAAAACATCATTTAAAAATAAGAAAGTATTTACATTTCTATATTCAAATTTTTACACTTAGTATTATAATGATTTTACTGTCTATTAGTTTCTACATTCATAACTTAAAATAACTGCAAAATACTCAATATGGTATATGTCATTATTTGTAAAATAATGTTTCTATTATTGCACATTTAGTTTATGTTGTTATAGCCAATATAAATTATAATCAATTTGTGTTTATTGGATTATTAAATAAATTCATTAAGTATTCACTGAAAAATGTAAAATATCATCAGAAATAATTGTTTCAAATACATTCAGATGTTATGATCTTTTCAGTTATTTTTGTTTAATAAACATTTTTTACTGTAGGACATTTGTGTTCACAGATGCCGTGGCAATGTTTGTTTCTTCATCTCTGGGTTTCCAACTTTGAATTTAAACGTGATAGATTTCATTTAGGGAACAAATTATAACAACATAAAGAAATTTTGACACATAGCTGATGAATCCTGTGTTTTCTAGTTGAACAAAATTATTTATAGAGTCAAAGGGCATCAGTAAACAGGTGGATCTGAAAGTTGCAAAAATTTATAAATAATTTGACTGTGAATTACACTTTTATAGTTGTATCTAAACTCAATAAAAAATAGAGGGTTCAATAAATAAATGCTCAAAATTCTAAAACCAGAGGTCTAAGATCTCTCTCAATGAGAGGAGTTTCACAAGACACTTTGATCTAATTGTCTGTGGCATCTCATTGAAAGCATTTTCTACAGAACCATATTTAATTCCATAAGATGCAAAGCTGTGTGATATAAGCATGCTTTATATTTTAGATTTCTAAGGATCAATTTTCTCATTTCTAAGAATTATATTTAAAATACCAATAACTGGTACACCAGAGGCACTGACCCCTCCTTTGAAAGGATGCTGGTTCCAGCACTGGTATAGTTAATTAGTGCACCCAACTGGGACAAATGGTCCCTGCTATTTGCTGGATTGCAAGCAGCTGTGAAGAATGCTAAGGAAAAAGCACAGCTGAGATGCTGAACAGGAAGCCACCAGGGAAATGGGGAAGTGGCTATTTACTCTCTGTCATGGAAATAATTCAATATTTTAAAAACCAGTATGTCTGTCCCTGTGTGTATGGCTGACCATCTGCCCTATTTAATAATGTTTTCATGAGTATTGAATGAGCAAATGCATTTGAAACATTTTATGTTATGTTTGTACTATCCTAAGAATTTGATAAATAATAGTAGCATTGGCAAACTTTATCAATTTCATTGTCATAATTTACAATTAAAAGATTGTGATAAAAGAACAGCTTTGAAGGATATTTGAGGAAAGAAAAGAGAAATATTTCTAAAAGCATCTCTTTTTGCTTTTTCTACAACAAATTCTTGAGAAACTGCAGCCCATTCACAAGTAATGGAATCAAATGGGGCTACCATCCATGTGGCCTAACCATGGGCACAGCCTCTGAACAGGCCAAAACACACACTTGTAGGAATTTAACCTTGAAGGGAAGTGACACAGAATATTGTTGAAATGCTCAATATCATAAACATGCCATTCTCTCTTTATTACTACTTTGAAATAGTTCCAAATTATGCTTTAACATCAAATTTATCATGTGTCTAAACATTATATTAAAAATCAAGATTCAAAATTAGCTATGATAATTCTAGAGGAAAGAAGAGAGTACAGGAAAAGTGGAGTTGCGTTATCAAGCAAAAAGATGTTTAAAGCTATCTTTTTCAAGTCAGGGTAGTATTCTCAAACTAAAAAATAGAAATGGAGAGAGAGCCTAGAATTGGAATGAAAGTATTTATGGTGATTTGAAATCTGCTAGAAATACCTTACACATCAGCAGAGAAAAGAAAAACTATACCATTTGTTTAATACAGTCATTCTCCTTAACCTCCATGTACCTGTCTATCTTTAGAAAGTGCTGGTCATTGCTCTTGAAATAATCATTTTTGAATTATCATGAAGGCTGGGGTAAATTTGTCCTCCTCTGGATCTCTGTGTTTGCTTCTGTCAGGTGCCTGGGAACACTACCGTTAGATGACCACTTTAAACCAAAGCCATGACTTGACGTTTCCTGACCCACCTAGATGACATACATGAGCCACCCATGCAATGCACATAAAGGGTGGTCTGTGGATGGAACTTCTCAGGAAGGATAATTTTTCTATTTCCCCTTTTTGTTCCTTGCTTTAATCAGCATTATAGCAAGCTGCTCTGCATTATACCGGGCTTAAGTTAACATTGTTTTATTGAGGTTTGCCTTTATCCTGAGGATTAAACCTATGGGATCCAAATAAGGCTGTTTCTTTTGGCTTTTACATTTTATATACTGCATAATTTCAGGAGTCACAAATTACACTGTAATGTATCAGAATGCCTACCCAGCTCCCCTTGCCATTCCAATTCCCCCATTGTTTTACAATGTGCAGTTGTACTTACTGGCCCTGGTCTCAGCTTAACGTTTGAAGAGTAGCTGTGTGATTATCTCCACTGGACAGTCAATGCAACTGAAATTCTGTCTTCATCACCCCACTAAATCATCAAAATCTGTCTTCCTCACCTCAGTAAATCACAACCTTAAGTTCAAATGTGTGGCATTTGTAAACACCATTTAAATATCTTTGCTGCTCCATTAATCTGGTTATCTGGGTTTAAACATTTCTCCGAAATTTGGCCTGGCAGTTTTTATGCTATCTTTTCAGCTCTTCAAAGGTTTTGTGGCAATTAGAAAATATGTTAGTCTGGTGTTTTAAATTGTGTTTAGTGGGAGAGTCAATTTATACAACCTGATATAACTAGAGTCCATTGGTCTAAGATTACTCTTGACAGCTCTGTGGTGATGAGAGAAGATCAAGAGTGGAAGCAGGGAGACAACTAGGGCCTGTTGCAATAATTTAAGCAATAGCCTGGACCAAGGTAACTCAGGTATGGGTGGTGATAACAAATTTTATACTGAGAGAAGTTCAGTAAAATGCTTCTGTGAATTTTGCCCATCCTAGTGAGTATCTGAATGATTATTTTTATACCTTCAAGGTTGTGATATCGGGCTTCAGCTTGATCCATGCTACTGAAGAAAAGATAAATTTTTTTGTGGTGTACTCAGGCATATCTGAATACAAATTGTCTTCCATATCGAGTGTGATTAACTTTGTGTCTATATGTCTTAGAGTGTTATTTACAGGGAGAGAAATGATGGATGAAATAATCCATTTTGGCCCATCAATCATCAGATTTGTCATGTAATCAGTCTAATTTGATTTGCAAAAATGTAAACTTATAAGTAAATCAGCCCAATGGGGTTTTTTCCCCTGAAAATTACGCACTGAAATAACATCTTCTCATTTTTGCTGTAAATATTAATAGTCATTGCTCATCTTTATTACTTATTTTAAACATTTATAGATAAGCTCTTGCAGTACTTTCAGGTTAAGATCTCTGACTCTTGCTTCTGCCATGGAAAACACTACCAGTTTTCAAAGGGATACCCTTGCTTACCTAGTCTGTCCACTCTAGTTCCAGAATCTGGCTGAAATGTACTGATACATAACTCTTGACATGCATGTAAAAAGTTTCATTAACAAGGGGCAAAGAGAGTTTTGTGCATTTGAAATTAAATCATAACTAATTTTACATTTTGCTTTTAGACACTTATTATATAAAATCCTTTGAGCTATGCTATAACCATATTTTGAAGGTGCTACATTATGTTTATAGTTATCAAATTAAGTAACAGAAAATCATGTCATAGAGTTAATGTACCAACTCAGCAGTTATCCTTTATTTGGATAATAAGAAATGTAGTCTGTGAGTGACCTGAATGGGTTCACAGCTAATTTAGGCATAAATGGAGGTAAAACCCAGTCTCCTAATTTTCTAACAAAGTAGCCTTGCTAGTGAATCAAATCACAGGGAATTGGTGTCAGAGTAAATTTGGAAGCATACGTAAAAGACATAAAAGTATCTCAATGAAGATCATTTGTAAGCCAAAAAAAGCTCAATTAGCAAACTTCTAAAGGTTTATTTCACCAATTGAGAAGTATTCTCTCAGATATATATATATATATATATATATATATATATATATATATATGTGGTAAATATATTCTAAAATCTTGAAGTCCACTTGAGAATGACTCATGATTTTAGACTGCATAGTGAGAGCTGTTTTAAAATACATTTTTTCCTTGTTGTATGGGGAAATTTAGATGTAATCTCCAAGGGCTATGAGATTATATGTTCAAGAACCTTGGATCTAGCCTGTGATCTGGTCTGGCTTCTTTGGAATTTTTGTTTTGGGCCACAGAGCAGATGGACAGGCTGACCTGGTGACAATCCACATGTGTTTGAGCAAACTAAATTCACAGCCAAGAACAAGTAGAGACCGTGTTAATACCCTGGCAAGGACTGTCAACTACTGGTTGGGTGGTCTGCTGACTGGATGTGAACAGTCTGAAGTCAGTTAGGGCCGCAAGTCAGACATTTCCAAACAAACCAGAAGCATTCAGGAAATTATAGCTTTAAATGATAATGAAAAGAGTTTATTTTCACTTAAAAATAAACTCGTGTATATAGAAAAGCCTTTAATAGAAACAGCAAAAATTGCTGGGAATAATGCTGCTAATTCACCTTCCCTTATTCTATTTCCACTTGAACTCCATCTTATGTTTTCACAGTAAATGTGAGCTTTATCTCTAGAAACTAATTGTAGTGAAGGCCTGTTACGTAATAGAGGCAATGCCAAAAACAACTGTGAAAACATCCGTTTTCACAATGTTATAAAGGAATACCAGAGACTGTGTAATTTATAAAGGAAAGAGGGTTTAATTGACTCCCAGATCTGCATGGCCAGGGTGGCCTCAGGAAACTTACAATCACAGCAGAAGGGGAAGCAAGGCACATCTTACATGACAGCAGGAGAGAGAGAGAGAGAGAGAGAGAGAAGGGGGAAGCATTAGACACTTAACAAACAACCAGATCTCATGAGAACTCACTCACTGTCAGGAGAATAGCAGAGGAAAATCCACCCCGAAGATCTAATCACCTCCCACCAAGTCTCTCACTCAACACCTGGGGATTACAATTAGAAATGAGATTTGGGTGGAGACACAGAGCAAAACCATGTTATTCAGCCCATGGTGCTTCCCAAATCTCATGTCCTTTTTACATTTCAAAATCAATAATGCTTTCCCAACATTCCCCCAAAGTCTTAACTCATTCCAGCATTAACTCAAAAGTCCAAGTCCAAAGTCTCATCTGAGACAAGGCAAGTCCGTTCTGCCTATGAGCCTATAAAATCAAAGGCAAGTTAGTTCCTTCCAAGATACAATGGGCGTACATTTACTGGGCAAATTTTCCCATTCCAAATGGAAGTAATTGGCCAAAACAAAGGGACCACAGGGCCCATGCATGTCTAAAACCTGGCAGGAGAGTCATTAAATCTTAAAGCTCCCAAATCTCCATTGATTCTATGTCTCATATCTAGGGCATATTGATGCAAGGGGTGGGCTCCCAAAGCCTTCAGCAGCTCCCCCTCACTGTGGCTCTGCAGGGTACAGCCCCTGCAGCTGCTTTCATAGGCTAGCAATGAGTGTCTATCGCTTTTCCAGGCACACAGTGCAAGCTGTTGGTAGATCTACTTTTCTTGGGTCTGGAGTATGGTGGCCCTCTTCTCACAGCTCCACTAGGCAGTGCCCCCGTGGAAACTCTGTGTAGGGGCTCTAGCGCCACATTTCCCTTCCATGCTGCCCTAGTAGAGGTTCTCCATGAGGGCTCCATCCCTGCAGCAGACTTATGGCCGGACATCCAGGAATTTCCGTCCATCCTCTGAAATCTAGGCGGAGGCTCTTAAAGCTCAATTCTTGTCTTCTGTGTACCTACAGGCCCAACACCATGTGGAAGCTACCAAAAATTGGGGATTGCACCTTCTGAAGCAGTGGCATGAGCTGTACCTTGGCCCCTTTTAGCCACAGCTAGAGCTGGAGTGGCTAGGACATAGGGCACCAAGTCTCAGTGCTGTATAGAGCAGTGGGGCTCTGGGCCCAGCCCATGAAGCCAATTTTGTCTCCTAGGCCTCTGGGCCTGTGATGCAAGGGACTGCTATGAACACCTCTGGCATGTCCTGGAGATATTTTCCCCATTGTCTTGGCTATTAACATTCGACTCCTCATAACTTATGAAAATTTCTGCAACCAGCTTGAATTTCTCCCCAGAAAGTGGATTTTTATTTTCTACCTCATGGTCAGGCTGCAAATTTTCCAAACTTTCATGCTCTGCTTCCCTTTTAAACATACTTTCCAATTTTAAATCATCTCTTTGTGAATGCATATTACTGTACACTTTCAATAAAAGTCACATCTTGAATGCTTTGCTGCTTAGAAATTTCTTCTGCCAGATACTCTAAATCATCTCTCTCAATTTCAAAGTTCTACAGCTCTCTAGGGCAGGGACAAAATGCCTTCAGTCTCTTTTTGCTCTAATTCCCAATAGGTTCCTCATCTCCATCAGAGACCACCTCAGCCTGGACTTAATTGTCCATATCACTATCAGCATTTTGGTCAAAGCCATTCAAAAAGTATCTAGGAAGTTCCATACATTCCCACATCTTCCTGTCATCTTCTGAGCCTCCAAACTGTTCCAACCTCTGTCTGTTACCCAGTTCCCAAGTCACTTCCACATTTTCAGGTTATCTTTATAGCAGCACCCACCTTCCAGTACCAATTCTCTGCATTCATTCATATTCACACTGCTATAAAGAAATATCTGAGACTTGGTAATTTATAAAGGAAAGAGGGTTTAATTGACTCACAGTTCTGCATGGTGGGGGGAGGTGGGTTTAGGAAACATAATCATGGTGGAAGGGGAAGCAAGGCATGTCTTACATGGTGGTGAGAGAGAGGGAGAGAGAGAAGTGGGAAGCACCAGACACTTATCAAACAACCAGATCTCATGAGAACTCAATCTCTATCATGGGAACAGCAAGGGGAAATCTGCCACTGTGACCCAATCACCTCTGACCAGGTCCCTCCCTCAAGATGTGGAGATACAATTCAAGATGAGATTTGAGTGGGAACAGAGAACCAAACCTTATCAACACTTACTTCATAATCCTTGGTTGAAATATCACATGGGCTACTAAATTATACTTATTTATTTCAAAGAATATGTTCATTCAAGAGGACTGGGATATGAAAATTGACTTTAATGATTTTGATCATTTAGTACGATTCAGAAGAATTTACTTTGTCACTCTCTAGGTGTATAAGATTTTATCATTTGTGGAACACTTTTCTCTTACGATACCTCACTTAATTGCCACAAAGATTATTCTTTTTATTTTTTAAAAGCAAATAGGGACAGGAGAAATGAAGCTCAGGAAAGTAATGTCAGCAAGTTCAAAATGTTCACTGTGTTTAGTATATGAAAGTTCCTACCCTAGAATTCCAGGTTTCTGCAAATCAGGCATTGTTGTTGGATCCATAAAAGTCACATGGCAAAGGTATGAGAGCAACTCACTTTCTGGCCTTACTTCCCAAAATGACTCATTCAATGTAATCCTTTCCAAACACTCTCTTTATAGTTTAATACACATCCAAACCAGACACTTTCTCAGAACTATCCATATATTTCATTCACGAAGACCTATGTAGGGCCATCTTATAATTTTGCATGAGCAATAAAATAATATTTGGCCATTATAAGAAGGTGACCCCTTGCTTAGCCAAAATGCAACAAAGGGAAGACTTATGACTGGTCTCTGATGCTAGTTTTGACATTTTTTTTAATTAAGATTAACTTTACCTACCTAACTTCAAGATGTACTATACAGCTTCAGTAGTCAAGACAGTATGGTTTTGGTGAAATAATAGATAAATAGATCATTGGAACTGAATAGAGAGCCCCAAAATAGACCCACCTAAATACATTAAACAGATTGACAAAGAAGCAAGGACAATACAATGAAGCAAAGATAGTCTTTTCAACCAATGCTACTGGAACAACTAGGTAACCACATGTAACACCATGAATTTAAACACAGAACTTATACCCTTCACAAAAATTAACTCAAAATGAATCACAGGCCCAAATGTGAAATGCAAAACTATGAAACTCCTAGAAAACAACACAGGAGAAACTCTAATCTTGGGTGTGATGATATCTGTTAACTACAACACCAAAGACAATACATAAAAGAAAAACATTGGTAAGTTGGACTTCATTAAAATTAAAAAAAGAAAAAACTTGTGTGAAGGACATTGTCAAGAGAATGAAAAAACAAGCCACAGACTATGGGGAAACAGTTACAAAATGCATGTCTGACAAGGGAGTGTTATTCAGAACATAAAAGTAACTCAAAATTCAACAGCAGGGAAAGAAATACCCTAGCATCAAAGTGGTCAAGGACCTGAAGAGACAGCTCACAAAAAATACATAAATGGCAAATAAAAATATTTAAAAATTCTGAATATCATATGTCAGTAGAAATTTGCAAATTAATAAAGCAATGATACCACTACACACATATTAAGATGGTTAAAACTTAAAATACTGACAATACCAAATTCTGGCAAGGAGGTAGAGCAGTAGAAACTCTCATTTATTAATGATGTGAATGTAAAATGATGCATCCACTGTGGAAGACAGTTTGGCAGTTTCCTGTAAGACTAAATATACTCTTACTAAAGCATCCAGCAATTGTGCTCCTTGGTATTTATGGGAATGAATTGAAAACATAACCACACAAAAGCCTGCACATGGTTATTTATCGCAGATTTATTGCTAATTGACATAATTTGAAAGCATCTAAAATGTCCTTCCGTAAGTGAATGGATAAATAGACTATGGTGCATCCAGACAATGGAATATTATTCAGTTCTAAAAAGAAGTAATCTATCAAGCCTTGAAAAAATGTGGAGGAACTTAAATGTGTATTACTAAGTGAAAGAAGTCAATCTGAAAAGGCTACATACAGTATCTTTGCATCTGTATAATATTTTCAAAAAGGAAAACTACAGAGACAGTAAAAGGATCAGAGATTGATAGACATTAAAGGAGAGGGAGGATTCAATAGATGGAGAACAGAGGAATTTTAGAGCAGTAAAATTATCCTTCATGGTGCTGTAATGATGAACGTATATCATTATAGATTTGTCCAAACCCACAGAATGTACAATACAAAGTATAAACCCTAATGTAAACTGTAGACTCTGGTTAAGAATAATATGTAAGTTCAGTTGTAACAAATGTACCACTTTGGTTGGGATTGTTGATAGTGGGGAAGACTGGGCATATGTGACGGCCAGGAATATATATGAAACCTCTGTACCTTCTGCTCAATTTTGTTATGAACATGAAACTACTCTAAAAACAGTTTCTTTTTTAAATGTTGATATGTGTTTTTGCAGTTATTCTTTGTAAGGCTGAGAAATTTCTTTTGTTTCCAGTTTGCTGGAAGCTTTTTGTCAAAAATAGGTGTTAAAATTTGCCAAAAGCTAAATCAATAAATGTAATCCAGCATATAAACAGAGCCAAAGACAAAAACCACATGATTATCTCAACAGATGCAGAAAAGGCCTTTGACAAAATTCAACAATGCTTCATGCTAAAAAATCTCAATAAATTAGGTATTGATGGGACGTATTTCAAAATAATAAGAGCTATCTATGACAAACCCACAGCCAATATCATACTGAATGGGCAAAAACTGGAAGCATTCCCTTTGAAAACTGGCACAAGACAGGGATGGCCTCTCTCACTACTCCTACTCAACATAGTGTTGGAAGTTCTGGCCAGGGCAATTAGGCAGGAGAAGGAAATAAAGGGGAATTAGGAAAGAAGTCAAATTGTCCCTGTTTGCAGACGACATGATTGTATATCTAGAAAACCCCATTGTCTCAGCCCAAAATCTCCTTAAGCTGATAAGCAACTTCAGCAAAGTCTCAGGATACAAAAGCAATGTACAAAAATCACAAGCATTCTTATACACCAACAACAGACAAACAGAGAGCCAAATCATGAGTGAATTCCCATTCACAATTGCTTCAAAGAGAATAAAATACCTAGGAATCCAACTTACAAGGGATGTGAAGGACCTCTTCAAGGAGAACTACAGACCACTGCTGAAGGAAATAAAAGAGGATACAAACAAATGGAAGAACATTCCATGCTCATGGGTAGGAAGAATCAATATCGTGAAAATGGCCATACTGCCCAAGGTAGTTTACAGATTCAAAGCCATCCCCATCAAGCTACCAATGCCTTTCTTCACAGAATTGGAGAAAACTACTTTAAAGTTCATATGGAACCAAAAAAGAGCCCGCATCACCAAGTCAATCCTAAGCCAAAAGAACAAAGCTGGAGGCATCACACTACCTGACTTCAAACTATACTACAAGGCTACAGTAACCAAAACAGCATGATACTGGTACCAAAACAGAGATATAGATCAATGGAACAGAACAGAGCCCTCAGAAATAATGCCGCATATCTACAACTATCTGATCTTTGACAAACCTGAGAAAAACAAGCAATGGGGAAAGGATTCCCTATTTAATAAATGGTGCTGGGAAAACTGGCTAGCCGTATGTAGAAAGCTGAAACTGGATCCCTTCCTTACACCTTATACAAAAATTAATTCAAGATGGATTAAAGACTTAAATGTTAGACCTAAAACCATAAAAACCCTAGAAGAAAACCTAGGCATTACCATTCAGGACATAGGCATGGGCAAGGACTTCATGTCTAAAACACCAAAAGCAATGGCAACAAAAGCCAAAATTGACAAATGGGATCTAATTAAACTAAAGAGCTTCTGCACAGCAAAAGAAACTACCATCAGAGTGAACAGGCAACCTACAAAATGGGAGAAAATTTTCGCAACCTACTCATCTGACAAAGGGCTAATATCCAGAATCTACAATGAACTCAAACAAATTTACAAGAAAAAAACAAACAACCCCATCAAAAAGTGGGCGAAGGACATGAACAGACACTTCTCAAAAGAAGACATTTATGCAGCCAAAAAACACATGAAAAAATGCTCACCATCACTGGCCATCAGAGAAATGCAAATCAAAACCACAATGAGATACCATCTCACACCAGTTAGAATGGCAATCATTAAAAAGTCAGGAAACAACAGGTGCTGGAGAGGATGTGGAGAAATAGGAAGACTTTTACACTGTTGGTGGGACTGTAAACTAGTTCAACCATTGTGGAAGTCAGTGTGGCCATTCCTCAGGGATCTAGAACTAGAAATACCATTTGACCCAGCCATCTCATTACTGGGTATATACCCAAAGGACTATAAATCATGCTGCTATAAAGACACACGCACATGTATGTTTATTGTGGCATTATTCACAATAGCAAAGACTTGGAACCAACCCAAATGTCCAACAATGATAGACTGGATGAAGAAAATGTGGCACATATACACCATGGAATGCTATGTAGCCATAAAAAATGATGAGTTCATGTCCTTTGTAGGGACATGGATGAAATTGGAAATCATCATTCTCAGTAAACTGTCGCAAGAACAAAAAACCAAACACCACATATTGTCACTCATAGGTGGGAATTGAACAATGAGATCACATGGACACAGGAAGGGGAACATCACACTCTAGGGACTGTGGTGGGGTGGGGGGAGGGGGGAAGGATAGCATTGGGAGATATACCTAATGCTAGATGACAAGTTAGTGGGTGCAGCACACCAGCATGGCACATGTATACATATGTAACTAACCTGCACAATGTGCACATGTACCCTAAAACTTAAAGTATAATAATAAAAGAAAAAAAACTTAAAAAAAAAATTTGCCAAAATCTTTTGCTAAGGGTATTGAGTTTATCATATGGTTTTCTTGATTGTTTATTCAATATGTTAAGTTACCTTAATTTTAATATATAAACCAACTTGCATTGTTGCAATATATCCTACTTGGTCATGAAATAGATAATAACTTTATCCATTCAATTTGCTGATATGTGACAACTCTGTTGTTTTCTGTATTTTCTTTCATGCTGCATTTAAAAAAATAAAGTAATATATGCATATGCATAAGATATCCAACAATATATAGAATGAAAAAAATAGGTCTCTATTTCAGTCTACCACATCTCCATATCCATACACAAAAATATGTGTATGCTATTTTAATTATTACTTTTTGATGTTTTTCTACTGAATTTCTGTTATAATGGAAAAAGATTTCCCACATATGCTCTCTCACTCTCCTGTTACACACCAAATCAAATTATATTCACTTCCTCTACTGTTTAACTCTGCAAATTCAAATAGTATGCTTAAACCTACAGTTCTAGTCCATTAACAATACATGGTATGTCAGGAATCTTCTCTGTGTGAGATGAGGACAGTAGCTCACCTGTATCTATTTGAACCTCCCAGCCTTAGGACTTTTATTTTCTTTCATCTGCATGTATATTCTCATTATTCCATTCTGTAATTGTAGGTAAGTCTTCTATAGTTTATGTGTATATTGGTTCTAACAATGGAAAAGCAATATAAAGCATAGCTTAGAAATTGCTCTTACTACATACTTTTTTGTTTACTTTTCCTTTTTTTTTTTTTTTTTTTGACTGCAAAGCCAAATCTCCTAGGACAATTGTGGGCAGCTGTTGCGTGGAAGAAAATTAGTGTTTTACCACCAGAACTATCATCGTTACTACACAATTGAAAAAAAGCATAATGTGCAGCCAATTCACAGAAGGAAAATCCAAGAGGCCAGTAAACATAGAAAAACATACCCACCCTTAAGAATAAACAGGGCAGTTAAAATTATAACAACAATAAAGTACCATCGATAATATCCTCAGATTGCCAAAGTTTTTAAGTCTGACAATAGCATATAATGGCAATATGTGGGAACATAGAAACTGTTATTCATGGCTAAAGGTAGTCTAATTAGAGCTACTTTGAAGAGAAATTTGGCTCTATCCATTTGAAAATACACATTTCCTGTGTCCTGGTAATTTCTCTTTTTCATAGATAATTGGGAGGAACTCTTACGTATTTGCTGAAGGAAACCTATAAAGGGATGCTGATTGCAGCATTGTCTCTGAACTAATTAAAAAAATAAAGTCCTAAACATCTGTTAGTATGGGTAAACAAATTGCAACAGATTCATGTTAGAGAATATTATATGTCAGTTAAAAAGAACATAGTTCTTTTCTTCTAGTAGACCAAAACCAATGTTAAATTTAAAAAATCAAACTTGATGAATGCTATGTTTATGAAATTAAACATAAATTATAATAAGAACTAATATTTATTGAATATGTATGTGTTTGTGTTTACTGATATGTGTGTAAGTTAAAAATTTTAATGAATGCTTCTGTTAAGGAAGAAGAAATAGAGCCAAGGCTGGCCACCTAAATGGATTGTAATGCTAACTTTTATTTATAGTTGATTTTTTTAATAAAAGGAAGCAAAAAATATTATGAAACATAGATACTGGATGACTGCATAACAAAATGATACATTTAATTTATTTCCTTAAATATTAGTTCGATAAGTACTCTTTTACATGTACAAGCTTTTAATAAGTATATAAAATATAATGCATATCAGCTTTTTGTTTTCTATAGATGTATGACATGAACCGCCAAGATAACAGCTAATTAACATTCTAGATTTTCTAAGTGTTTATACCTGAAAAGCTGGCGTTTACTTGTTATTTCCTTGGGCTGGTTTAATAATAAATGCAGACTTGAAAAAGAACAATATGTTGACAATTGAGCAAAACAAAAGGCATTTGTTTCTGTCACATGGATATAAACAAAGGGATGCCTTAATTTTTCTCTATGAAAATGCATGAATTAAAAAAATAAATATCCTCACATGCCCATGCTAGCAGATTCTGAGACTTGTTTACACATCTGCTTTGGTGTTCTAAATCAAGCTACTGCAATATTTCTATTGTTTCTAATAAGTTGTGAGCAATTTTCTCAGTATGACTAAGTTAGAGCAGCTGGTTATGTCCGAGGAATTCAACCTGTGCAGGTTAACATTTACTGAGCACTGTCATTGGTGTTGTTAGAGAATCAAATATGAATAAGGCACTATCCTTACATATTTGCAGTTCAAAATAGATTAGAAGATCCTTTTAAGATCATGTCTAATGATAAGTTATTCCACTGTAACAGAAGTGCTCTACAATTGCTCTGGAGCTACAGAATGATGGGCTTTCTCTTCTGTCCTAGTTAGGACTTGTAGATATTTCATTGCAACTGTTCTTGGAATGTTGCATAAGATCTGAGTGATAGAGGAGGAGAAAACTCTCCAGACAGAGGGAATCTGCATACATATATTTTTATTGCATTTTAATCTACACTATTGTTAGTGATAGGGCAATTTACTGACTGTACTCACAACAAATTTTGTATATTACCATGACTGTAATTATTGGCTAATAGGTATGAGTCATTAACATATACCAGAAGTGGACTAACATTTTAATATGTCTTAGTTCATCTAATCAACAAATGCAGGTATATATTATCATTTCCATTTTGTAGTAGAGGAAGCTGAAACAAAAATATTAAGCAACAGCTATATTTGATGTTCCTGGGTTTCAAACCCTAGTCTATTGATTTGCAGGTTGTGTTTTTCTCAGATTAACTCTAAGATTTGAGGAAACTACTAAGTAACACAGCTTAACTTCCATCTTAAGAAAAGTCTGGCTCCAGAGACTTTGCTCTTTCTCCTCATATTGTAGTCTCACCACACTGCCAAGACATGGATAGACATAGTTTTGACTTGCAGGGTTCAAGTCCTTAAAGCAAGAAAACATCCCCATTGTATTAGTTCATTTACACACTGCTATAAAAAACTGCCCAAGACTGAGTAATTTATAAAGAAAAGAGGTTCAATTGACTCACTTTTCTTCATGGCTGGGGAGGCCTCAGGAAACTTACAATTATGGCAGAAAACAAAGGGGAAGCAGGTAGCTTCTTTGCAAGGCAGCAGGAGTGAGAAAAGAGTGAAGGAGGGGCTGGGGAGAGTGGCTCACACCTGTAATCCAGCACTTTGGGAGGACGAGGCAGGTGCGTCAGGAGTTAGAGACCAGCCTGTCCAACATGGTGAAACCCCATCTCTACTAAAAATACAAAAATTATTCCGGCTGGTGTTGGGCACCTGTAATTCCAGCTACTTGGGAGGCTAAGGCAGCAGAATCACTTGAACCTGGGAGGCAGAGGTTGCAGTGAGCCAAGATCACACCAATGCACTCCAGCCTGTGTGACAGAGTGAGACTCCATCAAAAAAAAAAAAAAAAAAGTGAAGGAGGAAGAGCCCCTTATCAAACCATCAGAACTCGTGAGAACTCACTGTCATGAGAACGGCATGGGGAAAGCCACCCCGATGATCCAATAACCTCCCACCAGGTTTCTCCCTCAACACAGGGGAATTATGGGGATTATTATTTGAGATGAGATTTTGGTGGGGACACAGAGCCAAATCATATCACCCATGAAAATAATTTTCAAATTTCCTGACCTACATAATAAACAGAGTGCCTGATCTCTGAGCACTGAAAATTTCCATGTGAACATCCACTGATGCCTCAACATTTATACTGCCCCAAATAACTGACTGAATCCCTTTTCATGATTCTTAAAAGGGTGCCACATTTATATTGTCATGCATCTCAGAACTGGGAAACTAGTTTTGATTCTTTTCTTTGCTGATTTTACATATACATTTGTTGCTCAAATGATAGTGGTTTTATTTTCTAAATATATATAAAATGTGTCCCCTCTGCCCCATTCCTGCAAAACTGAATTCCATCAGGCCCTTATCATTATTTGTCTGTGGCCACCTAATAAGACTTCTTCCCAAATCTGTTATCGATACCCTTGCCAGAATTACCTTTTTTTAAAACAAGCTGATTCTCACTTTTGTGGTTAAATCCTTGAATCTTTCACACATTATGCCAAATCCTTACTACTGTCCGTCAGGTCACCTTATAGCCTGGCCATTAAGGGCCAGGATTCTAGAATCAGGTTGCCAGTGTTCCAGTCCTGGCTCTGACACTTCTAGCTGTGTGACCTTGGACAACTTATTTACCCTTTTAGAGTCTGTTTTCTCATCTTGGAAATGCTGATAATGTTATGTATCTGACAGAATAGTTGTATGGATTGAATGAGTTGATACAGGTAAAATGCTTACATCAGTGTCAGTAATCACTATTAGGTGTTTGCTATAATTATTATTCTATTACACATTTGCATCCATGTACTTTGGATACACCATTGATATGGTTTTGCTCTGTCCCAACCCAAATCTCATCTTGAATTGTAGTTCCCATAATCCCCCTGTGTCGTGGGAGAGACCCTGTCAGGGGTAATTGAATCATGGGAACAGTTAGCCCAGTGCTGCTCTCATGATACTGAGTGAGTTCTCATGAAATCTAGATCTGATGGTTTTATAAGGGGTTTTCCCCCCTTTGCTCAGCACTTCTTCTTGCCATCATATGAAGAAGGATGTGTTTGTTTTCCCTTCCAAGGGAAGGGTTTGATTGTAAGTTTCCTGAGGCCTCCCCAGCCATGATGAACTGTGAGTTAACTAAATCTCTTTATTTTATAAATTACCAGGTCTCAGGTATGTCTTTATTAGCAGTGCAAGAAGAGACTAATACAGTAAATTGGTACCATGGGGGTTGGGAGATGCTGTTATAAAAATACCCAAAATTGTGGAATCAACTTTGGAATTAGGTAACAGGCAGAGGCTGGAACAGTTTGAAGTGTTCAGAAGAGGACAGAAAGATGTCAGAAAGTTTGAAACTTCCTAGAGATTTGTTGAATGGCTTTGACCAAAATATTTACAGTAATATGGACAACGAAGTCCAGGCTGAGGCGGCTTCTGATGAAGATGAGGAACTGGTTGGGAACTGGAATAAAGGTGACTCTTGCTATGCTTTAGAAAAGAGGCTGGTGGCATTTTGCCCATACCCTGGAGATCTGTGAAACTTTGAACTTGAGAGAGATGATTTAGGGTATCTGAGGGTATCTAACTGAGGGTATCTAAGTGGCAAAGCATTCAAGAGGAAGCAGATCATAAAAGTTTGAAAAATTTGCAGCCTGATGATGCAATAGAAAAGAGAAACTCATTTTCTGAAGAGAAATTCAAACTGGCTGAAGAAATTTGCATTAGTAATGAGGAGCCAAATGTTGATCACCAAGACAATGGGGAAAATGTCTCCAGGGCATGTCATATACCTTCACAGCAGCCCCTCCCATCACAGGCCTAGGAAGAAAAAATGGTTTCCTGTGTTGGGACCAGGGCCCCCCTGCACTGTCCAGCCTTGGACCTGGTGCCCTGCCTCCCATCTGCTTCAGCTCCAGTTGTGGCTAAAAGGGGCCAAATTACAGCTCAGACCATTGCTTTAGGGGGTGCAAGCTTCAAGCCTAGGCAGCTTACACATGGTGTTGGTCCTGCGGGTACACAGAAGACAAGGATTGAGGTTTGGAAACCTCTCCCTAGATTTCAGAGGATGTATGGAAATGCCTGGATGTCCTGGTAGAAGTTTGCTTCAGAGGCAGAGCCTTCATGGAGAACCTCTGGTAGGGCAGTGTGGAAGGGAAATATGGGGTTGGAACCCCTACACAGAGTCCCCACTGGAGCTCCCTAGTGGAACTGTGAGAAGAGGATCACCATCCTCCAGACCCCAGAATGGTAGATCCCCCGACACTTTGCACCGTGCACCTGAAAAAAACCACAGTCACTCAATGCCAGCTTAAAAAGCTGCCAGGAGAAGGGGGCTGTACCCTGCAAAGCCACAGGGGCAGAGCTCCCCAAGACCATGGGAAACCACCTCTTGCATCAGTGTGATCTTGATGTGAGACATGGAGTCAAAGGAGATCATTTTGTAACTTAAAGATTTAATGACTGTCCTGCTGGATTTTGGACTTGCATGGGGCTTGCAGTCCCTTCATTTTGACCAATTTCTCTCATTTGGAATGTGTGTATTTACCCAATGCCTGTACCTTCATTGTATCTAGGAAGTAACTAACTTGCTTTTGATTTTACAGGCTCATAGGTGAAAGGGGCTTGCTTAGTCTCAGAAGAGATTTGAACCTGGACTTTTGAGTTAATGCTGGAATGAGTTAAGACTTTTAGAGACTGTTGGAAAGGCATGAATGTGTTTTGAAATGTGAAGACATGAGATTTGGGAGGGGCCAGGGGTAGAATAATATGATTTGGCTGTGTCCCCACCCAAATCTCATCTTGAATTGTAGTTCCCATAATTCCTACATGTCATGGGAAGGACCAAGTCAGGGGTAACTGAACCATGGGGGTGGTTACCCTCATGCTGTTCTCATGATAGTCAGTAAGTACACACAAGATCTGATGGTTTTATAAGTGGCTTTTCCCCCTTTGCTCCACACTTCTCCTTTCTGCTGCCATGTGAAGAAGTATGTCTTTGCTTCTGCCTCCGCCATGATTATACATTTCCTGAGGCCTCTCCAGCCATGCTGAAGTGTGTCAATCAAGCCTCTATTCTTTATAAATTACCTAGTCTGTGATATGTCTTTTATCACCCTGAGAACAGATTAATACAACCATGTTCCTTCAGGCTGCTGTCCTTTGCCTACAATACTCACTCTTGTTTTCTATCTGGCAAATTCTTTTTATCTTTAGCAACACAGTAAGAATGTTCCTGTTACTGTGATGTCTACCTTGTTTATCTTATAATTAGTAATTAACAATAGTTAATTCATAGTCTAAAATTCATAATTTCTTTCTCGGTGTTTGGATAGGAGTTTGTTCAGACTGTGATTATAGCATGTATAACTGTTGTAAACCTCTGTTTAAGTGACAGCAAACCACATCAAGCTCTCTCCATGCCTGAACCTGGGTTTTATTCAGCTCTGTTTTTCAGCAGCAAAGACAGGGCCTAGAGAAGAGTAACATGAGCATTAATTAGAAAAGGTTACTCTGGTATGAGGAGAAATGAATGGGAAGAGGAAACCTAGGGGCTGGATAACTGGCCTGGAGGTTAGGCATAGTGCAAACAATGAATAATAAAATATATGGCCATGAAATAGTCAATTCTAAGGGATTGGAGAGGGTGAATTGAAAATATGTAACTAACAGGGCAATAGAGAAAAGCTATAACAAATATAATGCTTTTGCTGGATATAAAGTGTCATAACTTGTTTTTATGTTGTGTTATCAGTCTTCTTCTCTCACCTTTTCTTCCCCTTCCTCCTCCTCCTCCTCCTTTTTCTTCTCCTTTGTTCCCCTTCCCCTTCTCCTTTTCTTTGCCTTCCTTCTTCTCCTCTTCCTTTCTCTTCTTCCTTAATTCAAAGGTCTATTATGTTTATATTATATAAAGCAAAGGATTGGAGCATATTTGAATGACATAATTACCCTGATGACTTTGAAAGTATAAATCGTAGCATAGTCTATTGAAAAGCATAGTATAAAACGTAGCATAGTCTATTGAAAAGACAGTGAGACAAAATTTCTGGGTGCTTGTCCTAATGTCAGTGTTGATTAGTTGTGTGACTCTTTGGTCTTCTAACCACTGGATAAGGTTTTATCAGTGTTATTATAAGACGCAAATGATGAAAATGTGCAAATCTGTTTTGAAAATTATAAAGAGCTCCACAAATAAGATGTATGACTTTTCTTATCATCAGAGTGTTGTATTAGTTTCCACATAATGTGTTTAATT
This sequence comes from Homo sapiens, assembly GCF_000001405.40. Lineage (NCBI taxonomy): Eukaryota > Metazoa > Chordata > Mammalia > Primates > Hominidae > Homo > Homo sapiens. The sequence continues at coordinate 12,500,927 of NC_000004.12, read as the reverse complement.
ATGTCTTGCTTCTAGGGAACGTAGGACTTCTATGTAGATTGCATTTGTATAATCCGATTGAAGTTTCTAGCATATTATTCAAACTTTAACAATATTTGCCAAAACTTAGTAACCAGATTTGCTACAACATCCTTTATAATTGAAAATATTCAGGTACTGTATTTATATGTGAAGAAAATTTGCTTACATATACATTTTAAAAAATTTATTTAAAAAATAAAGTAGCCAGGGTCATTTCTTTGCATTACTTTTGACTATTTATCTTCTAACAGGCCAACAAAGTCAATAGCCTTTTCAAATTGACATAAACCTTAGCCTGCACTCTGCTCTTGCTCTACTGGGTGAAGGGCATGTGATGTACTATAAATAATTTTTGGAGACCTAAAGGCAGGGAGGATTTACAATAAAATGTTTTGGATGTTATTTTTTGATATATTGTTAAAAATATGTTTTATTTACATCCTGTGTGTGAAACTTTTTTGTCATGTTTCCCAATCTATAATGACATGTAGTGACCTAGTAGTAAATGTCACTGGATGTTTAATACAAGGCATCAGGACTACAGCAGCCTACAACAAAATAATTGCAAAGTAACTTGTAAAGTGTCCTTTCCTAGGCTTATATATAGAGATAAATTTAAGGAAACATATCCAGAAATTAATAATGTTCCAAAAACTTCTAACATATAAAGACTTTTTAAAAATCTATATTCCAACATCTAAAGATATTTTATAGTGGTATGATTGTAACAATTATTATTATTATGCTAAAAGTGGAAAGAACTTTGCAGTGTCTGAGTGAGCTACTCAGCGTTTTATGGGTGCTAGTAGAAGACATGAGACTTCTGTTTCAAAGGTGAAGGAGGATTTTATTACTTATGTCAATAGCAGTAGCTGGAATATCAACATTTTGTGCTGATTCCCTGAGACTCAATTCCTATGGTGATGTGAAGAGGCCAGCTGACACCTGCATATACAGTGAGTTGCATTAAAAGGAGAGGAAACTTGAACTTAGGAAAAGCAAATATTTTCTAATGGGGGAAAAAAAAAACCATGCCTGTTCTTTGCTCCAGAGACAGACAATAAACGTGTTTTTCCCAACTGCAAGAAAACGTGCCCTTTGCTCTGGAGGGAAACACTCTTTGTTATCTCCTGAGGCTATGGATCCTTGAAAAGATTGGAGAAACAGATAGTTAATGGAGAAACAGATAATTGTCTGGAGAAACAGATAGTTAATGCTTCACCTACAAGACGTGTAGAAATACCAGAGATCCCTTGAAAATTATTATCTCCCCAAAGAGAGACAGTACCCCTTGAACAGGAGCAAATCTTGCCTGGATTTGAATATTGCCTCTAGCAGTTTGTTACCTTGTAGCCTTAGACAATTCACTTATTATAGTTATTTAAGTTTCCTCATATGTAAATGGAGATAATAACAATCCCTATCATAAAGTTATTGTAAAGACTAAATGAGTTAATGCATAAAAAGCCTTTAGAACTGTGTATACACTGTAAACATTAAAGAAACACTACCTATTCTAGATAAATTATATTATAAATAAACTATTGATTTTTTTTCTTATTTTAAAGCATTGCTTATTTTGCAAAAATATATTAAAAGCTTATGCCAGAGATTCATTTTTGCAGTTAAAAATTTTCACTTATATTTATTATTAGAGTTTTTAACATTTGAAAATAAAAAATACACATTGTACGTGTCTCTTCAACAGATATATAAACTGTCAATCTTTCTATGTTCCCGTACTAATTTCTATAATTATATTATTGCATTTCATTTACATGGAAAACTTTGAGGTAGATGGCTTTAGCCCAGGAAGTATAACAGATTTTAAACCCAGTTCTGTGTGTGCCATTAATTTATACACCTTTTCCCATTCAGTATAAAGCACTGTGTTAAGGGATATATCTCAACATTTGAAAGCACGCCAGCCCCATGAACAATGCCTATTTGATAATAACCTCACGTGTCTAGTGTTCTATTATTACAAAGCACTTAATTTCATTATCTTGTTGTGTATATTTCCCTGATTTTCTGTTAAAGAATCTAGCTTAGGAGATATTTAAGTGCTTAACACAATGTCAGAGCTTGAATATAGAGGTGGGCTTTAGTGCATATATTCTAACTTAAACCTTTCCAGGAAGAACACCCTCTTCTGCTGTACAGAATTGTTCCCTTCTACCTAGTAATGGGAGAAAATGCTATTGCTTGACACTTTGGAAATTTTGGCCTGCCTAAATGAAATACCCTCTGGTACAACGGAATGGTCATGCAACTCTCAAGAATTGCTACTAGTAATCCTGCTATAGATTATCCAGTTCTTATTTCTTAGAGGGAACTTTCCTTTCTCCAGTACACTAAAAGTACCTTAATTTAGGCAAACTCTACCACCTGAGCTGTGGGCCCCAGGAACACAAGGTGGTGGAAAAGAGGAAAAGGACAGTGTTATTGAATGAGAGGTCCTAGAATTCCAACCTTTTTCAGCATGGACTCATGAATCCCTTAGCTATTCTACTGCAGTATCCCCATGGGCATGTTGAATCTTTCATGTGGTATCAGCAGCAAGAATCCAGAGACAGGTGTGGAAAATGAGATTAAATTTCACTACCAAGGCCCCTAGGTTGCTTCAGTCTTGCCACAAACTGCAACTAACCTTTTACATCAAGGAAAAATGACAATGAAAACAAAAGTAATGCTATTTTTAAATGGGCTTGTGGCATATCCTCTTATGTGATGCATAATAATGTTTTGCTCAATGACAAGTAATATATAAATGGTGGTCCCATAAGATTATAATGGAGCTGATCAATTCCTATTGCCAAGTGGCATTGTAGCTGTTGCAACGTTGTAGAACAACACATTATCTTTTCAATGTGTAGACATATCTAGATACACAAGTACTTACCATTGTGTTACAACTGCTAGTACACAGTAGTCACATGGTTTACAGGTTTGCAACCTAGGAGCAGTAGGTGGTAACATACGGCCTAGGTATGTAGTAGGCTGTACCATCTAGGTTTGTGTAAGTACACTCTGTGGTGTTTGTACAAGAACAAAATCATCCAGCAGCACATTTCTCAGAATGTATCCTGGTCATTAACCCACACAACTGTATTTATACATAGGTGAGTTAGATTAATGCAAGTCAGCTAAGAAACCATCAGAATCATCTTTATGGCAGACCTGGGGTTTTATAATACTCTAGTAGTCAAAGGCTTTAACAACAGGTAGCAGGATTATATCCCCATGCAGAAAGAAATAAGATGTAGACAAGAAATCAGGATGTGGACAACAAGATGTAGATAATCAGAAGAATGGGATTCTGTAGCAGTGCTCTAGTTATAATAGGTGGAGTTTTAGGCTTGGAAATCAAAGATGAGCCCAATGAGGGAGGAGAGCTTGATCCTACTGAGTTCAGACGTGACTAGATGCAGTTCAATAGATAGATAGGTGTCCTGAGTTCTTGGGCTGCAAAACTCAGTTTGAATCTAATTCACTGATGGGTTATGTTTAGCTTCAAACAGAAGTCGGCAAAGGTAACTACACACACACACACACACACACACACACACACACACACACACTTCCAAAGTAGGCGATCTTGAGACTGTGTACAAATGGAAAGTCCCAAGAGATCCTAAGGTTAGGTTACCAAATGAGAAGTCTGAATGTCGATCTACAGTGGGCCAGTATTTTAGCTAGAAAGACAGTGTTAGGCTTCTCATCTTAAAGAGAAAGCAGTTTGCAAAATAGATGAAAGGGCAGTGAATTCATAGACCAGGAGCATTAAGAGAAGTATCAAACACAGAGCTAGAAGAAAATAAGGAGAAGTTATTTAGAACCACTGTGTCCATGGTAAGAAAATCCTGGTGTTTTCCTCTTCAGGGGAATGTCTTTTGGATACATGAGATGTCTTGGGCAGAAAAATTTATTTTAGATCCATTATTTGGAAGAGGAAGCTAACAATATGCTCCCCACTCCGGGAAGGACTGGGACATATAATGGAAAGGTTAAGACTACTTATAGATGGACATCTCAAGGGACTCCAGATAGGTAGAGGAAGGAAAGGATGACAGCACCTTGTCACACAGTAAGATAAATGAAAAGAAAGATGGTTCCTACACATAATGAGGTCCTGAAATTCTAGCTGTGTAGTAATTTGTGCCCAGTTCATTAAAGCTGAGCAAAGAAAAATTTGATTTTCACCTCGGTTATTAAATAAGTTTAGAACAAACATAATCAATTTTTCACCTCTCAGAGTCATGAGACATACTTGAACTTTGCCAGTAAACAAAGGTATGGAAGGCATGCTTTAATTAGAATTTTCCCAACATAGGCTGTATTAGAGAGACTTTATTTTCACCCATATATATGCATTGAATTGTTCTAGACATTTATTGAGCCAGAAGCATCTTTATTTTTTTAGACTTATGGGAACCCCCAAAAGCAGAAATTGAACTGAAGGGCATACACTCTAAGCCTGTTTGTTATAATGAGATACTGTCAGATCTATCCCACCTAGAACACAACTACCTCTTTTGCTTTTATTATCTATTTAGTTTTTCTTGACACTAGCCCTATGCTAGCTTATCCAGAGTGAGCATAGTCACAAGATTGCAGCATTTGTGTCTGAGGGTGTTAAGCCTGCATAGCTCCAATGCTGGACACATCATCAAACAGCTGTACTCTGGTATGGTGTGATGCCTTTGCATGCTAATATTTCTCTCTTCTCTTTCCAGTATACTAATTCTTTACTATATTCCTATATTCTGCTTTATACGATTGGTTAAATGGCTCCTGTCATATCCCTTTAGAGCAATTCTCTACCACCTGCAATGCCCAGAGTCTTTTTTAGTTTTTCAACTACTCCCAAGTCAGATCTCGATGTTGGATAGTCAGATCTTCTCTCATGGGAATCTGCAATTAGAATTACTGTCCTACAACCCTAGAAGGTTCCGCTAGCTCCTTGTTCCTAGCTGCTCTATTAAAGAAGATTTACAATAAGATACAAAGTCTCAGCCCCACTCTATTTCACAACAATTATTGACCAGAATAGAAGTTATAATAGTGTTTCTCAGACTTCAAGTAAGAGGTGTCTGGAATTATTCTTGCTCTCTGATACATAGAACCTGGAATGTCTGTGGAATAATCCTTACTATGTACCTTCCGACGCTAAGGGTCTACCCAACCCTTGCTGTACTTTGCCTGTCCAACAGAATATGCCTTCACTTTACTGTTCAGCTGGAACTGTAATCCTGCCTTGACTGAAATCTAATTTGACTTCTAGAGGTCGTTTTACTCACTTGGCCTTTGCTAGACCTTCAATATCTCAGATGGTTGAACTCTGACCAGAATTCCTAAGGATTGGCTGAATGAAGTTCCACTGGAAAATTCTTCCAAACTCCATTGTCTGGCTGCAAATGTCACCACCTGTATACTCCTATAGCCTTGCTTCTACCTTCTAGAGCAGACACTCAGATATGCCAGTGCAGAGAAAGTATGAGCTCTCCATGGTCCTTTGGGCACTATACTTTGAGTTCCTTTCCTTTTCTATTATGAAGTCAGGTGTTTCAAACTTAATTCAGGCAGGTATCAACATAAGTTACATATTCAGGCCCCTATGAGAGGACAATTTCTGACATTATTAAGGAGATGCTAGCAACAGTTTAGTGCCACTTTATAGTGGATTCTTTCTTAATCCACTCAACTTTCCAGCCCCAGGGAGTCAAAAACAGAGGGCAGTAGCAGAGATAAGAGTCAGCTCTTAAGCTTTTCTTGTTCTCATTAGCAAACTACCTGCTAAGCTTCAAGAATACCTTCTCACAGAGCTGTTTAACATGTGTTATCTAAACCTAGCCCGTTTTGTGGGTCATGCTGTTTAGCAACTTACAAACATCCTGAACCTTTGCAGTCAACAAGAGCTTCCAGGTAACCTCAACACAAGACCAAATGAGCACAAGGATTGATAAAGACTCAACATGATCATCTCAATTTTTAAAAGACAAAAAATAGATTAGTATGACATGAATTCTGAAAAGTAATTTATATGCTAAAAAAGACGAATAACCCTTAGAAATTAGGCATAAATTATGAAAGGGTATATCTTTGTATAAAATAATATAAAGTTAATTGTGATTTTTATGACTTCCAAAAAAAGTTTTATGTCACAAGACAGATTTGTGTGTAAATGTATTGACTTTTTTTTTACATTTGAGAAACAGAAGAAGACCTCTAGAATAATTATATTCTTCAATTGTAGCTCTACTTGTTGAAGGTGAGAATTTGGCTTTCCTGCCTTGTGTCCCTGAGTCTTTATTAAATTATTTAAAATTATGTATCAATACAAGCTTTAATATATCAAACCTGTGAAATAATATGGACAAATCAGTGTTTTGTTTATGTATTTCAGGGGTGATAGTTACTAGTTTTCAATGCGGGTAAATTTCTTCCCCAGGGGAACATTGGCTTCAAATGAATGGATATTTTTCTCCTTAACATATTTAAGGGGAATAGGATCCCATGTTAGGAAGGTTATCTAGATGAATTTTGCATAAATGCTTTCAATGTGATTTTTCTTGCTATCTAACATTAAGAAATGGAAGATCCTTGCTTTTATTTTTCTCAGTTATCACAAAATTATTTCTTGAGAGATATCTAGTCTATTCTTTTCTACTCACAGAGATTGTCAGGGTAGAAAGCTTGAGAATGTGTGAAAAAAGAGAAAAGATGAGTTGAGTGAGAACGTCTTATAATTTATCATGGTATGAATATTGGCAACACACTAAAAAATAGAAGTAAAATTTTGTACTAAATATAAAAGTGCATAAACACTCTTACGGATATAGGTCAATAAAAATCTTCACTTCCATAGTGTTTCAAAATGAGCCTAAGAAGTACTGTGAAAATATAAAACTGAATAAACAATTCCTTTTGTATGACATATTTTAAGAGTAAGTAATTATTAATTAAATAAGACAACCGTGAGTATTAACAAATGGTTTCAGTAGTCCACATAAATATTGGATACAACACGAGTATTACAGCCTTTCTTTGGACCGTTGATCTATAATGTATTACATCCCATTTATGGTTTGTAAGAAATGTACATTCCACTGTTTGCTGCTATCAACTTCAGAACCAACTAAAGTCCTTGAGATTCCATTTAATTATTGTTCTTAAACTGAGTACTCTGGATTTCATAGGTATCCACATATCTCTTTTAACTGAATGTAGGACTTTATCCTGAATCTTACTGGATTCTCATTATGAATCCAGAATAACAAGTGAGTCTTAAATTTCAGTTCTGTTGTTTCCTTATCATTTAAAGTACTTTGTCAACCCCAAACTTGACTTCCTACTTTTTCTGGCTTCTTCAATAGCATAGGCAAAAGAGTTGAATAAAATTAAGATTTTAGAAAATTCAGTGCAACAAATCTTTAAGATTTTCCTCCTCACTGACCTTCCTTCATGCATTCTTTTATTTATTTGCTTTTTGTTTACTGGTAAAAAAATTCTAAGGCATTTTAGTATTTTGCTAGCTGTTACTACGCAGATGATTAAGACATAATTGTCATCTCAAAGGTTCATAAGCTGTTTGGGGAGAAATATATTTAAATCAGCAAGAGCAATAGCGGGTTATAACAGATGCTGTAATTATGCCACCTACAGAACAAACAAGGAAACCCAGATAAGAGTTGTCAGTTCTGGCTGAGGGTCATAAACATCAGTGGTCAGAGGTATACAGGTGTTCCTTGAGCTGCGTTATGAAAGACAAACATAGGAAGTTAGGGTGGTATGAGATAGATTGGGGTAGATGGCAAGGAAAACTTCACAATGAAGGGACCCAAATGTACAAAGACAAAACATGAGCTACTATGGAATTTTCAGGCAATAGGCCATTCTGGGGTGGTTGTGGTGTTGTATTCAAAAGAATGTGGTTCCAGGAAAGGAGGTGCTGGGAATGGCAGATGGCAGTCAAGCAACAGAAGATCTGGTAGGCCACACCAAGTGTTCGGACTTTATCCTGTAAACAACAAGACAGTGTCAAGGCATTTTGAGAAGAGTGTCACATCATTAATTCTTTGAGCGTAAGTCATAATTCATCAGGTTTTGAGAGACACAAAAAGAAACATGGATACCATATTCAATTATCAAAGAATGGGACTCAAAAGGCTGCAAAACCCCTCTTGATATAATTCTGGAATACATATTTCCTCAGCTTTCCCATAAGTCCAGGGGCAGTTCCATCAAAAACAAATTGAAATTTAAGTTTTCTATATGTACGACATTATTTTGACCTACTTTCATCTAATACCCATTAAATTAAGAATAAGATTCACTTGAGATATTGTTTGACAAGTTCTCAGAACTACTTTTGATAGTTCCGAGAACATTTTATTTTTTCCTATAAACATAACAGCAATAATAATTCATATTGTTTATTAAGTATCTACTAATAACCAAGGGCTTTATGTCAATTAATTTTTTCAACCTATACAACATACCATAAAAACCTATGGAATATTGTGGTATATTCATTCAATAGACTCTTACACGGCTATGAGAATGAACTAACTGCAAGCACATGCAAAATACAGATGACTTTCTCACAAATATGATGTGAAATTTTTTAAAAAGTAGGCAAACATATTTGCTGTAGGATTCCACTTATATAAATCACAGAACCCAGCAAAGCTAATCTATGGTGATTAAAAAAAAATAGAGCAGTGATTTATTTTGTTGGCAAAGAATAGATTAATTGGATTCTGGTTACAGGAGTATGTTTAGCTTTTGAAGATTTATTGTGTAGTACAGTTTTGATATGACAACTTTCCTGATTTTATGGTATATAATTCAATAAAGAGTTTTAGAAAATCACTTTCTAATGCATTGAGAATGTATTATTATTATTATTATTTGTTCTTTTTCTTTTTTTTTTAAATTATACTTTAAGTTTTAGGGTACATGTGCACAATGTGCAGGTTAGTTACATATGTATACATGTGCCATGTTGGTGTGCTGCACCCATTAACTCGTCATTTAACATTAGGTATATCTCCAAATACTATCCCTCCCCACTCCCCTAACCCCACAACAGGCCCAGTTGTGTGATGCTCACCTTCCTGTGTCCATGTGTTCTCATTGTTCAATTCCCACCTATGAGTGAGAACATGCGGTGTTTGGTTTTCTGTCCTTGCGATAGTTTGCTGAGAATGATGCTTTGCAGCTTCATCCATGTCCCTACAAAGGACTTGAACTCATCATTTTTATGACTGCATAGTATTCCATGGTGTATTTGTGCCACATTTTCTTAATCCAGTCTATCATTGTTGGACATTTGGGTTGGTTCCAAGTCTTTGCTATTGTGAATAGTGCTGCAATAAACATATGTGTGCATGTGTCTTTATAGCAGCATGATTTATAATCCTTTGGGTATATACCCAGCAATGGGATGGCTGGATTAAATGGTATTTCTAGTTCTAGATCCCTGAGGAATCGCCACACTGACTTCCACAATGGTTGAACTAGTTTACAGTCCCACCAACAGTGTAAAACTGTTCCTATTTCTCCACATCCTCTCCAGCACCTGTTGTTTCCTGACTTTTTAATGATCGCCATTCTAACTGGTGTGAGATGGTATCTCATTGTGGTTTTGATTTGCATTTCTCTGATGGCCAGTGATGGTGAGCATTTTTTCATATGTCTTTTGGCTGCATAAATATCTTCTTTTGAGAAGTGTCTGTTCATATCCTTCGCCCAATTTGTGATGGGGTTGTTTGTTTTTTTCTTGTAAATTTGTTTGAGTTCATTGTAGATTCTGGATATTAGTCCTTTGTCAGATGAGTAGATTGCAAAAATGTTCTCCCATTCTGTAGGTTGTCTGTTCACTCTGATGGTAGTTTCTTTTGCTGTGCAGAAGCTCTTTAGTTTAATTAGATCCCATTTGTCAATTTTGGCTTTGGTTGCCATTGCTTTTGGTGTTTTAGACAAGAAGTCCTTGCCCATGCCTGTGTCCTGAATGATATTGCCTAGGTTTTCTTCTAGGGTTTTTATGGTTTTAGGTCTAACATGTAAGTCTTTAATCCATCTTGAATTAATTTTTGTATAAGGTGTCAGGAAGGGATCCAGTTTCAGCTTTCTGCATATGGCTAGCCAGTTTTTCCAGCACCATTTATTAAATAGGGAATCCTTTCCTCATTGCTTGTTTTTGTCAGGTTTGTGAAAAATCAGATGGTTGTAGATATGTGGCATTATTTCTGAGGGCTCTGTTCTGTTCCATTGGTCTATATCTCTGTTTTGGTACCAGTACCATGATGTTTTGGTTACTGTAGCCTTGTAGTATAGTTTGAAGTCAGGTAGCATGATGCCTCCAGTTTTGTTCTTTTGGCTTAGGATTGTCTTGGCAATGCGGGCTCTTTTTTGCTTCCATATGAACTTTAAAGTAGAGAATGTATTATTAAAGGGCAAGTGTGGGATAAATGAGACCAGTTAGTAAGGCATTACAATTGCATGGGGGAGAGAGGATGATGACATAAGTTTGGGTCAGAAATGTGAAGACTGAGAGAAATAAAATTATTTAGGACATAATTTGGTGGAAAAGCCAAGACTTAATTGTGAGTTAAATATTGAAGGATGATGATGTAGAATAATCAAGAATGATTGATATCAGTTTTTGTCTTAAAATTCCAAGCTATTTATTGGTTGGGGAAGATTGACAAAAAAGGGGTTCATAGTACATAGGAGAGTTATAGTCATAAGAGTTACTTGGATACGCTAAGTGTGAGATATCCAAGTGGAAATGTCAAGAAGTCAGTTGAATATAGATGAGAGGAGATATGGGTGGACTGGGAATTGAGAACCATCTGCTCAAAGATTAGCCTCAGGACTCAATGAGCTCAACCAAGGAAACCATGTGGGGAGAGAAGAGAAGAGAATTCAGAATATAGTTGGAGGGGGTGTTATTAATTTTGTTTGTTTTTTAGTATATATGTATCCCAATATTTCATGGGACATACTTATTCTTTAAACAACACAAAATAAGTTTTTGGATTGTTTTTAATCTGTAATTCAAATCTAAAGAGACATCTGTATTTTTATTTGCTAAATCTAGCAATCATAATCCAAGAGCCAATCCTGGGGTGCACTGACATGTAGAGATTGAGCAGAACAGGAGCAGGAAGCAAAGGAATCTGAGAAAGGTCCGTCATTGAAACGGGTAAAAACCCTCAAGATGTAATGTTTTGAAAGGCAGGAAAGAAACAAAAACTTAAAGCAAGGGCTTAATTCATAAAGCATGATTGATGTAGAGAGCTTGAGAGTAGGACCAAATTAATTTCTTGTTCAGTTCATTAAAGTATGTACAGACATTTATTCTGAAAGGTGTTTATCCGATCATTCTCTCTCTTTGCCAGATTGTCTACACTCTACTGGACAGAAATAAAAAAGTAGTTTTGTTTGATAAAAAGAAAATAGGGTATATTTTTAATAACACTAAAAAAAAAAAGTCTCAGTCTTTATTTTATCCAATACAAACAGTAACAGCATAAGCATGGAGGCCTAGAGGATCTTTTTCAATGCAAAGATACATAAACTTCCAGGTGTTTAACTCTGTAAAAGCTACTTATTTCTCTGAAGCCCCAACGTAATTTTTTAATAAACTGATAATAGTGTGTAATAGCATAATTTTTTATTAGTATTACAAATAAATAAAATAATCTTTTTACTTGTATGGATCTTTGGGTTTATGTTTACTTCAGCACCCACAGAGCAGCACTGGCTAAAGTTTCATTTCAATATGTACCTTTCTGGAGTTAGCTCTTCCTGGACATAAAGGTCTGTTGAGCACCTTTCCAGTGCCTAAGCTTTTGCATGTTGGGATGAAATGTGTGAGCAGTGAACGGAGAAGAGGCCTGCCACTCCTAGACTGTTATCTCTTGGCCTTATCTGCTAGTGCTTTCCCTGGCTCTGGCTCTGGCACTGTGAATGCCTCACAGTGCATCCCAGGGTAGGTGCTGTAAAGGCCTAAATTAGAAGTGTCTCTGCAGCAGAATGTCAGCTCTGACGCCAGCACATCTGGCATTGGAAGCATACGGATCTGTCTTTAATCAACGACACAGCACAGCAGCACTTCAGGCACTTGTCAGATAATTCAGCCATGAGCTGGCTCTCATCAAGCACTGCCAAAAGGCTGCCAGGATCATCACTTTTTTTGTTGTTGCTTTTTGAGACGGAGACTTGCTCTGTCACCCAGGCTAGAGTGCAGTGGCACAATTTCAGCTCACTGCAACCTTTGCCTCCCGGGTTCAAGCAATTCTCCTGCCTCAGCCTCCTGAGTAGCTGGGATTACAGGCACATGCCACCATGACTGGCTAATTTTTGTATTTTTTAAGTAGAGATGGGGTTTCAGCATGTTAGCCAGGCTGTTCTCAAACTCCTGACCTTGTAGTCCACCTGCCTCAGTCTCTCAAAATGCTGGGATTACAGACGTGAGCCACCATGCCCGGCTGAATCATCATTTTTAAAACAGTGCATCTCAAACTAGCTGTGATGAAAGACTGAAGACTTTCTTTCTTACTTTTTAATTTCCAGTCCTGTGATGCATAACTAGTAAGTAGCTCATGCCACAAGTGAGTTCCCTGCTGTGTTCAACATAAGCAAGTCTGCTAGTCATGTGCTTGGTCATCTTAACAATGGTAAATGACTACAGAAATTTGTATATCTCTTAATTTCTGTATTTAACTCATTGTGGACTTGCCCTAGTCTGCTAACCATACCTTCAATGGCACTGTTCTAAAACTCAAACCATGGCTCTCACACTTAGAAATATTCATTGGTTCCCTTTTCCTAATAGGATAATGTTCAAACTGATCAGTAATGTTATGTTCCATTGCATTTTACTTAATTCACTGTTAAAACTCCCTATCATGTTTTATCTACATTTTTTGGTAAATCTGCCAGTTAACTGACTCAACTTTGTGCTTCTGGAGGGCACATACAAGGTCATATACATATGTGCATCCCAGTAACTAGCAGCAGGCTTAATCAATAAGTAGACCTCAATAAGGTCATTTGAACACTTAGTACATATTTATTTAGCACCCTCTATGAGGCAAGCCCCATTATAGGCACTAAGAATATAGCAATGAACAAAACTGTTAAATATCCCTCTTCTTGAGAGGAAGAGAAGCAAAATGGCTGAATAGAGGTCTCCAGCAATTGTCTCCCCCACAGGAATACCAAACTGAACAACTATCCACACAAAAAAGCACCCTCGTGAGAACCAAAAATCACATGAGTGATCATACTATCTTGTTTTGACATCATATTAAGGAAAGAGGCACTGAATAGGGTAGGAAAGACATTTGAATCACCTACACCAACCTTTCCTCATTCCCCGGTAGTGGCCACGTGGCACAAAGAGAGAAACTGTGCATTTGGGGAAGAGAACATGGTGATTGTGAGACTTTGCATTGGAACTCAGGGCTGCCTGTTATAGCAGTAAGCATCGCTGGAAAGAACTCAGCTGGTGCCCATGGAGGGAGCATTTGGACCATCCCTACTCAGAGGGAAATCATCCATCCCAGCAGTCAGAACTGCCACTGTGGGCTAAAGGGCTCTGGGCCCCCAAATAAACTTGAAAGTTAGTCTAGTTTAGAAGGACTGCAATTCCTGGGCTCAGAGCCAGTAGACTAGGAGCACATTCATACCAGTGAGAAACCAGCCAAAGCTGCCAAAGGAGTGCTCATGTCATCCCTCCTCCAACCCCAGGCAGCACAGCTCACAACTCCCGAGAGACTCCTTCTCTGTCCTTGAAAAGCGAAAGAACAGTAAAAAGGACTTTGTCTTGCAACTTGGATACCAGCTCAGCCAGAGTACAATAGTAGAATAGGGCACCAAGCAGAGTCCTGAGTTTTCCATTCCAGGCCCTAGGTACTGGACAATATTTCTAAACACACCCTGGGCCAGAAAGGAACCCACTTCCTTGAAGGGAAAGACCCAGGCCTGGCAGAGTTCATCACTTGCTGACTTGCTGACTTAAGAACTCTTGAGCCCTGAATAATCAGCAGTGGGACCCAGGAAGTACTTGCCACAAGGCTTGTGTAAAACCCAGGGCCACATTGGTTTCAGGTGTGACCCAGCATATTCCCATCTGTGGTGGTTATGGAGAGAGATGCCTTCTGATTGAGGAAAGCAGAAGGAAGAGTAAAGGGTACTTTGTCTTGCACATTGGCACTAGCTTGTTCATAGTGGAGTACAGCATCAAGCAGGATCCTTGTGGATCCCCCCATTTCTAGGCATTGGCTTCTAGTTGGCATTTTGGTACATATCCTGGGTCAGAGTAGAGCCACCAGGCCTGGACGGAGACAGTCTAAACGTACAGCGTTCACTGCAAGATGAGGTAAAAGCCCTTGGACCTTGAGTGAACATTGGTGGAAGCCAGGCAGTACTTGCAGTGGGCCTCAGTTGGTGATAGCCACAGAGACAGACTCCTCTGCTTGAGGAAAGGGGAGAAAAGGGTGGAAAAGACCTTATCTTGTGGTGTGGGTGCCAGCTCAGCCACAGTATAATAAAGTAGCAAGTAGATTTTTAAGTTTCCTGGACAGTATCTTTGGACCTGCGTGGGCCTAGGGGGAAATCACTGGCTTAAAGGAAGGACACAAGCCTAGCTATATTTGCTACCTATTAAATGTAGAGCCCTTGGGCCATCAGTGAATATAGGTGGTATCCAGGCAGTGGTTACTGTGGGCCTTGGTCATGCTGACTCTGGGTCTGACCCAATACAGGCCACAAGAGTTCTTGTATCATCTCTCCCTTAGCTCCAGGCAGCTCAACACTGAGCGACAGGCTCTATTTGTTAGGTGGAAAATAAGAGAAGAGAACAAAAGTCTCTGCCTAGTAATTCCCCTGGGTCTTACCCAAGACCACCAAGGGGGTGCCTTTACAAATATATGAAAGCCACAGTGTGGGCTTTAGGGGGCTTTGGGTGCCCCCTAAAGCAGATATGGCTGCAGTGACCAAAGACATAGATCACTACAGCTAAGTCCCTTCAAATACCTGGACAGGCTTCCCAAGGATAGGTAAAAACAGGCTCAGACTGTGAAGATTAAAATACTTACCTAACTGTTCAATGCCAGACACCAGTGAAAATCTGTAAACACCAAGACCATCCAGGATAACATGACCTTCCCAAACAAAGTAAATCACCAGTGACTAATCCCAGGGAGACATAGATGTGTGGTCATTCACACAGATAATTCAAAACAGCTATGTTGAGGTAGCACAATGAAATCCAACAGAAAAGTAATTTAGAACCCTTCTCTGTAAATTTAATAATTTAAATTTAATAAATTTTTCAAGTAAATTTAATAAAGAGATTGAAATAATTAAAAAGAATCAAGCAGAAATTTTGGAGCTGAAAAATAAAATTGACATACTCAAGAAGGCATCAGAGTCTCTTAACAGCAGAATTGATCAGGCAGAAGAAAGAATTAGTGAGCTTAAAGACAGGCTATCTGAGAATTTACTGAGAGGAGACAAAAGAGAAAAAGAGTGAAAAACAAGCATCTCTTCAAAGCCTAGAGAATAGCCTCAAGAAAGAAAATCTAAGCGTTATTGGCCTTAAAAAGAAGGAAGACAGACAGATTGGAATAGAAAGCTTATTCAAAGGCATAACAGAGAACATCTCAAACCTACAGAAGATATCAATATCCAAGTACAAGAGGGTTGCAGAACACCAAGCCAATTTTACTGCAATAAGCCTACCTCAAGGCATTTAATAATCAAACTGCCAAAGGTCAATGATAAAGAAAGGATCCTCAAAGCAACAAGAAAAACAAAAAAACAAACAAACAAAAAAAACATACAATGGAGCTCTAATATGTCTTCCAGCAGACTTTATAGTGGTAAACTTACAGGCCAGAAGAGAGTGGCACGACATATTTAAAGTGCTGAAGTAGAAAAACTTTTATACTAGAAAAGTATATTCAGTAAAAATATCTTTCAGACATGAAGGAGAAATAAATACTTCCCCAGACAAACAAAAGTTGAGGTATTTTATCAACATTAGACTTGTGCTACAAGAAATGCTTCTTGGAAAATCTACAAGGGAGATCTTCAGCATGAAAGAGAAGAACATTAATGGGCAATAAGAAATCATCTGAAGGAACGAAAAAACTGGTAATAGTAAATACACACAAAAAAACACAATATTATAACACTGTTTTTGTGGTGTGTAAACCACTCATATCTTGAGTAGAAAGACTAAAAGATGAACCTATCAAAAATAATTACAGCTTTTCAAGACAGACAATAAAATAAGATAGAAATAGAAACAACAAAAAGTTAAAAAATGGGGAAATGAAGTTAAACTGTAGAGTGCTTATTATTTTTCTCTTTGATTGTTTCTTTGTTAATGTCATGACTACTGTCACCAGTTAAAAATAATAGGCTATGCATTATTGTTTGCAAGGTTCATAGTAACCTCAAATCAAAAACATATAACAGATACACAAAAGGTAAAAAGCAAAAAATTAAAACATATCACCTGACAAAATCACCTTAACTAAAAGGAAGACAGGAAGGAATTAAAGAAGGAAGAGAAGACCACAAAACAACCAGGAACCGAATAACAAAACAGTCGAAGTAAGTCCTTACTTATTAACAATAAGATTGACTATAAATGGAATACACTCATCAATCAAAAGACGGAGAGTGGCGGAATAGATGAAAAAAATACCTAATGATCTGCTGCCTATAAAATATACGTTTTACCTATAAATACACAAATAAAATGAAAATAAAAGGATGAAAATACATATTCCATGAAAATGGAAACCAAAAAAGGGTCAAAATACCTATACTTATATCAGACAAAACAGATTTCCAGACAAAAACTATAAACAGAGACAAAGAAGGTTGTTATATAGTTATAAAGGTGTCTGTTCAGCAAGAGGATATAACAATTTTAAATATATATGCACCCAACACTGGAGCACCCAAGTACATAGAGCAAATATTATTAGAGGTAAGGAGAGAGATAGATTCCAATACAATAATAGTTCAAGACTTTCACTCCCTACTTTCAACATTGGGCAGATTATCCAGACAGAAAATCAAGAGACAAACATGGAACTTAATCTATACTATAGGTCAAATTGACCTAATAGATATTTACAGAACATTTTATCCAATAGATGCAGAATACTATTCTTCTCCTTAGCACATAGATCACTCTCAAGGATACATTATATATTAAGCCACAAAATAAGTTTTAAAAAAATCAAAAAAGTTGAAGTCATATTCATTGTGTTCTCTGACCACAGTGGAATAATAAAACTAGAAATCAGTACAGTGAGAAATTTTGGAAACTATGCAAACACATGAAAATTAAACAATATGCTCCTGAATGAAAAGTGGGTCAATAAAAAATTAAGATGGAAGTTGAAAATTTTCTTGAAAGAATAAAGAAATACAACATACCAAAACCTATGGAATACAGCAAAAGTGATACTGAAAGGAATGTTTATAGCAAGAAGTGCCTACACCAAAAAAGTAGTAAAACTTTAAATAAACAAGCTAACAATGTACCTTAAATAATTAGAAAAGCAAGAGAAAACCAAACCAAAAATTGGTAGATGAAAAAAATAATAATAAGAGCAGAAATAAATGAAATTTAAATTTTAAAATAACAGAAAATATCAATAAAATAAAAAGTTTTTTGAAAAGATAAATAAAGATAACAAACTTTTAGCTAGACTAAGTAAAAAGAGATAAGACTCAAATAAATAAAATAAAAGATCAAAAAAAGATATTATGGCTGATACCACAGAAATTCAAAGAATCATTAGAAGCTACTATGAGCTATTATAAGCCAATAAATTGAAAAACCTAGAACAAAAATGGATGAATTCCTAGACACATACAACCTACCAAGATTGAACCATGAGGAAATCCAAAACCTGAACAGACCAATGAGAAGAAATGTGATCAAAGCCATAGTAAAAAGTCTCCCAGCAAAGAAAGGACAAGGACCTGATGGCTTCACTTTTCATTTTGAAGAACACTGAAAGAAGAAATAATGTCAATTCTGCTCAAACTATTATAAGAAATACAGAAGGGGAAAATACATCCAAACTCATTCTACAAGGTCAGTATTACTCTGATACCCAAACCAGGAAAATGTGATGTGTTTTCTTTAAAAATAAGAAAACAAACAAGAACAAAAACAAAACTACAGGCCAATATCAGTGATGAACACTGATGCAAATATTCTTAAGAAAATACCAGCAAACCAAATTCAACAACATATTTATAAGATCATTCATCATGACCAAGTGGGATTTATCCTAGGGGTGCAAGGATAGTTCAACATATCAAAAGAATGGAGGACAAAGACAATATGATCATTTCAATAGATACTGAAAAAATATTTGTTAAAGATCAGCATGGCTTCCTGATTAAAAAGAAAACCCTAAAAAAATTGGATATAGAAGAAATATACCTCAACAAATAAAAACAATACATGAGAGACACATAGCTAGTATTATACTGAATGAGGAAAAACTGAAAGCCATTCCTTTAAGATCTGGAACAACGTAAGTATGCTGCCTTTTACCACTGTCATTTTTTATAGTCCTAGAATTCCTACCAAAGGCAATACGACATAAAGGGGTTCTGAATTGGAAAGAAAGAAGTAAACTATCCTTGCTTGCAGATGATATGATTTTACGTTTGGAAAAACCTGAAGACTCTACAAAAGAAAACTATTAGAACTGATAAACAAATTCAGTAAAGTTGCAAGATATAAAATAAATAAACAAAAATCATAGCATTTTTTATGTCAATGGTGAACAATCTGAAAAGGAAATCAAGAAAGTAATCCTATTTACAATAGATGCAAATAAAATAAAATACATTGGAATAAACATAACTAAAGAAGTGAAAGATCTCTACAATGAAATTATAAAACATTAATGCAAGAAATTGAAAAGGACACAAAAATATAGAAAGATATTCCATGTTTATAGATTGGAAGAATCAATATTATTAAAATGTGTACACTACCCAAAGTAGTAAACATATCCAATGCAATCCCAATCAAAAGACCAATGGCATGCTTCAGAGAAATAGGAGAAACAATCCTAAAATTTATATAAAATTACAAAATGCCTAGAATGGCCAAAGCTATCCTGAGAAAAATAAAAAACGTGAAGCAATCACATTACCTGAGTTCAAATTATACTTCAGAGCTCTAGTAACCAAAACAGCATGGTACTGGCATAAAAACAGACATGAAGAGCAAAGAACTGAATAGAGATCCTTGAAATAAACCCATACATCTACAGTGAACTTGGTGACAAAGATGTCAAGAACATACATTTGGGAATTGTTTAGTCTCTTGAATAGATTATGCTTGAAAAACTAGATAGCCATGTGCAGACAAATGAAACTAGACTCCTATCTCTTCACATATACAAAAGACAAATCAAAATGGATTAAAGACTTAAATCTAAGACTTCAAACTATGAAACTACTAACAGAATACCTTAGGGAAACCTCTCCAGAATATTGGTCTGTGCAAAGATTTCTTGAGTAATACCCTACAGGCACAACAAGCAAAGAAAAGGTGAACTAATGGGATCATATCAAGTTACAAAGCTTCTGTAAAGTAAAGTAAACAATTAACAAAGTGAAAGAGACAACACACAGAATAGGAGAAAATATTTGCAAACTACCCATCTGAAAAGGGATTAATAACCAGGACACATAAGGAGCTCAAAAAAGCTTAATAGGAAAAGATCTAATAATCTGATATTAAAAATGGAAAAAGACCTGAATAGACATTTCTCAAAAGAAGGCATATAAATGGCAAATAGCTATATGAAAAGGTGCTCAGTACCACTGATCTTCAGAAATAAGCAAATCAAAACTATAATAAGATACTTTTTACCCCAGTTAAAATGGATTTTCTTCCAAAAAACAGAAAATGCATAATGTTGGCAAAGAGGTGGATGAAAGGAAATCCTCATACACTGTTCCCAACTGTTGCTGGGAATGCAAATTAGTATGATCACTGATACAGTGTGTATATTTGTCCCCAACCAAATCTCATGTTGAATTGTAATCCCTCATGCTGGGGTGATGCCTTGTGGGAGGTGTTTGGATCGGGGTGGATCCCTCATTGTTTGATTTTGTCCTTGTGATAGTGAGTTCTCACAAGCTTTGGTTGTGTAAAGGTGTGTGGAACCTCCTCCTCCATTCTCTCTCTCTCTTGCTCCCATTCTCACCATGTGATGTGCTTGCTCCTGCTTTGTCTTCTGTCATGATTGGAAGCTCCCTGAGGCCTCCCCAACAGCAAATGACACTATGCTTTCTGTGCAGCCTCCAGAAATGTGAGCCAATTAAATCTTTTTTCTCATAAATTATCACTGTCAAGTTTTTTTTTATAGTAGTGCCAGAAAGGCCTAATACATAAAATCAGTACTGAGGAGTTGAACATTGCTATAAAGATACCTGAAAATGTGGAAGCAAGTTTGGAACTGGGTAACAGGCAGAGGTTGGAAACATTTGGAGGGCTCAGAAGAAGACAGAAAGGTGCATGACAGTTTGGAACTTGTTAAGGATTGGTTGAATTATTGTGACCAAAATGCAGTTAATGATATAGATGATGAAATCCAGGCTGCTGAGGTGTCAAATGGAAATTAGAAGCTTATTGGGAACTGGAGCAAAGGTCATGTGTGCTATGCCTTAGCAAAGAATTTGGCTGCATTCAGTTCACAACCTAGGGATCTGTGAAAGTTTGAACTTCCCAGTCATGATTTACCCTATCTTGCAGCATAAATTTCTAAGCAGCAATGCATTCAAGAGGTGGACTTTGTTACAACATATACTCAGGAGTGGAAGCAAAGAAATGTCTTAACATTGGAACTTATATTTGAAAGAGAAGCAGAGCATAAAATTTTTTAAAAAATTTGCAGCCTAGTCATGTGACAGAAAAAGAAAAAGCTTTTTCAGGAGAGAAATTCAAGTAGGCTGTGAAGCAACCACTTGCTAGAAACATTTGCATAACTAAAAGGGAGCCAAAAGCTAATATCCAGGACAATGGGAAAAAGGCCTGGAAGGCATTTCAGAGACCTTCCAAGCAGCTCCTTCCATCAAAGGCCCAGAGGCCTAGGAGGACAGAATGGATTTGTAGGCCATGTCCAGAACCCCTCTGCCCTGCACAGTCTCAGAACACTGATGTCTAGATCCTGACTACTCTGGCTCCAGTCTCGACTCAAAAGGCTCCAGATACGGCTCACACCACTGCTCTGGAAAGCACAAACCTTGGCAGCTTCTATGTGTATTTAAACCTGCAGGTTCACAAAGCACAAGAATAATTGAGGCTTGGAAGCCTCCACCTAGATTTCAGAACATGTATGGAAAAGCCTGGTAGCCCAGGCAGAAGCTTGCTGCAGTGGCAGAGCTTACACAGAGAACGTGTACTAGGGTAGTACAGAGAAGAAATGTGGGGTTTGACACTCCACATGGAATCCCCACTGGCGCATTGTCTAGTGGAGCTGTGAGAAAGGGGCCACCACCCTCCAGACCCAAAAATAATAGTTCCACGAATAGCTTGCACTCTGTCCCTAGAAAAGTCACAGGCATTCAACAACATTTTAGGGCAGCCTAAGGGGCTGAACCCTGCAAAGCCATAGGGGTGAACCTATCCAAGGCCTTGGGAGCCCAATTCTTGCAACAGTGTGTTCTGGATGTGGAACATGAAGTCAAAGGAGATTATTTTGGAGCTTTAAGATTTGATGACTGCCCTGCTGGGTTTTGAACTTGCATGGGGCCTGTAACCCCTTTCTTCTGGTAGATTTTTCCCTTTAAGAATAGAAATGGTTACCCAATGCCTATATCCCCATTGTATCTTGGAAGTAAACAACTTGGTTTTGGTATTATAGGCTCATAGGTAAAAGGAATATGCCTTGTCTCAGATGAGACTTTTTTACTTTATATGTATGTGTATATATATATATATATATATATTTTAAGTTCAGGGATACATGTGCAGAATGTGCTGGTTTCTTACATAGGTATACATGTGTCATGGTAGTTTGCTGCACCCATCGACTCATCATCTACATTACGTATCTCTCCTAATGCTATCCCTCCTCCAGTCCCCCCACTCCCTGATAGGCCCCAGTTTGTGATATTCCCCTCCCTGTGTCTGTGGTCTCATTGTTCAACTCCCACTTATGAGTGAGAACATGCAGTGTTTGGTTTTCTGTTCTTGTGTTAGTTTGCTGAGAATGATGGTTTCCAGCTTCATCCATGTCCCTGCAAAGGACATGAACTCATCCTTTTTTATGCCTGCATAGTATTCCATGGTGTATATGTGCCACATTTTCTTTATCCAGGCTATCATTGATGGGTATTTGGGTTGGTTCAAAGTCTTCGCTATTGTGAATAGTGGTGCAATAAACATACATGTGCATGTGTCTTTATAGTAGAATGATTTATAATCTTTTGCATATATACCCAGTAGTGGGATTGCTGGGTCAAATGGTATTTCTGGCTCTAGATTCTTGAGGAATCTCCACACTGTCTTCCACAATGGTTGAACTAATTTACGTTCTCACTGCCAGTGTAAAAGCATTCTATTTCTCTACATCCTCTCCAACATCTGTTGTTTCCTGACTTTTTAATGATCACTATTCTAACTGACATGAGATGGTATCTCATTGTGGTTTTGATTTGCATTTCTCTAATGACCAGTGATGATGAGCTTTTTTTCATATATTTGTTGGCTGCATAAATGTCTTCTTTTGAGAAGTCCCTGTTCATATCAGTCACCCACTTTTTGACGGGGTTGTTTGTTTTTTTCTTGTAAATTTGTTTAAGTGTGTTGTAGATTCTGGATATTAGCCTTTTGTCAGATGGATAAATTGCAAAAATTTTCTCCCATTCTGTAGGTTGCCTGTTCCCTCTGCTGATAGTTTCTTTTGCTGTGCAGAAGCTCTTTAGTTTAAATAGATCCCCTTTGTCAATTTTGACTTTTGTTGACATTGCTTTTGGTGTTTTAGTCATGAAGTCTTTACCCGTGACTATATCCTGAATAGTAATGACTAAGTTTTCTTCTAGGGTTTTTGGTTTTAGGTCTTATGTTTAAGTCTTTAATCCATCTTGAGTTAATTTTTCTATAAGGTATAAGGAAGGGGTCCAGTTTCAGTTTTCTTCATGTGGCTAGGCTTTGGACTTCTAATGCTGGGACAAGTCAAGACTTTGGAGAACTCTTGAGAAGGCATGGTTGTATTTTGCAATGAGAAAAGGACATGAGATTTGAGAGGGGCCGAGGACAGAATGATACGGTTTGTGTATTTCTTCCCACACAAGTCTCATGTTGAATTGTAATCCCCAATGCTGAAGGCAGGGCTTTTTGGGAAGTGTTTGGATCATTGGGTTGGATACCTCATAGTTTGGTGCTATCTTCATAATAGTGAGTTCTCATGAGATCTGGTTATGTAAAATTTTATGGCATCTCCCCAACCCCCACCCACCTTGCTCCCATTCTTGCCATGTGGTGTGCCTTCTCCCCCTTTGCCTTCTATCATGATTGAAAATTTCCTGAGGCCTCCCCAGAAGCAGATGCCACTATGCCTCCTGTACAGCCAGCTGAACTGTGAGCCAACTAAATCTCTTTTTGTATTAATTATCCAGTCTCAAGTATTTTTTTTTTTTTTGAGACAGAGTATCACTCTGTTGCCCGGGTTGTAGTGCAGTGGAAGACCTCAGCTCACTGCAACCTCTGCCTCCTGGGTTCAAGCCATTCTCCTGCCTCAGTCTCCTGAGTAGCTGGGATTACAGGCACCCGCCACTATACCCAGCTAATTTTTTTTTTTGTTTTTTGTATTTTGAGTAGAGACAGGGTTTTACCATGTTGGCCAGGCTGGTCTCGAACTCCTGACCTCATGATTCACCTGCCTTGGCCTCCCAAAGTGCTATTACAGGCGTGAGCCAGCACACTTGGTCTCAAGTATTTCTTTATAACAGTGCAAGAATGGCCTAATACAACCACTTATGGAGAACAGTTTAGAGGTTCCTCAAAAAACTAAAAATAGAGCTAGCATATGATCCAGCAATACTCACAAAAATTAACAATTAAAAAGCAAATACTCTAGCCAGCCCTCTCCCTCCCCAACCCCTCCAAAAGAAACCTCACTCAGAGCCAGTGACCTAGTTCAAATACTGTTTTCACTGCTTGGAGAATTAGTGTTTCCCTTTTTTAACTCTTAAAGTGGGGACAGCAATTCAGTTTTTGAAAAATGACACATGCTGATTCACGTAGCATCAAGCCCATGTCTGCAACATAGCAAGCCCTGCATGATATTAGTCATTTATTATTAATAATAACGAGAAATTGTAATGTCACCTCCACTCTGAATCTCTTTTGGATTCTCTTAACCAGAAGCACCCCCTTCTTTGTGTAGGCAGTCCCAGCAGTCACACTCTCTTTCTTTTTTCCCTACGTGAGGTTGATGGCTTTAAGAATGAGGTAGGGACAGCCATATCAGAAACATTAATGCCTGTTGAAGAAGGTAGCACGCAGTAAGTCTTCAATCAGCCTTAAAGACACCTTAAAGCTGGGAGAAAATCTGGATGTCAGAATTTTCAAACTCTATTTTTCTGAAACAGAGTGCTCTTCAAAAGAAATCTTCAGCAGAAACCTGTTGTATGAAAACATAAGAGGAGCTTTTTTGGATTGAAGTCTTCAGAACCCTCCCCCTGCACCATACCTTCTACTTAGTAGCCTTTAAGAAATTCAAGAGGGCCCTTAGAGATCTTCAAGCAACATTTAGAGGGAAAATAACATTTGCATGCATGCACACACACACACACACACACGAAACTGTAAAAAGAGAAATAATTTGCTCAACTCCAAAAATAGTGACTATCATTTACTCTGTGCTGATTCTGTGCTACACAGTGTGCAATCACTTCCCAGGCATTATCTTTAATCCATGTGGAAATTCTGAGTTAGGCATAGCAGATACCCAATTTACAGAGGAAACAACTGACCCTTCGCTCACACAGCTGATGTGGCAGAGCTGGGATGTTATTGCAGGGCCTCTGATTCTGAAGCTCCAAATCTGAGCCAATGTTATATCTTTGTTTTATTAAATCAGCGTCAGAAAAACAACAAAAATTCTCCTCATGGAACTCTTTTTTGGGGGGGAAGACAGATAATAAGCAAGAGTTGTTTTTTTTTCTGAAGTGAAATATACAGTTGGTTAGTTGTGGTAATTAATAAGGAAAAAAGCGGGGACAGACAGTTGTTGAAATTTTATAAATGCCTTCTGGATGACTGAAAATAGAGGTGAATCAAACTGCTTCATCACTTGATTTAAATAATATCCTTCTAGTCTCATCTTTCACTTCTGCCACCACACTCAGTGAAATGCTCACGGAACCTGAGTCCTTTCTTGAATCCATTATTTCTTTCTAGAAAGCTTCCTTCCTTTTCTACCTAGAAAATGCCAGCTTACCCAGATCAAATTTTATCTCTGAGAAACCGTCTGGGATGCAATGGGAAAGTGTTAGTTTGCTACTCTTGAAGCTTTCTCAACATCACCGTAGGCTATGAATTATCACTTTGACTTTTGATTATTTGCTTGTGATGAGCTGTCAGCAAGAATCTGCAAGAGTTAAAAGGCAAATACCTTGTTTGTTTCCCTTCTGAAATGCCAGCAGCCAGTGTGGGGCTTAGATATCAGGGAAGCTCAATAAATACCTGTTAAAATAAATTCACAGTAAAATGAGTTGGAAGAAACTATCTAAGGGATATGGGAGCCTTGTCTTATTGGTATTGTGAGTTTTGTCCTGATCAGTTAATAGTACACTTTTACTCATTCTACATGTCCATCACAAGGTGGAGAGATAGGCAGGAAGCTTATCATTTTACTTTTTCAGGGTCCCTGGTTGATGAAACTGCCACAGTCCTGAAACTTACCAGTCACTTTGGCAGAAGAAAACGATATTGCAGAGAAGCATGACATGGCCCCAAAGTGACATGTGCCAATTCCCTCTTGGTTCATCAGCCCCAAATAGTCACAGGGCCTCTCCAAACTTCAAGTAGGCAAGGAAATGTCATACTACTTACTATGTGCCCAGAATGAAAGACTGAGGAAAAGAGCAAAAAAAAAATTAGAAACAGACTGCATAATATCATTTGTGCCCTACCATTTGGTATCATGAGAATCAAATAAATATATGAAAAGATTTTGCAAATTGTAAAGAACTATAAAAATATGAGACAGTAATGTTACAATAAATGCATTTATTAAAAAATTAGAAAGTCAAATATGGGATGCCAGATTAGATTTTATTTACTGAGAACTTGAAATATTTATGGACTCAGCAGTGTTAATTAATACCAGAGTACCTCATAGACTTGGGGTCCTAGATTTTTATCTTGAGACAGATAAACTTTCTGTTCTAACTTCCACACTTAGTAGTAACTCATGTTCATATTCCCATTCCTCAAATTAATTAGGACCCACAACTGCGAAAACAGTTTTCTGTCAGTGGTTCCATCATGAGAGCTGCATAATGTTGATTATAACAGCTGGCATTTTATCATTTGTTTCACTTTTCAATTTTTACTTTCTAATTGTATACATTTTCTCACATATGTTGTTATAAAGCTGACATAGAAAATGAAGAACAAATAAAAAACAAGGTTAAGTCTATAAGAGTTGATTTTCCCAAGGTTACTAATAGTATGAGATGATGAGAAAGTTCAAAAGTCACTGGAATTTTATTTCTTCCGATGAATATCAGAAAGGTATGTTATTATTACAAAGCTATCACCGTGCTGAAAAACTCAACTTATTAAGTAGATTACTCAAAAGTATGAGTCATAGAGTAATTTGGAAACCTTTTGTGATTTTTCAAACATGCTATATTTTTACACATATAGGAGAGACAGAGAGGAGAGAGATGAAAGAATGGGTATATTCTTTGATACTCTCAAATTATAATCTATACTTTTTGTGCAGCTTACTCATATTTATTCTCTCTGATATTTGCTGCTTCTGGTAACACTTTCCTACTTTTTTGAGCTAGCCTGAATGGTTTTCTTTACTTTTTTCCTATAACCCATCAAAAAATTAAGAGAGTTTCTGCTGTAGATTCTGTTTCTGGAGATGTCCCTCTGTTTGATTCTCAACCTGTCATATAAAAGTAATTCAATTCTCACTCTTTACTGGACATTATCTTAAATTCATAGACAAATATGTATTAGATTCCTACTTTGCTCATATACTGCCTAGTCCCTTAGACTAACAAAAAAACAAACAATTATCCCACCGTGTTTGGGATAATGCAAGGGTATAATAAGATATTAGTTGTAATAATACAATCAGCTACCTTTTTCAAGCACTGACTATATATTCCAAATGATGTTAAGCAATTTTGCTCTCTGTATTTCAATTAGGTTTCATAATGACTAATGGGAGGAATACCATTATCCTCTTTAGTTTTTAAGGATGAAGACAACTGCTATAGTTTGTATATTTATGGCACACCACCCCCCAAAAAAGTAGTCATCTAAATCTAATCACCAACATTAAGGCATTAGGAGGTGGGACCTTTGGGAGATGATTAGGTCATGAGGATGGGCCCTCATGAATGAAATTTGTGCCCTTACAAAAGAGGCCCCAGAGACACCACTTGCCCTTTTCACCATGTGAGGACACAGTGAGAAGTCACTGACTATGAACCAGGAAAAGAGCCCTCATCCGGCACAAAATCTCCTGAGCTTTGATTATAGTCTTCTCAGCCTTCAGAACTGTGAAAAATAGAGTTCTGTTGTTTACAATCTACCCAAATTATGCATTTTTTCATTATAGTAACTCATATGGACTAAGACAGAAAATTGATACCAAGAAGTGCAGTGCTGTTATATTATCTAAAACTGTGAAAGCAACCTTGGAACTGGATAATGGGTAGATACTGAAAGAGTTTCAAGGTGAATGCTAGAAAAAAAATCTACATTGCTCTGAATGAACCTTACAGAGTGATTCTGGTTAGGGCTCAGAAGGAGAAGAGGAGAACTGCAGAGAAAACCTCAATCTTCTTAAAGAATACCTAAATGGACATGAAGAGAATGTTGGTAGAAATATGGACCATGAAGTCCATTCTTGTTATAAAGCAGCAAAGAACTTGGATGAATTGTATATATGCCCTCGTGTTTGTAGCAGGTAGAACATGTAGGCAATGAAGTTGAATATTTGGCTGAGGAAATTTCTAAGCAAAATGTTGAAGATATAGCTCAGCTTTTCTCAATGAATTATAGTAAAATTCAAGAAGAGAGATATGATTCAAAGACAGAATTCTTAATCAAAAGAGAAGCAGAATTTAAAAATTTGGAACAATTTTAGCATATCCATACTGAAAAGGAAGAGAAAGCATGTTCAGGACAGAACACAAAGGGTATGGCCAAATGACTATCTGATAAGAAGATTGGTCAACCAGGACCTGTTTTTCAAGACAGTGGTAGAATGACCTTGCAAGCAATTCAGAAATCATCAGGGCTGCCACTCCCATCACAGGCCCAATGTGCAAAGTTCACAATGAGTATGGGACTATTGCAGAGACCTCACTTTAATATAATACTCAGTGGACCCATAGGGGTGCTACTGGCACGTAATTCCAGCCCAGGGAAGCCAAAGGTGCATGACATAGATACAGAGTGGCTACAGAGGTGGGGTCACGACTGAGAACTATTGTGAGGGTGGGCCCAGGCACAGAGCAGGTGCAAGGATGTTTTTGTTTCTTTCTTTCTTTGTTTTTCCTATTTCTTCCTCTTGGAATGGGAATTTCTGTCCTGTGTCTGTCTCACAATTGCGCTTTAGAAGTACATACTTGTTTGATTTCTTAGGTTCACCATTGGAGGAGAATTGGCCTCTGGGTGAATAGTATCCTGAGTTTTGCTCAGATCTGATTTAAGTAATTTTTAGATGAGACTTTGGACTTTTATTTGAAAGTTGATGCTGGACTGAGTTAATACTTTTGGGGGTTATTGAGATGGAGTGAATGTATTTTGTTTGTGAGAAGAACATGGATCTTGGGGAGCCAGAGGAAAAATGCTATGGTCTGAATGTTTGTATCCCCACAAAACTCATGTGCTGAAACCAAATGACCAATGTGATAGTTACAAGTGGTGGAGCCTTTTGGAGGTGATGGAGTCATGAGGGGAGAGCCCCAAAACAGAACTAGTGTCCTCTTAAAAGAGGTCCCAGGGATACTGCTCACACCCTTCACCATATGAGAACACAATAAGATGCCCTGTCTACGAATCAGGAGATCGACCCTCACCAGACACCAAATCTGCCAGTACTTTGAAATTTGACTTCACAGGCTTCAGAACTGTGAGAAAGAAATTTCTGTTGTTTATAAGCTACACATTTTATGGTATTTTGATACAGCAGCCTGAATAGGCTGAGACAACACCCATGTTTGAATTGCCTCATAAAGTTGCCCTAAATTATACATCATTACATGACAGAATCTTGACACCAGTTCTATCTGATTCCAGATTTGAAGCAAAGACAAGCATGGAAGATGAACATTCCTGAGTTAGAAAAAAAGTGTTCATACACTGTGAGCAAACAGGGAAGTACTAAAGGACAGTTGAATGCAGTAATATTAGAGGCATCACAGTTTGTAATTGACAAACATACAGTGAAAACAATAAACGGTATTGCTTGTCCAAAGAGAAGAGAGAAATAACCATGATCTGAAATTTGCTGAACAGACTTTAGTTATGAGGATTTTATTTAACTTTTCATTACTGGTTCTGTCACTGAAGTGAATGAGGCACATACACAGGGAATACGTCAGTTTCAGGAGACTTCTTTTTTTTATTTTCTCCTTCAGTTCTCTGTTTTTCAACTCTGCAAGTTATTTATGCGATCTGCACCTGTATTTCCTTTTATTTTTTTGCAATATAGTAATCCTATACAATTAGGAGAAATCATATAGCTTACTCTACCTATGGCACATATTTGATGAGATAATGGATGTAAAACTAGAAAACATTTAAACTGGTATTGAGCTGAGTTTCAACAAATTGATAAAATGGCAAAGATTTGTAGGGAAGATGCATGTTGTTTACATTATGTCATTTTATTTTCCAGAACGAAAAAGATGGATTTGATGTCGTGAAATGGCAATTCTAAAACTCAGGAGATATGTTGGTGTTTCTGAGCTCTTACTCCAGTGTCCACTTGTCCATAGAATCACCTTTCACTTCTGGGGTCAGAGGGTAAGCTTTAAATATAAATCTGATCGGCAGAACTCTGGAGTCTGGTTGGGAAACTGTATTTTGCACTCCAGTTGCCAGAACTGCTGCCAGCATACAGTTGCTTATTTAATCTTGAATGACTGAATGAATGAATGTAGATATGTATAAATGACTAGAAAGATGGAAGAACAGTTGGCTGTCTGGCTGAAGGACATGAAAAGATGTTTGAGTGAATGATACGATGGATGGTTTAGACACAGAAGCTAAGTCCATGCCTTATTCCTTCCTTCCTTCCTTCATTCATTAAAAAGTGTTTATTGTTTAGCCCAAGGAAGCCATCATAATAGATAGAATGACATGTATGACATAGTGCTTGCTTCAAAATATTTAAATGCCAGCACAGAAAAACATGTAATCCAAGACATAATGACAGGTGGGTCTTGAGAGTTTTGGATAAATGCGAATAAAAATTCACAAGAGTTATAGATTTTATAAAGGAGGGGGTGATTCATGGAAAATTTTGTGAAAAGATTATATTACTAGACAGAATCCTGAAAGTTCAAATGTGTGGGAAGGGAAGGCAAAATCATATTGATTGATATCTACTTGTGATGAGGGAGATATTTGGCAGTGTGTATAAAGTTTCCTTGCTCAAATTTGATCTTTCTTGCCTTTCTCCTAGACAGCTCCTGGAATGATCTCTCATCTTACGGCAAAAAGGTAAGAGAACTTGGCTGGGCACAGTGGATCACTCATGTGATTCAAGCATTTTGAGAGGCTGAGGCAGGTGGATCACTTGAGGTGAGGAGTTCGAGATCAGCCTGGCCAATATGGTAAAACCCGTCTCTACTAGAAATACAAAAAATTATCTGAGCATGGTGGTGTGTGCCTGTAGTCCCAGCTGCTTGGGAGGCTAAGGCATGAGAATCACTTGAATCCGGGAGGTGGAGGTTGCAGTGAGCCAAGATCATGTCACTGCACTCCAGCCTGGGCGACAGTGAGACCCTGTCTCAAAAAAAAAAAAAAAAAAAAAAAAAAAGAAAAGATAAAAAAGAGGTAAAAGAACTTAGTCTTTAGTCCTGAATCTATTACTAATCACACAATGTTTCATATGCAAATTACTTAATCCCTCTAACCCTCACCAGACCCACCTATACAAAGGGAATGACAGTGCCAGGCTTGAAGTTAAAGCTCTAGAGGTGTCTGCCTAATGAATAAATGGGTACCACGAATGAAATTCAAGAACTGGTGGGGGTTGATGTGTATACAGGGGTATTAGAGAAACTCTGAAGTTTTTTTCAGCCTTTTGTTTCTGATTAGAGTTACCTTTTAAAATTTTGTTGTGCAATATGGGAATATTGTAACATTTAAGAGAAAGGGGGAGGAGAGATAAAGTAGAGAAGCAGGTTCTATAAAATGGCAACATTAAGTTACTCTGATGTAGCACCTGAGAGTTTACTTGAGTATCTCCTCCAATTCAGTATTTTACATCAACCTCACAATACCCTTCCACAGGGAGACTCATGTACTAGAAACAGTGCAGCAACTTCACTGAGAAGATAAAATTCCATACTGTGGTTTTACGTCAAAGTACACATTTTCAGAAATATCACTCTTTAATATATTTAGCAATTGCATGGATGATCTACTATCCCTGAACTAAAATTACTCTCTCTATAAATAATCTGCAATTTGGCAGGATTTTGTGCAGATGCCTCAGTGCCCTCCTCCTTATATGCGTGTGTGTATGAATTTATTTTTTGACATTTGCATTTTTTATTGACTCTTCGCGACTTTGGCAAGGTGAAAGGCTTGTGGTGGTTAGGGACCATGTGCTAGTATTGCGAGTGGTTTGAATATAATGCCTTTGCCAGTGAGCAACCGACACTGTTTAGTTTCTGAGTGCCATTCTCCAATGGATTCCTATTGACTCTAAAAACATGCTTGGCTAGTCGAAGAAATTATTTGAACTATGTTGGAGACTTCAGTCAATGGTCCAGTAATCACACTAGTCCTTTCATTCTAAATGATCCATCTCGAATGACTTTATCACATGGAGTTCTCTCTTATGTGATTTATCCTAATAAGACAGGGTACCCACTGAGAATCATCATTGTATTATAGGCACAGTTTACGTACCACCTCTCACTGTGTGCTGTGATCCCCAGGGAGGAACATCAGTCTTCTACTATAAAGCTAGCATTAGGATCTACCTGAGGAAGCTCAGCATTCTCCTATGAGAGTGTTCATGTCAGAATCAACTAGAATTTATTTCACATTATTGAGATTCTGGTGCTCCCTTTGAGGCAAACATTTAAATATAAAAATGTGAAGAGCTCTGACATGAATCTGGTGTAATGACCATAAATAAATTACTGGATCCCACAATAAAAGTGCATTTTCTTTTTTTAATGGCTAAATATAATTTTCATGTGTTTTTTAAAATAAAATCACCATTAAAATTTAACTATTTTAATTATTACTGAATAAGTCCATTTTTTATTCCTTGTATATGTTCACAATATAATAATATGGTCTTCACGTACATGTGCATAGCTGTGTATGCTTTTATATATATATGTGTATGTGTAAAATAAGAAGAATAGAGCATCCCAAAACTCCTAACTTCAAAATTTGGTTTGTTACTTCATTGGCCATATATTTCACACCTAATCTGACATAATCACAATTTTATGTAGAATTTAAAGGTAAAAAAGATGTAAATAAATGGATAACTGCACGGTTCCCAATCTGAAAAAAAAGTAGAATAAATATTTACATGTCAAAATGTATTCGAGAATTGTTTCTTGTTTTAACACCATCATGAGAGTTACAACTCTGTTAGTGTATCAAGTGTTCTGAGGTCTCTTTCCATAGTGACAGACTTTTAGTGTTGTTTCATTGGGAATGGGAGGTTCTCAAAATTATTTGATAGCTTTTTTCCATGAACATACATAAAAGCATTAGGTTCTTGCAGAATTGGTGCTCTACTGTTCTTATTTTTGAAAATATTGAATTAGAAACTTTGTATACATTTTCTAATGTACTCTTACTTTTCCATGGGTTTTTGTAGGGGCTGTTTGTTATTTTATTTATCTAAGACCTTTCTTCTACCTGACCAATATCTTTTTTTTAATTTATTTTTGTATTATTTTATTATTATTATGCTTTGTTTTAGGGTACATGTGCACAATGTGCAGGTTTGTTACATATGTATACATTTGCCATGTTGGTGTGCTACACCCATTAACTCATCATTTAGCATTAGGTATATGTCCTATGCTATCCCTCCCCCCTCCCCCAACCCGACAACCATCCCCCTCCCCAAACCCCACAACCATTCCCGGTGTGTGATGTTCCCCTTCCTGTGTCCATGTGTTCTCATTGTTCAATTCCCACCTATGAGTGAGAACATGTGGTGTTTGTTTTTTTGTCCTTGCGTTAGTTTGCTGAGAATGATGCTTTCCAGCTTCATCCATGTCCCTACAGAGGACATGAACTCATCATTTTTATGGCTGCATAGTATTCCATGGTGTATATGTGCCACATTTTCTTAATCCAGTCTATCGTTGTTGGACATTTGGGTTGGTTCCAAGTCTTTGCTGTTGTGAATAGTGCCGCAATAAACATACGTGTGCATGTGTCTTTATAGCAGCATGATTTATAATCCTTTGGGTATATACCCAGCAATGGGATGGCTGGGTCAACTGGTATTTCTAGTTCTAGATACCTGAGGAATCGCCACACTGATTTCCACAATGGTTGAACTAGTTTACAGTCCCACCAACAGTGTAAAAGTGTTCCTATTTCTCCACATCCTCTCCAGCACCTGTTGTTTCCTGACTTTTTAATGATCGCCATTCTAACTGGTGTGAGATGGTATCTCATTGTGGTTTTGATTTGCATTTCTCTGATGGCCAGTGATGATGAGCATTTTTTCATGTGTTTTTTGGCTGCATAAATATCTTCTTTTGAGAAGTGTCTGTTCATATCCTTCACCCACTTTTTGATGGGGTTGTTTGTTTTTTTCTTGTAAATTTGTTTGTGTTCATTGTAGATTCTGGATATTAGCCCTTTGTCAGATGAGTAGATTGTAAACATTTTCTCCCATTCTGTAGGTTGTCTGTTCACTCTGATGGTAGTTTCTTTTGCTGTGCAGAAGCTCTTTAGTTTAATTAGATCCCATTTGTCAATTTTGGCTTTTATTGCCATTGCTTTTGGTGTTTTGGACATGAAGTCCTTGCCCATGCCTATGTCCTGAATGGTAATGCCTAGGTTTTCTTCTAGGGTTTTTATGGTTTTAGGTCTAACGTTTAAGTCTTTAATCCATCTTGAATTGATTTTTGTATAAGGTGTAAGGAAGGGATCCAGTTTCAGCTTTCTACATGTGGCTAGCCAGTTTTCCCAGCACCATTTATTAAATAGGGAATCCTTTCCCCATTGCTTGTTTTTCTCAGGTTTGTCAAAGATCAGATGGTTGTAGATAAGCAGCATTATTTCTGAGGGCTCTGTTCTGTTCCATTGGTCTATATCTCTGTTTTGGTACCAGTACCATGCTGTTTTGGTTACTGTAGCCTTGTAGTATAGTTTGAAGTCAGGTAGCGTGATGCCTCCAGCTTTGTTCTTTTGGCTTACGATTGACTTGGCAATGTGGGCTCTTTTTTGGTGCCATATGAACTTTAAAGTAGTTTTTTCCAATTCTTTGAAGAAAGTCATTTGTAGCTTGATGGGGATGGCATTGAATCTGTAAATTACCTTGGGCATTATGGCCATTTTCACAATATTGATTCTTCCTACCCATGAGCATGGAATGTTCTTCCATTTGTTTGTATCCTCTTTTATTTCCTTGAGCACTGGTTTGTAGTTCTCCTTGAAGAGGTCCTTCACATCCCTTGTAAGTTGGATTCCTAGGCATTTTATTCTCTTTGAAGCAATTGTGAATGGGAGTTCACTCATGATTTGGCTCTCTGTTTGTCTGTTATTGGTGTATAAGAATGCTTGTGATTTTTGCACATTGATTTTGTATCCTGAGACTTTGCTGAAGTTGCTTATCTGCTTAAGGAGATTTGAGGCTGAGACAATGGGGTTTTCTAGATATACAATCATGTCATCTGCAAACAGGGACAATTTGATTTCCTATTTTCCTAAGTGAATGCCCTTTATTTCCTTCTCCTGCCTAATTGCCCTGGCCAGAACTTCCAACACTATGTTGAATAGGA
Source organism: Homo sapiens (assembly GCF_000001405.40). Taxonomy (NCBI): domain Eukaryota; kingdom Metazoa; phylum Chordata; class Mammalia; order Primates; family Hominidae; genus Homo; species Homo sapiens. The sequence goes on along the minus strand of NC_000004.12, from coordinate 12,465,404 downwards.
GTGGTGAGAGAGGGCATCCCTGTCTTGTGCCCGTTTTCAAAGGGAATACTTCCAGTTTTTGTCCATTCAGTATGATATTGGCCGTGGGTTTGTCATAGATAGCTCTTATTATTTTGAGATACATCCCATCAATACCTAATTTATTGAGAGTTTTTAGCATGAAGGGTTGTTGAATTTTGTCAAAGGCCTTTTCTGCATCTATTGAGATAATCATTTGGTTTTTGTCTTTCATTCTGTTTATATGCTGGATTATGTTTATTGATTTTCGTATGTTGAACCAGCCTTGCATCCCAGGGATGAACCCCACTTGATCATGGTGGATAAGTTTTTTGATGTGCTGCTGGATTCGGTTTGCCAGTATTTTATTGAGGATTTTTGCATCAATGTTCATCAAGGATATTGGTCTAAAATTCTCTTTTTTTGTTGTGTCTCTGCCTGGCTTTGGTATCAGGATGATGCTGGCCTCACAAAATGAGTTAGGGAGGATTTCCTCTTTTTCTGTTTATTGGAATAGTTTGAAAAGGAATGGTACCAGTTCCTCCTTGTACCTCTAGTAGAATTCGGCTGTGAATCTGTCTTGTCCTGGACTTTTTTTGGTTGGTAAGCTATTAATTATTGCCTCAATTTCAGAGCCTGTTATTGGTCTAATCAGAGATTCAACTTCTTCCTGGTTTAGTCTTGGGAGAGTGTATGTGTCGAGGAATTTATCCATTTGTTCTAGATTTTCTAGTTTATTTGCATAGAGGTGTTTATGGTATTCTCTGATGGTAGTTTGTATTTCTGTGGGATTGGTAGTTATATCCCCTTTGTCATTTTTTATTGTGTCTGTGTGATTCTTCTCTTTTCTTCTTTATTAGTCTTGCTAGTGGTGTATCAATTTTGTCGATCTTTTCAAAAAACTAGCTCCTGGATTCATTGATTTTTTGAAGGGTTTTTTGTGTCTCTATTTCCTTCAGTTCTGCTCTGATCTTAGTTATGTCTTGCCTTCTGCTAGCTTTTGAATGTGTTTGCTCTTGCTTCTCTAGTTCTTTTAATTGTGATGTTAGGGTGTCAATTTTAGATCTTTCCTGCTTTCTGTTGTGGGCATTTAGTGCTATAAATTTCCCTCTACACACTGCTTTGAATGTGTCCCAGAGATTCTGGTATGTTGAGTCTTTGTTCTCATTGGTTTCAAAGAACATCTATTTCTGCCTTCATTTTGTTATGTACCCAGTAGTCATTCAGGAGCAGGTTGTTCAGTTTCCATGTAGTTGAGCGGTTTTGAGTGAGATTCTTAATCCTGAGTTCTAGTTTGGTTACACTGTGGTCTGAGAGATAGTTTGTTATAATTTCTGTTCTTTTACATTTGCTGAAGAGTGCTTTGCTTCCAACTATGTGGTCAGTTTTGGAATAGGTGTGGTGTGGTGCTGAAAAGAATGTATATTCTGTTGATTTAGGGTGGAGAGTTCTGTAGATGTCTATTAGGTCTGCTTGGTGCAGAGCTGACTTCAATTCCTGGATATCCTTGTTAACTTTATGTCGCGTTGATCTGTCTAATGTTGACAGTGGGGTGTTAAAGTCTCCCATTATTATTGTGTGGGAGTCTAAGTCTCTTTGTAGGTCACTAAGGACTTGCTTTATGAATCTGGGTGCTCCTGTATTGGGTGCATATATATTTAGGATAGTTAGCTCTTCTTGTTGAATTGATCCCTTTACCATTATGTAATGGCCTTCTTTGTCTCTTTTGATCTTTGTTGCTTTAAAGTCTGTTTTATCTGAGACTAGGATTGCAACCCCTGCCTTTTTTTTGTTTTCCATTTGCTTGGTAGATCTTCCTCCATCCCTTTATTTTGAGCCTATGTGTGTCTCTGCACATGAGATTGGTTTCCTGAATACAGCACACTGATGGGTCTTGACTCTTTATCCAATTTGCCAGTCTGTGCCTCTTAATTGGAGCATTTAGCCCATTTACATTTAAGGTTAGTATTATTATGTGTGAATTTGATCCTGTCATTATGATGTTAGCTGGTTATTTTGCTCATTAGTTGATGCAGTTTCTTCCTAGCCTTGATGGTCTTTACAATTTGGCATGTTTTTGCAGTGGCTGGTACCGGTTGTTCCTCTCCATGTTTAGTGCTTCCTTCAGGAGCTCTTTTAGGGCAGGCCTGGTGGTGACAAAATCACCCAGCGTTTGCTTTTCCGTGAAGTATTTTATTTCTCCTTCACTTATGAAGCTTAGTTTGGCTGGTTATGAAATTCTGGGTTGAAAATTCTTTTCTTTAAGAATGTTGAATATTGGCCCCTACTCTTTTCTGGCTTGTAGAGTTTCTGCCGAGAGATCAGCTGTTAGTCTGATGGGCTTCCCTTTGTGGGTAACCCAACCTTTCTCTCTGGCTGCCCTTAACATTTTTTCCTTCATTTCAACTTTGATGAATCTGACAATTATGTGTCTTGGAGTTGCTCTTCTTGAGGAGTATCTTTGTGGCGTTCTCTGTATTTCCTGAATCTGAATGTTGGCCTGCCTTGCTAGATTGGGGAAGTTCTCCTGGATAACATCCTGCAGAGTGTTTTCCAACTTGATTCCTTTCTCGCCATCACTTGCAGGTACACCAATCAGACATAGATTTGGTCTTTTCACATAGTCCCATATTTCTTGGAGACTTTGTTTGTTTCTTTTTATTCTTTTTTCTCTAAACTTCTCTTCATGCTTCATTTCATTCATTTTGTCTTCCATCGCTGATACCCTTTCTTCCAGTTGATCACATCGGTTGCTGAGGCTTGTGCATTCATCACATAGTTCTCGTGCCGTGGTTTTCAGCTCCATCACGTCCTTTAAGGCCTTCTCTGCATTGGTTATTCTAGTTATCTATTTGTCTAATTTTTTTTTCAAAGTTTTTAACTTCTTTGCCATTGGTTTGAACTTCCTCCTTTAGCTCGGAGTAGTTTGATCTTCTGAAGCCTTCTTCTCTCAACTCGTCAAAGTCATTCTCCATCCAGCTTTGTTCTATTGCTGGTGAGGAGCTGCATTCCTTTGGAAGAGGAGAAGTGCTCTGATTTTTGGAGTTTTCAGTTTTTCTGCTCTGTTTTTTTCCCCGTCTTTGTGGTTTTATCTACCTTTGGTCTTTGATGATGGTGATGTACAGATGGGTTTTTGGTGTGGATGTCCTTTCTCTTTGTTAGTTTTCCTTCTAACAGTCAGGACCCTCAGCTGCAGGTCTGTTGGAGTTTGCTGGAGGTCCACTCCAGACCCTGTTAGCGTGGATATCAGCAGCGGTGGCTGCAGAACAGCGGATATTGTTGAACCGCAAATGCTGCTGCCTGATCGTTCCTCTGGAAGTTTTGTCTCAGAGGAGTACCCGGCCATGTGAGGTGTCAGTCCGCCCCTACTGGGGGGTGCCTCCCAGTTAGGCTGCTCGGGGGTCAGGGACCCACTTGAGGAGGCAGTCTGCCCGTTCTCAGATCTCCAGCTGCGTGCTGGGAGAACCACTACTCTCTTCAAAGCTGTCAGACAGGGACATTTAAGTCTGCAGAGGTTATTGCTGTCTTTTGTTTGTCTGTGCCCTGCCCCCAGAGTTGGGGCCTACAGAGGCAGGCAGGCCTCTTTGATCTGTGTTGGGCTTCACCGAGTTTGAGCTTCCTGGCCACTTTGTTTACCTACTCAAGCCTGGGCAGTTGTGGGTGCCCCTCCCCCAGCCTGGCTGCCACCTTGCAGTTTGATCTCAGACTGCTGTGCTAGCAATGAGTGAGGCTCCATGGTTGTAGGACCCTCTAAGCCAGGTGTGAGATATAATCTCCTGGTGTGCCGTTTGTTAAGCCCGTTGGAAAAGCACAGTATCAGGGTGGGAGTGACCCGATTTTCCAGGTGGCATCTGTCAGTCTCCCCTTTCTTTGACTAGGAAAGGGAATTCCCTGACCCCTTGCCCTTCCCAGGTGAGGTGATTCCTCGCCCTGCTTCGGCTCACGCACAGTGTGCTGCACCCACTGTCCTGCACCCGCTGTCTGGCACTCCCCAGTGAGATGAACCCGGTACCTCAGTTGGAAATGCAGAAATCACCCATGTTCTGCATCGCTCACGCTCCCAATATCTTAAATTTACTGTGGAGAAAAAAATCACTCTTATCTACCTTCACCATTAACTGTAGAGGGAGACCCTGGATGATTAAATGAACAACTCATTCATTAATTTGTTGATTCATTAATTGATTCATTCAACAAAATATATGGAGCTTTATCTGATATGCTAGGCATTTTTATAGGTACTTAAGATACAGCTTAAAACAAGACAGGAAAATCACTGCACTGATAGATGTACAAACAGACAAATACATCAGTGAAATGTAGAGAAGATCAGAGGTAAAAATGCTCTGGAGAAAAATCTAAACAGGAAAGGGGCATTGAACATTGGAGGTGTGATGTGGTGGCTTCCTTTCCCATAGTAATTTATGGAAAGGAAAATGGATGATCTCAGAGCCCTGTGCTCTGTGGCGGCTAAATTAATATAATTAAAATAATGATATTAGTTTGGATATATTCACTTAGTAAATGTTTCATGTGTGTCAGTGTGAAGAGACCACCAAATAGGCTTTTTGTGAGCACTAAAGTTTTTTTTTGAGATGGAGTCTTGCTCTGTCACCCAGGCTGGAGTGCAGTGGTGCCATCTCAGCTCACTGCAAGCTCTGTCTCCTGGGTTCCTGCCCTTCTCCTGTGAGCACTAAAACTTTTTAATCACCTGGGTGCAGGTGGGCTGAGTCTGAAAAGAGATTCAGTGAAGGGAGATGGGGTGGGGCCGTTTTATAGGATTTGGGTAGGTAATGGAAAATTACAGTCGAGGCATGACAACACCAGGAGGTCAAGGTAAAGGAGAAGATCCAGCACAAGAGACTGGAAAACAATAATCAGGGAGGTAGGATACAAACCAGAAGAGTGTGACCTCCTGAACACCAAGTGAAGAGAGCCTATCAAGGAAAAGGGAGGTGTCAACTATTTCTAATGGCGCTCAGAGGTCAGCAGGAGGCCTGAGAATAGAACTTTGGATTTAGTAACACAGCAACATCAACATCCTGGATGTTTACAAGGATCATTTCAATGGATAAAGAGTGAGAAAGGTTCTCAGTGGATCCAAGAGAGGTAATAGGATTAAATAATTATATCAGGGCAGATTTTAGCTTGAGCCTGTGATTTGTGGAGGAAGTTGTGGGGTCTTTCCAGGAATGCTCAGAGTTTGGTATTCTCCATTCAAAGTTATTCTCAAAGGTAACATGGAGGCTGGAGAAACTTTGCATTATCTAAATAGTTATAGGATTCTGAGGGGTTTTTTTTTGTTTTGTTTTGTTTTGTTTGTTTTTAATGACTCCTGCCTTGAGGAAATAAGACTGGAGAGGGGTGGCCTTATCTAGAACTTACACACAAAACTCATTGACTTGCTCTTAGCTGTTACTGATAGAGAGGCATAGGCTGCAGGTAGTGTTACTGGGGGGCCTTGCTCCCAGAGCTCCCAAGATGGTGGTGGGCCACTTCCAAGATGGTGGTGGGCCACTTCCAAAATGGCGGCAGGCCACTTCCAAGATGGTGGTAAGCCTCGTGTTCCCTGACCTGGGGTTCTTGGCCTCACGGATTCCAAGGAATAGAATCTTGAGTGTTATAGCTCTATTAGAAGTCATGGGTCATGGAAGAGAACTGTGGAACCCAGTGACTAGTGTTCAGCTCGATTAGGACGAACCCAGGCACTTAGCTGTGCAGGAACAATGGTGAGCCTTTAGCCCAATCGGGAGTGGCAGTGGGTGCCTTGCTGGATCAGAAGCACAGAGGACACCCTGCCGGATCCGCAGGGATGGAAGTCTGCGGCGGGTCTGTGATGGTGGCAAACAGCAGTGGTGGACGCAAGTGAAAGCTCAGCTCCAGCCATAACAAACATGGACCAGAAGAGTGCAATTGCAAGATTTAATAGAGTGAAAACAGAGCTTCCATACAAAGGGAAGGGACCCAAAGGGGGTTGCTGTTGCTGTCTCAAATGCCTGGGTTTATATCCCGATACTTATCCCTCCCACTGTGCTCTCAGGCAATAGATGATTTGCTATTTCTTTACCTCCTGTTTTTGCCTAATTAGCATTTTTGTGAGCTCTCTGATTGGTTGGGTGTGAGCTAAGTTGCAAGCCCACTGTTTAAAGGTGGATGTGGTCACCTTCCCAGCTAGGCTTAGGGATTCTTAGTCGGCGTAGGAAATCCAGCTAGTCCTGTCTCTTGGTAAGGCCAACTTACCAGGAGCACTGGAGAATTGTAGATAAGCTAATTAGTATATTTCCTATCTCCAGTACAATGGCTGGATAAGGAGTGACCCAATGCAAATCAATGAGAGTTAGGTTCCCATTTTTTGGTTTATCTCTGGAGGAGAAAAGATCTGTAGCTGCTGGATTTGAACCCTGGGGTGTGCAGGAGATTTTTAATTTGGACAGTTATTTTGTACTTGTGCAGGTAGAGCCTACAGCTAGTAGAGACTGTTAGTGGATCCACAATAGAGCTGAGAGATGGAGAGCAGCTGAGCCTTCTTGCCAACACTAATTCCTAAGTCAAGCCACGCCTGCAGCTTTCCCTAGCTCTGACCATTTGATTCACCTAAGCTAACATTAGTCACTTTTTAGGCTTAAGCTGATTCATGCTGGATTTTCTCTTGAGGTTCCTACCTGATCCAGATAGGTTCTACTGTCACCACCCCAGTACAGCTGAGAAAACCAACTTATTTCTCAGTGAATGGCTAATTGTTCCGGCTCACACAGCTAATGAATGAAACCAGGTATATCTCAGGACCATCTACTTTCCCCTTTCTACTGAGAGGGATAAATCAATGAGTTAGAAACAAAAATAGCAGAAATAAAGAGAGTCTATAATTAGAAGAGATTTTCATGGTCATTTTTCTCATATCCTTAGGAGAAACTTGTACCTTAAAGAGGAGAATACTTGGTTTCTGATTCTGGACCCAAGCTTTAAGCTTTTTTCAATTCTAAACGATGCTATTAACAAGATAAACAAAAATACATAAGTACATAAAAATCAGAAAGTTAGACATTAGAGGGGAAGAAAAAAGAGTAGGGTTTAAATGGGACTTAAAAAGAAAATTTAATTAGAAGCAAAGGTAGCTCTGATATCTTCTCTACATTAGTGTTAAGAAGGTAGAGGAAATTATAAGTATTTCAGTAAATAGCTGAGGATAGTATATGTCATGGGAATTTGGGGTCCTATTAAGAAAGCCATTGAGGGGTAAATTCTATTTAATACTCTTACCTAAAGAAGAGCAGATACAAAAGGAACTAACTAGGGAGAGAAGGCTACGGATCACCACATCCTTAGCTAATGAGTTCATGGCAATTTTGGTGTGGGGCAGCAGGAAAAATAGGCAGGTAAACAATATGAAGTGAATGTGAAAGTTTAGTTAATAGAAGCATAGTTTTGAATATCCTCTGTCTGCTAGTATTTTGAGATTTTTATAATTTTTACAAAGAATCATGTTAATCTATCCTATGCCTCAAAAATTAAAAAATAAATAAAACAACAAAGAAGAGGAGCTCATAGTTATCTAATGTAAAGAGATCAATCAGGTCTTATTGCTTATAACTCACATCACATAGCAGTGGCTACACAGTACTGCACTGAAAAATATATGGTGGGTGGGTCTAAACTAACAGAAAAATAATTCTTGATCACTGGCACTCTCTGCCCTGGTGATCCCAGAGTGATATGGACATACCTGTGCTACATGCTGCCTGCAAGATCTAGTACCCTTGATTGATGGTCCATACAAACTGTACCAATGGGTCCTCATAACCCTCCTGCAATGATCAGCTATTGTTTCTTCTGCTAAGCAAGCCTCCTTTCATTTCAGAAGGGTATCCCTACTTTTGGTAAATTCCTTCAGCCCCTACTTCAACTTAATAGCTCTAGAGTAAATTGTACATTATTGCACACTGCTCACCATGAGGAGTGGGGAGGTAAGACAAATTGGGCCAGAAATCTTCCCTAGGATTTTTAAGATACAACTAATAGAAGAGTGACTATTGCTTGGTAAGGTGAGAGATGTGAACACTGAAGATGCTAGCTGCTTATCTGGACTTCCAGTCCCCTAGTTTAGAAAAAGTTTGTCTAAAAATCAGAGATGTGCAGCCCACATGCAGAGAGAAGCAATGATAAGAGATGTAGTCTGACAGTCCTAAAGGCCTTTTGGTCACTGACTCAGGTTGTCTGCAAAGCTGGTTTCATCTGATACTCTGTGGCTTGGAATACATGAGCCTATAAAAATCCATCGTTGCCCTAAGAGAGTTGTTTCAGTTTTTATCATATCCAATCGTGAGAGATATGGCCTTTTCTGTGCTATGAGTGTAGAAAACAAGGCTTAGAAAGGCTAGTTAACCAGCCCGAAGTCACACTGCTACCAGATGTTGCAAGAGAAGTTGTTAGTTCTTTTTCCTTTTATATTTACAGGTATCAATCCAGCTACTCACATGATCAACTCCTCCAGTTCATTGGTGAATCTCCTGAAGTAACTTCTTCTTAGTGGATATCTATGATCACTCTATTTAAAATAGTCCCCTTTATTCCTCATCTCTTACACTCAATTTTTTCTTTTTTTCTTTCAATTGCTTGTCATGCCTTTCCCTAGACTATGAACTTAATGTGAAGTTTGTCTTACTTACCATGATATCCCCAGAACCTAGAATAAGTATATGTCCATACATATTTTTGAATACCTGAATAAATAAACATTTGTTTTTTTAAGGGTAGAATATTTTACCCTGATCTGCTACTTCTGTTTTCACTTCATAACAATTGGAGATTTCTAATTCATTATAATTAAGAGTATACCATTATGTGAATGTAACATAATACAGTTAATAATATTCTTTTTTTTTAAATAGAGTGTTGGTGGGGTCACATGTGCAGGTGCTACTTGGCTACGTTGTGTATTGGTGGCATCTGGGCTTCCAGTGTACCCATCACCCAAACAGTGACTATTATATTTTCTAATCCTTTATTGTCAGGGGTGAAAGTTGCAATAAGTCTCCTTTTTGAACCCTTTTTAAAAATTATACATGAGTCCAACTGTAGATTACATTGCTAAAAAAAAAAAAAAAAAAAGAACTTCTGGGTCGGAAAGAATGCCCATTCGATATGTGTTGTCATTTTGTTCTCTAGTTGAGAATGTAACAGCTTATCCTCTAATCAGTGACAGGGGATATACTCAACCCTTTTCTACTTGTAATTATACTGTGTTTTCACACTTTTTGCTCTTCCTCAATCTGGTAGATGAAAAGTGATGTATTATTGTAGCCCTGTTTTGCATTTCACTCATGAGTGAGATTAATCCTACTTTTAAGTCTTATGCCCAGCTGTGTTTTCTGTGAAATGTGTATTTTGCTGATTATTTTCATGAGCTGTTAGTATTAATTTTTATTAACTATTATACTAAGAAACTATGAGTTTCGCTCATGACATATGCCTTTTGTTTGAACTCTTATTTTATTTTTCATGTTGAAGTAAATTTTTAGTTTATACTTTCCATATTGTCATTTTTAAACATTTGATGACTTCTGGTTTTTATTATTGTTAAAGATGTGTTATTCATAAGAATTTATTTATGATCCTCCCACATTCTTACCTTTTTTAAAGCATTTGTAGTTTTTATTTATTGTGGATTTTGTTTTATTTTTACTTATATATGGGACATCATACACATGTAACTTCACACCTTGAATCTTGAAAGAAAGATTGTCTGTCTTTTCAGGGATTGGAATTCAAAGACATCAAGTATACCAAACAAGGGGTAGATTTTTTATGTTGTTCCTTACATGCTTCTATGTCAAGCATTGAGAAAAGTGAATTCGGTTTTTATAATAATTTATTTTTATCTATTTTCCCTGTAAAATTTTAGTTTTCCTATATTAGTATTGATTATATATTCTTAGCTACACACACACACACACACACACACACACACACACACATTTAAAACCACTTGATCTCTATTTAAATTTATAAGCTTTATCTATAAATGATTCTTATTTTCTTAACATGCTCTCGAATTACCTTAGCATTTTAGCACATCCTTTGTCTACATTTTCTCTGTAGAAAATTACCCACATTTCTATTTTTCAACCTCCCTGAGTCAATTTACCGTTATAGATATTTTTGCTTTGTAATCCAATCTGATATTTTTGTACCTAAATAGGCGATTTTAATTTATTGATATAAAATATACATTTGGTCTTAATTCTGTCTCATGTTTTATGCGATGCTTTCTGCTTTTACTGTTTCTTTAAAAATTCTTTACTATGTGAAGCATATTTCTTTGGTATTTGTGTGTATGTTCCTAGATAATTTAGAATTATGTTCCACTAATGACTTTTCTTATTGTTGCTTTATAACTAAGACTTTATATAACATACTGGCTATTTTATATAACACTTGCTATTCTATTGATCTAGACAGCAAGTGTAAAATACTACGAGCAAGTATACAGTTGTGACAGTGGTGTCTTTGCTTAGGTTCTTCCAAAAGCAGACGTTGAGACAAACAGTCGAATGTCAGAGTATAAGTCCTTTATTGGGGAAGTAATAGTAGGGAAGTAGGAAAAGAAGAAACCAATAACGTGGCCTCATCAAGCAAGGTCCCTCCATAGAAGACTGCAGTGAAATCCTTCTGGGAAACTCTGGGTCCAGCACAAAACACACACACACACAAATCCACAGAATCGTCTCAGGTGGAGGTGAGGGAGCTGGGGTGATTGATGATACACCAACCCACGCTAGGAATTTATCGACGGCTGCTTTCTGAGGCATTAATTCCCCTGCAATTTTGGCCTTTTTCACAGTCACAAAATGTGAAATCAATGGCAGAGAAAGCCTATGACAAAGAAATGCGGGTGCTAGAATTTTGAATTCAAGCTGTTCTACCCTAAAATGGGCAGGGTACTCACGGTAATTCTCTTATACCACTCAGACCCACCCATGCTGTATATGAAAATCCTGCAAGCAGTTATTTGAGACAATGGCCTATTTCAATATCTTAAAAAAAGGAAAACTTGCAAAAGGACAAGCTCTAGTCCCCACTGCCAGAGCTGGTCCTAGTAGCTTAATAGGTACAAATCACCTCCTTCCTCTGCTACACACTCTAGATTACCCCATCAGCATTTCTGCCAGCCATTTACAGTTATTAAGGGATACAGAGGCATAAAATTATCCCCCTAAAATTTCTTGAATTTCATACTTACTACTCCCTATCACCACTATGTATCAGCCAAACTATCTTGTTATGATTATTGGGGTCTTTTACACCACCAATTACAATCATTCTTTTCTTTGACTCCTAGTCTACTGGCATGAAAAGCCTATGGTGAGAAATGTAGAATAATTCCTACTTCATTCCTGGTAACAGCATCCCCCAGCTCTGAAACCAGACTTCTAGTTTAGCAAAACCCAGAGCTATAGGCATAGGAAGGATACATCCCCACACCCCAAGTTTCACTAAAAGTGATAATGAGTAATTATCCTATTGCTAACTTTTGTATTCTCAAGCTTATTCATCTCCTGCACAGACAACACCATATGATGGCTATTGGTTAAAGTATACATCAAATATGGAAGGACATCACTTCAGACTCAAAGAATGCCATACCTAACCTGGCATCTTAGCTGCATTTTGAAGATCCCATCCCAAAATTCTAGATAGATGACAGCATGTATATGATGGAGTACATGGGAGAACCAGTGTATCCCATGCTCATGTGCCAATTGTCACATCTCCTTGCTGCTTTAATTGAGCCCCTTGGTGATACAGTTCAGATATTTGTCCCCTCCAAATCTTATGTTCAAATATGATCTTCAATGTTGGAGGTGTCCCTAGTAGGAGGTGTTTGGATCATGGGAGTGGATTTCTTATGAATGGCTAGGTGCTGTCTTTGAAGTGATGAGTGAGTTCTCATTCTCTTACTTCACCAGGTAGCTGGTTGTTTAAAAGAGCATGGCATCCCTTCTCTTTCTGTCTCTTGCTCCCACTCTCATGTGGCATACTGGCTCCCCTTCCCCTTCTGCCATGATTGAAAACTTCCTGAGGTCCTCACCAGAAGCAGATCCTGGTACCATGCTTCCTTTACAGTCTGTAGAACCATGAGCCAAATAAACCTCTTCTTTATAAATTACCCAGCCTCAGGTATTACTTTATAGAAATGCAAAGCAAACAAAGACACTTGGTCTAAGATAATATTATGCAAAATCTCATGGCATAAACTGCATGCTTAGTGACCCTCTGGATAACCATACTGTCCAAAAACACTCAGAGCAGGGAATACAAATCCACTCCCAGTATAATCCCAATTCCAGTAATTACAAAAGAGGCCTCCTCCAGGTAAAAGGAACATCGTGAAATCAACTTGCTTCCCAGTGACTCATTAGTTTTCTTAACAAAATGATGCCATATCATAGGCTCAGTGTCCTTTGTTGCCTCTTCAGTTTGGACATTCAGTAGCAGCAGTAACTAAGTTAGTTTTGGTGACCTGGAGCCCAGAGTGCTGGCTTACTTCTACTGGACCAGGCCAACTCTCTTCTTGACTATTCAGTGCTTTCACTACCCTGGCTGCTTTTAGATGGGTGATGTGGGGAACCCAAATATCTACATGTTTTGTCTGTTCACCATTGTAGATCTAGCCTTAGGTCTCTTGTTCTAACGTCATTTTCTTCAATCTTACAATCCTGCTCTTTCCAAGACAAGCCATTTGTCACTGTCCAGGGATTCCATGCACATTCTTTACTCAGGCTACTTTTCTCTGTGGATCAAGTTGATGACTAGAGGTTTAATGATTGTAGCTCTGCCCAGTAGGATTTCCCTCATAGTAACTTTCAAAGCCTTTGCTGAGCGAAGCTGTAGTACAATAGCTTGAGGGCTGATCTGAAGATATTTTCATTCCCTGGCGCTAATGGTTGATATTTGTATGGGCAGAATGATTTCCTCGCAACAGAAGGCCCTCATGCAAAACAATTATCAAGAGCTGTGAGTTGTAACTTGTGCTGACATGCACTGTAGTTGAAAGACTGAAAAGAAGTGGATGGGACACTGATGATATGTGGCATAAATTGGTTGTTTTTTCTTAGTAAAATGATGGATTTTTCTTAATATCTAACATTATAACTTTATATATAAATTGCATCCCTATAACTAAATTTATCTACTTTAAATTATATAAGTTTGAAGGCTTGGTTACAGTAAATCAGGAACTAAGTCTTCTTAAACTACTTCTTACAATCTTCCTTTCCTTCCTTTGCTATTTACCACCATATCAACATTTTTATGTTAATAACATTTCAATTTTTTCAGGTAAGTATCCTGTATTTCAAGTGTCTTAATCTTGTCCCTATAGATATATGAATTCAATATTCACCATTATTCCCTTCCAGAAAGATTTTCTATTCATGTTTAGGTTTTCTGAAGTGTGTCCCCCTAGTACTTTTAAAATAAAGACTTTTATAACATATGTGATTCTTTTTATGCTAAAAATGTTTTATTATATGTACAACAACCTATTTAGCTTCTCTACCTGGATTTTTGGTAGGTCTCCCAAACTGCACAAGTTCTGAAGTGGGATTCTGATCTTTTCCCTACCCAATCCCAAATCTGTTCACTTCAGAGTACAAGCCAACATCCTTAAAACACTCAACACTCCTTTTCACATTACCTTCCTCACCTCATGACATTCTCATTGCCTCCTCCTCACTGTTCCAGCCATTCTGACCCCATTCTTTACCACTTAGCATTCCTGGCTCCCAGCACACTCCTGCCTCAAGGCCTTAGTCCTAGCTATCTCAATGCTTAGAATGCCCTTTCTCTGGATGACTGCAAGGCTTACTTCTTTACTCACTAAAATGTTTACTCAAATGTCCCCTCTCATTCAAGCCTTCTGTGGTCATCCTCTCTAAAGTGATAATGCTTTCGACAATCCCTGTTGACTTTCTAGGTTTTATTTTTCCTTTGAGTAATCAATGATCATCTCTTTACACACTACGTATTTTACTCTTTATCTCATTCATTGCTCTTTTTGCACTCTAATTAGAATATAAGTAGAATGGGCCAGGTGCAGTGGCTCATGCCTGTAATCCCAAAATTTTGGGAGGCCAAGGCAGGTGGATCAGAGTTCAGAAGTTTGAGACGAGCTTGGCCAACATGGTGAAACCAGGTCTCTACTAAAAAATACAAAAATTAGCCAGGCATGATGGCACATACCTGTATTCCCAGCTACTCAAGAGGCTGAGGCAGGAGAATCACTTCAACCTAGGAGGTGGAGGCTGCAGTGAGCCAAGATCACACCACTGGACTTCAGCCTGAGTGACAGAGAAAGACACTGAGTGACAGAGAAAACTACATGTATATATATATATGTAGAATGAGAGCAGAGATATGTGTCTGCTTGTTATGGTTGTTGTTGCTGTTGTATCCTCTGTACCAATAATGCTTGAAAATAATAAGCACTCAATAAATAGTTTCTAAACAAGTGGATGAACACTGACTTTATAGTTAGAATAAACTTTGGTGGGGCTAAACATCTTGTTTCCTTGAGGATGTTATGCTCACATCCTTCACAGTCTTCTATCCTTGAATGTTGCCGTGAATCATTTTGAATCTAGCCTGATATTTTTTGCATGTGGATGATTTAATCATTTTGCCTAGATGCACAGTGTAATCTTTATCATAGCAGACTAGTAACTTTAACTGTTCAGCATCTCCTTTTATTTTTGGAGCTACCTATTATATGTGAAGCCCTTTTTTCTTTCCTATGTTACATAGCTGCCATCAGCATTTTTTAAAATGCTTTGATCATTTTTCTTTCATTTTTTTTTCTCACTCCAGTCTTTCATGGCCTTAATGTATCTTGAACAGCTTCTATTTTCTTTTATGCTGCTTCCAATGCAGACGTGATTTTGTAGATGATGTTCTTTCTTTTTCCTTTCCATTTACTTCCCAAGTTCTGCCAGCTCATGTTTCATCTCTTTTAGTTAACTTGACATATCTTACCAGTGCACTTTTTTTAGCAGTATTTTTAAAATTTTATTTATGGCTTATGTTTGCTCGTACTTTACATCTTTTCTGTGGTAATATTTTTCTGGTGAGGCTTAGTCATCTTTCACATGTTTCCATTCCTTTTTTTCTTATTTCTTATAGTATCTTTGTATGAATCCATGCATCCAGGGCTGCTTCCTTTTTATTTTGAGAGACAGAGTCTCACTCTGTGGCCCAGGATGGAGTGCAATGATGCAATCATACGTCACTGCAGCATCAAACTCTTGGGCTCAAGCGATCCTCCTGCCTCAGCCTCCTGAGTGGCTGGGACCACAGGCACACACCACCACAGCTGTCTAATTTTTAAGTATTTTTGTAGAGATAGTGTCACGCTATATTGCCCAGCAGTCTGATCTTGAACTCCTGGCCTCAAGTATTTCTCCGACCTTGGACTCTTAAAAGTGCTGAAATTGAAGGTGTGAACGACTGCACCCACCCTGTGCTACTTCCTTTTTGACAATGGATCATCTTTGAATGAAACTGGTTCTCACAGTACCATCTATTTTCAAAAGATTTGAGTTATGCTGGAGCCAGAGCTGATTTCTGCACTAACAGAAGCTTTCTTGTGTTACAGAGTGTGACAGCTTATTTGGCAGTATTGTGAGACTACACAAGTTGTTGGAGCCTTTGCTTTTTCCCGGAAGGCAAAGATGGATAGTAGTCAAATCTTTCTAAGAAACTGCTATAAGATTTCCTGAAACCACCCCGTCCACATTTCCCTGTTGTAGAACAGAGTAGGGGCTGCTCCTCTGGCCAGTCTGTGTCTCCTGTTCTAGTTGTTAAATATGTGAGCATTGGATTTGCCCTTTATGTATTACACCTACTTTTGAAAGTTTTTTGTTTTGTTTTATTTTGTTGCTAACTTTATTTCATAGATTTGTCATTATCAACATCTTTTTTAACAAGTGTCTTTTTGACCTTTATTGCATTTGGGCAGCTTTTTCTCGTGTATTGTTATTCAAGGTTATAGATGTTATTCAGTTTTTATTTTCTTCGAGACAGGGTCTCGATCTGTCACCCAGGCTAGCATGCATTGGAACCATCATGGCGCACTACAGCTTGGAACTTTTGTGTCCAAGTGATCCTCTCACTGCAGCCGCCCAAGTAGCTGGGACCACAGGCATGCACCATCATGCTTGGGTATTTATTTTTATTATTATTGTTGGTAGAGCCAGGGATTTTGCCATGGTACCCAGGCAGGTCTCAAAGTCCTGGTCTCAAGCGATCCTCCTGCCTTGACCTTCCAAAGTGCTCAGATTATAGGCATGAGACTTATCTGTTATTAAATCTTTAAAGATCAGTTTAATTCTTTTAACTTTTCATTATATCCTACAACCTCTTAGTACTTTTATTTTACTTAAATTTACACAATAAGAGAAAAAGAGAGCCAGACATGAGCACTTGAGAAACAACATTATTTAAGGGAGGAGAAGAGCAGAATTTAAGGAGAGAGGGTAAACAGGAGACTGCAGAGGGTGCTGATGTATCTGCTGGGTGAATGCTGGTGACATCTGCTCAGATACAAAATTGAGCAGAGGGAGAAGAGTTAGGAAAGAAGACAATGAGCTCTGATTTATACATTTTAAAAGCCATTTGGAAGCTATCCTGGTAGAAAACTCTAGCACTCATTGAATATTACATGATGAAGGTTGTGAGGAGGATGAGTTTGAGGATGAAATTTGAAAGTTACTACTGCAAATGGTAATCAGAAAAAAAATGTCTAAATGAAATTGTTGAGATAAAGTTTGTATAATTGGAAAAGCAGAGGGTGGTGTGCTGGACCTTGTAGGGCTGGGACTATGGGAAGTAGCCCTGTGAAGAGGCAGAGAAGTAAGACCAAGAGAGGCACAAGAAGAACTTTTATTCTCTGCAAGAAATGTTGAGTTGGATTATTTTAACAGTGACATTTAATGATATTGTTTTTGTTGTTCCAATACAAAATGTCTATTGATAACTACTGACTTATGTAAAACATACTTATTCAGCCTCTTTTATGTGCCGTTTCAGGCCCTGGAGAAAGAGTGATGGATAAGTTACATCCTCAGCTTTGATTATGATTCTTTATAGTAAGAATAAAGAGTTCTTTCTTCACTTTTCTTTTTTTCTTTTGGCTTGGAATAGAAGATCCAAATGCAAATGTTCAAGGACATAATTCATCAGTTCGGCAAATACTTATTGAGTGTCTCTTATGTATCTGATACTTATCCAGGTACTGGGAATTAACCCGAAAATGACATAGAAAAAAATCTCAACCTTCATGGAATTTCACTGGAAAATTGCTGGTTCTCCCCCCGGGGGTTGGGAGAAGGCACTTACGAATATAACATGATTTCTTCTTGTATAAACTTCAGGAGATCACCAACCAAGTGTTTCTAGTTATATATTACGAATAGCTGATTTAGTGCCAGACTATCTA